>NC_000006.12:88898261-89523261 GCF_000001405.40 Homo sapiens
CTTATTGAATTTTGTCCTCTCCATGAAATCATACTGTTAAATTGCTCCCTTTAAGTTAATTCTAAACTATTTCTCATATTTTACATTTCTTTTGTCTTTTCATGCTGCATGCTGGAAGGATTTCATAGCTAGATCCTCTAGCTTGATAATTTCATTCTGCTACTCATCCCACATACTAAGTGGTTTTTTAATCTTATCATTTCCAAGATCTCTAATTTGTTCCTCTTCTTAATAGCCTGCTATTATTTTATGGATTGATAGCCTCTCTTGTCTTCTAAAGAAAGGTTCTATTTGCTTTCTCAAATAGAAAAATTTTTAATTTTTCCTTTCTTAGTATATCTAGTATTACTTTTATATAGGACTTAATTTTTACAATATATAATTTTTAGTATATATACTGTGTGTGTGTGTGTATATATATATATTATATATATGTATCTCCCCAGTATATATTCTTCTACACTAAGTTATTCTTCTATACTATGTTTTCTGTGCATATGCAAAGAAATAACCAAAAAGTACAGAGCAAATGGCTTGGGAATGAAGAAATATTTTGCCTTTTAACTCTATATACTCCTAGATGTTTGCATTTATATTTTACAAAAAAAAAAAAACTCATCTTTAAGTCATCTGTGTATGTTTTAAAGCTAAATAAATAAGTAAATAGGGAAAAATTATTCTAAAAAGACAACAATACCAATGGTAGTATGAAAGTTGAAGGATTATAAGTTTTCTTTCGTTTTCAAACTTTCTTTAATAAACTAAAGATTAATGTTCTTTCATCTTTAATATATTACTTATATGAGTAAAATATTTAATAATTTTAGGATTTACTAATTATGGTTTGAAAAAAGAAAAAACTACCAAAAGGCATAAGGTTTTAGAACTTTTTTTTTTTCCTAATTCGGCCTTTGGAGGTATAAGCACAAATATTCTCAAAAATCACCAACTCATAACAGAAATCAAGACTAATTGCTTTCTCCAAAAAGAGAGAAAGAAGGTTTCGGCTTTTTTTTTTTGAGACAGCCTATCACTCTGTCACCTAGGTTGAAGTGCAGGTGAATGCAGTGACATGATCACAGCTCACTGACTGCAGTCTCAACCTCCCAGGCTCAAGCAATCCACCCCACCTCAGCCTCATAAGTAGCTGAGACTACAAGTGCACACCACCACACCTGGCTAATTTTTTAATTTTTTGTAGATACGAGGTCTCACTACGTTGCCCAGGCTAGTCTCAAACTCCTGAGCTCAAGCAATCCTTCCGCCTCGGCCTCCCAAAGTGCTGAGATTACAGGTGTGAGCAACTGCACCCAGCCTAATTAGACTAACTTTGTAGCCACAAAAAAAAAAGCTGGACAATGTTAAAGAATTCATTTGAAGACCTCAGAGAATTAGAAAGGCAATAAGGACTTGAAGGGCCAAAAACTCAGGAGGAAGGGAGGCCAGAGAGGTGAGCTAGACATCTTCTACAGCTTTTCCTTTCTAGTACTCTCCTCTAGAGGCACTGTTTCAAAAATGGTAGCTAAGACACTAAGAAGCTGAACAGAAATTTCAGTAATATCACAGCAATGGGAAATAAAAGCTGGAGTTACAGGTCTTCAAGTGGAAGGAGTCCAATTTAATTCCCCACACTTTCAATGAAGATCCTCACAGGCTATAGGAATAAGAGCAGAGCAAAAATAGACCACTGCCCCAAAACTAAAGTCTAGTTTCTAACAGCTCAATCCTTAATTAAGATATTCTGCTCCTAATTCTCTGTAGAAGCAAAAGTAAATCCTCTCTAAAGAAAGATAACATGACCAGAGCCTCAAATTATTTACATAATTTTTCATAAACAATGTCTAGTATTCAATCAAAAATACTCAAATATGCAAAAAAAAAAAAACTATAATTGACTAGATATCAAAAGGACACGAGAAAAAAAACTTAAAAAAAGATCCACAGGAGACCGACATATTAGTTTTACTTTTTATTTGACTTTTTAAAAACTGGTTTTAATATTTTCAAAAACTGAAATGACAAGATGAAGAATTCCAGAAGAGAACTGAAAATCATTTTTTAAAAAATCAAATGGAAATTCCAGGAGTGAAAGTAAAATAATTAAAATTAAGTAGTCAATGGATGAGTTTAACAGCAGCTTAGACAAAGCTTAATGAGGACATTAGTAAATGCCAAGATAGGTCAGAAGAAAATATCCAAAGTAGGCTGATGCCTGTAATCCCAGCACTTTCGGAGGTTGAGGCAGGTGGGTCACCTGAGGTCAGGAGATCCACACAAGCCTGGCCAACATGGTGAAACCCCATCTCTACTAAAAATACAAAAATTGGCCAGGCGTAGTGGCAGGTGCCAATAGTCCCAGCTACTCAGGAGGCTGAGGCAGAAGAATCGTCTGAACCCAGGAGGCAGAGGTTGCAATGAGCTGAGATTGCACCACTGCACTCCAGCTTGGGCCACAGAGAGAGACTCTGTCTCAAAAAAAATAAATAAAAAGAATAAAAAAAAAAAACAAGAAAATATCCAAACTAAAAAAATAAACAAAAAGATAAAGAATATAAAAAAGAACACAGGAAACAGTTTTTAAAAAAAAAAAAAATTTTAGGCCAGGCACGATGGCTCACGCCTATAATGCTAGCTCTCTGGTAGGCAGAGGCAGGTGGATCACCTGAGGTCAGGAGTTTGAGACCAACTTGGCCAACATGGTGAAACCCTGTCTCTACTAAAAATACAAAAATTAGCTGGGTGTGGTGGTGCACACCTGTAATCCTAGCTACTTGGGAGGCTGAGGCAGGAGAATCGCTTGAACCCGGGAGGCAGAGCTTGCAGTGAGCCAAGATCGCAACACTGCACTCCAGCCTTGGTGACAGAGCTAGACTGTCTCCAGAAAAGAAAAAAGAAAAAAAAAAAAATTTAAAGGCCTACTGGTATTAGGTTGAGCTCCAGAAGAAAGAACAAATAGATCTGAAACAATACTTAAAAAGATAACAGCCAAAAATTGTCTAAAACAAATTAGGAAAAAAACTCCAACTATATATTTAAGAATTCCTACATACACCACGCAGGATAAATACAAAGAAAACCACAAGTAGAAATATCATGGTAAAACTGCTGAAAATCAAAAACAATAAGAAATTACCTTCAAAGAAGCAACAAGGTAGCTAACTTCTCAACAGAAATAAATTCTGGAATGAAACACTCAAAGTGCTAGAAAAAAAATAACTGTCAAGCACCCTGATCTTTTTTTTTTTTTTTTTTTTTTTTTTTTTGAGATGGAGTCTCACTCTGTCGACCAGGCTGGAGTGCAGTGGCGCGATCTCAGCTCACTGCAACCTCCGCCTCCCGGGTTCAAGCCATTCTCCTGCCTCAGCCTCCCAAGTAGCCGGGATTACAGGCGCCTGCCACTAGGCCGAGCTAATTTTTTTGTATTTTTAGTAGAGACGGGGTTTCACCATGTTGTCCAGGCTGGTCTCGAACTCCTGACCTCGTGATTCGCCCGCCTCAGTGCTGGGATTTCAGGCGTGAGCCACTGCGCCCAGCTAACCACCCTGATTTTTATACTCAGAAAAAACATTCTTCAAAATGATGTCGAAAAAGACAATTTCACACAAATACTAAAAGAATGTGCAACAGCATACCCACATGGAAGGAAATAATACAGGAAGCTCTTCAGTTAGAAGGAAAACTATCCAAAATGGAACCACAAAAATACATGAAAGAAAGAGCAGCAGAAAGGGTAAATATGTGGGTATACCTAACCAATAATAGCTGTATAAAAATGCCATGGCCGGGCATGGTGGCACACACCTGTAGTCACAGCTACTCAGGAGGCTGCGATGAGAGGATAGCTTGAGCCCAGAAGTTCAAAGTACAGTGAGCTACAATCACACCACTGCACTCCAGCCTGGATGACAGAGTGAGATCCTATCTCTTTAAAAAAAAATAAAAATAAAAATAAAAGGTCTCATCATGGGGTTTAAGATACACATAGAATTAAAAAACACAATACCAAAAAAGATAGGAATAAGTAAATGGAATAAAAGATTGTAAAATTCTTGGCCAAGCGCAGTGGCTCAGCTCACACCTATAATCCTACTACTTTGGGAGGCTAAGGCAGGAAGATTACTTTAGGCCAGGAGTTGAAGACTATCCCTGCCAAAATAGCAAGACATTGTCTCTACAAAAAAAATAATAAAATTAGCAGGGTATGGTGGCACAGACCTGTAATCACAGATACTTGGGAGGCTTAGGTGGGAGGATCCCTTGACCCCAGGGATCTAAAGCTGCAATGAGCTATGAACAAGCCACTGCACTCCAGCTTGACTGACAGAGTAAGACCCTGTCTCAAAAATAAACAAATAAGATTTTTGCATTGTCTAAAAAGTGACAAAAGTACTAATATATACCAGCCTTTAAAAAGATGTATAGTGAAATCTTTTTTTTTTTTTTTTTTTTTTTTGAGACAAAGTCTCACTCTGTTACCCAGGCTGGGTACAGTGGCGCAATCTTGGCTCACTGCAACCTCTGCCTCTGGGGTTCAAGCCATTCTCCTGCCTCGGCCTCCCGAGTAGCTGGGACTACAGGCACCCGCCACCACGCCCAGCTAATTTTTTGTATTTTTAGTAGAGACGGGGTTTCACATGTTAGCCAGGATGGTCTTGATCTCCTGACCTCACGATCCACCCACCTCGGCCTCCCAAAGGGCTGGGATTACAGGCGTGAGCCACCGCACCTGGCCATGAAATCTTGAGTAACTAATAAAAGAAAAGTAAAGGAATGTATGGTCAACAAGCAATGGGTTGGGGTAATAGAAGAATAAAAGCAACCATAAAGAAGGCAAGAAAGGAACATACCACTAGTGGCACAAAAAAAGAGTAAGACAATTTGAATCTAATCTTTACATGAAATGTACATGGACTAAATGATAAGGCAAAAACTGTTGCCTGAATAAATAAAACCCAGCAACATGGTGCTTGTAAGAGATACACTGTAGTAGTCCCAGCAACTCAGGAGGTTGAGGTAGAAGGATCACTGAACCCAGGGAGGTCAAGGCTGGGCTGCCACTAGTGAGCCATAATCATGCCACCACACTCCTGCCTGAGCAACAGAGTTGAGTCCCTGTCTCCAAAAACAAACAAACAAAACCTATATTTTATGCTATGCTGCTTATTGAAGTTTCCTTAGAATGTGATTGTTATTTTTCTAGGTATGTGACTCAGTAATTTCAGATATCTAAATCCAGGAAATAATAAATCAGAATAAAATAATAAATTACTTTTGAAATAATTTCTATGTTTCGAAGCAATTTACACTTTTCAGTGTCCTTATAGTCTTAAAATTTAAAATGTGTAAATGCAATTAAAACATTGTTTTACAAACAAAAAAAAATTTTTAAGCCAAAAATAACTTACATGGTTTACATAAACTAACAAAGCATTTACTTCCTTGCCTGTGAACCATGCCTACTAATAAATGAGTCGTGGTATATACCACTCAACCATAATATACTAGGAACCTTAATTAATAATTTCATTAACACAATTACCTCCATACTTTCCCTAACTTTTCCCTTTGGCCTATATCATATACTTGTGTGTGTACAAGTACAACCAATACTTTTCCTCTCAACAGTTCCCCTATCCTCCAGTAAAAGAAGATAACTCCTCATATTTATGGTTAGCTCTTTTATTTCTAGAAGATTATTAAAGGTTGGCTAGAGAAGTGAGAGTCTTCTTGATTTAATTTTATGGAAACCATGAAAGCATCACCCAGGGAGGGGGATGCAGAATTCATATGTAAAGTTATTTTAATTATGTGACAATTTTGTAAAGCATTAGTAAAAATATTCACTAGGTATTTAGTTGAAATCTCACAATACTTTGTAAAGAAATAGTAAGTTCTCAATCTAATATCTAAAAGTTCTTTTAGATATTATCTAATATCTAAAGACATAAGAAACAAAAACAGGAAAAATTTACGTAACTGCAATTTTTCTCTTTGAAAAGACAGACTCGTGGCTATTAAGAACCTTTAAAGGCCAAGCACAGTGGCTAATGCCAGTAATCCCAACACTTTGGGATGCCAAGGTAGGAGGATCACTTTGAGCTCAGGAGTTCAAATCCAGACTGGTCAACAAAGTGAGAACCTTCTCTACAGAAAATGTAAAAATTAAAAATTAGCCAGTCGTGTTGGCACATGTCTACAGTCCCAGCTACTCAGGAGGCTGAGGTGGGAGGATCACTTGAGCCCAGAAGGTCAAGGCTGCCACTGCACTCCAGCCTGGGCAACAGAGCAAAACTTTCTCTCCAAAAAAAAAAAATTTTTTTTTTAGAAAGGGCTAGGATGAATCATCTGACAAACCTAGCTAAAGAAACATGGCCAATATTCCATTTTTATAAATCTCAATAAGCTTGCAGAAAAAGGAAAAAAAAAACCTATTATAATATTTTTAAACATTACCAGTTTTAACCGTTCTTTTCTCCTTTTGCCAAAAGAAGCACTTGACCCGGGTTCTGATTCCTTCTTTCCATCCTCATCCTCATCTTCGTCTTCATCATCCTCAAAACACCAATCTGGCAATAGAGGTGGGGGTGGTGCTTCCTCTATGTCACCATACCGACGAAAAAGTTCCTTCAAATAATCACCCTTGTAGATTCCTGGTGGTCTGGCTTGGGCAAAAGTAGCAACTGCTGCTTCGATACTATAGGAAACAAACACCATGCAATTTCCTCGCTATCCTCTATTTATGCAGGCTTATCAAAAACTCACTTATTATATTCAAGGCTCCATATAAAGTACAACAGAAGTTTATAAAATGGGCAAATCACAATCCTCACCCTCAAGTCATTCAATCTATTAAGGGACACATTCATTCTGAAAAGGTTTTAATATAAGGTATTCAGAAAATTCTGAAATTCTAAAAATAAATTGCTATGAGTATATAGTAGAGACCTAGATAGGGTCTGTGAAGAATTTAGTCTTGAAGGTTGAGGTCTGACTCTGCAGCAAAACATCAGTCAAAAAAACAACAATGTGAGCAAAGTAAAAGCATATTGATTTTACAGGAACTTTCAACAGATCCAGGCACTAAGAGTCTAGATCATCAAAGAGAGGATAAGCATAGGCTAAATCTGACATAGGAAACTGAGATCATTGTGGAGAGCATCTGAATGGTCAGAGCTAGAAAGTACATGCAGTACAGAACCACCAACAATGCATACTGCAAAATTCAAAATCATATGTGTACTTCAACTGATTATATTCAAAAAAGGACCTACTATGTGAAAATCTTTGTAAACATAAATAATGATGCTCCCTCAGTCAACAAGAAAATTCAGTTAGTAATATATTCTCTTAAGAATATTGGGTACTAAAGTCGTAATCTCTCAGGATCTAAAAACACACTTCAAAAATAACAGATGCTCAATAAAGACATGTTGATTGGCTTAAATGGAGTAACACTCTCCCAAAAATACTAAAATACAAAATATTGGAAGAATCTGTCTCTGATAATTCTGTAAGAGGTGAAAAAAATCTGAAAAAGTGAATATACAGTTTATGAAATTCATAAGCACTCAAAGTGATTTGCTGGTTAATGCAAAACACCTGGCTGGGTGTGGTGGCTCATGCCTGTAATCCCAACATTTTGGGAGGCCAAGGGTGGAAGATAACTTTAGCCCAGGAATTCAAGATCAGCCTGGGTAACATATGGAGACCTCCTCACTAGACAAAAAAGAAAAAATTAGCCAGGCATGGGTGGCACATACTTGTGGTCCCAGCTACTTGAGAGGCTGAGGCGGGAGGATTGCTTGATCCCAAGAGGTGAATGCTGCAATGAGCCATGATCACACCACTACACTCCAGCCTGGATGACAGAGGAAACCTTGTCTCAAAGAACAAAACAAAACATACATATATACACATACACACATACACACACACACCAAGTAATGGTAGTATAAAGATTAACCATATCTAAAATGAAAAGCAGTTCAAATTACATTAATCATGAGTTCACCAAAAACTTGACAATACAAAATTCTGCAACTAAAATATCAATAAAATTTTTTATTACAAAATACATCTTCCATTATAACAAGATACAAATACCTCCAATCCATTTTCTCCACCAAAAAGGCACATATGAGGAAACCAGTGCGATTGAAGCCATGAGTACAATGAACACCTAGAAAATAAAGTAGCTTTGGTTAAAATTAACAAATCACTGCAGAGGCCACATTTACTTTAAAATTCCAACCTGCAATCAAAACATTTCAGCTAGTTTATAAAATAATTACATTTTTTAATTTTTTAACTTGAAACACCCTTATAACTTGAAAACTTGTCAGTTTGAATTGCTTAGAATCTAATTTATAACTAGCTAGAAGTTTAAGTGTAATATATAGGTTTATTGATGTAAAACTGTCTCTACTGTTTAACAAGTTCTCCTAAAGCTAGAAGATTCCAAGCATTTTAAATAAGGAGGTATTTTCATCAAACACACAACTCAAAAGGACACATAAAACACATACACACAAGATCCTTCTGACCCTCAAACTTTAAATTTCTCTAGTAGAAAAAAAACGGTCCTCTTCATGATCAATGGCATATATTTGCAAAATAGTCAAATCCTATTTTCTAAAATCCAGAAGCTAGAACAGAGCAAATAAACTAATAGAAATATAAATTCATATGGGGCCTGATACTAATTAAATATAATCAACAAAAGTGACTAGCTACAGAAAATAATTAACTGATAGATATATAGTACAATAAAAATTAAGTTACCTTGAAGCTCTCTAGAAACCAACTAACTGTATTTTCAAGTTAGGTTATAATCTTTCTAAATAAATTTTTAAAAGAAAGAAACCAGCTAGGAAAGAAAATTTATTTTCTTAAACTCTTTCTCAGAACATATTCAAGATCATTTTAACTACTGATATGGTTTGGCTCTGTGTCCCCGTCCAAATCTCATCTCAATTTGTAATCCCCACAATCCCCATGAGGGAGAGATCTGGTGGGAGGTGACTGAATCATGGAGGTGGTTTCCCCCATGCTGTTCTTGTGATAGTGAGTGAGTTCTCATGAGATCTGATGGTTTTGTAAGTGTTTGACAGTTCCTCCTTCACATGCCCTCTCTCTCTCTTCTCACCACTAAGATTGTAAGTGTTTGACAGTTCCTCCTTCACATGCCCTCTCTCTTTTCTCACCACTTAAGACGTGCCTGTTTCCCCTTCCACCATGATTGTAAGTTTTCTGAGGCCTCCCCAGGCATGCACAACTGTGAGTCCATTAAATTTCCTTCCTTCATAAATTACCCATTCTCGAGTAGTATCTTTATGTGAGAAGAGACGAATATAACTAGTTTGAAAATAGTAATTAAAACATGACAATATTGCTGACTCTCCTACAGTCTTCAAAATGAAGCTTTTCCTGTTATTTCTATTTAATTAAAGGATATCCTAATATTTAAGCTGTATCTTTTTTTTTTTTTTTTTTTTTAGAGACAGGATCTCATTCTGTCAACCAGGCTGGAGTTCAGTAGCATGATCAGGTTCCACAGCCTTGACCTCCTGGGCTCAAGTGATCCTCCCACCTCAACCTCCAGAGTAGCTGGAACTACAGGCTCACACCACCATCCCCAGCTAATTTTTTTCTATGGTAAAGACAGGGTCTCATTATGTTGCTCAGGCTGGTCTCAAACTCATGGGATCAAGCAATCCTCTCACTTCAGCCTCCCCAAGTCTGGGATTACAGGCATGAGCCACAATGCCCAGCCTGTATCTTTCTAATATTACCTTCTACAAATTATTCTTCTCTGTATATATAGATCATACTGATACAGTGCAACTAAGATCAAATATAGAAATAAACTAGCTAGATTTACAAAACTTCTAGAAGAAAATACAGGAGTAAATCTTTGCAAGCTTAGAGTAGAAAAAGTTTCTTAGATAAAACACAAAAAGCATAAAATGAAGAAAAATACTGATAAATTAGACTATTTCAAAATAGCAAGGGTTTGCTCTTTGAAAGACATCATTAAGAATATAAAAAAGAGTTCTAGGCAAGACGGCCAACTACCTACAGCTGAAAAACGCCTCTTCCATGAAAAGGAACCAAAATATCAAGTAAGCCACCACACTTTGAACCACCAAAACTTGACAATACAAAATCCTGCAACTTTGAACAGATCTTTTGAGAGAAAACACTGAAAGCCAATAGAGAGGCAAAGCAGACACAGTGTTTGAAGAGGGAAGAAGCGACGTAGACTGCTTGGAGTAACTAGGCACCAGGACTGGCCCCCAGTTCCAGTGTGGACCTAAGGGAGGGCTGAGTAAAGGAACCCTGGGGCACCACACTCCCACCATGGTCCTCTGGGATCCTAGCTACAAGATTCTAGCCATGAGCCCCACAGACCACGGTGCAGCTGCAGCAAAACACCACCATAGGGCCCATCCTCCAAGGCTCTCCAGCTTGTACTGAGTGGCTGCAGGTCCTGCTATCTGCAGGGCGAAGAGAGTAAGACTGCCACTGCCATAGGACCATAGTGTATCTGATCCACATGCCCCTTTGCCTGCCAACTCTTCAAAGACTGCCTGCCTGGCTGCTCCTGCAAGACAGTGCCCACAGAACAGCCTCCACTTCCCTGCCTGAGTGTTCTGCTGGCAGCCTGCTGGCTGATCCTAAGGGGCCAGAGGACAAATGTGCAGGCCTGGTCCCACTTCCCCAGGACTCAAGCACACTGCCCAGGGGTATTGAGTTAAGCTCTGTGGCCTGAGCTTGGGCAGGAAAGGAGCCTTCACTCTCAGAATACAGAGAAGAGTGTGGCATGGAAACTAAGCAACCTCTCTTCAGAAGACCAGTCCAGGATGGGTGTGGCCTGACAGCCAGCCAAGGTTTCTTCCCCAGGAAGCTCCGTGGCTTGGAGCATCTGAAATGGCTCAACGAACTGGGCACGCAGGGCTTTTGAGACAAGCCTGGCCAGTCTGGTTGCGCCTGCTCCTGAGACAGACATCAGACAGAGACCAACCAGGTCAGGGGAGTGCAAGTTGTGAGGGCCACACAGCCATCGGCTGGGCTGCAAACCCGGGCCATGGTCACTATACTGGCTACACACACATACGGTGCCACTTCCCTGCCTGAGGATCTACCACCCTTGCTTGACCCACTGCATTACCAGACCACCTGCAGACATACCCCACAACCCACTCTTACTGACAAGCACAGGGGACTGGTAGGTCCCTAAGGAGTTTCAGGTCTCCTGGTGGCCTAACCCTTGGCTTGAATCATATCTAAGCGAGCAGGAAGAGAAGCCCACCAAAGCCCCACACAGAGCAAAGGAAACGTGAGACAGTGCCAGTAGCTGAGGGGGATACCACCAAGGCTTAAGAACAGACTATGAGAGAAAGTCATCTCTTACCCTGCGTCCTCTCTCCAGAGCACTGCTGAGGACACAATGAAATACAAAGGGAGCATGCGCAGCTGTGTAAGAGCCTATCTGCCCTTATATTTAAGCACCAACTGCAGCTTGAATTACACAGCAAAACAAAATACACTGCTTCAACATGCAAAGCCTGTGAAACCCTCATAGAAACCTATCTACAACCAAGGAACTCATACAGAGCCTTGGCCCTCTGAAAGCACCCAGAAATGAAGCCAACTGACTATACACAACATTTACCACCATCAAACTCTCAAGGGAAAAAAGAATATTTAAAAAAAAAAAACCCATTCAATCAACAGCAAATTCAAAAACAAAAAGAAGGACCAGTTCCCTCAGATGAGAAGTAATCAGTGCAAGAACTCTGGCAATTCAAAAAGTTAGAGTGTTTTGTTATTTCCAAAGGATTGCATATACTCCCTAGCAATGGATCCCAACCAGAACGTAATGTCTGAAATTATAGACACAGAATTCAGAATATGGATGGCAAGGAAGCTCAACAAGACCCAAGAGAAGGTTGAAATCCAATCCAAGGAAGTCAGAAAAACAATCCAAGATTTGGAATATAACATAGCTATACTAAGGAAGAACCAATCTGAAATTCAATTCACCACAGGAATTTCAAAATACAATTAAAAATCTTAACAACCGGCCTTATAAGAGATGCTTAACAACAGACTAAACCAAGCAGAGGAAAGAATCTCAGAGCTTGAAGACCAATCCTTTGAAGCAACTGAGTCAGACAAAAATAAAGAAAAAGAATCTTCAACAAATGAACAAAGCCTCTGAGAAATAATAGGATTACATAAAGTGACCAAACCTACAACCCACGATATTCCTAAGAAGAAAGAGTAAGCACCATGAAAGACATATTTGAGAATATAATCCACAAAAATGTCTCCAAAGTTGCTAGACAGGTCAACATGCTAATATAAGAAACTCAGAAAACCCCTGTACGGTACTATACAAAACGACCATCATCAAGGCAGAGTCATCAGACTTTCCAAGGTCTATGTAAAAGAAAAAATCTTAAAGACAACTAGAAAAAGAGTCATATCACCTATAAAGGGAACCTCATCAGGCTAACAGCAGACTTCTCAGTAGAAATCTTATAAGCCAGAAGAGACTGGAGGCCTATATTTAGCATCCTAGGAGAAATTCCAGCCAAGAATTCCATATCCCACCAAATTAAGCTTCATAAGCGAAGGAGAAATAAAATCTTTGCAGGATTAGCAATTGCTAAGGGAATCTGTTACCACTAGACTGGCCTTACAAGAGATGCTTATGGGAGTTCTAAACATGGAAACAAAAACAGTATCTGCTACCACAAAAATACACGTAAGTACACAGCCCACAGACCCTATAAAACAACTACACAATCAAGGCTACAAAGCAACCAGCCAACAGCACCACCGCAGGAAAAAAATCTCACGTATCATTAACCTTGAATGTAAACAGTCTAAACACTCCACTTAAAAGACACAGGGTGGCAAGTTGAATTTAAAAATGAAAAAAATAAAAAAAGACCCATCCTTCTGCTATCTTCAGGAAACTAACTCATACCCCCAGCCTCAAAGTAAAGGGATGGAGAAAGATCTATCATGCAAATGAAAAACAAAAAAGAGCAGGGGTTGCTATTCTTGTTTCAGATAAATAAACTTTAAACCAACAGCAATAAAAAAGGACAAAGAGGATCATTACGTGATAAAAAGTTCAATTCAACAAGAAGACTTAACTATCCTAAATGTATATACACCCAATATTGTAGCACGCAGATTCATAAAACAAGAACTTCCAGATGGGTACTAAAGCAAGTCTCAATAAATTTTTTTTTAATCTTAATCATGCCAAGTATGTGCTTGGACCACAGTGAAATAAAAATAGAAATCAATACCAAGATAAACACTCAAAACCACACAATTACATGGAAACGAAACAACTTCCTCCTGGATGACTTTTGGGCAAACAACGAAATTAAGAAAGAAAACAAAAATTCTTTGAAACAAATGAAAGCAGAGGTAAAATACACCAAAATCTCTGATATGCAGCAAAATTAGTGTTAAAAGGAAAATTCACAGCACTAAATGCCTACCTACATCAAGAAGATAGAAATGGCTGGAGGCAGTGGCTCATGCCTGTACTTCTT
Organism: Homo sapiens; assembly: GCF_000001405.40. Classification (NCBI taxonomy): domain Eukaryota; kingdom Metazoa; phylum Chordata; class Mammalia; order Primates; family Hominidae; genus Homo; species Homo sapiens. Next base: position 88,911,842 of record NC_000006.12, read on the forward strand.
GCCCTCTGAGAGGCCAAGCAGATGGCTTGAGGTCTAGAGTTCGAAACCAGCCTGGGCAACATAGCAAGACTCCTGTCTCTACAAAAAATTTCAAAAAATAAAATAAATAAATTGCTGTAGTCCCAGCTACTTGGGGAGTGCTGAGGTGGGAGGATTGCTTGAACCCAGGAGGTCGAGGCTGCAGTGAGCAGAGATTGTGCCTCTGAATTCCATCCTGGGTGATAAAGTAAGACCCTACCTCAAAAAATAAAATAAAAAGAAGAAGAAGAAGACAGAAAGGCCTGGGCATGGTGGCTCATACCTGTAATCCCAGCATTTTGGGAGGCCAAGGCAGGAGGATCACCTGAGCCCAAGAGTTCAAGACCAGCCTGGGCAATAAAGCAGGACCCCATCTCTACCAAAAAAAAAAAAATGCTGAAAATCAGCCAAGCATGGTGGCATGCACCTGTAATCCTAGCTACTCAGGCTAGGGCAGGAAGACTGTTTGAGCCCTGGAGCTTGAGGCTGCTGTGAGCTATGATCGTGCTACTGACCTCTAGCCTGGCTGACAGAGTGAGACCCTGCCACCAAAAATAAAAAGAAATGAAAAGAAGATAGATCTCAAACTATCTAATATCGCATCTAAAGGAACTAGAAAAACAAAAACAAACAAATCCCAAAATTAGCAGGAGAAAAGAAATACCTAAAATCAGAGCAGAGCAAAAAGAAGTTGAGACCCAAAAAGCCATGTAAAGAAAACCATATAGTGAAATGAAAAGTTGTTTCTTGGAAAGGATAAACAAGATTGACAGGCCATTGGCTGGATTAACAAAGAAAAAAAAAGAGGGAAGATCCAAATAAGCACAATCTGAAATGACAAAGGTGACATTACGACCAACCACACAGAAATACAAAAGATCCTCAGAGACTATTCTGAATACCTCTATGCACACAAACTAGAAAATCTAGAGAAAATGAATAAATTCCTGGAAACACACAACTTCACAACTGAAGAAGGAAGAAACTGAAACCCTGGACAAGCTAATAATGAACTCTGAAATTGAACCAGTTATAAAAAACCTACCAACCCCAAAAAAGCCCTAGTCAGGCACAGTGGCTCACACCTATAATCCCAACACTTTAGGAGGCTGAGGCAGGCAGATCACTGAGGCCAGGAATTCAAGACCAGACAGGCCAACATGGCAAAACCCCATCTCTATTAAAAACACAAAAAATTAGCCAGGCATGGTGGCACACGCCTGTAATCCCAGCTAATCGGGAGGCTGAGGCATGAGAATTGCTTGAACACAGGAGGCAGAGGTTGCAGTGGGCTAAGATTGCAGCACTGCACTCCAGCCTGGCCAGTAGAGTGAAGCTCTGTCTCAAAAAAAAACAAAAAAAAAAAACAAAAAAAAAAAAGCCCTAGACCAGATGGATTCCCAGCCCAATTCTACCAGAGATACAAAGAAGAGCTGGTACCAATCCTACTGAAACAATCCCCAAAAATTGAAGAGAAGGGACCCCTTCCTAACTCATTCTACAAAACCAACATATTGTGATACCAAAATCTGGCAAAAACACAACAAAAAAAAATACTGTAGGCCAATATCCCTGATAAACATAGACACAAAAATCCTCAAAAAAATACTAGCAAACCAAATCCAGCACCACATCAAAAAGCTAATTCACTGCTTCAAGCAAACTTTGTTCCTGGGTTGCAATGTTGGTTCAACATACGAAAATCAGTAAGTGTGATTTAACACATAAACAGAATTCAAAACAAAAACCACATGATCATCTCAATGGCTGCAAAACAAGCATTTGACAAAATCCAACATTCCTGCATGATAATAATCCTAAACAAACTACGCATTGAAGAACATACCTCAAAATAATAAGAACCATCTATGCTAAACCCACAGCCAACATAATACTGAACAGACAAAAGCTGGAACCATTCCCCTTAAGAAAAGGAACCAGACAAGGATGCCCACTCTCGCCACTCCTATCCAGCATAGTACTAGAAGTGCTAGCAAGAGCAATCAGGCAAAAGAAAGAAATAAAAGGCATCCAAATAGGAAGAGAGGACATCATATGTTCTCTATTTCAGTAAATTTTCAGAACACAAAATCTACATACAAAAATCAATAGCATTTCTATAAACCAATGATGTTCAACCTGAGAGCCAAATGAAAAACACGATTCCATTTACAACAGCCACACAAAAAAATAAAATACCTAGGAATACACCCAACCAAGGAGGTGAAAGATCTGTACTAGGAGAACTACAAAACACTGATGACAGAAATCACAGACAACACAAACAAATAAAAAAAATTCCATGCTCATGGATTGAAAGAATCAATATCGTTAAAATGTCCATATTGTCCAAAGCAATCTGCAGATTCAACCCCATTCCTGTCAAATTACCAACAGCATTTTTCTTTCACAGAAGAAAAAAAACTATTATAAAATATGGAACCAAAAAAAGAACCCAAATAGACACAGCAATCCTAAGCAAAAAGGACAAAGCTGAAGGCATCATATTACAACCAACCGCAAACTATGCTAATAAGGCTACAGTAACCAAAAGAGCATGGTACTCCTACAAAAAAAAGACACACAGACAAATGCAACAGAATAGAGAACCCAGAAATAAAGCCACATACCTACAACTAATCGATCTTCAACAAAGTCACAAAAATAAGCAATGGGAAAAGGGCTCCCTATTCGATAAAGTGTGCTAGGAAAACTGGCTAACCATATGCAGAAGAATTAAACTGGACCCCTATTTATCACCATATACAAAAAAAAAGCTCAAGATGGCTTAAAGACTTAAATGTAAGACTGCAAACTATAAAAATCCTGGAAGAAAACCTAGGAAATAGCCTTATGGACAGCAGCCTAGGCATAGAATTTATGTCTAAGTCCTCAAAAACAAAAATTGACAAGTGGGACATAATTAAGCTAAAGAGCTTCTGCACAGCAAAATAAACTATCAACAGAGTAAACAGACAACCTACAGAATGGGAGAAAATATTCACAGACTATGTATCTGAAAAAGGACTAATATCCAGAATCTACAAGGAACTTAATTCAACAAGCAAAAAACAAATAAACCCATTAAAAAGTGGGAAAAGGACATGAACAGACAGTTATCAAAAGAGGACATACAAGTGGCCCAACAAGAATGAAAAAATGCTCACCATCAATTACCAGGGACATGCAAATAAAAACCACAATGAGATACCATCTCATACCAGTCAGAATGGTTATTACTAAAAAGTCAAAGAATAACAGATGCTGGAGAGGCTGCAGAGAAAAGGGAATGCTTATACACTGTTGGGGGGAATGTAAGTTAGTTTAGTCACTGTGGAAAGCAATTTGGAGATTTCACAAAGAACTAAAAATAGAACTACCATTTGACCCACAATCCCATTATTGGAAATATACCCAAAGGAACACAAATCATTCTACCAAAAAGATACCCGCACTTGTATGTTTACCACAGCACTATTTACAATAGCAAAGACATGGAATTAACCTAGGTGTCCATCAATGGTGGACTAGGTAAATAAAATGCAGTACATATATACCATAGAATACTATGCAGCCATAAAAAAGAATGAAATCACATCCCTCGCAGTAACATGGATGCAGCTGGAGGCCATTATCCCAAGAGAATTAACGCAGAAACAGAAAACCACCTATCACATGTTCTCACTTATAAGCTGGAGCTAAATTTTGGGTACACACAGACATAAAGACAGGAACAAACACTGGGGACTCCAATAGGAGGAAGAGAGGAACAAGGGCAAGGGCTGAAAAACTCCCTATTGGGTACTATGTTCACTATCTGTGTAATAAAACCAACAGAAGCCCAAACTCCTGCCTCACACAATATACCCTTATAACAACCTGCTCATGTTACCCACTGAACCTAAAATTTAAATTTAAATTAAAAAAGCAAAAGGAAAGCCACAGAAAATATTTGCAACCCATATATCTGGCAAAGGACTTATATCTGGAATATATAAAGAACTATTTTGTCAGGCAATATTTGCTGATACAAATAAAAATTTTTTTTTAAAACTGTTACAGTTCAATAAGATAACACAGTATTTTTTAAACCTGGGCAAAAGATCTGAACTTTACAAAACAAAATATGTAAGACCACGAAGCACATAAGTTGCTTAACATCATCAATTATCAGGAAAATGCGAGTTAAAACCACAATGAGATCCTAGTATACATTCATTAAAATAGCTAAAATTGAAAAGAGTGACCGTATCAAGTGTTCCTGAGGATGTAGAGGAACTGGAACCCTCATACTGTGGTTTTACCAGTATCTACATCTATCAAACCTCAGATTCTTCCAGGCAGGTGGCTCATGCCTGTGATCCCAGCACTTGGAGGCCAAGGCGGGTAGATCACTTGAGCCCAGAAGTTCAGGACCAGCCTGGGCAACATGGTGAAACCCTGTCTCTAGAAAAAATACAAAAATTCGCCATGCATGGTGGTGTGTGCCTGTAGTCCCAGCTACTAAAGAGGCTGAGAGGAGAGGATCGCTTGAGTCCAGGAGGTGGAGGGGGCTGTGAGCTGTGATGGCGTCACTACATTCCTGCCTGGGTGAGAGTGAGACACTGTCTCAAAAATTAAAATAAATCATCAGAGTGTACAATTTAAATGAATGCTGTTTTATATAAAATTATATCTCAATATGTTGTTTTTTTAGCTAGATGCTAAAGTGAGATGCTGGTATAAGTCTGTAGTTTGTATTAATAACATAATCCAAATATTTGTGTTCATCAATATGGCCTTGTTCTCAGCAATGAACTTTATCAAAAACCCAGGTTATACATTTGATACATTTAAAAATATATGCCAAAAAAATCACTTTAATCTCATTTGTATATTATGGTAGGAGTTCTTTCCAAAAAAATTTTTTACTATGTGGAGGCCAAAGCAACTCCATCTTGGATGCTAATCTGCCTATGTTGACTTCTGATTAACCCCAGTTCTGGGAAGGCCTCTAAGATTTCTAGTTTATCTACTGTTCTTTGTGTAAGAGCATGTCCTAACTATAAATCCTGCCCAAAGGTAAAAACAACCTTGATGTGATTGTACTTACTTGTTCTACTTAACCCTTCTGAATCACCTGTTTCCTGTGGTTTATAAGCCCTGGCCTTGGGAGTAATGGTGGGGATCCACCATCTTATCTCACTGCCACCTGACAAGCAGGACTGGTTTCTTTTTAAGTCCCTATTAAATATATCTTTCTAAGAAACCGGATTTGTCAGTCTCTTTCTTTGGTTTCTTTGCTTCCTTGGACTTTGAGAATAGGTTTGCATAGGCCTGCCCACCACAAAACATGCTACTTTTAAAATTTTTTTGAAAACAACTATCAATTGAGCCAAATCACCAATTTCTACATTCCTGGTATAATAAAATGACCATTAATATTTAGAATAAAAACCTTAGTCATTGAACAACTCTCAATAAAAAAGGATATTTATACAATGGAACTGCAGACAGTAGGAACAATCTGTGCAAATGTAAATATATTAATCAAAAAAGCACATATGGCAAACTATAAATAAATCAGAATGGCTAGAATATGAGCTGTGGTAAGAAATGCCAAATGCAGTTGGAGAAAATGAAAGGGTCAAAATCCTAAAAAAACCTGTGAAACATACTAAAGATTATAAAGGCAATGGAGATATAGTAAAGAATTTTAAGCATGGCAATAAAATTATCAGAGTTTAGAAAAACCACTCCCACGGCTGATTATAGCTCTGGCCTGTAATCCCCACCCCAGCACTTTGGGAGGCTGAGGGTGGCGGATCACTTGAGGCCAGGAGTTCAAAATCAGCCTGGCCAACATGGAGAAACCTCATCTCTACTAAAAATAGAAAAATTAACTGGGGTTGGTGGCGGTTGCCTGTAATCCCAGCTACTCGGGAGGCTGCGGCAGGAGAATCGCGTGAGCCCAGGAGGCAGAGATTGCAGTGAGCTGAGATCATGCCACTGCACTCTAGCCTGGGCGACAGAGCGAGACACCATCTCAAAAAAAAGACTGAGAATGAACCATGATGGGCTTCAAAGAACAAAAACACAGGGTCATGTATGCCAAGTAAAGGAAATTTTCTAAGTTATGAGTGCTTAGATGTCACATAATGATTAGAATGGAAAATCACTATTTGATTAAGAGTGCTAGCCAGGTGCAGTGGCTCATGCCTGTAATCCCTGCACTTTAGGAGGCCGAGGCGGGAATATCACTTGAGGCCAGGAGTTCAAGACCAGCCTGGACAACACAGTATGACCCTGTCTCTACAAAAAATAAAATTTAAAAAATAGCCAGGCATGGTGGCAAGTGCCTGTAGTACCAGCTACTCGGGAGGTTGAGGTGGGAAGATTGCTCGAGACCAGGAGGTCGAGGATGCAGTGAGCTATGATTGCACCACTGCACTCCAGCCTGGATGACTGAGTGAGACACAGTCTTAAAAAGCAAACAAACAAAAAACAGTGCTGAGGGAGGACTCCAGACTGCAACAAAGTGGATAGGAAAAAATGGATTCAAGTATAGATTCTTTTAAAAAGTCAGCTGAGAAAGGGAAGAGGGAATGCAAAACAGAAAGAAGGGTACGGGGTTTTTTTCAGCGGGAGGGGATTATTTAACAAGTTTAGGTATGTTTACAGGCTCAGGACAAGAACCTAGTTAAACCACAAAGCTTGACAATAATAGAAACGATATAAGTGAAATTAAGTTTCTGAAAGAAGAAAATAAAAAACAAAGAGATCAGCCTTGAACTGAAGACATCACTTAGAAATAAATAGCTATGACCAAGAAAATCTATAAATTCCATTATCTCCATTGCTTTGTAAGAAAAAGTGCTTCAAAAAAGCCACACAAAGATGTGCACTATAAACACATTTTTGTATTCATGTATCTTAACCCAACATGTAAATTTCCTTACTATCTTCTATTTCAGACCAATTCAAGCAACAAATATTTCAACTTTCGATGTTTCTCACCTAAGCTACTGTTTTTGTATCCAATTTTTACTCTTGCAAGATTAAATATTTTTATGAATAGGAAATGTAATAATAATTGCCAATTAGCTAATATGTCATGTGAAGATATGTAATCTAGGAAAGTACCATTTTCCTTTTAATATTCTTTATATGCAAATACAAAAAGTCTTAGTCTAATGGTTCAGTTATACATCAAAACATTTATAGATAGGGTTATAAAGTTACAAAACCATCAAAACAAACCACTATAGAAAAATGTGGGAGATTATGTATTTGATATTAAAAAATCCATTAATTAGGTATACTACAAGCTTAGATACGTCTTCAGTTTTTGTTTAAAGCAATTTTCAGTTTTCTTCATCATGAGAATGGGTCCATCTAGTGGTAAGTAAGCCACAGTTTTTAACTAAATATTAGCTCACAATTAACTATTTCAAGGCAACTTCTATTCAAATTTTTCCAGGCAAGCTAATATAATGAAATAAATGTATATGGCATTTACAATCAAACTAGGGAAAGAAACTCCCCAACAAATAGACAGAGAGATTAGCTATAGCTATACATGTTGGGGCAGTTTATAAAGGGGCTGGTGACAATGTATCTTTTTAAATAAAGCCTGATCTCAACATACACTATTTTGGAGGGTGTGGGGGGTATAGACAGGGTCTCTCTATGTTGCCAAGGCTGGTCTTGAACTCCTGGGCTCAAGAGATCCTTGGCCTTGGTCTTCTGGGATTGTAGGCATGAGCCACCACACCTGGCCCACAATTTTATTTCTATCTCACTAGCTAGATAAATTTTTTAATGCTAAAAATCCTAATTATTTGATCAGTCTAATTAGGTCAGTAGTTCTTTTTTTTTTTTTTTTTTTTTTTTTTGAGACGGAGTTTTGTTCTTTTTGCCCAGGCTGGAGTGCAATGGAGCAATCTCGGCTCACTACAACCTCTACCTCAGCCTCCTGAGTACCTGGGATTACAGGCATGCGCCACCACGCCTGGCTAATTTTGTATTTTTAGTAGAGACAGGGTTTCACCATGGTGGTCAGGCTGGTCTCAAACTCTGACCTCAGGTGATCCACCCGCCTCGGCCTCCCAAAGTGTTGGGATTACAGGCGTGAGCCACTGCACCGAGGATTCAGTAGTTCTCAACTGGGGAAGATTTTGCCCCCCAGGGGACATTTTGTAATGTCTAGAGACAATTTTAATTGTTACAATTTGTGGGATGAAGTTGAAGTCCAGCCTGAACAACATAGCCAGACCTGGTCTCTAAAAAATTATTTAATATAATACAATAAAGGCAAAAAAAATTAATGCAGTTGTTCCTCAGACTCCTCAGGGGATTGGTTCTGGGATCCCCCTCAGATACCAAAATCCTCCGATGCTCAGTGCTCAAGTGCCTTGTATAAAATGGCATAGTATTTGCATATGACCTATGAACATCCTGCCGTTTTCTTTGAATCACCTCTAGGTATTACTTATAATACCTAATGCAATGTAAGTGCTATGTGAACAGTTACTATACTGTATTTGTTGTTTTGAAAAAAGCAGGTTATTTATATGGTACAGTATGCAGCTATTATTTAACAGAACAATATTATGAGATATACATGAAATATGTTAAGGATGTGTGTATATATATTCATACATTTATATGAATATATATAACAGTCACACATACATACACATATATTGAGGTATATGACTAGAACCTACACAGCTTAAGGTAATACTGAGGCCTTTATCTGAATAAGTAAAAACAACTCACAGAAGTGTTTTCTCATTTGAGAGAAGCCATTATAGGGGTAAACATTAAATATGCTTAATGAATTCAAAGGAGGGCAGTCAAGCAATTTTAACCTCTGGCATTAGATGTCATGATTTTAGAAAGATTCATACTCCAGGTTTAGGAAAACAAATTCATCCTTGTTATAAATTGTGCAGTTGTATTCTTAGAAGAACTGATAAGAAAAACTTCTAATTGTTTTGAGTGTTTACAGGTTATAAAATTTATAGAACCTAGTGATATATATATATTTTGTTTTATATTCCCGGCAGTGATTCTGTTCATGTGGATTGAATTGGAAACATTTGCTTTGGGCCTGCCAAATTTTGGAGCACAGGATGTATTGCCAGTTATTTCTTATAGTATTACTGTAGAGACAATAACAGAAACTAGTCTCAGAACTGATTGCTGATAACACCTTTCTAAATAAAAAGCACTAAAGAATCAAGCTTAAGTAGTCTTAGGATCTGAAAATACTGTCCTGCTTTTATAGTACTTTCATTTATTTTTAGTTTCAGAGAAGGAATTTTTATCAGCCTTGCACAAACTCTTGCTGATCAATATTTGTGACCAGTAGTAAACATTTGTGATGTGGCAAAGGTTAGACTCAGGTTTCTTTTCAAAGCTGTCTTGGTTTTAAAAAAAAATCCCAGCCTGGGTGACATAGTGAGACCTGGTCTTTAAAAAAAAAAAAAGTAATCTTTGAATTAGCTGATATAATTGTTAATTTATCAATTACAGTTGACAACTGATTCAGTTATCAGTTGATAATTGGTGAGGCTGTGGGCTAATGCTGTAGGCTTCATGGAAATATAAAGTTCTTGAAACACACAGAAGCTTGAAACCTTTTCTAATCCTTAGCAGTAACTACAGCTTCATAGTCCCTTATCTGAAACCCTTAGAACCAGATGTTTTCAATTTTTACCATACTGTTAGCTTCTCTGGGGCAGTACTCTCAAATTTTTTTTTTATTATGGAAATTTGCAGACATACCCAAAGCAGTGAGAATAGAAAAATGAAACCTCATGTATCCATCATCCCTCTTTGGTAATTATCATTTTGCTGATTTTTTTTCATCCTCCACCCTTAATAATATTTTTGGAGTAAATTGGCCTTCCTATATCTGTATTAAAAATATTTGGGAAAAAACTCAATAAAAAATACAGTAAAAAATAATACAAATTTAAAAATACAATATAGTAACTGTTCACATAGAACTTACATTGTATTAGGTATTATAAGTAATACCTAGAGGTGATTCAAAGAAAACGGCAGGATGTTCATAGGTCATATGCAAATACTATGCCATTTTATACAAGGCACTTGAGCACTGAGCATCAGAGGATTTTGGTATCTGAGGGGGATCCTAGAACCAATCCCCTGAGGAGTCTGAGGAACAACCACATTAATTTTTTTTTTGCCTTTATTATTATTATATTAAATAATTTTTTAGAGACCAGGTCTGGCTATGTTGTCCAGGCTGGACTTCAACTCCCAGGCTCAAGCAGTCTTTCCACCTTAGCTCCCAAGTAGCTGGGACTACAGGCATGTGCCACTGGGCCCAGCTCTTACTATTATTTTTAATTTATACATAATAACTGTATTATAAATATATAAATACATATTTATGGGGTAGAGTGTGATATTTCAATACATGTCTACAATGTATAAAGATCAAATCAGAGTAATTAGCATTTTAATGACCTTAAACTACATTTTAGAGCAAGTCACAGACATGTCATGTCACTAAAAATGTTTCAATACACATCTCTAATAAGGACTCTGGGTTTCATATGATTACCATGCAATAATTATACCAAAAGAAGAGTTATAAATTCCTTAACGTCATCTAGAACCTAGTTTGTTTTTAGATTTCCTCAATTACCTTAAAAAAAAATTTTTTTTTTTGAGATGGAGTCTCGCTCTGTCACCCAGGCTGGAGTGCAGTGGCGCAATCTCGGCTCACTGCAAGCTCCACCTCCCGGGTTCATGCTATTCTCCTGCCTCAGCCTCCCAAGTAGCTGGGACTACAGGCGTCCGCCACCACGCCCAGCTAATTTTTTGTATTTTTTTATTAGAAACAGGGTTTCACCATGTTAGTCAGGATGGTCTTGATCTCCTGACCTTGTGATCCACCCGCCTCGGCCTCCCAAAGTACTGGGATAAAGTTAATGTTTCAAACCAGGATCCAACAATACCTACAAACTGCATTTTTTGTTAGGTATCTCAAGTGTCCCTGATTCGCTCTTTTAAATGCAATCAATATGATGGAAAAGCCTAGCCACTGTTCTATGAAATGTTCCACATTCTGGATTTATCTGATTGCATCCTCATGGTTTCAATTAGCTTGTTCTCTTATCTCCCATATGTCTTGTAAATTGATAGTTAAATCCAGAGACATAATTAGATTCACTTTTAAGACTTTAGGTAAGAATATTTTATAGATGGTACTGTGTATTTTCTTTCATACCACATCAGCAAGCACATAATGTTTGGCTGTCCCACTTTTAGTGGTACTAACATAAGTGGGTTCAAGTGGTGGCTGCTCATTTCTTCTGTTATAAAGTTTTCCATTTTGTATTTTACTTAATGATTTTACTGACCATTGATGATTGTTGTTTCCAGGTTGTTTTTTTGTTACCAAGGGAAGCTGTGGTGAAATTCCTTTCACATAACTCTTTATGTCCATCTCTGACTACTTCCTTAAAATAAGTTCGTAGTCTTGATGAGTCAAGAGAAACACTTTTAAGGATCTTGAGAAATACCACCATGTTCTCTCTCCACATAGCCCTCTGTAGAGACTATACCAATTAACACTCAAAAGTGTATGAATGCACCCATTTTATCCAATCCTTGACACTAACAGACATTATAATTTTTTTTTCCAAGAAGGAAAAGTTTATTGAGTCAGCCACAGAGGAGCAGAGAAACAGACGCAGGGAGGTTCTCTGTGCAGCAGGGTATGCAACAAACATTTACCTGATGAAGAGAACAAAACCCAAAGGCTCTGTGTAGAAACAGACACAAACACAAGGCCACTTTTACCCACCTAATGTTAGGTGCAACATTACTCTTCCTTACGATCCCTTTTCCTCATAAAACATAGCATTATGTGTTCAACAAACATATCGTAGCTAAATCAGCAAGAGCTATTATAGTGCTCCAACTTAATAAGTTGATTTAAAAAAAAACAGGTGTTCTATGGCCAGTTCACAATTAAAATAGTTTTGTTCCAAGATTCCTTTCTCTGGCAACAAGGCATTTCCAACAAACAGGTCATTCTGTCACCAGGAGCTGGTTTCAGTCCATGGCACAGAGCAACGTGCCCCTGGCAGCCCCAGGGAGAGGAAGGGGAAGCCACCGGGAGGGGTACTCAAGTTATCCTGGAGGCCCTGAGGAGGGGTGGCCAAGGGCCACCTCAATGCTGGGGGGCTCCATCCAGGATAGTGCTGGCTGGCTTCGCATGAGGAGGTGACAAGAACTTTAGGCTGGTCCCCCAACATGCCATGTGCAAGGGCCTTGTTCAACCCAGAACTGAACTGACACCCCTCCCAGGTAATGCAGGGCAAAGTCCCCTAGGAGCTCTCAGAAATATAATTTTTTTAATCTTTGCCAATTTGATGTGGAGTGCAGCTACCAGCATGTACTTTAATTTGTATCTCATTAGCAAGTGAGAAAAATTTTTTTCATGTTTCTTGGCTTCTTGTATTTCATATTCTGTAAATTGCTCTTTCATTGTTTTCCATAATTTTCTATTAAGGAATGCCTCTTTCACTTACTGGTGTATAAGATATCTTCATAAATAAGATTATTAACTTTTTATGTCACATATGCTTCAGATATTTTTCCAAATTTGTCAAAATCTTTTTTTGAGACAGAATTCTTGCTATGTTGCCCAGACCAGTGTCAAACTCCTGGGCTCAAGCAATCCTTCTGCCTCAGCCTCTCAAGTAGCTGGGATTACAGGCATGTGCCACCAAGCCAGACCCCAATTTGTCCAACATCTTTTTGCCTCCCTTCTGTTGTGTCTTTTGTTGTTGTTGTTTTATGTTTTATTTTTTTCTTTGCCCTCAAACATTCTCCTCTCCAATTTTTTTTTTTTTTTAGAGACAGATTCTCACTCTATTGCCCAAGCTGGAGTGCAGGTGTGATCATACCTCACTATAGCCTCAAACTCCTGGGCTCAAGCAGTCCTCCCACTTCAGCCTCTTAAGTAGCTGGGACTACAGGAGTACACTGCTGCACTTGGCTAATTTTTTTATTTACAGAGACAGGGTCTCACTTTGTTACTCAGGATGGTCTCAAACCCCTGGCTTCAAGTGATCCTCCCATCTTAGCCTCCCAAAGTGCTGAGATAACAATGGTGAGCCACTATACCCACCTGTTGTGTTTTTTTTTAAGACAAAAATTTTTCTCTTTTATGTGGCCAACTAGAAACTAATTACAGCAACTAATTACAGATTTCAACTTTAAAGCCAGAAACTGGATTAAAAACCTGGCTTATCCTTGTTAGTATAGCAGTGACAAGAAAAAAAAAGAAAAAACCTGGCTCAACTACTTATTAGATGCATGACCATGGGCGAAGTACTTAACTTCTCTGAGACTCACTTTCCTTATCTATAGTTCCCCAAGTCCACTGAACAAATAATAAGCATTTATTAATACTAGCTTATTAATAAATAAGGGTTCACGCCTGTAATCCCAGCACTTTGGGAGGCCAAGGTGGGTAGATCACTTGAACCCAGGAGTTCAAGACCAGCCTAGGCAACATGGTGAAACAGTGTCTCTACAAAAAATACAAAAATTAGCAGGGTGTGGTGGTGCGCACGCCTATGGTCCCAGCTACTCGGGAGGCTGAGGTGGGAGGATCACTTGAGCCCTGCAGACAGAGGTTGCAGTGAGCCGAAGTCACACCACTGCACTCTAGCCTGGGCAATACGGCAAGACCTTACCTCATAAAAAAAAAAAAAAAACAACTAGCTGTTACTATCATCATTAATAGCCACCATACTTTAAATTCTGACAGCAGTTCTCAAATTTAAGTCTGCATAAAAGCCACCTAATACTTTTCTTTTGAAAATCTAGATTCCTGGCAAAAGTGCAGTGGTGCACGTAGTCCCAGCAACTCAGGAGGCCAAGGCAGGAGGATCAATTGAGGACAGGAGTTCGAGGCTGTAGTGTGCTATAATCATGCCTATAAATAGACACTGCACTCCAAGTGGGCAACATAGCAAGACCCTGTCTCTTAAAAAAAAATCTGGATTCCTAACATTCATCCTTAGACATTTTGATTACGTAGGTCCAGGATAGGCCCTAAAACATACATTTCTAACAAGTATCTTCAAGTGGTTCTGATACAGGCAGTCCAGGAGCACTCCTAAAAGAAAAATACTCATTTATGGATTCTGTCTTTGGTGATATACATGGAATATCCTTCTTTGTTTACTCCAGAATTAAATAAATATTTACTATTTTCTCCTATATTCTTTTTGGTCCTTTTAAAAATATTTAATACACCTAAAATTCACTTATTATGTGGTTGACTAATGGAACACCATTTGGTGAAAAATCACACCTTTCCTCTCTAATTTAAAAACATCTCCTTTACCACCAGGAACTAGTGCTATCAGTTCCATTGCTTTACCATATGATTTAATGACTGGAAAGAAAAATCTCCTCATTACTCTTGTTTTTCAAATTTTTCTTGCTCATAACTTGCATGTCTGATTTGCCAAACTATTTTTTTCTGTGCTCGGTAATATTCAGTGACTTAATAGAGGTGGGGATTTTACAAATTAATTTCAAAGTAATTCTGCCTAACTTTCATTGGGATTTTGGTTAGAACAACATTAAAACTTTGAAATTAATGTGGAAACAAGTAACGTCTCTCCATTTCTTCATGTTTATTTTAATATTTAAATATATTTTCTTCATAAAGACCATCTACATTTATTAGTAAAAATTCCTTGGTGTTTTGTACTTCTGTTATAGAAGAGAGAGGTAGTTTCAAGTGTGAACATGCAACTCAGATTGCTTAGGATATAATCCACACTCTAGCCCTTACTGGCTGTGTGAGTGACCCTTCAGCAGTCTTAACTTTTCCAAGTCTCAGTTTAAGGGCATAACAATACTATCTACCTAATATAATTGCTATGAAAAGAAAATGAGACAATGTGTGTGACATGGTTTACACAAAGACTAGCAGGGAGGAAATGTTCAATATGTGATAGCCAATATTGTTAAGATTAATGGGACTATTTTCTGATTATATTTTCTAACTAATTATTGCTTGTTTCCAGGAAAGTTGCTGATGTTTTCTTTTTTATCTTACGTTCTCAATATATCCCCAAATTTTCTTACTACTAGTTTTTCCGTTAATTATCTAAATAAGGAAAAACATTAGCTACTTAAAATCAAACAAGACACAAAAAAATTTGATGAAAAAAAGTTTTAAAATATTACCAAAAAATTAAAATGAGATGAATAGGAAATATTTTCAAACAGTAGATATATGAATTTACATCATCTAGCCCTAAGAAGAGAAAGAACTACTCAATAAACTGTGCTGAAACAAATGGTTGGTTATGTAGAAAACATTTAATTGGGCAGGCATGGTGGTTCACGCCTGTAATCCCAGCACTTTGGGAGGCCGAGGTAGGCAGGCAGATCACCCGAGGCCAGGAGTCCAAGACCAGCCCAGTCAATATGGTGAAACCCCATCTCTACTAAAAATACAAAAATTAAGCCCGGCACGGTGGCTCACACCTGTAATCCCAGCACTTTGGGAGGCTGAGGCGGGCAGATCACCTGAGGTTGGGAGTTCAAGACCATCCTGACCAACATGGAGAAACCCTGTCTCTACTAAAAATACATAATTAGCCGGGCATGGTGGCACATGCCTGTAATCCCAGCTACTCAGGAGGCTGAGGCAGGAGAATTGCTTGAACCCAGGAGGCAGAGGTTGCAGTGAGCTGACAGTGTGCCATTGCACTCCAGCCAGGGGAACAAGAGCAAAACTCCATCTCAAAAAAAAAAAAAATACAAAAATTAGCAGGGTGTGGTAGTGCATGCCTGTAATCCCAGCTACTCAGGGGGCTGAGGTGGGAGAATCGCTTGAACCTGGGAGGCAGAGGTTGCAGTGAGCCGAGATCACTCCACTGCACTCCAGCCTGGGCAACAGAGTGGGATTCCATCTCAAAAAAAAAAAAAAAGAAAGAAAAGGAAACTTTACATTGCATCCTCAATTTAAACCATATACCAACAGAAATAACAGAAAAGCAAAGTTGGCCAGGCACAGTGGCTCATGCCTGTAATCTCAGCATTTTGAGAGGCCGTGGCAAGAGGATCACTTGACACCAGCAGTTCAAACCAAGCCTGGGCAACATAGTGAGACCCTGTCTCTACAAAAAATAAAAATAAAAATAAATAGCTGGGGGTAGTGGTGTGTGCCTGTAATCCCAGCTACTCAGGAAGCTGAGAAGAGAGGATCACTTGAGCCCAGGAGTTCAAGGCTGCAGTGAGCCAAGATCGCAGCACTGCACTCCGGCCCGGGCGATACAGCAAGACTTTGTCTCAAAAAATAATTTTTCATTAAAAAAAAATTAAATTTAAAACCAAACCTTAAAAATTCTAGAAGACCACTCCTAGCAGCATTGTTTATAAAAGCAAAACAACAACAACAACAAACCTGAAAATAACTCAAAAGTCATTTTCAGTAACTGCCATTTTATGAAAATTTACTTATTAAATTTGTTATTGCCTGCCCTCCTTCCCTCAGCCTCCAGCCCACACTAGAATATGAGCTCTGTAAGAGCAGGATGTTTTTTTCTATTTTGTTCACTGATGTGTTCCACGAGCTGGTGCCTGGTATAGATAGAGTAGCAATCAATAAAAATCTGATGAAGGAATTGTGCATCAACAAGAGTATAAACTGTGGTGTATTTGTATAATGGAATACTATATAGAAGCAAAAATGAACTACAATTACATCACCATACATTGCTCTCAGAAATCCTGAATAAAAAAGAATGAAGTTTCAGAATAATATAGTATAAAATGTAAAATTATAAAATGTAGAAGTATAAAAAATAAATATGTAGTGTTTAGGATAGACTTTCCCAACAGGACACCTGAAGAGAGGAAATCAGGGCTTTATCTAGAAAAATGTAAAAATTATGAAAATACATTTATTACATAATTCACAAGTCAATCTCTCATTTTAATAAACACTACTTGGTCATTATTTAAAACAGAAAAAACTTTCATATCAACTTATTTGCAAACAAGAAAACAGAAACCTAACTGCAAAATAAAATATTCAACAGTGGCAAAGTAAAGCCAAACATACCTATAAGTTCAGGTGGATTTCTTTCATTAAACCGCTCACACAGACGAATAAAGGTCTCAGTATTCTCAGTGGTAGGGCACTCACCATGTCTAGTAATATAGAAAAAGTTTTTTTGAAAAAAGAGATTACAAATTGTGATGAAAGGTTTCAATATTAAAGAATCTTAATATATAACTTACCCTTTACACTGAAGTTTTATATATTTGATTCCTTCTTTTTCTATGTCATTTCGGTCATAGAACCTTGAAGTATTTGTCAGGTCCACCAACAAGCCCATTTTAACCTAAAAAAAAAAAAAAATGAAAGGGCAAATTTACTAGTAACTTAATTTGTTCCCAAATAAGTAGACTAAATGGCAATACTACAGTTCATTCATTTACATTGAGGGAGATTCTGTATGTACTTTGCCCCTGAACAATTGATAATAAAAGTATCACTTATCAAAGTCTTATTCAAGACACTAAAACTAAGCAGGCACTTGATAAAATAAATTAACTCCCAAACTAAGGAAAGAACAGGAATATAAGCAAAACAAATTCTACTGCCAACATCACAAAAGTCTATGCAAAAGAGAAAATGCTAGAGTTTTCTCTAGTGTTTGCTGCATATACCTCTGCACCTGTGATTTATTAGACAAGAGGCTAGAGCAGGAATGGCATCTATCTGAAGTATACCACAACTCAAGCTCTCGGCACAAATCACCCACCCCAGCCTTCCAAGCAGCCACCACCAATAATTCTGTTAATATCTATTGACTACACCATTTTATATCCCAGGCTTAAAAGATGAGACAATCCATTTATATCATATATATGATGTGTATATATATATACATACATATACACACATATACATATACACACATATACATATGTATACATATGCATATATACATACACACATATATACATATGTATACATATGCATATATACACGTATATACATATGTATACATATGCATATACACACGTATATACATATGTATACATGCATATGTGCATATACATGTATACATATATACATATGCATATGTATACACATATATGCATATATATGCATATATACATATACATGTATATGCATATGTATACATATACATATATACATATACGTATATACATATACGTGTATACATATATACACGTATACATACATATACATATACGTACATACATATATACATATACATATATGTATATACATATATACATAAACATATATACATATATACATATAAAACATGTATCTTATTATATATATTTTATATATATGTCCCTTTCTTTGTTATTAACAACTCTTCTATTTTCTGAAAATATACTGAAGCCTCAAGTTACATTTTTTGAAAAGAAACAAGGTTAAAAATAGAGACAATCTTATTAAGAAGATGGTAGTACGGGAAATTTGGCCAGACACAGTGGCTCACGCCTGTAATCTTGGCACTTTGGGAGGCCACGGCAAGAGGATCGCTTGAAAAACCATGTGTTTGGGGGGAAAAAGATTAAAAAATTAAATAAATTTTCCTCTCCTATTCTTTCAGTATCATATAAAAACAAGGTAAATTGTTTAAAAAAAAGTTTCATTTTCTGTAAAACGAACGCATATAAAATCCACACATTCATAAAAAATGTCTAAGTTCTGCCAAAAAATTAAGAACACTACAGAAGCTATATGGAAAGGAAGAAAAGAGAAGCAGACCCAGGAGCAGCAGATTTTAGGAAAATGCCAATAAAAATACATTTCCGGTAAGAAAGAGCTCACCATAAAGTGGCAGACCTATCTCTCATCTACCCAAGAGCTAAGGAGTCTGGAGAAGATGGGGCAGATTACAGGGAAGCAGAAGCAATACAAGGGGGAAAATGCAATGAAGACACACAAAAGCAGTAAAAATGACCCCATGCTGGTAAATTTCAGAAAATGTCAGCACACATTTTCCAGTTCCATAAAGAAACCATCCAAGTAAAGTAGTAAGAAGATTCCCTAAACTGAAATGCTTGGGACTTGAAGTGTTCAAGATTTCAGATTTTTCAATATTTGCATTATACTTACAGGTTGAGCAATCCTAATATGAAAATCCAAAACCTGTAATGTTCCAATAAGCATTTCCTTTGGGCATCATGTAGGTGCTAAAAAAGATTCAGATTTTATATTTTTGGATGAGGGATGCTCAACCTGTACATACTTTAATGGAATACTATAAAGCTGTAAAAAAAAAAAAAAAAAAAAAAAGAACAAGAAGTTCTATGTGCTAATATATGAAGATCTTCAGAGTATACTATTAAGCTGGAAATGCAAGTTTCAGACCAGCATATATAATGTGCTACCTTGAGTGTGCAGGGGAGAACACAGCAATCTGTATTTTTAGTTGCTTACATACACATAAAGAAATTCTGAAAGGATGTATTAAAAAATCTAAAAACAGTGGAACCTGTGTGGTATGTGGTGAGGGACTAGGCAGATAGAGAGCAAAAGTGAGAGGGAGACTTCATGATACCAACCTTTTTTTGTGGATTTTTGAAGTAAGTGAACGTATTGTCTATTTCTAAAATGACAAAAATCACTATGATTTTTAGGTACCATGTGATGCCTAAGAATCACACCTTGGGCAGTTAAATTCTAACACATAGGGTAAAAAAGTATGTACAGTCAAAATTCTCTCATAAATTCCTTAAGTAACCAATGAAGAACAGTATACATGGCCATATGCATATTACTGGAGGCTTAATCCCATCTCAATAAGTCAACCATTGTTGCGGGAAGTCAGGGACCCCTAACAGAGGGACCGGCTGAAGCCATGGCAGAAGAATATAAATTGTAAAATTCCTATGCCTGTCTTTACTTTAATCTCTTAATCCCATCATCTTCGTAAGCTGAGGATGTATGTGGCCTCAGGACCCTGTGATGATTGTGTTAACTGCACAGATTTTTCATGAAGCATGTGTGTTTGAACAGCGTGAGATCTGGGCACCTTGAAAAAAAGAACAGGATAACAGCAATGTTCAGGGAACAAGGGAGATGACCATTGGGTCTAACTGCCTGGGAGCCAGGCAGGACAGAGCCATATTTCCCTTATTGCCAAAAACAGGTAAGAGAAATATCACTGAATTCTCTCCCCAGTAAGGAATATTAATAATTAACAGCCCTGGGAAAAGAATGTATTCCCAGGAGTAGGCCTCTAAAATGGCCGCTCTAGGAGGGTCTGCAGTTGCAGATAAGGGATGAAACACACCCTAGTCTCCTGCACACCCCCAGGCTTGCTAGGATTAGGAAATTCCAGCCTGGCAAATTCTAGTCAGACCGGTTCTCTGCTCTTGAACCCTGTTAAGATGTTTATCGGTGACAACGTGTGCACAGTGGGACAGGGAACTTCCTTAGTAATTCTAGTTTCGCCCTGACCTTGTGATCTCACCCTGACCTTCTGCCTTGTGATCTTTTATTGCCCTATGAAGCATGTGATCCCTGTGACCCACACCCTATTCGTACACTCCCTCCCCTTTGAAAATCGCTAATAAAAACTTGCTGGTTTTGCGGCTCAGGGGGCATCACGGAACCTGCTGACATGTGTCTCCCCTGGACACCCAGCTTTAAAATTTCTCTCTTTTGTACTCTTTCCCTTTATTTCTCAGACCGGCCGACATTTAGGGAAAATAGAAAAGAACCTACGTTGAAATATTGGGGGCTGGTTCCCCCAACAGATTATAGCCAATTTTTCTTTCTGGATTGGAACAAAAACCATTATTACTTCTGTTGAGCTGAAGAAGTTGATTTGCATTCAGGGCCCTTCAGTATGAAAAATCTTTAAAACCTAGAATCACAATCAGCCAGCAAGATAGTCTCACTTAGAAACGCACACCTAAACTGAGGCTAAAAAAAAGTAATAGTAAATTCATACATCTTCCACCTCATTCTGAAGCATATACTCTAATATAAAAAAGAAGACAATTTATACCACATAGGTTGATGGTTGTTTCAATCCCCAAATTTTCCTGCCTGGTATTCATCTTTATTTTCTCTCCTATCAGCACCCCAACTTTCCTCCAAAAGCCACCCTTTCTCCACTTTAATCCTTGAGTTTCTACTCCCTCCCTCTTTCCCCCTTGGGTCCCCACAGGAAAAAAAAAGGCAAGAGAAACAATCTGCACTTTCTTTAATTGATATGCTATATTTTATGTATTATGGGGTATATGTGATATTTTATTACATGCATGTAATGTGTAATGATGAAATCAGGGTATCTGGAGTATCCATCACCTTGAATATTTATCATTTCTATGTGTTAAGAGTATTTCAAGTTCTCTCTTCTAGCTACTTGGAAATACACAATACATCATTGCTAACAACAGTCACCTTACCCTGCTACCAAAAATAAGAATTTATACATTATATCTAACTATATGTTTGCACTAACCAACCTCCCTTCACCATGCTCCTCCTGCCCACACACCCTTCCCACCCTCTGGTATCTATCGTCTATCATTCTACTCTCTATGTCCATGAGATCAGTTTTTTTTTTTTAAGAGATAGAGTCTCACTCTGTTGCCCCGGCTGGAATGTAGTAGCACAATCATAGCTCACTGTAACCTCAAACTCTTGGGTTTAAGTGATCCTTTCATCTCAGCCTCCTAAGTTCTAGGACTACAGATATGAAATCAACTTTTTTGGCTCCCACAGGAGTGAAACTGTGGAATTTGTCTTTCTGTGTCTGGCTTATTTTGGTTAACATAATAAACTCAAGTTCCACCCATGTGCTGCAAAATGATGATTTCATTTTTTCTTCATGGCTGCATAGTATTCCATTGTGTATATATGCCACATTTTCTTTATCCATTCATCCACCCTTTGATAAAATTATTTCTGTTCCTTTGGATAAATACTCAGTAGTGAAACTGCTAGATCGTATAGCAGTTCTACTTTTAGTTTTCTGAGAAATTTCCATACTGTTTTCCATGGTGGCTGTACTAATTTACGTTCCAACCAACAGCATATGAGTTCTCTTTTCTCCACATCCTTGCCAGCATCTGTTGGTTTTTGTCTTTATAATAGTTTTGTTTTGTTTTTTTGAGAGAGAGACAGGGTTTTGCTCTGCCACCCAGGCTGGAGTGCAGTAGCACAATCATAGCTCACCACTGTAACTTCAATCTTCTGGGGTTAAGGGATCCCTCCACCTCAGTCTCCTGAGTAGGTAAGATGGCAGGCACATACCTCATGCCTGGCTAATTTTTTGAATTTTTTTAAAGATGGTGTCTCGTTATGTTATCAAGGCTGGTCTCAAACTCCTGGCCTCAAGTAATCCTCCCATCCATCTCAGCTTCCCAAAGTGCTAGGATTACAGACATGAGCCACTGTACCTAGTCATAAATAGCCATTCTAACTGGTGCAAGATGATATTTCATTGTGGTTTGGATTTGCATCTTCCTGATGATTAGTAATGTTGAGCTTTTTTTCAGCATTTTTTCATATATCTGTTGGCCATTTGTATGTCCTCTTTTGAGAAATGTCTATTCACATCTTTGCCCACTTTTTAATGGGATTTTTTTCCTGTTGTTTCCAGTTCTTTGTATATTCTGGATACTAATCCCTCAGAAGAATAGTTTGCAAATATATTCTCCTATTCAGTAGGTTGTTATTTCACTCTGTTGTTTCCTTTGCTGTGCAGAAGCTTTTTTATTTTATTTTTTGAAACAGAGTCTCACTCGTTGCCCAGGCTGGAGTACAGTGGTGTGAATATGAATCACTGCAGCCTTGACCTACTGGGCTCAAGCAGTCATCCTGCCTCAGCCTCCCAAGTAGCTGGGACCACAGGTATGTGCCACCAAGAAATAAGGTCTCACTCTGTTGCACAGGCTGTTCTCCAATTCCTGGCCTCAAGCAATCCTCCCACCTTGGCCTCCCAAAGTGCTGGGATTACAGGTGTAAGCCACTGTACCCAGTCCAGAAGCTTTCCAGTTTCATATCATCCCATTTGTCTATTGTTGTTTGAGTTGTGTTTTTGAGGTCTTAGCCATAAAATTGTTACTGAACCAATGTCCCACGGTGTTTTCCCTATGTTTTCATCTCAAAACTACTGTTTTCTGCTTTCAGGTCTTACATTTAAAGTCTTTAATCCATCTTGATTTGATTTTGTATATGGTGAGAGATAAAGGTCCAGTTTTATTCTTCTGTATATGGATATCCAATTTTCCCAGCACCATTTATTAAAGAGTGTCCTGTCCCCAATGTATGTTCTTGGTGCCTTTGTCTAAATCAGTTGGCTGTAAATGCATGCATTTATTTCTGGATTCTCTATTCTGTTCCATTAGTCTGTTTTTACACCAATGCCATGCTGTTTTGGTTACTATAGCCTTGTAATACACTGTAAAGTAGTGTGATGCCCACAGCTTTGTTCCTTTTGCTCAAGATTGCTTTGGTTATTCAGGCTCATTTCAGGTTCCATAAAAATGTTAGGATTCAGGTGGGGTGCAGTGTCTCATGCATGTAATCCTAGCACATTGGGAGGCCAAGGTGGGAGAACTGCTTGAGCTCAGGAGTTCAAGACCAGCCTAGGCAACACAGTGAAACCCCATCTTTAAAAAAAGTTTTTTTTAATAAAATTAAAAAGTTAGGAGTTTTTTCTATTTCTATAAAAAATGTCATTGGTATTTTATAGGGATTGCACTGAATATGCAGATTGCTTTGGAAAGTATGGTCATTTTAACAATATTAATTATTCCAATCCATGGGCATGGAGGTCTTTCTATTTGTTTGTGTTCCATTCAATTTCCTTCATCACTGTTCTAGTTTTCCTTGCAGAGATCTTTCACTTCCTTGGTTAAATTTATTCCTGAGTATTTTACTATTTTTGTAGCTATTATAAATGGGATTGCCTTCTTGATTTCTTTCTCAGCTAGTTCAGTATCAGCATACAGAAACACTACTGATTTTTGTATGTTGATTTCTTTTTTTGTGTATTTCTTTCAAAGACAGGGTCTCATTCTTTTGCCCAGGTTGAAGTGCAGTGGCTCAATCATGGCTCACCACTGCCTGGAACACCTGGGCTCAAGTGATCCTCCCACTTCAGCCTCCTGTGTAGGTGGAACTAGAAGAACACACCATTGTGCCTGGATAACTTTTACATTTTTAAAAAATATTTTGTAGAGATGGGGGTCTCACTTTGGGGTCCAGTCTGTTCTTGAACTCTTAGCCTAAAGCAAACCTCCCACCTTAGCCTCCCAAAGCACTTTGGGGTCAAAGGTGTGACCCACTGTCCAGCCTGTATGTTGATTCTGTATCCTTTACTGAATTTCTCATCAGATCTCAGAGTTTTCTGGTGGAATCATTAAGTTTTTCTAGATTTAAGATTATATCATCAGCAATGAGGGACAGTTTGACTTTTTTTCCAATTTGGGTGCCTTTTATTTCTTTCTCTTGCCTGGCTGCTCTAGATAGTACTTCCAATACCATGATGAATAAGTGGACATCCTTGTCTTGTTCTAATTCTCAGGGCAAAAGCTGAAAGCTTTTCCCCAATTAGTATGACGTTAGCTGTGGGCTTGTCATATATGGTCTTTATTATGTTGAGTTATGTTTCCTCTATGCCTAGTTTGTTGAGAGTTTTTATCATGAAGGGATGTTGATTCTTATCAAATGCTTTGTCTGACTCTATTGAGATGATCACATGGTGTTTGTCCTTCATTCTATTGATGTAATGTATCATATTTATTGATTTGCATATGCTGAACCATCATTGCATCAGAGATACTGGCCTGTTTTCTCTTTTTGTTGTGGTTTTGGTATAAACATAATGCTAGCTTTACAGAATGAGTTAGAATTCCCTCCTCTTCAATCTTTTCAGGATTATTTGAGGATTGGTGTTAGTTCTTCCTTAAAAGTTTGGTAGAATTTGGTGGTGAAGGCATCCGGTCCTAGACTTTTTGTTGGGAAATGTTTCATTACTGATTAAATCTCCCTACCTGTTATTGGTCTGCTCAGCTTTTCTATTTCTTCCTGATTCAATCTTGGTAGGTTGCATATATCTAGGAACTTATCCACCTCTGCCAGGTTTTCCAGTTAGTGTATACTTGTTCATAATAGTCTTTGATGGGCCAGGCACGGTGGCTCACGCCTGTAATCCCAACACTTTAAGAGGCCGAAGCGGGCAGATCACGTGAGGTCAGGAGTTCCGAGACCAGTCTGACCACCATGAAGAAACCCCATCTCAACTAAAAAATACAAAAAA
This sequence comes from Homo sapiens, assembly GCF_000001405.40. Classification (NCBI taxonomy): domain Eukaryota; kingdom Metazoa; phylum Chordata; class Mammalia; order Primates; family Hominidae; genus Homo; species Homo sapiens. The sequence continues at coordinate 88,937,197 of NC_000006.12, forward strand.
TTAGCCAGGCGCAGTGGCACATGCCTGTAATCCCAGCTACTCAGGAGGCTGAAGTAGAAGAATCACTTGAACCTGGGAGTGGAGGTCACAGTGAACTGAGATCCCACCATTGCACTCCAGCCTAGGCAACAAGAGCAAAACTCCATCTCAAAAAAAAAAAATAGTCTCTGATGATCTTTTGTATTTCTGTGGTATCAACTGTAATATTCTCTTTCTCATTTCTGATTTAGTTTACTTGGGTCTTGTTTTTCTTGGTTGGTCTAGCAATGGATTTATTGATTTGGTTTATCCTTTCAAAAAAACCAACTTTTCATTTTGTTGATTCTTTGTATTTTTTTTTTTAGTGTCTATTTTGTTTAGTTCTGCTCTGATCTTTATTATTTCTTTCCTTCTACAAATTTTTGGTTTGTTCTTGCCTTTCTAGTTCCTTGTGGTGCATCATTATTTATCTGAATCCTTCTACATTTTTGATGTAGGCAATTATTGCTATAAACTTCCTTCTTAGCACTGCTTTGCTGTACTTCTTAGGTTTTGGTATGTTGTGTTTCAATTTTCATGTGTTTCAAGAGGTTTATTTCCACCTTAATTTCTTCCTTGACCAAATGGTCATTCAGGAGCATGTTTAATTTCCATGTATTTGTACAATTTCCAAAGTCCCTTATTATTGACTTCTAGCTTTTCTACCATTGTGGTCTAAGAAGGTATGTGATATGATTTTGACTTTTTTATTTGTTAAGGCTTGTTTTGTGTCCTAACATATGGTCTATCCTAGAGATTGTTCCATTTCCTCACAAGAAAAATGTGTATTCTATAGCTACTGGATGAAATGTTCTGTAAATGTCTGTTAGGTCCATTTAGTCTAATGTGCACTTTAAATCCAATGTTTGTTAATTTTCTGTCTTGACAATCTGTCTAATGATGACAGTGGGGTGCTGAAGTCTCCAACTACTATTATACGGGAGACTGTATCTCCATTTAGATATAATAATATTTGCTTTATATATCTGGGTACTCTGATGTTGAGTGCATATATGTTTAGAATTGTTATATCCTCTTGCCAAACTGATCCTTTTATCATTATATAATGACCTTCTTGATCTCCTTTTACTGTTTTTGACTTAAAGTCTGTTTTATCTGATATAAGTTTAGCTACTCCTGCTCACCTTTGGTTTCCATGTGCATGGAACACTTTTTCCATCCCTTTACTTTCAGTCTATGTGTGTCTTTACAGTTGAGATGAGTTTCTTGTAGGCAGCATATGGATAAGTCGTGTTTCTATATCCATTCGGCCAGTTTACATCTTTTAAATGGAAAGTGTAATCCACTTACATTCAAGGTTATTATTAATATGTGAAGGCTTATTCCTGTCATTTTATTAATTTCTGGTTGTTTTGTATATTCTTTGTCCTTTCTTTCTCTCTTATTGTTTCATCTTTGTGGTTTGGTGGTATTGTGTAGTGGTAACATTTGAGTTTTTCCCCCTTCATTGTTGATGTGTTTGCTCTGTCAGTGGTTTTTATTTATATTTTTGTGTTTTCATGATGGTGGTTACTAGTCTTTCAATTTCAGGTACAGGACTGTCTAACGCATTTCTTACAGGACCAGTCCAGTTGTGGTGAATTCCCTCAGCTTTTGCTTGTCTGGGAAAGACTTTATTTCTCCTTCATTTATGAAGAAAGAATAACTTTGCTGGGTATGGTATCCTTGGGTGGTAGGCGTTTTCTTTCAGAACTTTGAATATATCCTCTACTCTCGCTTGGCCTATAAGGTTTTTCCTGTGAAGTCCACTATTAGTCTAATGGGAGCTCTCTTATAAATGACTAGACACTCTTAATGTTTTTTGAATTTTCTCTTTGACTTTTAACAGTTTGACTATAACGCGTTGTGGAGAAGACCTTTTTAGATATTATCTTTTGTGGGATCTTTGATCCTCTTGGATGTCTAAACCTCTTGTTAAACTTAGAAAGTTTTAATCTATTATTTCATTAAATAGGTTTTCTAACCCTTTTGTTCTCTCTTCATCTTCTGGAACACCAAAAATTTGAATATTTGGCCACTTTCTGGTGTCCTATATCTCAAGAAGGCTTTGCTCATTCTTTTTTAGCATTTTATCTTTATTTTTGTCTTACTAGGTTACTTCCAAAGACCTGTCTTCAAGTTCTGAGATTCTTTCTTCTGCCTGATCTAGTCTATTATTGAAGCTTTGATCTATTTTCTATTTCATTCAATGAATTCTTCATTTCCTGAATTTGTTTGAATTTCTGATATCTATCTCTGGTAAACTTATTATTCATACCCTGAATTGTTTTTCTGATTTGTATTGCTTTTCAGTATTCTGTATTGCTTTTCAGTATTCTCTTCTTTCTTACACAGAGCTTCCTTAGTATCAAAATTTTGAATTATCTGTCCACCATTTCATGAATTTTTTTATTATGCTGCTGAAGGATTATGAATTTTTTATCTGCTGCTGAAGGATTATTGTGTTCCTTTGGAGATGGCATATTTCTTGCTCTTTCATGTTTGCCATGTCCTTACATTGATATCTGCACATCTGGTGTAACACTCACTTCTCCTTTTTTTTTGAGACACGGTCACACTATCGCCCAGGCTGCAGTGGGTAATCATGGCTCACTACAGCCTCAACCTCCTGGGTTCAAGTGATCCTCCCACCTCAGCCTCCCAAGTAGCTGGGACTACAGGCACACACCACCATGCCCGGCTAATTTTTTTTTTTAATTTTTTGTAGAGACAGGGTCTCCCTATGCTGCCCACACTGGTCTCAAACTCCTGGCCTCAAGCAATCCTCCTGCCTCAGTCTCCCAAAGTGCTGGGATTACAGGCATGAGCCACCATCCCAGCCCCAGTTTTTCTTTTTTTTTTTTCTTTTCTTTTTTTTTGAGACAGAGTCTCACTCTGTTGCCTGGGTTGGAGTGCACTGGTATGTGATCTTGGCTCACTGCAACCTCCGCTTCCCAGGTTCAAGCGATTCTTGTGCCTCAGCCTCCCGAGTATGCTGGAATTACAAGCACACACCACAATGCCTGGCTAATTTTTGTATTTTTAGTAGAGACAGGTTTTTGCCATGTTGGCCAGGCTGGTCTCAAACACTTATCCTCAAGTGATCCACCTGCCTCAGCATCCCAAAGTGTTGGGATTACAGGCATGAGCCATGGCACCCAGCCCCAGTCCCAATTTTTGGAATTAGCTTTTGGAGGGAAGGACTTTTTCCTGAAGCTATATCTGTGGTGTTGGTCGGGTAAAGCACTTTGGTTATGATTCTGGATGCATGCAGTAGTGTAGTCTCTGTATGGTTTCTTCAACTGTAAACACAGTCAGTTTCCTTGGTAGCTCAGGGTGTGGTTGTTAGTGGAGGCTATAGTAAGTTTTGCTGGGGGCTGGGATGTCAGGTGGGCATTCTCTTAAATGGAAAAACTACACATTTTTGTTTTTCTACTCTGGCGAGTACAGGGACGGGGTGAGGAGAGAGTTTGACCATAAAGAGGTAGCATGAGGGAATTCCTCTGTGGAGATGCAGCAGTTCTATAATCACTACCATGAATTTACACATGAGATCAAACTGTACTGAACTACACACACACACAAATGCATATCAAAAGTAAATAAGATCTGCAATCAGTTAACAGTACTGTATCAATGTCAATTTCCTGCTTGTGATATTGTACTACAATTATATAAAATGACACCATTGTGAGAAGCTGGGAGAAGGGTTCACAGAATTCTATGTACAATTACTGCAACTTCCCTTGAGTCTATTAATTATTTTAAAATAATAAGATTTTTTTAAAAGCCACCTGAAGAACAAGACTGAACAAAGTATATTAAATCAGTGACAAAAATAAATTTTGTTTCTTACCTTTAGGCTCTTTAGGTAATTTGAGAGCATGCTGGGATGGAACCGATTTTCTTCAGCAACTTGACTATCATATCTTGGTCCTAACATTGTCTTCAGAGGTAAGAATCTTCCTAAACAACACAGATAGGTAATCATTTCCATAAAAGGAAATGTTTCAGATTAAAATTCTATAATTAACAATTCTCAAATATCACCTTCTTAAAACCTTTTTTTTTGAGACCAAGTGTCGCTCTGTCCCCCAGGATAGAGTGCAGTGGTGCAATCTCAGCTCATTGAAACCTCTGCCTCCTGAGTTCAAGCAATTACCTTGCCTCAGTCTCCCAAGTAGCTAGGATTACAGGTGTGTACCACCAAGCCCAGCTAATTTTTGTGTTTTTAGTAGAGACAGGGTTTCACCACATTGCCCAGGCTGGTCTCAAACTCCTGGGCTCAAGCAATCCACCCACCTCGGCCTTCCAAAGTGCTGGAATTACAGGCGTGAGCCACCGCACCCAGCCTCTTAAAACATTTTAAATGGAAAAGCAATCTAAAAATGCAAGTGTTCATAAAGTACTCTCAATTTAAACTATACTTTTCAAAGATACTACCCTACATCTTTTTTTTTTTTTTTTGAGACGGAGTCTCGCTCTGTAGCCCAGGCTGAAGTGCAGTGGCGCAATCTCGGCTCACTGCAAGCTCCACCTCCCAGGTTCATGCCATTCTCCTGCCTCAGCCAAGGACAAAAAAATTATAAAAATTGACAATCAAATATAACAGCAAAAGAAAAATTACCAGTGAATAGAACTTCCATTATCTAAGTTCTACACCACTACATTAAAAAAGTTATTAATTTAAAACTCTTAAAAACATAAGCAATCTTCCTGCCTAAGCCTCCCAAGTAGCTGGGACTGCAGGTGCACACCACCATAACCAGCTAATTTTTTTGCTGGGGGGAGCACGTTGTCAGGTCTCACTATGTTGTCCAGGCTAGTCTCAAACTCCTGGGCTCAAGCGATCCACCCACCTCAGCCTCCCAAAGTGCTGGGATTATATGCCCTATATGGTTTTTATTATCAGGTTGGAACTTTCTCCAACCTGATACTAAAAAGTTGTAGGCTTTATTCTATATCTCAGGATAAAGACCATGCTAGAATATGATATCATTCTGAGAGGATGCTAACCAAAATCATCCTTCAAACAACTATCAGTGGTTATTTCAGCTAGAAAGACTGACTTTTTTTGACCTTTTTTTCTGAATGACAGTATAGCATAGAGGAAGTCACCTCTAACCAATTTTTTTAACATCTATTTTAACTGATATATGTATGCGTATTATTTTTGAGACAGGGTGTCACTCTGTTGCCCAGGCTGGAGTGCAGTGGCGTGATGTCAGCCCCTGCAGCCTCAACCTCCTGGGCTCAAGCAATCCTTCCACCTCAGCCCCCCAGTAGCTGGGACTACAGACGCACACCACCACACTCAGCTAATTTTTTGTGTTTTTTGTAGGGATGAGGTTTTGCCATGTTGCCCAGGCTGGTCTCGAATTCCTAAGCTCAAGCAATTCGCCTACCTCGGCCTCCCAAAATGCTGGGATTATAGGCATGAGCCACTGAGCCTGGCCTTACATTTTCAAACACAATAAAAACAATATTATCTGCCTAAGTGAAGTCTTAACATCTGTCCAAAGGCTTTAAGCTAAATTTCATGAAAAAATAATTTTTTAAGATTTTGTTTTCTACAAAATCAAAGTCACCCATAACCTCCACATTGCTAAATCAAATGGTCAACTCTCAGTTCTCACCTTAAGCTCTCAGCAACATAAAACAACTGGTCACTTTTTGACAAAAGAACCACTTTTTTCACCTAAATTCCAGAATACTATTATATCCTCCTGGTTTTCCTTCTAGCTCTCTGGCCTCTCCTTCTCAGTCTACTTTAGTGGCTCCCCCTCTCACCCTGACTCCTCTATGTTTTGTCTCAGGACTCAATCCTTGGACCTCTTTTATATTTTCATTCACTCCCTTGGTGTCTCATCTAGTCTCATGGCTTTAAAAGCCATCAATGTGCTAATGACTTACAAATTTATATTTCCAGTTCAAATCACTCCCTTAACTCTAGATGGATATCAACTGCCTACTGAACCTCTACTTTATGTCTAACAGATGTCTCAGATTTGATATCCAAATCTCAACTCTTAATACTCAAACTCTAAAACCTGCTCCCTTCATGGTCTTCCCTATCTCAGCAAATAGTAACATCATTCTTTTAGCAGCTCAAGACCAAAACCTTTTAGGTTATCCTTGCCTATTCTCCTTTTCTCACACCCAACATCCAATCCATCAGCAAATCCCGTAGCTCCACCTTCAAAATACATCCAGAATCTGACCACTTCTCACCACCTCCACCAACATCTGATTTAGGTTTCTTTTACTTCATTTAGTTTAACAGATATATAGTGGGTATGTACTATGTACCAGGCATTGTTCTAGGCGCACGGATTACATTAGTGAAAAGGAAAAAAAAAACACACACACAAACAAAAAACAGAAAAGCCCTGCCCTCATAGTGTTTATATTCTATTAGGAAAATATAAATCATGAGCAATAAACATAATAAATAAATAAATAAGAAGATTCATCCCATCAGACTTTCTCTCCCTCTTACTACTGCCTCAGAAGTCCAATCCTATTTCCATCAGCTCTTTCAGGGTTCCCTTTCCTTCTTATCCAACATCAGAGCCCACAGTGGATCAACATAATTAGTCCCCTGTAAATACCCTTAACCTCCTTGCTCTGCCCCCATTACCCAGTCACACTCACCTGAGAAAAATCCAGACCTCAATGAACTTAACCACCTGACTTCTTTGTGCCTACACATATGTAGCTGAGGCTTCCTAGAGCAAATCTCACAGCACAAAAGATGGGTGACACTATACTTCATAATCACCAATATCAAAGGCAATCCTACCACACACCATTAGCTCTCCTTTATGATAAATATTTTACATCTTTTCCTCATTCCTAAAACATCCCCTTTTCAACTGACAACTTTAAGTTAGACTTCACTGAAAAGAAAAAAACAAAAGAAGCCATAATAATTAAAGCTAATTGTGTATGTTTACCACATGCTAGACACTGTTTAAAATACTGTACATAATTCATTCATTTACTCCTAACAATAAGTATTGTTATTATTCCTCGTTTTACAGATGAGAACAAAGCAAGAGCGATTAAGTAACTTGCCACATGTCACACCACTAATAAATGGTAAAAACAGTGATTCAAATGAAGACTACGGATGTAGAGTCCATGAATGAAACTGCTATTCAACAATGCCTCTCCACCTTTAGGCAGAAACTTGCCTTGCCTTTGCAGTTAATCTATAAACCTTTCTGTATCTCAGCCCATACTCCTCCTCCCATTAAAAATCCTCCCTTCTGCTCGGGATTTCCTTACCATCTTGCCTTTCAAGGGCCACCAATCAATCCTTTCTTCCTCTCCCAACCCCCACCCCCAACATCTTCAGCATCTCAGACATCTGCTGGCTCATTTCCATCAGCATTTAAATAAGCCCTAAACTCTCCCTTATCCCCCAACTTATGCTTCATTTTTACTCCTCTTCATAACCAAACTTTTTAAAAAGTTTAATACACATACTCCTATCTTTACTTCATTACCTCCAATTCATTTATGTATACATGTGTGAGCAAGAGTGTAGACTTTACTTCTCTATAACTGTGCATAATTTAGTTTTTGAGCTCCCATTCAAGATAGCCCACAGTCAAATCAGGATTCTCCTCCTGAATGTGACTACATTCCTCAAAGGTAGAGAACCTGGCATTGGGGGAAAGGGGGGCAACTGCTATTTTGTACACCATCTTTTTCCCCTCTTGCTTCCAGTAAACTGAACTGTATTGCATCTGATCTTTGGGCATTGTTAGTTTCCATCCCAGCAGCTTCTGCTGATATGACTAAGGTCCATCCACGGCCTTGGTAGACGGGCTGATGAAGATAGTCCTACATCTTCAATGTTCCAACCCCTGCCTCCTTCTCAGGTCAGCTGGCCATTCTCAAGTCACTTCTGATCATTCCTTTTGGCCACGCTATCCCCATTCTTTTGGCCACTCTATCCGAAAGGTAGGAAAGGTAGCAATTAGCCTCTTAGACAGGTCTCAGAGCCATCTACACATATTCCTCAGCAATCCACTACAACTCTCTAAGAGACTTGCAACCAAGTAGCTCATTAATCCACTCTAATCTGGCTTCTGATCTCACATTCCCACTGAAAATATTTGTCACAGTCACCAACAGATTTTACCAACTTTTCTAGTATCTTAACATTTCAGCAGCATTTCATGTATCTGACAACTTCTTTCTTCTTGAAAAACTCTCCTGCCTTACATGACACCCAAACTCTTGTTAGTTTCAATCACCCACCTAACACCTCCATCAATTTCTAGCTATTCGTCCTCAACTCCTTTGTTCCCTCTTTTTTCTTTAACCAACGTCTAAATGTCAGGTTTCTATGGGTTCCACTGTGGACCTTCTCTACTCTCTCTACGGTCTCTGCCTGGGAGAAGTTTTATCTATTGCCATGGTAGAAATGACACTATCTGTTCATCACAGTCAATTTACTTTCTTCTTCCAGGACACAATGAAAGACTAGCTTTCTCAGTTTCTCTTGTAGTTGAGTGAGGGCCATGTATCTGGATTCTGGCCAATGGGATACGGGCCAAAGTTAGCTATACGACTACCAAGCCTGGCCATAAAACCCCCTGAGAGATCACCCATGCCTGCTCCTCCCCTTTCATAGCAACTTTAGAAGTCACATGTTTAAGATGACAGCATCAAAGATGGAAAGACTCTAGCGAGTTGCTAATCAGAGAAGAGTAGCCTGGGAAAGTTGCCTGATACAACACATTCCGATATGAGCAAGAAATATAGTTTGATTGGAACTCCTGAGTTTTGGGCAGTTGTTTATGAGAGAAACTAGTATTACAGGCATACTTTGCTTTACTGTAATTCACAGATACTGCATTTTTTAATAAATTGAAAGTCTGTGGCAACCTTTTGTCTATCAAGTCTATCAAGTAATTTATCCAACAGTATGTACTCATTTTGTGTCTGTGCCACATTTTGGTAATTTCCACAATAGTTCAAGCTTTTTTATTATTATTATATTTGTTACAGTGATCTATGATCAGTGATCTTTGATGTTACAACTGTAATTGTTTTGGAGTGCCATGAACAACACCCATAAGATGGCAAACTTAATAAATAAATGCTGTATGTGTTCTCACTGCTCCACTGAGCAGCCATTCCTCCGTCTCTCTCCCTCTCCTGGAGCCTCCCTATTTCCTGAGACACAATAATATTGAAATTAGGCCAATTAATAACCCTACAATGGCCTCTAAGTGTTCAAGTGAAATGAAGAATCATATGTCTCTCATTTAAATCAAAAACTAGAAATGATTAAGTTCAGTGAAGAAGGTACATTGAAAGCCCAGATATGCCAAAAGCTAGGCCTCTTGCACCAGTTAGCCAAGTTGTGAATGAAAATGAAAAGCTCGACAGCAGCTCTCCCTCTCCCTCTCCCTCTCCCTCTCCCTCTCTCTCCCTCCCTCTCCCTCTCCCCACGGTCTCCCTCTCATGCGGAGCCGAAGCTGGACTGTACTGCTGCCATCTCGGCTCACTGCAACCTCCCTGCCTGATTCTCCTGCCTCAGTCTGCCGAATGCCTGCGATTGCAGGCACGCGCCGCCACGCCTGACTGGTTTTGGTGGAGATGGGGTTTCGCTGTGTTGGCCGGGCCGGTCTCCAGCCCCTAACCGCGAGTGATCCGCCAACCTCGGCCTCCCGAGGTGCCGGGATTGCAGACGGAGTCTCGTTCACTCAGTGCTCAATGGTGCCCAGGCTGGAGTGCAGTGGCGTGATCTCGGCTCACTACAACCTACACCTCCCAGCCGCCTGCCTTGGCCTCCCAAAGTGCCGAGATTGCAGCCTCTGCCCGGCCGCCACCCCGTCTGGGAAGTGAGGAGTGTCTCTGCCTGGCCGCCCATCGTCTGGGATGTGAGGAGCCCCTCTGCCTGGCTGCCCAGTCTGGAAAGTGAGGAGCGTCTCCGCCCGGCCGCCATCCCATCTAGGAAGTGAGGAGCGCCTCTTCCCAGCCGCCATCACATCTAGGAAGTGAGGAGCGTCTCTGCCCGGCCGCCCATATTCTGAGATGTGGGGAGCGCCTCTGCCCCGCCGCCCCATCTGGGATGTGAGGAGCGCCTCTGCCCGGCCGAGACCCCGTCTGGGAGGTGAGGAGCGTCTCTGCCCGGCCGCCCCGTCTGAGAAGTGAGGAGACCCTCTGCCTGGCAACCACCCCGTCTGAGAAGTGAGGAGCCCCTCCGCCCGGCAGCTGCCCTGTCTGAGAAGTGAGGAGCCTCTCCGCCCGGCAGCCACCCCATCTGGGAAGTGAGGAGCGTCTCCGCCCGGCAGCCACCCCGTCCGGGAGGGAGGTGGGGGGAGTCAGCCCCCCGCCCGGCCAGCCGCCCGATCCGGGAGGGAGGTGGGGGGGTCAGCCCCCCCGCCCGGCCAGCCGCCCCGTCCGGGAGGTGAGGGGCGCCTCGGGCCCGGCCGCCCCTACTGGGAAGTGAGGAGCGTCTCTGCCCGGCCGCCCATATTCTGAGATGTGGGGAGCGCCTCTGCCCCGCCGCCCCATCTGGGATGTGAGGAGCGCCTCTGCCCGGCCGAGACCCCGTCTGGGAGGTGAGGAGCGTCTCTGCCCGGCCGCCCCGTCTGAGAAGTGAGGAGACCCTCTGCCTGGCAACCACCCCGTCTGAGAAGTGAGGAGCCCCTCCGCCCGGCAGCTGCCCTGTCTGAGAAGTGAGGAGCCTCTCCGCCCGGCAGCCACCCCATCTGGGAAGTGAGGAGCGTCTCCGCCCGGCAGCCACCCCGTCCGGGAGGGAGGTGGGGGGAGTCAGCCCCCCGCCCGGCCAGCCGCCCGATCCGGGAGGGAGGTGGGGGGTCAGCCCCCCGCCCAGCCAGCCGCCCGTCCGGGAGGTGAGGGGCGCCTCTGCCCGGCCGCCCCTACTGGGAAGTGAGGAGCCCCTCTGCCCGGCCAGCCGCCCCGTCCGGGAGGGAGGTGGGGGGGGGTCAGCCCCCCCGCCCGGCCAGCCGCCCCGTCCGGGAGGTGAGGGGCGCCTCTGCCCAGCCGCCCCTACTGGGAAGTGAGGAGCCCCTCTGCCCGGCCAGCCGCCCCATCCGGGAGGGAGGTGGGGGTGTCAGCCCCCCGCCTGGCCAGCCGCCCCGTCCGGGAGGGAGGTGGGGGGGGGTCAGCCCCCCCGCCCGGCCAGCCGCCCCGTCCGGGAGGTGAGGGGCGCCTCTGCCCGGCCGCCCCTACTGGGAAGTGAGGAGCCCCTCTGCCCGGCCAGCCGCCCCGTCCGGGAGGGAGGTGGGGGGGTCAGCCCCCCGCCCGGCCGGCCGCCCCGTCCGGGAGGTGAGGGGCGCCTCTGCCCAGCCGCCCCTACTGGGAAGTGAGTAGCCCCTCTGCCCGGCCACCACCCCGTCTGGGAGGTGTGCCCAACAGCTCATTGAGAACGGGCCAGGATGACAATGGCGGCTTTGTGGAATAGAAAGGCGGGAAAGGTGGGGAAAAGATTGAGAAATCGGATGGTTGCCGTGTCTGTGTAGAAAGAAGTAGACATGGGAGACTTTTCATTTTGTTCTGCACTAAGAAAAATTCCTCTGCCTTGGGATCCTGTTGATCTGTGACCTTACCCCCAACCCTGTGCTCTCTGAAACATGTGCTGTGTCCACTCAGGGTTAAATGGATTAAGGGCGGTGCAAGATGTGCTTTGTTAAACAGATGCTTGAAGGCAGCATGCTCGTTAAGAGTCATCACCAATCCCTAATCTCAAGTAATCAGGGACACAAACACTGCGGAAGGCCGCAGGGTCCTCTGCCTAGGAAAACCAGAGACCTTTGTTCACTTGTTTATCTGCTGACCTTCCCTCCACTATTGTCCCATGACCCTGCCAAATCCCCCTCTGTGAGAAACACCCAAGAATTATCAATAAAAAAATAAATTAAAAAAAATAAAAATAAAAAATAAAATAAAATAAAATGAAAAAAAAAAAAAAAAAAAGAAAATGAAAAGCTCTTGGAGGCTGTTACAAGTGCTACTCCAGTGAACACACAAATGATAAAAAAGCAAAATAATCAGTCTTTTTTTTTTTTTTTTTTTTTGAGACAGAGTCTTGCTCTGTTGCCCAGGCTGGAGTCAGTAGCACAACCTCGGCTCACTACAACCTCTATCCACCTCCCAGGTTCAAACGATTCTCCTGCCTCAGCCCCTGTAGCTGGGACTACAGGTGAGCACCACCATGCCCGGCTAATTTTTTTGTATTTTTAGTAGAGACGGGGTTTCACCATATTGGCCAGGCTGGTCTCGAACTCCTGACCTCGTGATCCACCCACCTCGGCCTCCCAAAGTGCTGGGATTACAGACGTGAGCCACCATGCCTGGCCAAAAGTGAAATAGTCTTATTGTTGATATGGAGAAAATTTCAGTGGTCTGAATAGATCAAACCAGCCACAACATTTCCATTTAAGCCAAAGCCTAATCTTGACCAAGGCAGCAACTCCCTTCAATTCTATGAAGGCTGAGAGAGGTAAGGAAGCTGCAGAAGAAAAATCTGAAGCTAGCAGAGGTTGATTCACAAGGTTTAAGGAAAGAAGCCATCTCTCTAACATAAAGGTACAAGGTAAAGTGCTGTTATGGAAGCTGCAGCAAATTATCCAGAAGATATAGCTAAGATAATTGATGAACATGGCTCCACTAAACAGCAGGATTTCAGTGTAGACAAAACAGCCTTCTATTAGAAGAAAATGGTATCTAGGACTTTCATAGCTAGAGAGAAGTCAATGCCTAGATTCAAAGCTTCAAAGGACAGGCTGACTTTCTTGTTAGGAGCTGGTAACTTTAAGTTGAAGCCAGTGCTCGTTTACCATTCTGAAAATACTAGGGCCCTTAAGAATTATGCTAAATCTACTCTGTCTGTGCTCTATCAACGAACAACAAAAGCCTGGATGACATCCCATCTGTTTACAGAATGTTTTACTGAATTTTTTGAACCCCACTGTTGAGACTTACTGCTCAGAAAAAAAGATTCCTTCCAAAATATTACTGCTCACTGACTATGCACCTAGGCACCCAAGAACTCTGATGGAAATGTACAGGGAGATTAATGTTGGTTCCATGCCTACTAACATAGCAGCCCATGGATCAAGGGATAGTTTCAATTTTCAAGTCCTATATTATTTTTGTTTGTCTTTACAGAGTGGGTTCCCTAAAAAAGGTCTTATTATTTAAGAAATACATTTCATAAGGTTATAACTGCCATATACAGTAATTCCTCTGATGAATCTGGGCAAAATAAATCAAAAACTTTCTGGAAAGGATTCACCATTCTAGATGCCATTAAGAATATTCATGATTCATAGGAGAAAGTCAAAATATCAACAGAATTTGAAATGTTTATTATAACCCTCATGGATGACTTTGAGGAGTTCAAGACTTCAGTGGAATAAGTAACTGCAGATGTAGTGGAAATAGCAAAAGAACTAGAATTAGAAGTGGAGCCTGAAAGTTAGCCAGGCATAGTAGCACACACCTGTAGTCCCAGCTACTCAGGAGGCGGGGATGGGAGAATCGCTTGAACCCAGGAGTTCGAGGCGGCAGTGAGCCATGATCATGCCATTGCATTCCAACCTGGAGGACACAGTGAGATACTGTCTCAAAAAAATATAAATAAATAACTGTTTTTGGTTTTTTTTTTTTTTTGAGACAGGGTCTTACTCTGTCACTCAGGCTGAAATACAGTGGCGCGACCTTGGCTCACTGCAATCTCCATCTCCCGGGTTCGAGTGATTCTCCTGCCTCAGCCTCATGAGTAGCTGGGTTTACAGGTGCCTGCCACCATGCCCAGCTAATTTTTATACTTTTAGTAGAGATGCAGTTTCACCATGTTGGCTAGGCTGGTTTTGAACTCCTGACCTCAGGTGATCCGCCTGCCTCGGCCTCCCAGAGTGCTAGGATTATAGGTGTGAGCCACCGCACCTGGCCAATACAAACATTTTTTAAAGTGGAGCCTGAAGACGTGACCAAATTGCTGCAATCTCATGATAAAACTTTAACAGATGAGGAGTTGCTTCTTACAAATGAGCAAAGTGGTTTCCTGATATGGAATCTAGCCCCAGTTAAGATGTGAATATTGCTGAAGTGACAACAAAGGATTTAGAATATTACATAAACTTGATTGATAAAGCAGCAGCAGGGTTGGGGAGAATTGACTCCACCCCTGAAGAAAGTTCTACCATGGCTAAAGAAAGTTCTACCATGGCTAAAATGCTACAGAGAAATCTTTCATGAAGAGTCAATCTATGTAGCAAACTTCATTGCTCTCTGATTTCAAGAACTTGCCACAGCCAAACAGATCCGTTGAAAGAAGCCAGACAGTGCTGTAAATTCCACGAGACAGGCGAAAAACCATGAGCTCCCAAAGTGTGAGAGGGGGGATAAAACCTGCCTCTGAACACACATTCCCCATTGGGGAATCTGAAAATCCAGATCACAGGAGAAGGATTTAATCTTACCTACAGCTGAAATGGATTTAGAGAGCCGAGTGAAATATAAAAGTAGAAGCAGCAGCAGGAAGAGCCTTGTAGGCACTCCCAGTCTCCAGCTCAAGCCCAGGGAAGCCATTCCTGACTACATCTCACAGGGGCCCTCGGGGAAAGCAGACAGCAGAATTAGGGAGGGTCATGGGGGGAAAAAAGCTTCCAAATGAAACTCATAATAATTTTGACCAGGCATGAATTTTCTTAAGCAGAATCCAGGGAATGAACGGGAACTGCTGCAGATATGAGCACAAAAGCTGCCCAGTGGGCAGACAGGGAGGCAGACAGGGAGGGGTAGGGCCTGAAAGCCATGCTCGCTTTCTCAGTGGGGAAACTTACATTCAGGGGCAAGGTCTGAGGAGTGAGGGGGTGCACCACAGAAGTAAGACCAGCCTCACCAACTGCATGGGAGCTGGGTGAAGCCTTTCATTACCAGCTATCCCCCACTTCCCTGGCAAACTATATGACACAGCAGAGGCAGCCATAATCCTCTCTGGAACATAACCTGTTGGCCCAAGAACCACCCCCCATCCCCTACAGTGGCTACAGCAAGCCCCACCCAAGGAGAGTCTGAGCCCATATCCACCTAATCCTTCCCCTACCTGATGGTATTTCTCTACCTGCCCTGGTTGCTGAACACAAAAGACAGAAATTCTTGGGAGCTTTATGCCCCACCTATTGCCTGAGAAACCAGAATACTAACCCTGGCCAACTTAAGACAAACTTAGATCCCCCAACTAGCACCACAGCTAGTGCTCTCTTGAAAGCACCACCTCCTGGCTGAAAGCCAACTAACTCAGGCCATTACAGCAACTCATGACAAAATAATCCTGCTCCCAGGAAAGATAAAATAACAGCTAATATACCACTGCCTGCAACATCCTGGCTAACCAGAGGTCCTGAGTCTGTTCACATGACAACTTCACTACTAGCATAACCAGCATTTGAGAAAGCCGACACATTAAATATATCTACAACCAAGGACTCTCACAGAGTCTACTTACTGCCCTGCCACCCCTACCAGAGCAGGTGCTGGTATCAATGGCTGGGACACCTGAAGATGGATTACATCACAGGACTCTGCAGACATTCTTCAGCACCAGCCTTAGGGCCTGGTAACTCCACAGTGTGACTAGAACCAGAAGAGCAATAACAATCACACCAATCCAGCTCTCAGGAAGCCCCAAGCCCCATCCCTAGAGGAAGGGAGAGAGCACAACATCAAGGGATCAGCCTGTGGGACAAAAGAATCTGAACAGACGCCTTGAGTTTCAGACCTTTCCACTGAAACAGTCTACTCAAACGAGAAGGAACCAGAAAAGTGATTCTGGTAATATGATAAAACAGGGTTCTATAAAACGCCCCAAAAATCATACTAGCTCCCCAGCAATGGATCCAAACCAGGAAGAAATTTCTGAATTGCCAGATAAAGAATTCAGAAGGTTGATTATTCAGCTATTCAAGGAGATACCAGAACAAGGTGAAAATCAACTTAAAGAAATTTTAAAAAATACAAGATATGGATGAAAAATTCTCCAGAGAGAAATAGAGATCATAAAGAAAAAACAATCACAAATTCTGGAAATGAAAGACACACTTAGAGAAATACAAAATGCACTGGAAAATTTTAATAATAGACTAGAACAAGTAGAAGAAAGTACTTCAGAGCTCGAAGACAAAGCTTTCAAATTAACCCAATCAGACAAAAACAAAGAAAAAAAATTTTAAAAATGAACAAAGCCTCCAAGAAATGTGGGATTATGTTAAACAGCCAACCCTAAGAATAACTGGTGTTCCTGAGGAAGAAGAGAAACATAAAAGTTTGAAAAACTTATTTGAGGAAATAATTGAGGAAAAGTTCCCTGGCCTTGCTAGAGATCTAGACATCCAAATACAAGAAGTTCAAAGAACACCTAGGAAATTCATCACAAAAAGATCATTACCTAGGCACATAGTTATCAGGTTATCTAAAGTCAAGATGAAGGACAGAAACTTAAGAGCTGTGACACAATAGCCTCAGATAACCTATAAGGGAAAACCTAACAGATTAACAGCTGATTTCTCAGCAGAAACCTTACAAGCCAGAAGGGATTGGGGTCCCATCTTTAGTTTCCTGAAACAAAATAACTGTCAGCCAAGAATTTTGTATTCAGCAAAACTAGGCTTCATAAATGAAGGAGAGATAGTCTTTCTCAGATAAACAAATGCTGAGAGAATTGGCCACTACAAGAAATGAAAGACACACTACAAGAAATGCTAAAAGGAGTTCTAAACCTTGAAATAAAACCTCAAAATACACCAAAATAGAACATCCTTAAAGCATAAATTTCACAGGGCCTATAAAACGATAACAGAATTTTTTTAAAAAAAGGTATTTAGGCAACAACTAGCATTATGAATAGAACAGTACCTTATCTCAATACTGTATTAACATTGAATAGAAATGGCCCAAATGCTCCTTTTAAAAGACACAGAATGGCAGAATGGATAACAACCCACAAACCAAGTATCTGCTGCCTTCAAGAGACTCACCTAATGCATAAGGACTCACATAAACTTAAGGTAAAGGGGTAGAAAAAGATATTCTACACAACTGGAAATCAAAAGCGGGCAGGAATAGCTATTCTTATGTCAGACAAAACAAACTTTAAAGGAATAACAGTTCAAAAAGACAGAGAAGGACATTATATAATGAAAAAAAGGATTCGTCCAACAGGAAAATATCACAATCCTATATATGCACCTAACCCTGGAGCTCCAAAATTTGTAAAGCAATTACTACTAGAGACCTAAGAAATGAAATACACAGCAACACAACAATAGTGGGGGACTTCAATACTCCACTGACAGCACTAGACAGGTCATCAAGAGAGAAAGTCAACAAAAAAAGAATAGAGTTAAATATACCCTAGAACAAATGGACTTAACAGATATTTAGTCTCAATAAATTTAAGATAATTGAAATTCTATCTAGTATCCTCTCATACCACAGTGGAATAAAACTGAAAATTAGCTCCAAAAGGAACCCTCAAAGCTATACAAATACACGACCAGGCGTGGTGGCTCATGCCTGTAATCCCAACACTTTAGGAAGCTGAGGTGGGTGGATCACCTGAGGTCAGGAGTTCAAGACCAGCCTGGCCAACATGATAAAACCATGCCTCTACTAAAAATACAAAAATTAGCCAGCCATGTACTAAAAATACATGGTGGCACGGGCTTGTAATCCCAGCTACTAGGGAGGCTGAGGCAGGAGAATTGTTTGAACCTGGGAGGCAGAGGTTGCAATGAGCTGAGATCGTACCATTGCATTCCAGCCTGGGTGACAGAGCAAGACTCCATCTCAGAAAAAATAAATAAATAAAAATTAAAACTATACAAATACATGGAAATTAAAATTTCTGCTCTTGAATAATCTTTGGGTCAACAATGAAATAAAGATGGAAATTTAAAAATTTTTTGAACTGAATGATAACAGTGACACAACCTATCAAAACCTCTGAGACACAGCAAAAGCAGTGCTAAGAGGAAAGTTCATAGCATTAAATACCTACATCACCAGGCGTGGTGGCTCATGCCTGCAATCCTAGCACTTTGGGAGGCCAAGGCGGGCAAATCACAAGGTCAGGAGTTCGAGACCAGCCTGGCCAACATGGTGAAATCCTGTCTCTACTAAAAATACAAAAAATTAGCCAGGCATGGTGGCGGGCGCCTGTAATCCTAGCTGCTCAGGAGGCTGAGGCAGCAGAATCGCTTGAACAGAAGAGGCGGAGGTTGCAGTGAGCCAAGATCGTACCACTGCACTCCAGCCCAGGTGACAGAGTGAGACTCATCTCAAAAAAAAAAAAAAAAAACCCACACCAAAACATCTGAAGGAGCACAAACAGAAAATCTAAGGTCACACTTCAAGGAACTAGAGAAACAAGAATAAACTGAACCCAAACCCAGCAGAAGAAAAGAAGTAACAAACATCAGAGCAGAACTAAACTGTAACAAACAAACAAAAAATACCAAACATCCACAAAAGATTAACAAAACACTGGTTCTGGATGTGGTGCAGTGGCTCACGTCTGTAATCCCAGCACTTTGGAAGGCCAAGGGAGGCAGATCATTTGAGGTCAGGAGTTTGAGCCTGACCAACATGGTGAAATCCCATCTCTACTAAAAATACAAAAAAATTAGCCGGGTGTGGTGGCGGGCCACCTGTAGTCCCAGCTACTTGGGAGGCTGAGGCAGGAGAATCACTTGAACCTAGGAGGCAGAGGTTGCAGTGAGCCAAGATGGCATCACTGCACTCCAGCCTGGGTGACAGAGCGAGACTCTGTCTCAAAAAAAAAAAAAAAAAAAAAAAAGCTGGTTCTTTGAAAATATAAACACAATTGATAGACCATTAGCAAGATTAACCAAGAAAAGAAGAAGATTCAAGTAAGTTCAACTAGAAACAAAACAGGAGATATTACAACCGATACAACAAAAATATAAAAGATCATTCAATAGTACTATGAATACTTTATATGCACAAACTAGAAAATCTAGAGGAGATGGATAAATTCCTGGAAATATACAACCCTCCTAGATTAAATCAGGAAGAAAGAGAAACTCTGAACAGACTAATAACAAGTAGCAAGACTGAAACAGTCATAAAAAAACTGCCAAGAAAAAAGTCCAAGAAAACAAAAATAAATTAATTAAATTAAAATTTAAAAATTTTAAGTGCAGGACCAGATGGATTCACAGCTGAATTCTACCAGTCAAAGAAGAATTGCTACCAATCTTACTGAAACTATTCCAAAAGACAGAGAAAGGGAATCCTCCCTAAATCATTCTATGAAGCCAGTATCACTCTAATACCAAAACCAGGAAACAATATAACAATAAAGAAAACTAGAGACCAATATCCCTGATGAACATAGATGCAAAAATCCTCAACAAAATGCCAGCTAACCAAATCCAAAAGCATATCAAAAAGGTAATACACCATGATCAAGTGAGTTTCATACCAGAGATGCAGAGATGGTTTACCATACACAAGTCAATAAATGTTGGCCAGGCGTGGTGGCTCTTGCCTGTAATCCCAGCACTTCAGGAGGCCGAGGTGGGTGAATCATTTGAGGTCAGGAGTTCAAGACCAGCCTGGCCAACGTGGTGAAACCCCGCTTCTATTAAAAATACAAAAATTAGCCAGACGTGGTGGCAGGTAGTCCCAGCTACTCAGGAGGCTGAGGCAGGAGAATCACTTGAACCCGGGAGGCAGAGGTTGCAATGAGCTGAGATGGTGCCACCGCACTCCAGACTGGGTGACAGAGCAAGACTCTGTCTCAAAAATAACTAAATAAAATAAAAATAAATGTGATACGTCACATAAACAGAATTAAAAACAAAAATCACATGATCATCTCAATAGATACAGAAAAAGTATTTGACAAAATCCAGTATCCCTTCATGATTAAAACCTTCAGCAAAACTGGCACAGAAGGGACGTACCTCAAGGTAATAGAGCCATACCTCAACATAATAAAAGGCATCTATGACAAACACATGACCAACACTATACTGAATGGGGAAAGGTTGAAAGCATTCCCCCTGGGAACTGGAACAAGACAAGGATGCTACTTTCACCACTTCTATTTAACATAGTACTGGAAGTCCTCACCAGAGCAATCAGGCAAGAGAAAGAAATAAAGGGCATCCAAATTGGTAAAGAGGAAGTCACACTGTCACTGTTCACTGATGATATGATTGTATACATAGGAAACCCTAAAGACTCATCCAAAAAGCTCCCAAATCTGACAAATGAATTCTTTAAAGTTTCAGGATACAAAATCAACGTACACAAATCAGTAGCACTGCTATGCACCAACAATGGCCAAGCTGAGAATCAAATCAAGAACTCAATCCCTTTTACAACAGCTGCATAAAAAAAATAATAACAATAGAATACTTAGGAATATACCTAACCAAGGAGGTGAAAGATCTCTAAAAGGAAAACTACAAAACACTACTGAAATAAATCACAGATGACACAAACAAATGGAAACACATCCCATGCTCATAGATGGGTATAATCAATACTATGAAAATGATCATACTGCCAAAAGCAATCTTTAGATTCAATGCAATTCCCATCAAAGTACCATCATCATTCTTCACAGAACCAGAAAAAGCAATCCTAAAATTCATTGAACCAAAAAAGAGCCCAAATAGCCAAGGTAAGCAAACAAAAAAGAACAAATGTAAAGGCATCACATTACCCAACTTCAAATTATACTACAAGACTATAGTAACCAAAACAGCATAGTACTGGTATAAAAATAGGCACACAGACCCATGGAACAGAATAGAGAACCCAGAAAGAAAGCCAAACACTTACAGCCAACTGATCTTTGACAAAGCAAACAAAAGCATAAAGTGGGGAAAGGACACCCTATTCAACAAATGGTCCTGGGATAACTAACAAGCTACGCGTAGAAGAATGAAACTCATCTCTCACCTTATACAAAGTCAACTGGAGATGGATCAACTCAAACTTAAGTAAGATCTGAAACCATAAAAATTCTAGAAGATAACATTGGAAAAAACTCTTCTAGACATTGACTTAGGCAGAGTTCGTGACCAAGAACCCAAAAGCAAATGCAACAAAAA
Source organism: Homo sapiens (assembly GCF_000001405.40). Classification (NCBI taxonomy): domain Eukaryota; kingdom Metazoa; phylum Chordata; class Mammalia; order Primates; family Hominidae; genus Homo; species Homo sapiens. Next base: position 88,958,355 of record NC_000006.12, read on the forward strand.
CAAAAATAAATAGATGGAACCTAATTAAACTAAAAAGCTTCTGCACAGCAAAAGAAATAATCAGCAGAGTAAACAGACAACCCACAGAGTGGGAGAAAATCTTCGCAAACTATGCATCTGACAAAGAACTAATATCCAGAATCTACAAGGAACTGAAACAAATGAGCAAGAAAAAAACAAATAATCCCATCAAAAAGTGGACAAAGGACATGAACAGACAAAAGAAGATATACAGTTGGCCAAGAAGCATATGAAAAATGTTCAACATCACTATCAAGGAAATGCAAATTAAAACTACAATGAGATACCACCTTACTCCTGCAAGAATGGCCATAATTAAAATATCAAAAAATATTAGATGTTGGCATGAATGTGGGGAAAAGGTAACACTTTTACACTGCTGGTGGGAATGTAAATTATTACAACCACTAGGGAAAACAGTATGGTGATTCCTTGAAGAACTAGAAGAACTACCATTTGATCCAGCAATCCCACTACTGGGTATCTACCCAGAAGAAAATAAGTCATTATCTGAAAAAGCCACTTGCACAGGCATGTTTACAGCAGCACAATTTGCAATTGCAAAAATGTGGAACCAGCTTAAATGCCCAAGAACCAATGAGTGGATAAAGAAAATGTGATATGTATATATACCATGGAATACTACTCAGCCATAAAAAGGAATGAAATAATGGCATTCATGGCAACCTAGATGGAGTTGGACCCCATCATTCTAAGTGAAGTAACTCAGGAATGGAAACCCAAATATCCTGTGTTCTCACTTGTAAGTGGGAGCTAAGCTATGAGAATGCAAAGACATAACAATGATATAATGGACTTTGGGTACTCAGGGGGAAGTGTGGAGAGGGGGGATGAGGGATAAAAGACTACTACAGTGTACACTCCTTGAGTGACAGGTGCACCAAAATCTCAGAAATCATCACTGAAGTACTTATCCATGTAACCAAAAACCACCTGTCCCCCAAAAACTACTGAAATAACATAAAAATGTTTTTTAAAAAGATCTTTACTAAAGATCTCTATTTGAGCAATCAGGATCTTAATATCTCCTCCAACCTGCTTCTCTCTCAGTAAGCCCTAATAATATCAACTATCTCATGTGCATAAGCCAGACATTTGAGACTAAATTTTGACCCTCTTTCCCTCATTCTAAATACGACATCAAGTTCTGTCCATTTTCCCTTCTTAATATCTCTCAAATTAGCCTTCTACTCTTCATCTGTCACTTTTAAACTATCACTATTGTCTTTCACCTGGACTACAACAAGTTCCTAATTAGTCTCTCCATTTCCACTCTTTTCTCCATCAATTCATTAAACACAGAAAAGTCAAAGTAAGCTTTTAACTTGGATTCAAATAATCTCATCTCGATGCTGAAAAAAAAAACTGCAATTGTATGCCACTGAAAATTTAAAGCATATAAATATTAGGATACCTTATCACACCCTACTTGCCTGTATGATCAGGCTATTCTCCAACCTCTTAACCTCACTTACATCTTCCAGAACAAAGACACTTTTTCAGTCTATTATCTCTCCCATCATCATCCTATCCTAACAGAAACTTTCAATAACACCCCCTGCCAACTATTTATCTAGAAAACTTCTATTTACTGAAGATAATTCATGTATGACCTTCTCTGGGAAGTCTCACCTGATCTCCTTCTTCCTTCCCATCTCTTCTTCCTCAACCTCAAAGAATTAGGTTTATTACCTCTGATTCCCATCATATACCACAATAGAGTCATTGCTACATTTTTTACAACAGAACTGTGCTTAAAATGGATGGTTTGCTACTCCCATGAGACTCTGCTTTTTAAGGGTAATATATCTTAGCCATCTCCCTAGCACCCAGGACTAGCACAAAGTAGACATTTAAATATTTGCTAAATAAAATGACTTCAAAATCACCATCACTATCACCATCACACTATCCTGAGTACCTGGGACCACAAGTATGTGCCAATGCACCTGGCTGTGTCTCATATTTACATTCCCACAGTTCCTAGTAAGCTCTTTACATAGCAGATATGAAATAATTTTATGTTGAATGATATATCTTTAAGAAACTAGGGAGGGCTGGGTGCGGTAGCTCACACCTGTAATGCCAACACTTTGGGAGGCCAAGGCAGGCGGATCACCCGAGGTCAGCAGTTGGAGACCAGCCTGGCCAACATGGTGAAACCCCATCTCTACTAAAAATACAAAAAAGAAAAGAAAAGAAAAGAAAAAAAGGAAAAAGGAAAAGAAATTATAAGTTTGTTTTCTTCCAAGTATTCACCTGAAATCTATTAACTCAGAAGGAGGAAAAAACAGTTCTTCAGAAAATAAAGCTTGGCCCTGTCTCCAAGAGCTCTCTCTCATTGCAAGTCTGGTTTCATCAGAGAAAGTGACTTCACAGAGAAACAAATTATATGTAGTTAGTACCATTTTCTTTCTGATTCAGGAAAATTATGAACTTCTAGTACTAGTAAAGTGAATCCTAACATTTACAACATATAAGTTTGAGCAGCCATAACATTTTCCTCAATATGCAAAATATCAAAGAAATTACTGTGATGGTTAATACTGAGTGTCAACTCGATTGGATTGAAGGATGCAAAATATTGATCCTGGGTGTAGAGGGTGTTGCAAAGGAGATTAACATTTGAATCAGTGGGCTGGGAAAAGCAAACCCACCCTTAATCTGGGTGGGCACCATCTAATCAGCTGCCAGCATGGCTAGAATATAAAGCAGGCAGAAAAATGTGAAAAGACTTGACCGGCTTAGCCTCCCAGCCTACATCTTTGTCCTGTGGTGGACGCTTCCTGCCCTCAAACACTGGATTCCAAGTTCTTCCATTTTGGGACTCAGACTGACTCTCCTTGCTCCTCAGTTTGCTGACAACCTATTGTGGGACCTTGTGATCGTGTGAGTTAACAGTTAATAAACTCCCCTTTACGTCTGTATGTGTGTGTGTGTATGTATGTGTGTGTGTGTATATATATATATGTACATATATTTCCTATTAGTTCTGTCCCTCTAGAGAACCCTTACTAATAAATTACACGATAAGTACAAATTACTTTTTTTTTTTTTTGAGATGGAGTCTCACTCTGTCACCCATGCTGGAGTGCAGTGGTGCAATCTCAGCTCACTGCAACCTCCGTCTCCTGGGTTCAAGTGATTCCCCTGCCTCGGCCTCCCGAGTAGCTGGGATTACAGGCACATACCACCACGCCATCATAGCTTTTTGGCTATTCATATAACTTATTTTGTGAAGTGTCCAAATTTTTTGCTAGTTTTTAAGTCCTTTGAATTTCTTCTGTATAATACATTGATGGTGGGACTATCAAGTGTTACCACTTTGGAAAAGAGGTTGGCAGTTTCTTAAAATTCTTAAAACATACACCTACCATATGATGCAGCCATTCCTCTCCTAGAGACTTACACAAGAGAAATGAAAGTATATGTCCACACAAAGAATTGTACATGAATGTTCACAGCAGGTTTATTTGTAATAGCTAAAAACTGGAAATAACCCAAATGACCATCAATAGATGAACAGGTAAACAAATTGTGGTATACCCAGAACAATAAACTACTACTCTGCAATAAAAAAGGAATAAACTATTGATACATGCATAATCTGGATGAGTATCAAATTAATTATGCTGAGTGAAAAAAGCCACACACACTTCCTTCCACCCCAAGAAGAGTACTCACTATATGTTTCCATTTATTTAAAAATTTCTAGAAAATGCAAACCAATCTATAATTACAGAAAGCAGATCAGTGGCTGCCAGGCGAAGGAGGGATTTAAAAAGGGGCAAGAGGAAACTTTGAGGGGTTTCATGGTTGTTTCCTAGGAAAGAGATATATTTGTGTATATACAGTCAAAATTTATCAAACTGTACGCTTTAAAGCTTATTGTATTCAAGCTCAATAAAGATGAAAAAAACTACAAGAAAAATAATTAAAAAAAACAAAAACCCGGCCAAGCGGGGTGGCTCTCGCCTATAATCCCAACACTTTGGGAGGCCGAAGTGGGAGCATCGCTTGAGTCCACGAGTTCAAGACCAGCCTGGGCAACACAGTGAAACCCTGTCTCCACAAAAAATAAACAAAAAAATTATGGCCAGGCACAGTGGCTCACGGCTGTAATCCCAGCACTTTGGGAGGCCGAGGCGGGCGGATCACTTGAGGCCAGGCGTTGGAGACCAGCCTGGTCAACACGATGAAACCCTGTCTCTACTAAAAACAAAAATTAGCCGGGTGTGGTGGCACGCGCCTGTAATCCCAGCTACTTGGGAGGCTGAGGCAGTGAGCCGAGATCACGCCACTGCACTCCAGCCTGGACGACAGAGAGAGACTATGTCTCAAATATATACATTATAAATATATATATACTTTAATAAATAAAAAAATTAGCCGGGTGCGGTGGCAGGAGCATGTAGTCCCAGCTACTTGGGAGGCTGAGGTGGGAGGATCCCCAGCCCGAGCAAGAGACCCTGTCTCACAAGAAAATAAAAATAAAAAACTAACAAAAACACCCTCCAGATTCCCAGTCTCAATGTGACCCCATTTCACCGCTGGGAACCGCCCCTTCCCTCCTTAACCCTCCTCCATCTCAATACTGATATTCATCCCTTCTTTCGAGGGGAAGGTTGAACCCTAACAGGTTCGCAAACTACTAAGACTCAAAGTACGCCCACTGTATTCCTGGATCCTCACCTCCTGCCACCAACCTCCTGTCTACCTTCACATTCGCACAGTTAGCCTTGCAGGAATAGTAACAAGTGCCCCCCATCCGCCGACCATCCCCTCCCGTTCATGTTCCCATTCATCCACGAAGCGTAATCCGACGGAGCATATCCCGCTCCTGAAATACCACTAATGGGCACAGAACCACCAAAAGCTGAGCTCCTCAGTCGGCCCACCCCCGGGCACGTTGGAGTGTGGGGATTCGAACGCCCCCCAGTCCAGGTTACCTGCCACCGGCTGGCCGCGCCGGGGACAGTTCAGCCACCGCGGCGGGATCTTGTTGTGAGCCATGTCTTGGGGCTGCGCAGAGCTGCCCTCCCTCACCAACGTTCACCGCGCCTTTGGAGCCGCCTCCCCGTGGTCCGGTGCACACCGGGGTCCGAGACACCCGAATCGCAGCCGTAATCTGAATTCCAACCTCTCCGATCCGGGTAACGTCAGGGGCGGCGCGCCACTTTCATTCAGGATCAACTCCACAGCTCCAGGAGAACCCACAATGCACCGCAACTTCCGCCCCCGAAAGCCCCGCCCCCTTTCCGAGGTCAGAGGGAAAGAAGAGGAAGCTCAGCGGAAGGATAGCAAAGAGTTAAGGACGCGACGAATGGGAGGAGCGGGCCTTCTCTCGCCCCACTCGGCACCGCCCCGCCCCGCCCCGTCCCGCTCCACGGACGCGCCCGGACGCTACTGGTTCGCCTTTGCGCATGTGCAATTGCCCTCGTACCGAACTCCGCAGGACGAAGCGTGTATTTTTTTCCCATCCAGACAACCTAGAGAAACCCAAAAAAGAGGGAAGCCAAGCGCCTTTCCATGCGTAGATTGCCCGCCACTTCCGTTAAGGCATCTATTTTACTGATGAAAAGAGGCCTTCTGAGCGTTACCACAGCTCAAGCTTGGCGTCCCAGCCGGATCTAGGTTTGATTTGCAATTAGGGAAAGTTGTTCAAGGGAACAAGTCTTAGGAGAATTCTAAGGACATGAGATTGGAGTACCAGAAATGGGGAATTTTTCTTTTGGTGAGTACTTACGAGGATCTATGAAGCTTCTGAAATTAATTCCAGAACACTTAGAGTTTTGTTTGTACATTTCTGGATCAAAGTTTCAAAGCATACTGGGGAGTTTGAGAGGGTCCATGTCTCCAAAAAAAGTTACTAATTAATGTGGTATAATTGACAAAGGTAGGAATTGATCAGTGGAGAACCTCTTCGTGGCGTTGTTCTCCTTGGCCTACCAAATAAACAGTGCCTTTTATTTTCCCTTCGAGTTAAGCAGAGGTGCTTGAAAAATTTTTATAAATGCCGTCCTTTAACGAGCCTTTCCTTTGTTACCAGATTAAAGTGTTAAATATAAAGCTGGATGATGGCGAATCAATTATAATGTAGTTTGGCTTTAAACACCAATGCTATATTGGAACTGCAAGAACGTAAGGCTGCAGGGAATACATTTTTAAAGCGTCGGTGGGGAACTTTCTGGGACGCTCAACCCCCTGAATGCCTGGACCCCCTCAGTAAGAGTCCCATCAATAGAGGCAGTCCAACAGCAATCTCTCTGAGGCAGCCTGAGTTAGGTCACACTTCTGGTCTGTCCTGCTGTTGCATCTGCTCAGAACTGTTAGTGAAGGTGTAAACTCCTCCCCTGACAGAACAAGATAATACCCAGTTTCCTTTAAGGCCATCAGTCTACCCAAATAATCTCCGATGAATTCCCTTTTCTGCTGATAGAGTGTGTACCATGCCCAAAGTGGTAAAAACCTTCCATCCCCAGACCCCCTCCAAGGATGGGAAAGGTGAGCCTGATCCTGGAAGAGTATCTTACCTTCCCCTTCTGGGGATGACTCCCCTTGGTGACTCCCCTTCCCACACACGCTATACCCAGTAGCTCAGTCCTAGGCACACAGAAGCTTCATACCACTGGCGAGCAACTGTTATTGGCTGTAAGGCAGCAATGTGCACTGGATTTTTATTCTGCTATCCAGTTATGCCCTCTCCATACTCATTGCCACAGAATTGGGAGGACCCTGTGGCTACCTTTTGTCCACAATAGAGAGTAGAGTAGGAGAGTGGCATCCCGATGAGCAGGCAGTTTCTCTCTGCCTGTCAGGAATGCCTTGCCTGATGTGTGTTTCTGCCTATATTGCTCCTAGTCCCAAGTTTCTACTACTCTGTGAGAAGAAAAATAGATGCTCACAGACAGACCAACATGATTCCTCCCCCGCTTCCTGGAACCCCTGACACCCTCCCAGATATGTCTTGATCTCCTCTTTATCAGATGTAGATTCTCTTCATTGGTGAGTCTTTCATCAAACATCCATTTTGCCCATAAGGAAGAGTGTGTACATGTAAAAAATAAGATTGAACGTTCTCTTTTGGCAAAAGAGAGAGATCTTATCTGTCTTCCCTTTTCCTAGGACTTTTCCTTGAGAAAAACCTATATTTATTAATCCTTCCTCTTCACTTTGATATGTAGATAAATCTTTTGTTTTTGCAGACAGGGTCTCACTTTCTCACCCAGGCTAGAGTGCAGTGGGCATGATCAGGGCAGCCTTACTGGAGCCTCAACCTCCCAAGCTCAAGCAATCCTCTCACCTCAGCCCCCAAGGAGCTGGGACTACAGGTGCAGGCCCCCACACCCCACTAACTTTTTTATACTTTTTTCGTCTGGAACTCCTGCAAGCAGCCCTCCCACCTCAGCCTCCCAAAGTGCTGGTAAGACAGCCAGGTGGGAAGGATTCCTTGGCAGAATCTCCTTTTGACCTGAGCACTGGGAGGAATGCACCCTGTGGTGGAGCCTTGGGAAATTTGCGCCATTTGCAGTGGGGAGGAGCCTGGCCCCTCCTTTTCCTAGGTGGAACCTGGGATTCAGTCTACCAGGCAGGAAGCACTCTGGCTTTGGGGAGAGTCTCTGTTTCCCTTTTTTTCTTTTTGCCCAATAAATTCCATTCTCACCCTTCAAGGCATCTGTGAGCCTAATATTTCATGGCCATGTGACCAGGACCCAGCTCTTAGCTGAACTAAGGAGAAAGTCGTACAACAGCTTTGGCACCCAATGTGGGGCTTGAGAAGCGGTTGAGTGACACGGGGACTCAAAACTTTTCACTGTCATTTCTAAGCCTTTTCATGCGTGGACTTCTGAGGGTAGGGAAACCATGCCCCCACTCCCATCGCTCCCTGGGGTCAGGGGCCTTTCCATGGCCTTTGCCTTCGTTTTTTGGGAAGGATAGGCAAGTCGCAGCTCCTCATTCCCTCTCCCCTCCCAGCTGGGGCTGGGGAATGCCACATGTCCACAGCATCTTCCCCTTCCCTGGCCAAGGCTCAACTCCATCTGATAAGCTTCTCTCCCTGGTAGAGGAACCATTTGCCTAAGAATAAAAGGTTTATTCCCCCAGGCATCCTTTTTTCTTCACCCCATCAACAGTTAACTTTTAAACCAGATGTTTTTTTTCTTTTTCACTAGGCTAGGAATGATAAGGATCCCTGTTTATATTCTCCTTAAAGTTTGGTTGTGAAAAAGGATCTTATGGGGACTGGTTTTCTTCTGCCTGTCTGTGTAGCTATATATATGTTGTGTACATGATGTCTATGAAAAGAGCTCAAAGGCCAGGCACGGTGGCTCACACCTGTAATCCCAGCACATTGGGAGGCTGAGTCAGGCAGATCACCTGAGGTCGAGAGTTCAAGACCAGCCTGACCAACTTGGAGAAACCCCATCTCTACTAAAAATACAGAATTAGCCAGGCATGGTGGCACATGCCTGTAATCCCAGCTACTTGGGAGGCTGAGGCAGGAGAATCACTTAAACCTGGGAGGTGGAGATTGCACTCCAGCGTGGGCAGCAGGAGCAAAACTCCATCTCAAAAAAAAAAAAAAAAAAGGAGCTCTAAGGCCAGGTGTGGTGGCTCATGCCTGTAATCCCAGCACTTTGGGAGGCCAAGGCAGGCAGATCATTTGAGAGTCAAGAGATTGAGACCAGCTTGGCCAACATGGTGAAACCCTGTCTCTACTAAAAATACAAAAATTAGCCAGGTGTGGTGACGTGCCTGTAGTCCCAGCTATTTGGGAGGCTGAGGCAGGAGAATCCCTTGAACCCAGGAGGCAGAGGTTGCATTGAGCTGAGATTGTACCACTGCACTCCAGCCTGGCCAACAGAACAAGACTCTGTCTCAAAAAAAAAAAAAAAAAAAAAAAAAAACTCTAATTGGCCTAAAGGAAGACAAGTGCTTAGATCATATATTTTTTAAAGGGAAGGTAAAAGATGTGGTACCTTTCAGTTCATGTGACTTTAATCTTTGAGAAATAAAAACAGCCTTAAAGATTATTGGTAAAAAACAGATGTCATCAAAATGTAAATAGGTGGACTAAATTATGCAGGTTAGGTACTAGTCTTGCTAAATGTTTTAATGTTATAAACTGCTTTTTGAGTTTTGAGAACTATCTGACTTGCTGGCTTCACAATTGATAAGGCCTGGGGACATATGGAACTAACCATGTCATTAATTATGCTAGAAGGAGTCAAAACTTCGCTGCACCTGGCACACAATTAAAACAACTTACCAGGTTTTACATTAAAGTTAAAATTGCTAGGAGTTACCATTATAATGTATAATTGAAACTACTGAAAATAGATTTACATGCAAGGTGTGTAAGAACAGTAAAATGTGTTTTTTAGTAAAAGGTAATGGAAGGCATGGAAATGTAAATTTTTGCCTAGGGTTAGGGAATTGTTTTAAATTAGGTAAGATAAAGCTAAAGGTTTAAACAAGTTCTGGAAGGTTAAAATTAATCTTGCAAAAGAAATGCTGTGTGTGAACATTGGCTAAATTCAAAAGTAAATTGAGCATTGAAATAAAAGCACAACAAAGTTTTCTTAAGGCACTAATCTGCACTTTAGCAAAATTTGTAAAGGGTTATAAAAAGTTTTTGCTTCTTTAAAATTTCTGAGTAATTTTGGCAAAATAAATAATTTATGGAAATCTGGAATTCTATTTCATAACATCAAGTGTTTTAAACCACTAACATATTTAACAGGCTTCCCAAAAATCAAACTTCAGTTTCAAAATTGTCTTTCCTGACACCTGGCTTTTCAGAGGCTCCAGAAGGACCCTAGAGTGTCCAGAAGAGAAATGTAAACAGGATTAGTTGACATGTTTAGGTATGTGGGATTGCCAAAATAATGTTCAGTTTTCTTTTTTTCTTTTCTTTTTTTTTTTTTTTTTTTTTTGAGACAGAGTCTCACTCTGTAACCAGGCTGGAGTGCAGTGACACGATCTCAGCTTACTGCAACCTCCGCCTCCTAGGTTCAAGTGATTTTCCTGCCTCAGCCTCCCAAGTAGCTGAGATTATAGGCACCCACCACCATGCCCAGCTAATTTTTTTGTATTTTAGTAGAGACAGAGTTTTGCCATTTTGGCCAGGCTGGTCTTGAACTCCTGACCTCAGGCGATCTACCCTCCTCAGCCTCCCAAAGTGCTGGGATTACAGGCATGAGCCACTGCACCCGGCCCAGTTTTCTTTAGGTTATATTATTGTGAATAATACTAATATATGTTCCAAAATTGTATGGGATTTCTAAAATTCTAATGTCTGAGATAACCAAACTTCTTTGTCAATTGTGTTTCTAACTGTAACTACCCTGGACATTTTGTTATTCACAGACAATTGTTGTCTTGTTTTAATCCTTTTCAAAAGATGATTTATAATGAGCTATAGAACGTTAACAGGTGCTCTCAAATACCAATTTCTGATGACTTTGGAGATTGTAACAAAAGGAAAAATGTACAAGACTCACAAAGAGCTGAAATGTTCATGAATATCAAGCAAATCAAGAACTAAATTGACTGAACTCAGAAAGCTGAAGCAATCTTTTTGACTTTTGCTTAGAATATTGCTGACCCTTATTTTTCAGAGTCAAGGAAACTTACTTTGAACTATTTACACCCTTTAATAATTGAGTAAGGTATACTCCTGTGAACAAAATTTGGAGTATCGGGGGAACCCACCCCCAGTATTTCAATGAAGGTGCTTTCTATTTTCCCTAAGTGTCGGCCAGTCTGAGAAATAAAGAGAAAGAGTACAAAGAGAGGAATTTTACAGCTGGGCCACCAGGGGCGACATCACATACCGGTAGGTCCATGATGCCCACCTGAGCCGCAAAACCAGCAGGTTTTTATTAAGGACTTCAAAAGGGGAGGGGGTGTATGAACAGGGAGTAGGTCACAAAGATCACATGCTTCAAAGGGCAAAAAGGAGAACAAAGATCATATGCTTCTAGGCCAATAAATATCACGAGGCAAAGGGCAAAGCAAAGACCACAAGGCAAAGGGCAAAATCAAAAACTCCTGATAAGGTTCTATGTTCAGCTGTGCACATATTGTCTTGATAAATATCTTAAACAACAGAAAACAGGATTCAAGAGCAGAGAACCAGTCTGACCTCAAATTTACCAGGGCAGGGTTTCCCAATCCTAGTAAGCCTGAGGGTACTGCAGGAGACCAGGGCATATTTTAGTCCTTATCTCAACTGCATAAGACAGACACTCCCAGAGCAGCTGTTTATAGACTTCTCCCACCAGGAATGTATTCCTTTCCCAGGTTCTTAATTATTAATATTCCTTGCTAGGAAAAGAATTCAGCGATATCTTCCCTACTTGCTTGTCCGTTTATAGGCTCTCTGCAAGAAGAAAAATATGGCTCTATTCTGCCCTACCCAGCAGGCAGTCAGACCTTATGGTGTCTTCCCTTGTTCCCTGAAAATCACTGTTATTCTGTTCTTTTTCAAGGTGTACTGATTTCATATTGTTCAAACACACATTTTACAATCAATTTGTACAGTTTGACACAATAGTGGTCTTGAAGTGACGTACATTCTCAGCTTATGAAGATAATAGGAATAAGAGACTAAAGTAAGACAGGCATAAGAAATTATAAGAGTTTTATTAGGGAAGTGATAAATGTCCATATTAAAATGAAATCTTCACAGTTTATGTTCAGAGATTGAAGTAAAGACAGGCATAAGAAATTATAAAAGTATTAATTTTGGGAACCGATATATGTCCATATTAAAATGAAATCTTCACAATTTATGTTCCTGTACTGCGGCTCCAGCCAGTCCCTCTGTTCGGGGTCCCTGACTTCCCGCAACATTGGAGCATATTTGTCTCTCTGCCTGGCTTCTCCAGAATTTGGAAACTATCTGTGAGTATTCTTAACTTATGGCAATATAGTTGTTTGCATCAGCGCAGTAAGAATCCATTTTTCTTTTGCAACAGGACACAGTTGGAGAAACTGGTTATTCTACCAAGGCTTTGACTGAAGGGTATGCTTCTCTTTCAGGAGTCAGTCTCAACTTGCAGAGCCAATAAAAGCCCCTTGGGGAAAAAAAAATGGCCTCATATCCTTGTCTACGCAGTCCCTGTACAGGGTTCCTGACCTGTGGTCAGTAAAGAATGTCACTTTCTAACAGGCCTAGGGGCTCCAAGTTTATCTTAGGACTTTAAAAGGAGAGGATCACTCAACTCACAGGTATTTAAGGATACAAACCCAAGGCTGGGCTCAGCTTTAAAAGGCCTTCTCTGAGATTCCTTGTAAAACAGATTTCTATCAAAGCCAATCCAAAAGGCCTGTATAGGAATAATTACTCTTGCTGCACTTTATGCAGGCCAAGTATAAGACTAAAGTCTATTTTGCAAACAACTCAGTCCTACCATAATTTTTTTTAACAAAAATGAGGACTGGAGAGAGAGAAATTATGCTTCAAAACTTATCATACATTTGTCATTAAATTATAAACTCATTAGTTGTCTGTAAGTTTTTGCCTACATTTTAAACTAACCCTGCTTGTTCCTGTGAACCAACCAGCAATCTCTGGCTGTAGCCCAGAAAGAACAAGAGGGATGGGTAATGTAAAAATCCAGACCAATATTCTAGTTCTGACCAATTATCCTTCAAATCCTGCCAGGTGATGGGAATAAATAGGATGCCCATCACTCAGAGGTTTCCTTTTTGGGAAAGTAAGACCAAGGGAGCTAACCAAAGTCAAGCACGATGTGCCCAAATCCTAAGCAAGCATAACTATAGCCACCAGTTATCTGGGTGTGTCACAAGACATCCCTTTCTCTCCCTTGTTGGAGGAGGACTCAGTTCCACAGTTTCACCTTAGCATTTGGCTTATGAGAAGGAGTTCATGCAGTCCCCACCCTAGACACATTTTTGTCCCAAACTCAATTCCAAGCTTTGCGTTAAAGCCCTAGGAAAGAAAACTGGATCTGAGGGATGCAGAGGCAGACGATAACAGAAGTTTAAAGGCACAGCACAGGTGAGCATGGCTGATTCCTGCCGATTAAGCCAAGCCTCCTGTTTCATGGATAAAGATCATGCTAGTATCCATGGCATAAATAAGGTCTAGGGAACTCCAGACTACTGACAGTAGGTGGGATAGAAACAGTGGTGAGATCAGATAATTCCTATTTTCTAGGCCCTCCTTGCTTCATGGGTGCAAGCCACTTTGGCACCCACGGCAGCACCTGACAAGGTCACCGGGACGCAGGGATGCAAAGACAGAAGTGGGAAAGAGAATGTTCTTCCCTCTCTCCCTCACATACCTGGGGTATCTGCTAGGAAGAGAAGGGAACAAGAGACTCCTGCTCCCGTTCTTTTAGATGGGTAGCCATTCATCTTCAGTCTGTACCTTTTTCAAATGCATCCTGAACCCCTGAGACTCCTTTAAAAAGCTCCTTCTTTTTTCCTCTCTCCTCCTCTGTCCTCTCTTCACAGATAGGTAATTGCATCTTCGTACTACAGGACACTCCCCTCAGATGCATCCTCCAAACTGGAAAGGTTAATTTCCCAAACCTTAAACTGGTTGGTTTAGGATTAGGCTCAGGGGAAGGGAACGCCCTGTTGGAAGAAGGGAACCCATGTTGGAAGAAGCCCAACATGCTGGCAAAAGGGTCAAGTTTACTACCAGTAGGGCTTGTGGCCTCCCTCTCCCCATGCAAACTGGTAAAAGGCCTTGGGATTTTTGAGCTGCCCTTACCCCTCCCCTTGTTTCATTTTAATACATGTTTTCTAATAACCCGATTTGTCTCTTCTTGCCTTCAGGCCATCAAACTCCAAACAATCACACAACCAGAGCCTCTGATGACGGCCCCTTCTGCTAGGAACCCTTAAATAGGCCTCTGAGGCAGCTCTAACTGCTGTTTCCCCAAACATCGCCCCCCTTAACAGCAGGAAGCAGTTAAGATTGGTCATCATGCTTATCCTAATGGCAGTTAGATGGACTTCTTTAGAGCACAGACCGCTAAACACCTGCTAAATGGCAGCTCCCTCCCACTCATTCTGGAGTGTCACCTCCAGAGGCTGCTCAGCTTCTTTCTAGGGTGTACGGATACTCTTCCTGGACAGGCAGGTGTTCCCTGGTCCCCATTCCTCACCCCAGCCCGGGAAAGGGGACCTGCCCATTCTCAGAGCACAGGTAGCTCCTCCCTCGCAATGTACAGCCAAGTATAAAGGGGTCCCTGGAGAAACTCCAGCTGGCCTGTGCACTGGGAGAAGTGTACACTGGGGTGGAGCCTCGGGAAGTTTGCACCATTTGCAGGGGGGAAGAGCCTGGCCCCTCCTCTTCCTGAGTGGAACCTGGGATTCAATCTGTGAGCTGGGAAGCACACTTGCAGGACTCTGGCTTTGCAGAGAGTCCCCATTTCCCTTTTTTTTCTTTTTGCCCAGTAAATTTCATTATTCTCACCCTTCCACGTGTCTGCGAGCCTAATATTTCATGGCCATGTGGCAAGGACCCAGCTCTTAGCTGAACCAAGAAGAAAGTTGTTCAACACTGGGATTACAGGTGTGAGCCACAGCACCCAGCTGATATGCAGATAAATCTTTTCAAAAGCAAAATGAGCCTCTTGCCTGCCCTACAGCCCTTACAACAAGAAGTGTTTTTCTTAGGGTCTGGGAAGTATGTCTTGTTTTTTTTTATTTTATTTTATTTTACAAATGGCATCTCACTATGCCAGGCTGGTCTTGAACGCCTGAGCTCAAGAGATCCTCCCACCTCCACTATCTCTTTGAAATGTAAACATCAAGTAAGATAGTGCCCCTATCTTCCTGTCACCCTAGCCTAAGGCTCTTTGTTCTCAGTAACTACCTGTTTGTGTTAGGAGTGAGTTTTGTTTTTCTTTCAGATAACAGCAGTTAACTAACACAGATGGCCACTGCCAATAACCAAGTGAACCTAGGATGAACCATGAGTATATAACAAATGATACTACCAAGTCCTCCTCTATAAGGACAAGTTATTGTTTATCTTGAGAACATGTATGTAAAGGATTGTATGTACTTGGATATGTAAAAGAGTGAGGTTTCTTTCTGTCTCTGCAATCTCATGAATGGATGGCCTGTGATGCACATCTCAGTCTGGTTTAATGCCTACTCAATAATACAACTCTTTTTTTCCCCTACATTTATGAAGAGAATTTTCTGGGTTGACAGGAGGTTTTTTTGCTAACTTTTTCCCCAACAGGTGTTTATGCCTTACTCAACTATTAAAGGCTATTACAGAAATGTACCCCCTCTGAGACTGAACAGTGTTGCTTTTTTGATCGATCCTCATCTCTACCAGGCAGGGACTGAGCTGGTGCCTATGTGCCTAGCTCCCTTCTCATACTGATGACCCACCACCTCCGCCTCCTTCCTGTACTGTACCAGCTTTGGTGGATGGGAGAAGTTCAGAAGGAGATCAAATTGGGTTAAGTTTAGAGCTGAGGAAGAACGCTAGAGTCCCATCTCACATAGAGGTCAGGTTCTAAACTCAGGGTTTTGGACAAAAGAAAAACTCAGAATTACCCTCCATTGTTTTTTTCATCGGAGCACCACTTGAAGTCTTTAGCATGTAGGCCCCGTCATATAAAAAATAGCAATCTTTAAACAACAGAATCACACTTTTCACAGCCTGATGCTCCTCTCCAAAAGGTCTCAGTTCACATCTTACTCCATGGTACAGGTCCAGGGAGCAAAACAACAAGCAGCCTCTCTCTCTTGTATGCCCACACTTGTACAGGTAAATTCATAGGAATTAAATATGGATGTGATATTACTTCATTGTTGTCAAATGATACCTGCCAACAGAAGATACCAGAAAACTTACTATGAGGCTTCTTACTTGCATAAGCTCCTCCCAAGGCCAAATTAGTTATTTGTAATTTTATATCATTGAAAAGGATATTTTTAAAGGGATATGCTCCCCTCTTACCTCCCCCCTCCCACACCAAGTTGTTTAAGTTCAAAACTGTTATGTGTTGAATTGTCCACCACTGAAAATATGTTGAAGTCCTTGGCTGGGTGCAGTGGCTCATGCCTGTAATCCCAGCACTTTGGGAGGCAGAGGTGGGCAGATCACTTGAGCTCAGGAGTTTCAGACCAGCCTGGGCAACATGGCCAAATCCTGCCTCTACAAAAAAAAATAATAATAATAACAAAAATTAGCTGGGTGTGGTGGTACATGCCTGTAGTGCCAGCTACTCAGAAGGCTGAAGCAGGAGAATTGCTTGAACCTAGGAGGCAGAGGTTGCAATGAGCGGAGATTGCACCACCACACTCCCAGCCTGGGCGACAGAGCAAGACCCTGTCTCAAAATTCAAAAAAAAAAAAAAAGATACATTGAAGTCCTAACCCCTAGTACCTCAGAATATGACCACCTTTGGAAATAGGGTCTGTATAAAGGTTATCAGGTGCAAATGAGTTCATTAGGTTGGGCCCTAGTTCAGTATGGCTGGTATCTCGTAAGAGGGGGGACATATGGACGTAAAGACTGGCAGGGAGGATGACATGAAGACACACAGAGGAAAGATGGCTGTGTGACACATCTACAAGTCAAGGAATGCCAAGGATTGCTGGCAGACACCAGAAGCTAGAAGCAGCAAGTGAGGTTTCTCCCCTAGAGCTGTCAGAGGGAGCACGGCCCTGCCAACACGTTGGTTTCAGACCGCTAGCCTCCAAAACTGTGAGACAATAAACATCGGTTGTTTTAAGCCACTCAGTGTTTGGTACTCTTTTACAATAGCCCTAGGAAACTAATACAAAGCCACGCAAAACCTGGACCTGCCCCTCTTCTAACTGATGCTTTCTGGTTCTAAAGCTCCTGGAGCCAGCGTTCTCTGAACCAAAGTCTCTAACCTTGGTATAAATTCAGCAAACTTTTCCCAAGTTATTTTAAAGAGAATTTACCTGGTACACTCTTGAGCTTTTAATGCCCAAAAAGAATGTTCTAAAGAACTCATTCAGTCACAAATACTAAATCACTGTTTGCTTTAAGAGCACTGAGGTCTTCAAAGGCAGCAACCATGAGGTATCCCTTTGGAGGTGGCAAGCATTAACTTAACATACCTGCCAGTATCTCCATAGTCCTCACTCACCAGGGGTCCGCCCCAGAAAATGCCCTCGGACTCTAGAGGCTCACCTCCCATTAGAGGGCGCCCATCAGTTTCCTAGAGCTGCTGTAACAAAAGGCCACAAGCTGGGTGGCTTAAAACAAGAAGAATGTATTCTCTCCTGGTTCTGGAGGCTAGACATATGCAAGGTGTTGGCAGGGCCATGTTCTCTTTAATGCCTCTAAGGGAGGATCCTTCCTTGCCTCTTCCAGTTTCTGGTTGCCCCAGGAATTTGGTTGCTGTATGTCTTCCTTCTGAGAACTGTGAAAGTTGTCAGAATCAAAATGGAGTCACTTCTGTTTTTTAAAAACCACCGCCACCAAAAACAAAAACAAATCCTGACAAATAGAGCCAGGTAAAGGGTATGAAAAGAGGGCCCTCATGTGTGTGTGCCTGATAACAGAAGCCATCACAAAAGACTGCAAAAACCACAACCTTGCACAAAGGCCATCACAACCTTATGCAAAAAATACTTATGCAGGCCTGGCATGGTGGCTCACCCCTGTAACCCAGCACTTTGGGAGGCTGAGGCAGGCAGATCACATGAGGCCAGTAGTTTGAGACCAGCCTGGCCAACATGATGAAACCCCATCTCTACTAAAAATACAAAAATTAGCAGAGCATGGTGGTGCACACCTGTAATCCCAGCTACTCGGGAGGCAGAGGCAGGAGAATTGCTTGAAACCAGAAGGTGGAGGTTGGAGTGAGCCGAGATCACACCACTGCACTCCAGCCTGGGCAACAGAGGGAGACATCTTTCCAGTAATGCCTATCCAGCCTCAATCACCCCTGTTATTGAACTCTGTACGCAAGGATAATTATTTCAAAACAACTATGTAATCTTTCTCATTTTTTCCTTTAAACACCTTTGTCTTGCTTTACCTCCCTGAACATGCACATAGTTTACTATGGTACACAAAATCCCAATGCAGTGCTCTATTCCCAAATAAACATCATTTTCTTTTAGAGAGTCTCTGTTTGTTATTTAGTTTGAAAGAATCATGAAGTTTTGTAGAAAGGCAGAGACTGAGATAGATGCTTTAAAAATTACCGTCCATATCCTTCCCTTTCTTTCAACACTGCTAGGGACTGCAAAGAAGGAAATATGAGCAAAGTTAACTTCACCCCTGAGGAGAGCAAAGTCACCTGGTGACCACTGAACAGGCCCCAGAGACAAAAACTGCTTAACTGAGGCATTTAGAAGGGAGCAAAGACCACCTGGTGACTATCAAACAGGCCATCTGAGGCCTGTCAAACACTCTATCTGGGGAAATTAAAAGTAATTAGACTTCCCTAGTATCTAAAGCAAGCATCTGGTTCCAGATTTCTTTTCCCAAGAAAATTTATAAGTAACTAGAATCTATTCTAGACATCTCCAGAATGTCATGCTGAAACTTACTGCGCCACCCTTGCTGACATTAAGGCACCAAAATGTCTACAAATGTAATTATTTATCATGACCTGCATAGCTAATGTAGTCCAAATTACCCTTAAGCTCCCGCCTTAAGTTCCATAAATGCTCCTAAGGAAAAATCTACCATGGCATGCTCAGTCCTCTCACTGAGGCACCTGCTGCACTCTTCTGCAGCTTGCTTTCTTTCTAATAAAACTTTCCTTTTTCAAAACTATAATGTTGTCAGTAAATTTTTTTTTTCTTTTTTTTTTTTGAGACACAGTCTCACTGTCGCCCAGGCTAGAGTGCAGTGGCATGATCTCGGCTCACTGCAGCCTCTTCCTCCTGGGTTCAAGCAATTCTCCTATCTCAGCCTCCCCAGTAGGTGGATTATAGGCATGCACCACCACGCCCAGCTAATTTTTCTAATTTTAGTAGAGACGGGGGTTTTGCCATATTGGCCAGGCTGGTCTCGAACTCCTAATCTCAAGTGATCACCTGCCTCGGCCTCCAAAGGTAAATTCTTTTTACCAACCCATGCTGATCCTGATACTGGGGCTCTGACACCTTGCCTGGCACACCCTGCCTTCCCTCTGCCAACACAACAACTCTGAACCAGCAGAGTTCCTCCTGAACAAGGAGTTTATTTTATGTTGTTATGGTTATTTTTATTAACATAGATCAAATAGAGAACCCAAAAGTAGACCCCAAAATATTTGGGAATTACATTCCAAATTAGTGGAGAAAGAAGAGTTGATTATTCCATACATGTTATTACAACATCTGGCTTGCCATTTAGGTTTAAAAGGAAGCTGGATTTCGCCGGGCATGGTGGCTCACGCCTGTAATCCCAGCACTTTGGGAGGCTGAGGCGGGTGGATCACCTGAGGTTGGGAGTTCGAGATCAGCCTGACCAACACGGAGAAACCCTATCTCTACTTAAAATACAAAAAATTAGCCAGGCGTGGTGGCACATGCCTGTAATCCCAGCTATTCAGGAGGCTGAGGCAGGAGAATCACTTGAACCTGGGAGGCGGAGGTTGTGGTGAGCCGAGATCGCGACACTGCACTCCAGCCTAAGCAAAAGAGCGAAACTCCATCTCAAAAAAAAAAAAAGAAACTGGATTTCTATTTGACTCCTCATCCCCAAACAAATTACAGATGAATTAAAGATCTAAACCTAAAATAAATAAAACTTTACATTCTAGGATAAAATATGGGCACTTCATATATATAAATATATATATATAGTTTATTTCAATAGCTTTTGGAGTTCAGGTGGCTTTTGGTTACATGCACGAATTGTTCAGTGGTGAAGTCTGAGATTTTAGTGTACCCATCACCTGAATGGTGTACATTGTACCCGATATGTAGTTTTTCATCCCTCGCTGCCCTCCCACCGTCCCCCCTTCTGAGTCTCCAATGCCCATTATACCACACTGTATGCATTTGTGTCCCCACAGATTAGCTCCCACTTATAAGTGAGAATATACAGTATTTAGTTTTCCATTCCTGAGTTACTTCACTTAGAATAATTGCCTCCACTGGGCGTGGTACCTCACGCCTCTAATCCCAGCACTTTGGGAGGCCGAGGTGGGCGGATCACTTGGGCCCAGGAGTTTCAGACCAGCCTGGGCAACATGACGAAACTCCATCTCTATTTTAAAAAATGAAAAAGAAATTTTAAATAAGTAATAAAAAATAAAATTTAAAAAAAAATGGCCTCCAGTTCCATTCAAGTAGTTGCAAAAGGTATTATTTTGTTTTTGTTTATGGCTGAGTAGTATTCCATGGTGTATATATATATTTCTTTTATCTACTCATCACCTGGTGGGCACTTAGGTTAGTGACACATCTTTGAAATTGTGAATTGTGCTACAGTAAACATATGCATGCAGGTGTCTTTTTGATATAATGACTTCTTTTCCTTTGGGTAGATATCCAGTAGTGTAATTGCTGGATCGAATGGTAGGTATACTTTTAGTTCTCTGAGAAATCTCCATATTCCATACTTGAGAAATTTTTCATAGAGATTATGCTAATTTACATTCCCACCTGCAGTGTATAATTGTTCCCTTTTCACCACATTCACACCAACATATATTGTTTTTTGACTTTTTAATAATGGCCATTCTGGCTGGGTAAGGTGGCAGATATCTCATTGTGGTTTTAATATGCATTTACCTGATGATTAGTGATGTTGAGCATTTTTTCATATATTTGTTGGCCATTTGTATCTCTTCTTCTGAGAAGTGTCTATTCATGTAATTTGCCCACCCCGTCTTCTTTTTGAGACAAAGTCTCGCTCTGTCACCTGGCTGGAGTGCAGTGGCACAATCATAGCTCACTGTAACCTTGAACTCCTGAGCTCAAGCAATCCTCCTGCCTCAGCCTCCTGAGTAGCTGGGACTACAGGCATAAGACACCACGTTGGCTAATTTTTTCTTTTTTGTAGAGAGAGGGTCTCACTATGTTGACCAGGCTGGACTCAAACTCCTGGGCTCAAGCAATTCTCCTGCCTCAGCCTCTCTAAGTGCTGGGATTACAGATGTGAGCCACTGAACCCAGCCATTTGCCCACTTTTTAATGGGATTATTTGTTTTTATTTTTGTTTTCTTGCTGATTTGTTTGAGTTCCTTATAGATGCTGGATATTAGTCCTTTGTCAGATGCATTGTTTGCAAACATTTTTTCCCATTCTGTGGGTTGTCTGTTTATTCTGATGTTTATTTACTTTGCTGTGCAGAAACATTTTAAATTCAATTAGATCCCATTTATTTTTGTTTTTATTACATTTGCTTTGGGGTCTTAGTCATAAATTCTTAGCCTAGGCCAATGTCCAGAAGAGTTTTTTCCTAGATTTTCTTCTAGAATTTTTATGGTTACAGGTCTTAGATTTAAGTCTTTAATCCAATCCATCTTGAGTTGATTTTATATAGGGTGAGAGACAGGGATCCAGTTTCATTCTTCTTCATGTAGCTATCCAGCTTTCCCAGCACCATTTATTGAATAGGGTGTCCTTTCCCCAATATATGTTTTTGTACGCTTTGTCAAAGATCAGTTGGTTGTATTTGGCTTTATTTCTGGGATCTCTATTCTGTTTCATTGGTCTGTGTATCTACTTTATACCAGTACTGTGCTATTTTGGTTACTGTAGTCTTACAGTATAATTTGAAGTCAGGTAATGTGATGCCTCCAGATTTGTTCTTTTTGCTTAGGGTTGCTTTGGCTATTTGGGCTCTTTTTTGATTCCATATGAATTTTAGGATTGTTTTTTCGAATTCTGTGAAAAATCATGTTGATTTTTTGATAGGAGTTACATTGAATCTATAGATTGCTTTGGGCAGAATGGTCTTTTTCACAATATTGATTCTTTCAATCCATGAGCATGGGATGTATTTCCATTTGTTTGTGTCATCTATTATTTCTTTCAGGAATGTTTTGTAGTTCTTGTAGAGATCTTTCACCTCCTTGGTTAAGTATATTCCTATTTTATTATTACTTTTTTGCAGCTATTATAAAAGGGATTGAGTTTTTTATTTGATTCTCAGCTTGGTCCTTGTTGGTGTATAACAGTGCTACTGATTAGTGTACATTGATTTTGTAACCTGAGGCTCTACTGAATCAATTTCCTATCTAAAAGTCTTTTGGAGGAGTCATTAGAGTTTTCTGTATCATTGGCAAACAGAGATAGTTCAGCTTTCGCTTTTCCAATTTGGATGCCCTTTATTTCTTTGTCTTGCCTGATTGCTCTGGCTAGGACTTTCAGTACTATGTTGAATAGAAGTGATGAAAGTGAGCATTCTTATCTTGTTCCAGTTCTTAGAGGGGATGTTTTCAACTTTTCCTCATTCAGTATAATGTTGGCTCTGGGTTTTCCACATATGGCTTTTATATTTTTTTAATTTATTTAATTACTTATTTATTGTTGTAGAGACAGGGTCTCAGTTTGTTGCCCAGGCTGGTCTGGAACTCCTGGCTTCAAGCAATCCTTCTGCCTTCAAGCAATCCTTCTGCCTTGGCCTCCCAAAATGCTGGAATTACAAGTGTGAGCCACTGTGCCCAGGCTTTTATTATTTTCGAGGTAGGTTCCTTCTATGCCTAATTTGTTGAGAGTTTGTATTATAAAGTAATGCCTGATTTTAATGCTTTTTCTGCATCTATTGAGATGATCATATTGTTTTTGTTTTTAATTCTGTTTATGTGGTGCATTACATTTATTGACTTCCATATGTTGAACAATCTCTGCATCCCTGGGATGAAACCCCTTGATCGTGGTTAATTACCTCTTTGATGTGTTGTCGGATTCGGTTTGCTAGTATGTTGTTGAGGTGCCAAGGAATTTAAATTTTTCCATAGCATGCTTTCAAATCTTGTTAACTCAGAGTCTGCAGGCATTCCCTCACTGATCAGTGACTTCTAAAGGCCCAAATTCATGTCTGCACATCAACTCATTAACAAGGTCTCAATATGAAATAACTCCAGTTCCAGGGCTGCAAAGTACAGCCAACACTGAACAGGTTCCTAATGTAGAGATCTGATTCTCCAGCCACAAACCTGTGTGCAAAAACATTGCATCTCTTTATTTTATTTTATTTTATTTTATTTTATTTTATTTTATTTTATTTTATTTTATTTTTTTTCAGACAGAGTCTTGCTCTGTCGCCAGGCTGGAGTGCAGTGGCATGATCTCGGCTCACTGCAACCTCCGCCTCCTGGGTTCAAGCAATTCTCCTGCCTCAGCCTCCCAAGTAGCTGGGACTACAGGCACGTGGCACCACGCCCAGCTAATTTTTGTATTTTTAGTAGAGACAGGGTTTCACCATGTTGGCCAGGATGGGCATCTCTTTATTTTCTATAAATCAACTTAATCTTGATTCTGAGTCCCCTTCTTGCTAAACAGGGAGGAAATTTCAGTTCTGGCATTTTTTTTTAATTTTTTGAGACAGAGTCTTACTCTGTTGCCCAGGTTGGAGTACAGTGGCACGATCTTGGCTCACTGCGACCTTTGCCTCCCAGGTTCAAGGAATTCTCATGCCTCAGCCTCCTGAGTGGCTGGGATTACAGATTACACCCAGCTAATTTTTGTATTTTTAGTAGAGATGGGGTTTTGCCATGTTGGCCAGGCTGGACTCAAACTCCTGACCTCAGGTGATCCTCCCACCTCAGCCTCCCAAAGTGCTGGGATTACAGATGTGAGCCACCACGCCCAGCCCTCAGTTCTGGCATCCTTGGGGCTTCCTGCCCTACCCTATCCCTAGAGTTATATATTGGTTCTGAGGGCTCAGACAACACATTTCCAAGAAGCAGGTAAAGGGAAAGGTTGCCTATTATCACTGACCATCCGGTCATATAGCTTGCGCTGATCCTTTTTGTGGCTCCCTCAGGTCCAGAAGCTCTCTTCTGCTTCTCAACCAACCACACTGTGGGAAAAGGCAAGTTTTGTAGGACTGGAAACCCTGTTGCTCAAGCCTTCTCTTTCTAGATACACCTATAATCATTCTTCTCCAAGGCTCTGCAAAGGAGCGGGGCCTGGAATCCCAAACTCTAGGGTAATGTCCAATACATTGCTTCACTAAGCAGACAATCCCAAAGGAAGCATTAAATTAGTACATGTGGCTGGATAATGTTTTGATAAATTAATTTTTTTAGAGCTTGATGACAGAATGGACATACCAAATAAGGGAAAAATCAAAGATGACTCCAATCTTTCTGTTCTAAATAGGAAGTCCTCTAACTTTCTGATCATCTCCAGGAACTCTAAGCCTGTTATTTTATGCAAAACAAAAAAATCAAAAATGTGTATATGGGATCATTTCCCCTGAATAGTGAGAAGTTGAATGTATTTTTGTTTAAACATAAAACTAGAATTCTCCATAATTTTACAGCTGAAAACTGAGCCATATATATGGTCACTAGGTGGAGCTAAAAACCAGATAATCCAAACTCTCATTGCTTTGGTAACCAAGAAAGTGGGTCAGTGAGTCAGGTTCTTCTATTACACATGTGTGTGCCTATTCCAAATGTTGGGTTTGGCCCCGCTTCACCAAACTCATAATAATAGAGGTCAGCCTAACCTACCACGTAATTAAATAACAGTGACTAGCAGGGTACCTCTGCCTATCCAGCTTTTATATAAGTTTCTTTACTGGAAAATACTAAAGATTGAAAGGAAAACAACTGCTTTCTGAACGCTACTGTCAAGGCACAAAGGTTTTCAGAGATAATAACTCTGTTTCTGTGTGCAATACAAATTTAATTAAAAAATTAATTCTACTGTTTGAATTATGTGGAACACTATCTTTTCACTTGATAATACAATTTTGTGTGTGTATTGTGCCTTACATATATACATATATATATACACACACACATATGTATATTTTGAGACCAAGTCTCACTCTCTCACCCAGGCTGGAGTGCAGTGGCATGATCTCTGCTCACTGCAACCTCTGCCTCCTGGGGGTTCAAGCGATTTTCATGCCTCCCTAGTAGCTGGGACTACAGGTGCCTGCCACCACGCCTGGCTAATTTTTGTGTTTTTAGTAGAGACAGGGTTTCACCATGTTAGCCAGGCTGGTCTTGAGCTCCTGACCTCAAGTGATCTGCCCACCTCGGCCTCCCAAAGCTCTGGGATTACAGGCATGAGCCACCACACCCGGCCTAATCCTCACAGTTGTATGAGGTAGACATTGCTATCATCTCCATTTTATAGATGAGGAAACCAGCTCAGCGATAGGTTCAATAACTTGCCCCAAGCCTCCCAACCAGTAAGCCAAAGAACCAGGCTGCGAGAGGGTGTGCAATGCTGGAACTTGCCAGCAGAGGCAGGAAATCTTTGTTCTAATCCAAACTGGGATTTAAGTGTGTCAGACCTTAAGGGGGAAAAAAATCACCCTTCAAGTCTTGAGTTTTCATTTGAAAAATGAATAGTTGGTCCCTATGGTGGTGCACTTTAAACTTAAATGCAGTCAATCACCTGGATTGCATTGAAATGCAGATTCTAATTAAATAGGTCTGGCATGAACCCAAGATACTGCATTTCTAATAAGCTCTGGGGCCATGACGATGCTGTTGTTTGGAGGACCACGCCGAGAACCCTTCCTCTTATGGGAGGCTAATAACTAACTTCTGCAAAGGAAAAATATCTCCCCAAACTAAGAAAAGGGCAAACCATATATCTGCATCGATGTCTGCAATTTGAGATATTCACTGACAGCTATCTATTTGAAAGCAGAACTTTGTTGCTTGGTACAGATCTGTATTTGACATCATTCTATGCTTCTAAATTAATTGGAGTCTATCAGATCCTTTGGGAGAATGAAGCTTTGTTATTCCAGTCATCAGCCACCAGTATATCCTTATCATTTGTGTTTTAGGCCAGTTGTTTTTTATTCTTGATTGATAGCACACTTGGCATCTCAGGCAGAATCACCCCACATTTCCTATGTAGCATCTGATATGAAGCTGATGCTTTAAGTCTTTGCAACATGAAACCATCATTTTTACCTAATTACAGGCATCCTGTTTCCCAGGCAAATAACCTCTCTCTATACTGGATCACTCTTACTTCTTTGCAGATATCACTTGCTTGCTAGGGAGTTATTAAGTAAATGATAGCATGTGCTGAAGATCAATTTGTTTGAGAAATTTGCATTTACTCTATGTAGTACTTTACAATTTACAGAAGCATTTTCACCTATGTTAACTCATTTCATCTTTAAAAATGTAGTGAATTGGATAGGGAAGATATTATCTTTCTTATTGCAGATGAAAAGACCAGAAAGTTGTGACATACAGGAACACAACCAGTGTCTCCTGACTTTAAGTTTCAAGCACTTCTTACTGCACCACATTGCTTTCCTACTCATGGTTCAATGAGCGTATCATTTTGTGAGCAAAGAGCATGCCTAAGTTGTACATTAAAAATAGGGTGGCTAGGCGTGGTGCCTCATGCCTGTAATCCCAGCACTTTGGGAGGCCAAGGTGGGTAGATTGGCTGAGTCCAGGAGTCACAGACCCGCCTGGGCAACATGGCGAAACGCATCTCTACAAAAAAATACAAAAATTAGCTGGGCATGGTGGCGCACACCAAGATCACGCCACTGTACTCCAGCCTGGGTGACAGAGTGAGAACCTGTCTCAAAAAGAAAAGCCAGGTTGAGGGAAGAAGGAAGTGGAACGAGCTTGGGATCACCTTAGAAAAAACAAGGAAATAAGAGTAATAAATCAAGGCAAATTAATGGCCAGGGAAAATCTTAAGTTTCTGGTGACATATTTCAATACTCCAGGTTTTGGTTCTATAGAATCATAATCTCAAATATCATTGACTCACTTCTAGAATGGATATCTTAAATTGGGCCCTAGTTTTAGGCTCATATAAAGCACATTCAAGTCTAGTCCATTCAATCTATTCAAACATCTACTAAACTTTCTCTGTGTGAGGAATTTCAGGAGATACAAAGATTAAGGCACATTCTTGAACCATAAAAAGCCTATTATTAGTAGGGAGGGCTTACTTTAATTATTCATGTATTGGTTCACTTAAAAATATAGTTTAGCACCTTGCTATGTGCCAAACACTATCCTAGGTAGACAAGAACAACAATGAACAAGACAAGGGCCCTGACCTCAAGGACTTTACTTGGCCAGTATAGAATACGGGAAAAATAGTGGGGCCGCTGCCCAAGTTACCAAAGAATCACAGTGAAGGGTATCTATCCCAATCCTGAAGAGTCAAAACACAGTTCCCAGGAGGAAGGGACATTTAAGCTGGGCCAAGTTAGGGTAGGGGAAGGGCCATAAATGCAAAGGCCTAGGGGCTATGGTGAGCTGGTAAATGTTTAATAACTCTCTAGAGAGAAGCAAGAATGCCCTAATTTGTAGATTTTGCCAGTTTCCTTGATTTACTCCCACCATGACCTCACTGAACATGCAATTGGGAAGAGACATGCACCATACGCTCTCACACTCCCACACAAATCAACTCTAGAACACCACTGCTTACAGATAAAAGTATGGTACTTCTGGGCAATGTCAAGCCCATCTATAGAATGGGAACTGTGTGTGTGTGTGTGTTTGGGGCAGTGAGCAGGGGAGGGAGTGGAGGTAGAAAAGGGAATGGTGGGAGGGAAGGCTAGGGAGGGAGGGAACATGCCCACATGCCACTTTAAAGAGTTTGGACTTTATCTGGGGCTGTGCAACTTCATCAAGTAAACATGAGTCACTGAGGTAAATATGGAGTCATTGAATGGTTTTAAGGAAGGGGGTGACCTTGTTGAGAGTGATACCTATTGTTTACAGCAATAGCCTATTTTTCCCTTCTAGAGAAAGAGGATTTTGTCTGTTTTCATCCCAGCCATATCTCCAGTCCTTAGAACACAGCCTGCCATAACGTGACCTCTCCACAAGAAACAAGAGACTGCTTCCAGTGCTCTGGAGTATGAATGAGAAGTCATGAAGTCAACCTAGAGAGTGGAGACAGTGAGTGAGATAATATCTATAGCAAAGGGAGCAAGGAACTAAAGCAGCCACTGTCAGCTAACTTGAAGTCAAAGGGTTGATTCAGGGATTTTTTAATATAAAAGAAATGTGGCCAGGCATGGTGTCTCATGCCTGTAATCTCAGCACTTTGGGAGGCTGAGGCAGGAGGACTGCTTGAGCTCAAGAGTTCTAGACCAGCCTGAGCAACATGGCGAGACCCTGTCTCTATTAAAAAACAAAAATAAATAAATAAAAGAAATAAGTCAGGTGCAGTGGCTCACACCTGTAATCCCAGGACTTTGGGAAGCCAAAGCGGGTGGATCACCTGAGGTTGGGAGCTCACGACCAGCCTGACCAACATGGAGAAACCCCATCTCTACTAAAAATACAAAATTAGCCAGGCATGGTGGCGCATGCCTGTAATCCCAGCTACTCGGGAGGCTGAGGCAGGAGAATCGCCTGAACCCAGGAGGCGGAGGTTGTGGTGAGCCGAGATCATGCTATTGCACTCCAGCCTGGGCAACAAGAGCGAAACTCCATCTCAAAAAAAAAAAAAAAGAAAAGAAATAAATATAAAAGAAATTTGATTACATTTAAGTGACTATGACAAAAAGCCAGTGGAGAAAAGAGGGAATAACTGATTAAACAAACTTTACTAATGCTTTAAAAATAATATTAAATGCATTTAAATAACTATATACCACACAATTTAATTAAAAAATAAATAGAAATTTAAACTACAATTTAATTAATATAAACAAATTTAATAAGATTAAGCACATTTTATTAAGGCTAAAAAGCCATGGAATTGCTTTGAGAGCAAGATCTTTGTCTGTTTTACTCACTGCTATATCCCCGGTACCTAGAACAATACCTGGAACATAGCAGATGCTCAACAAATATTTGCTGATTGAATGAATGTATGACTGGATAAAAGTAACCATTCATTGGGCACTTACTTTGTGCCAGGATCAAATGATTTTCATGCATATTATCCTCAATTCTCACAACAGCCTTAGGAGGTAAACGATTATTTTCATTTACTAATGAGGAAAGAGAACTTTAGTGAGATTTAGAAACTTGCTCATAATCACACAGCTACTGAGTGACAGACATGGAACTTATTCCAGGTCAATCTAAATCAAAGCTATGCTTTTAAGAGCAACTGTGATTTTAAGTGTCTGGATTTTTTTTTTTTTTTTTCTGAGACAGGGTCTTGCCTGTCGCCCAGGCTGGAGCGCCGTGGCTCATTCACAGCTCACTGCAGCCTCTACCTCCTGGGCTTAAGTGATCCTCCCACCTCAGCTTCCCCAGTAGCTGGGACTACAGGTGCATGCCAATGCACCCAGCTAGCTTTTTAAATTTTTTGTAGAGACAAGGTCTCACTATGTTTCCCAGGCTGGCCTCAAACTCCTGAGCTCAAGCCATCCTCCCATCTGGGCCTCCCAAAGTGCTAGGAGTACAGACAAGAGCCACCACACCTGGCCCTAGCGTTCAAATAGTTAAATATCTGAAGCAAAAACTGAAAATATTTGAGAAAGGAAAAGGAAAACTTTTGGTTCCTTGTGTCACCAGAATACATAGAATAGAGGAGCTAATTATAGAAAGAATAGCATAGCAGTTAAGCGTGTAGCCTGTGGAGCCACATGCCTGGGTTCAAATCCTAGCTCTAATGCTCACTAGCTGTGCAACTTCATCAAGTTACTTAACCTTTCTGTGCACTGGTTCCCTCCCCTATAAAATGGAGATAATGATAGCACCTACTTCATGGGATGGTTAGGAGAACTAAATGAGTTTATACATGTAAAGCACATGGAAAAAAAACCATTTTGTGTTTGCTGTGATTGTTATAGCCTATTTTTCCCTTCTAGAGAAAGAGGATTTTGTCTGTTTTCATCCCAGCCGTATCTCCAGTCCTTATAACACAGACTGCCAAAATGGGGCTTCTCCACAAATGTTTATTTTTGTTTTTTTTTTAATGAGATAATTAGTAAAATGAATGTCCAGCATATGTGTGTGTGTGCTGCTCAGAAGATTCATTGAATCTGAAGATAAAAACATTAATTTTGCTCACAAATCATGTTATATCATACTTTTTTAAAAAATGTGATTAGCCACTATAAATCAACTAAAAATCTCTCTCTCTCTTTTTTTTTTTTTTTTTTTTTGAGATGGAGTCTCGCTCTGTCGCCCAGGCTGGAGTGTAGTGGTGCGATCTTGTCACACTGCAACCTCTGCTTCCCGAGTTCAAGCGATTCTCATGCCTCAGCCTCCCAAGAAGCTGGAATTACAGGCACATGCCACCACACCTGGCTAATCTTCATATTTTTAGTAGAGATAGGGTTTCACCATATTGGCCAAGCTGGCCTCAAACTCCTGGCCTCAAGTAATTCTCCCACCTTAGCCTCCCAAAGTGCTGGGATTATAGGTGTGAGCCACCGCACCTGGCACTGAAAGTACTTTTAAACATATGGTTGACAGTTAAGCCTTAAATTTTATGTATATCATTGTCCAAATAATATTGACCTTAGGTTAGAAGAAAACTACGTGAAAATAAAAATTGTTAAGTATTAAGATTATAGGATTGCAGTGATTTTACCCTTTTATTGGTTTTCTTCATGTATTATTATACCATCATTGTTTACATCATTCTTTCTCTTCTGATATTAAACTGAGAACAGCTGCATCTACTCTTGAGAAGGGGAAAGAAAAGACTGGAAATAGTCTAACAGTTGAACTGCATGAAATAGTTTAAAGTTGCTCTTTTAACAGCTATAAATTTTTCATAGAATAGCTCCAGCCACTCCTTGACTTGTGAAAAAATCATTTAGAAAGCTTCTGCATTATAAGCAATGCATAACCCTTAGGGAAGATGGATCAAAGAAATGTACAGTGTGCCTGTGAGTCATCCTTAAAATACTGGTGTTTTCTTCAATAAGCTTCTGTACTGGGAAAAATTATAATTCCGCACAAGCCTTGGAGACCTGTTATCACTTTGTAAATTGAGTAACCCTTGGAGACAAGGCAATCTACTGGCTAGGCAGCCTGGAAACAGCTTCTGGACCAATCAACTGCCTGGAAACAGTTCTTGGACTAGTCACCTAGAAACAGTACCTGGACCAATCAGCTGTTTTCTAAGAACTATTTTTTTCTAAAATCTGCCACTGCTGCCTTGCAAATCAAAACCAGAGAAATAAAAATGTACCTGAATTATTTCAATATCAACCTCACATGTCCTAGCCCATCTTTGGCCTATTCGACAAGTACCTCAAACTCTGTGCTCTTCAGTGGAATTCATTCTGTACCCAATAGTTTCTTAGCTACATCATATCCTTTGTGGAAGGAGGTAAGGAATGTCAACCTAAATAACAAACAGAGAGAGACTCTCTAAAAGAAAATGATGTTTATGTGGGAATAGAGCATTGCAATGGCAATATGCATGCCATAGTAAACTATGTGTGTGTTCAGGGAGGTAAAGAAAGACAAAGGTTTTTTTAAAGGAAAAAAAATGAGGAGGTTATATAATTGTTTTGAAATAATTATCCTTGGCTACAAAGATCAATAACAAGGGTGACGCCAGTCTGGGCTAGACAGGCAGTTATTGGGTAGGTGTCCTTGCAAAAATTTTTTTTGTGTAACATTATGATGGCCTTTGTGCAATGTTGTATTATTTGCAGAATCTTTTATGATAGTTTTATCAGGTATACATGCATGAGAATCCTCTCTTCATAGCCTTCTCTGGCTCTATTTGTCCAGGTTGTTTTGTTGTTTTGTTTTGTTTTGTCTTGTTTTTTTTTTAACATGAATGACTCAATTTCGATTCTGATAACCTTCACAGAAATAAATACCATTTTGCACATTGTAGTTGCTATAATGTTTTTTCATTTGAGGATATTCTTTCTACCGTCTTCTTTCTACCTTCTCCCTGGTTCTCAGCCTTGGCTGCACATTAGAATACCTGGGACATTTTGAAAAGTCCTGTTGCCCAGTCTTCATAACCCACACCAATTAAATCAGAATTTCTGCCATCAGCATTTATTAAAGTTCCACAGATAGGCCAGGCACAATGGCTCACACCTGTAATCCCAACACTTTGGGAGATCAAGGCAGGAGGATACTTGAGCCCAAGAGTTTGAGGTTACAGTGAGCTATGAACATGCCACTGCACTCCAGACCAGATGACAGAGCAAAACCCTGTCTCCAAAATGAAAAAAAGAAAAAAAAAGTTTCACAGATGATTCTAGTATGTATCTTAAATTGAAAACCACTGCTTGGCCAGGCGTGGTGGCCCACATCTGTAATCCTAGCACTTTGAGAGGCCGAGGTGGGTGGATCACCTGAGGTCGGGAGTTCGAGACCAGCCTGACCAACATGGAGAAACCCTCTCTCTACTAAAAATACAAAAATTAGCTGGGTGTGGTGTTGCATGTCTGTAATCCCAGCTACTCGGGAGGCTGAGGCAGGAGAATCGTTTGAACCCGGGAGGCGGAGTTTGCGGTGAGCTGAGATCGTGCCATTGCACTCCAGCCTGGGCAACAAGAGTGAAACTCCGTCTCAAAAAAGGAAAGAAAAGAAAAGAGAAAAGAAAAGAAAAGAAAACCACTGCTTGGCTGGGTATAGTGGTTTACACCTATAATCTCCGCACTTTGGAAGACTCAGGCAGGAGGCTCACTTGCGGTCAGGAGTTCAAGACCAGCTTGGGCAACATAATGAGACCCACTGCTTAACTAAATCTTAATAAGATCAAACTCTCCCCAAAGGCAAAGCAGTTTTTTGCCTTTTGCTTTATCTCATCCTATGCTGCCTAGTATAGTTTTTCTGCCTAGATTAGGTGACCAAGTGATAGAAAATACAAAGAGAGTAACAAGATACGTAGGATTGGGGATAAAGTCAGGATTGTCACCCTCTGAGCTCAGATCGTCATTTTTTTTTTTTATGTTTGTTTTTTTAAGGCCTTTCTCCATTGTGGAATTTTAATGCTGAAAGAGGTTGGTGACACCTTCAGGTGAAGGCTTTCAACATTCACTGTATTCATAAGGGCTTTTTCCAGTGTGGCAGATCTGCTTTTGAGATTCAGCTCTATCATCACCTAACTCTCTGACCCAAAGTAAGTTAATTGTAAAATGGAGAAGTAAAAGTATCTATTTGAGAGTGTGTCATGGGGATTACATTAGAAAAATGTGGATAAAGCACTTAGCTTGGCCCTTGGTACATGCTCCATAAAATAGCAAATTAAGAATCAACACAAAATGGTTGAGATGACCCACTTGCAAATGTTATCCTTCCTGAGAGATCATTTGTAACAGGTAGTAGGAGGCCTTAGAAAGTAACCTGCAGGCTGGGCACAGTGGCTCACACCTGTAATCCCAGCACTTTCAGAGGCTGAAGCGGGCGAATCACTTGAGATCAGGAGTTCCAGACCAGGCTGGCCAACATGGCGAAACCACGTCTCTACTAAAAAAAAAAAATACAAAAATTAGCTGGGCATGGTGGCACATGCATGTAGCCCCAGCTACTCAGGAGGCTGAGGCATGAAAATCGCTTGAACCTGGGAGGCGGAGATTGAAGTTAGCCGAGATCATGCCACTGTACTTCAGCATGGGAGACAGAGCAAGACTCGGTCTCAAAACAGGAAAGAAAGGAAAGAAAAGAAAGAAAGAAAGAAAGAAAGAAAGAAAGAAAGAAAGAAAGAAAGAAAGAAAGAAAGAAAGAAAGAAAGAAAGAAAGGAGAAAGAGAGAGAAAGAAAGAAAGAAAGAAGAAAGAGAGAGAGAGGGAGGGAGAGAGGGAGGGAGGGAGGAAGGAAGGAAGGAAGGAGAAAGAAAGAAAAAAGAAAAGAAAGAAAGAAACAGAAAGCAAGCAAGCTGTAGTGACAGTATTAGTCAAGTGTGTATCCTCAGGCCTGTTATTTAATTACAGTTATCTCTTCCTACCTGTGGGTTCTGTATCTTCAGATTCAACCAACTGGGGATTGAATATATTTGGGAAAAGAAAAATACAACAATAAAAAGTAATACAAATTTTAAAATATAGTATAACAAGTATTTACATAATATTGATATTATATTGGGTATTATAAGTAATCTGAAGATGATGTAAAGTATACAAGAGGATGTGCATAGGTTATATGCAAATACTACCCCATTTTCTCTCATTCTCTTTCTCTCTTTTTTTTTTTTTTTTCTGAGACAGAGTCTCACTATTGTTGCCCAGGCTGGTCTCAAACTTCTGGGCTCAAGCAGTCCTCCTGCCTCAGCCTCCTGAGTAAGTGGGATTACAGGTATGCACCATCACACCCAGCTACTATGCCATTTTATACAAGGGACTTGGGCATCCATGGATTTTGCTATCCAAGGGGGATCCTAGAATCAATCACTAACAGATACTGAAGGGCAACTGTAAAGAGAATGTAATCTAATCACTCCTCCAGTAACTTGAACATGTCAAGTAATATTATAGTAATGGAAGTGTCATTGACTGCATAGACCAGAGCGGGAAATACACTGCAGAAATAGGGTGGCAGGAAAGAGAGAGAGAGAGAGAGTTTATGGTGTATCTCTAACACTATATGGAAGAGAAAACACATCTTTCATGGTGGGAACTTTTGTCCCAGCATTGAGAGACTTTCCTGGATCATTGGAATGATAGGAAAGAAACTGTGCTGCTACTCCAGCTGCAACTTTACCCTCTGGTATCAATAGGCCTTTTTGAAGACAGGAACTCCTTGGGGAATACCAAGCTTGGCCCAATTACAAAGGCCCCTTGATCTGGGAGTCAGAATCATATAGCAGCCTGATCTTTTCTCCTCAAGAAACCACTCTCAAAACACAATCTGTGTTAGAAAAGGTTTTCAAAACTAAATTACATTTACATTTTAGTTTGTTAGAGCAGGAACTTCCTTTTTGATTAACCTTCATTAGTCACTGAATATTGTGAAATATATATTTGGTCTTCCACTTCCTGGCATATAACTCCTAAAATCCTTGGACTCTCTGAAGTGATAAACATACTTTTGCATGCTAATTAGTTGACTGATGGCTGGCAACTCCTATGTAGCTTTAGGATGGGGGCTAATCACCCCAAAAACCAAGGCAGGATTAGAGGATTGGAACTTTCAGCCCCACCCCCCAACCTCCTAGAAGAGGTCAGGAGAAAGATGCTTTAGAAATAAACTACAGTAGATCTATTAATTCTTTCAATCAATTTAGCTATTTGTGAAATTTCATTTTGTGCAAGGAGGTAACACCTGCATTTCCATCACCTGCTAGCAGTCTCACAAATATGTATTATTGGTCATAAATGGAATTAGAAACTTCTATCATGAATGTAAGTAGAGGAACTAAAAACAGAAGGCCATTTGTATTATATCATCCAGAATATAAAGCATTATTTAATAAATTCAAACTGTTTTCTAAATGATACCCTGGTGTCCACAATGTTACTGCAGCCCCTTAACAAAGCTTACTTAATAACTAATACTCCTGTGGCTTGAGAGAACTCTATAGGAGTAACAGATATGTAATTTATTTCCCAGAACATGGATAACATAGGGTTAAAATTGTAATTTGTCATAAATGTATACTACAAATGTAATATAAAATTATAATTTTTCCAAATATCTAGTTGTTCTAGTCATATTTGTTGGCCTATCAATTTCCCCATTGAATTTCCCTGGCACCTTTGTAAAAAGACAATCCACTATATATGTGTGGGTCTATTTGTGGATTCCATTGATCTACTTACAATAGTATCACACAGTTTTGATGACTGTAGCCTTTTAGTAATTTTTTTTTTTTTTGAGATCAGGGACTTGCTCTGTCACCCAGGCTAGTGTGCAAAGTGGTGTGATCAGGGCTTACTCCTGGGCTCAAGAAATCCTCCAACCTTAGCTTCCTGAGTAGCTGGGACCACAGGTGTGTGCCATCATGCCTGGCTAATTTTTTATTTTTTGTGGAGACAGGGTCTCACTACGTTGTCCAGGCTGGTCTTGAACTCCTGGGCTCAAGCAATCCTCCTGCCTCAGACTCCCAAAGTGCTTTTAATAATTTTTGAATTCAAAAATTATGTTTTTGAAGTGTTGAAGTCTCCCAACTTTGTCCTTCTCAAGATTATTTTAGCTATTCTAGATTCTCTGCAACTTCATATAAGCTTTACAATCAACTTGCTCATTTCTGTTTAAATAATTCTGTTAGGATTTTGGTTGGGATGGCTTTGGCTCTATGAGCCAATATCAAGAGAGTTTACATCTTAATAAGATGGATGCTTCCAATCCATGAACACAGTTTACCACTCCATTTATTTAGGTCCTTAATTTCTCACCGTAATATTTAATGTTCTTCAGTGTGCAGGTTTTGCACATTGTTGATTAAATTTTTTATTCCTAGGTATTTCATATTTTGATGCTTTTGTAAATGATATTATTTTTAAATTGCATATATAATGCAGCAGCATAAAGTATATCTTGATGAATGGAAAGAACTTATAAAGAATGTATACTCTGAAATTATTAGATTATCTATAAACATGTAAATCAAGTCAAAATGGTGAGAGTGTTATCCAAATCTTTTTTTTTTTTTTTTTTTTTTTTGAGATGGAGTTTCTTATTGCCCAGGCTGGAGTGCAATGGCACGATCTCGGCTCACTGCAACCTCCACCTCCCGGGTTCAAGCGACTCTCCTGCCTCAGCCTCCTGAGTAGCTGGGATTACAGGCATGTGCCATCACTCCCGGCTAATTTTGTATTTTTAGTAGAGACGGGGTTTCTCCATGTTGGTTGGGCTGGTCTCGAACTCCTGACCTCAGGTAATCCGCCCACCTCGCCTCCCAAAGTGCTGGAATTAGAGGCATAAGCCACCACGCCCGGCCTATCCAAATCTTCTATAACTTTATTGATATTTTGTCTTCTTACCCCATCACACACTGAAGGAGAAGCATTAAAACCTCCAAGTATGCCTGGAGATCTATTTCTCTTTTATCAATATTTTGCTTTCATACACCTTGAAGCTATTACGAGGTGCACATGCACTTAGAATTGTTATGTCTTCTTGGCTGGGCACGGTGGCTCACACCTGTAATCCCAGCACTTTGGGAGGCCAAGGCAGTTGGGTTGCTTGAGCCCAGGAGTTTGAGACCAGCCTGGGAAACATGGTGAGACCCCATATGTAGAAAAAAAAATTAAAAATTAACTAGACATGGTGGCGCATGCCTGTAGTCCCAGCTTCTTGGGAGGCTGAGGTGGGAGGATAGCTTGAGCCTAAGAGGTGGAGTTTGCAGTGAGCTGAGATCACGCCACTGTACTTCGCCTGGGTGACAGAGAGAGACCCTGTCTCAAAATAAATAAATAAATAAAATTAATTATTATGTCTTCTTGTTTAAATGACCTTTTTATCATTGCAAAATGATCTTCTTTATCTTTAGAAATACTCCTTGTCTTTAAATCTACTTTGACTGATATATAGGGATATGGTCAGACAGAAATGTGGGTTGTACCCCATTTGTGTCTAATGAAACTTTCCTTTCTTGGAGCTATCTTTGGGGTGGTTCTGAATCTTGTGAGGACTGATTTGCACCTCTTTGGAGATGCCTCATACATCCTTGGTTAAGTCATAATCTTGATTAAGGCATTTTGGTTTTGGTGAATCTCTAGGAAGATATCTTTGGTAAAGAGTTCAAAAGCCAGGAATATTGGCTGTTTGTCCTGGATAAAATCTGATAGTAAGAGATTTGTAAAATTTTTTTTTTTAATCTTCATGGTCATTCAGAAGTCAGCTTAATCAAAAGCTGATATTTAGACTATAATGTTTTTGTTTTTTCTTTTTTTTTTTTCTTTTTTTTGAAAAACGAAAACTGGCCAGGTGCAGTGGCTCACACCTATAATCCCCGCACTTTAGGAGGCTGAGTCAGGAGAATCACTTGAGGCTAGTAGTTCAAGATCAGCCTGGGCAACATAGTGAAATCCCATTTCCACAAAAAGAAAAAAAATGAGCCTGGTATTGTGACGCATACCTGTGGTCCCAGCTACTTGAAAGGCTGAGGTGAGAGGATCACTTAAGCCTGGAAGGTTGAGGCTGCAGTAAGCTGTGATTGTGCCACTGCACTCCAGCCGCGGTGACAGAGGGAGACCTTGTCTCAAAAAAAACCCAAAAAAACAAAAAACAAAACAAAAAAAACTTTCGCTTTTGGATCCTGTTTCTGGGAATTTTTTCCAGTCGACTGAATTTCATTTCTAATTATATGTTTGGTTCTTGTATTTGCTTCCTTTTTTATTGGCATGATTTTTGCTGAGAAAAATATAAAATTTCAGTGGCCTTTCAAGAAAGCTTAAAATCTCCAAATTGGCTCCTCTAAGATTTGTTCTTCCATTTCTTTCCACTTCTACTTCCTTTTTGCCTTTTTTTCTTTTCTTTTGTTTCCTTTTCTTTTCTTTCTTTCTTTTTTTTTTTTTTTTAAAACGAGGTTTCACTCTGTTGCCCACCAGGCTGGAGTCCAGTGGCACAATCACGGCTCACTGCGGCCTTGACCTCCCAAGGGATCCTCCCACTTCAGCCTCCCAAATAGCTAGGACCTCAGGTGTATACTACCAGGCCTGGCTAATGTTTTCATTTTTTGTAGCAATGGGGTCCCACTATGTTAACCAGGCTGGTCTCAAACTCTTGGGCTCAAGCAATCCTCCTGCCTTAGCCTCCCAAAGTGCTGGGATTACAGACATGAGCCACTGTACCCAGGCTTTTTTTGCCACTGAGACCCCCTGAGGAACACAGGAAAATGTGCCATACATCCCCTTTTTAGGGTCTTCTCTTTTCCTCCTGGAGCCTAAAGAGTCATGGGCAGGTTACTGTCATGTCTAAAGTTCTACTCTCTTTTGCACTGAGTTTCCTGATCTCTCTGGCTTTGGGGGGTACCAGGGATTACTTTGTACTGTGAGAGAAACCTGACCTTTCTGTGTGTGAAGACTGGTGGGTCACTGGCAAGGGCTGCAGTTTTGGAGGTGGCTGACAGTGGTTATCACAAATGGTTATTACTGCAGGAAGCTACTTATTTCTTCATGCGTTTAGATAAAAAGAGGTGTGGTTTGGACACCTGGAGGCTGTAGGAACACTCACCACAAAGTGATAAGATTCCCATGGGGGATGGTTTGATCACAGAGTAGGCAAACTGATGTTGGGTCACCCACCAGCCCTGGGGGAATATCCTTGCAACAAGGTGCAGAGTGGAAACATTGCACAGCCTGATCCCATAGTGTTTCCCTTTTTTGTTTGTTTGTTTGTTTGTGACAGAGTTTTGCTCTTGTTGCTTAGGCTGGAGTGCAATGGCGCGATCGCGGCTCACCACAACCTCTGCTCCCAGGTTCAAGCGAATCACCTGTCTCAGCCTCCCTAGTAGCTGGGATTACAGGTGCCCACCACCACGCCCAACTAACTTTTTGCATTTTTAGTAGAGATGGTGTTTCATTGTGTTGGCCAGGCTGGTCTCAAACTCCTGACCTCAGGCGATCCATCCACCTTAGCCTCCCAAAGTGCTGGGATTACAGGCATGAGCCACCGTGCCCGGCTTAGTGTTTCCCTCTTTTTAAGGA
This sequence comes from Homo sapiens, assembly GCF_000001405.40. NCBI lineage: Eukaryota > Metazoa > Chordata > Mammalia > Primates > Hominidae > Homo > Homo sapiens. The sequence goes on from NC_000006.12 coordinate 88,997,982, forward strand.
CCTGGGATTCAGTGTAAAAATGGGATCCTGGATTCCTGGGGTTCTAGATGCTCTCCTTCCAACTGCACCTGCTTTTCACATATACTAGTATTAGGCCCTAGAAATTGCAAATGCTTTTTTGGCCTTATTTTTTAATGGGGTCCACCCTGAGCTCAGTGATCCAGTTAAGAAACAGAAACTAAATTTTAAAACCACATATCTAACAAGATTGGTGTCCAAAATATGGCTTTCTAGCATTCAGTTGATTATTTGGAAAAGGTTTTTGAATTTTTTTCTAGGCTTATCTGTATGTTTCCTTGTAAAATCTATAGTAAATTCCCATGACTTTGACTTTGGTGTCATGTTTAATCTTCCTCTAACACAACCAAACTCCTTGTTGAAAACCCTTACATTCTTTCTCTTTACATTGAGATGTAAATTTGCTATCTTGTTTCCTCTAAAACTAGGGAAAGGCTTTGGCCATGTAAGACAGATAAACTTTAACTTGTTCCATTTACAGAGCCATGACTTAATTTAATTGTCCTTTTGTTAACTAGTGGGTTTTAAGCTGGGCACAGTAGCATGTGCCTTTGGTCCCAGCTACCTGGAGGCTGAGGCAGACGGGTTGCTTGAGCTCAGAAGTTTAAGGTTAGCATGCTCAACATAGTAAAACCATATCTCAAATAAAAAAATAAATAAAATAGTGAGTTTTAAATATCTAATTGCTAAAATTTTAAAAATTGAAGCTGTTAAGTCTGTATGTTTGTCTGTTTTTTTTTTAAATTTATTAATTTTTTTTTTTTTTTTTTTTGAGACAGAGTCTCACTCTGTTGCCCAGGCTGGAGTGCAGTGGCATGATCTCAACTCACTGCAACCTCCACCACTTGGGCTTAAGCAATTCTTACGCCTCAGCCTCCAGAGTAGCTGGAACTACAGGCATATACCACCAGGCCCAGCTAATTTTTGTATTTTTAGTAGAGATGGGATTTCACCATGTTGGCCAGGCTGATCTCAAACTCTGGTCCTCAAATGATCCACCTGCCTCGGCCTCCCAAAGTGCTGGGATTACAGGCATGAGCCAACATGCCCAGCAATTTATTAATTTTTGAGACAATGTCTCACTTTGTTGCCCAGGCTGGAGTGCAGTGGTGTGATTATAGCTCACTGAAGCCTTGACTACCTGGGCTCAAGTGATCCTCCTGCCTCAGCTTCCTGAGTAGCTAGGACCACAGGCACACAACACCACACCTGGCTAATACTTTTTGTATAAATGGGATCTTGCTATGGTGCTCAGGCTAGTCTTGAACTCCTGGACTCAAGTGATCCTCCTGCCTCAGCCTCCCAAAGGGCTGAGATTACAAGGTGTGACCCACCACACCTGAGTGTCTGTATTTTAAGTAAAAATTTTTTTTATTTTTAACTTTTCTTAAAGACAAGGTCACACTATATTGCCCAGGCTGAACTGCCACCTCAGCCTCCTAAGTAGCTGGGACCACAGGGACACACCACCACACCTGGCTGTTTGTCTGTATTTTTATGTATACATGTATAAACATGTCTGTTTGCATATTGTCTGCAGGGTACCAAATTGACCTACAAATAAATGAGCACTTATAAAGTAAATAACTAGCCCAAATGCTTTTCAAGTTCACATGACTTTAGTCATCTCTATTAAAGAAAGCTAGGTTTTAAATTGCTGGTAAAATAAAATAGAAATATCTTCAGAATTTTAGACATTTTTGCTTGAGTATACTGGTCAGACAAATGTATGCTGTCTCTGCTAGATGTCTGAAGGTAATAAAACTGTGGCTTCTGTGATACTTTTGATATTTTCTTGATCTAGCTATAAGCTTACATCTTTGGTTTTGAGTTGTTAGATTCTGTGGCCTAAACAGGTGGCGATGATGAGGCCTGAAGACATATGCATATCCACAGCACTTAGGCCACCAACTACAGGGTAGAGCCAAGTCCAGTATGTCCTCCCTGACCCAGCTGTATCTCCTGGCCATGCTAGAAAGAGTCAAATCCTCCAGGCATTGTCTTGACTGCTCTATCCTCTGTGCCAGGCTCTGCACCTGATACCAAACAATCAAAATTGCTTGGCCAAGTGCAGTGGCTCACACCCGCAATCCCAATACTTTGGAAGGCCAAGGTGGGCAAATCACTTGAGGCCGGAAGTTCAAGACCAGCCTAGCCAACATGGCGAAACCTCGTCTCTACTGAAAATACAAAAATTAACCAGGCATAGTGACGCACATCTGTAATCCCAGCTACTCGGGTGGCCCAGGCACAAGAATCGCTTGAACCCAGGAGGCGGAGGTTGCAGTGAGCCTGGGCAACAGAGTGATCTGTCTCAAAAAAAAAATGTTTACTTACTAGGTTTTTCACTGGAAATTAGCATTACTAAGAAAGTTGTAGTTAATATACGTCATTAAAACTACTACATGTAAGAGAAATAATTCTGTATACAAAGTACGTAAGAAAAGTAGCAAGTGTTTTTGGTAAGGAAAGTTATTTTAAAAACGTGAAGATGTGTTTTTTTGTTCAAGGAAAAGTAATTTTGTGTAGTTTAGTGGTTATTTAAAGGTTCTTTTAAATTAAAGTAATAAAAACAGAAAGATTGGTGAAAAAATAAGGGAAGAAAAGAAAAAAAGATAAAACTGAATGGGTACAGAAAGTTGGGGAAAAAAGAGTGAAAAAGATTTGTAAGAGGTTATGAAACGTTTATGGGACCAGGTGCGCCGGCTCACACCTGTAATCTTAGCACTTTGGGAGGCCAAGGCAAGAAGATTGCTTGAGGCCAGGAGTTCGAGACCACCCTGATCAACACAGCAAGACCTAGTTTCTATTTTTTTTTTTTAAATAAATAAAAGGCTATGGAAATCTTGTGTGGTCAAAGCTGATTGAGATTGGATTAATCTGTTTATAAGGTTTTATCCAAAATATCCTTTAGCATTAGTAATACATTGATACAAAGATAGAATTTGGTTTTCTCTTTTTTCTTTTTGTCCTCAGGAATTCTTGTTGTGCAGCTTTCTTATGAATAATATTTTCCTGTAGTGTTAACAAGAAATAGTAAAAGAGTTGTTCACCTTTTGAGTAAATTGTTAAAAAAAAAAGAGATAGAGGAATTTGCATTATAATGTCTTTCCTAGTTTTCAGATTGTTTGAAAAACTGAGTCTCCTCTCTATCAAAGAGCAGATTTTTTAATATTTTAATTATCATTTCTTATTTATTTATTTATTAAGAGACAGGCTCTTACTCCTTCTCCCAGGCTGAAGTGTAATGGCACAATCACAACTCCCTGTAACCTCAAACCCCTGGGTTCAATCCTCCCATCTCAGTCTCCTGAGTAGCTAGGACTATGAGCATGCGCCACCATGCCCAGCTAATCTTTTTTTACTTTTGTTAAAGACAGGGTCTCACCATGTTGCCCAGGCTGGTCTGAAACTTGTAGACTCAAGTGATTCTCCTACCTTGGCCTCCCAGGGTGTCAGTCAATGCCATGACCCATGGTGACCAGCTTGAGCTCACCCAGCAGAAAATATGGAAAAGCAGAGCAACTCATTTAAGAGAAAGCACCAAGATGACCAGCTTTCTGATGCCACCTGCAAGTAGAGGGACTCAGAGATCATGCAGCAAAAGCAGAAAAAGGCAAATGAGAAGGAGAAACCCAAGTAGCTTTGTGGCTTCATGCGCAACCCTCCTGCCATTCACCAGTGTCCCTGCATCTGCAGCAGGTCCCTTTCGTGCTTCCTTCCCCTCAGGTAGCCTCTCTGCCCCGGGCCATGGGAGTCACAGTTGCCCCTTCCCAGTGTTTTTTATTCCTGTGGGGCTCACCCCAAAGTATTAAAAGTAGCTTTGTAATTCCTTGGGGAAAAAAAAAGAATGAAATGATGCTTAACTTTGAGTTATATTTGTATAAATGTGTTAACATGTGTTCAAAAATTGCATGAGATTCCTAAAAATCTGGTATATCTTGGCAAATTGCATTATTCTAACGCTTTTTCTCTCCATTCTGTTTGTAAATCCTAGAGTGTTGTGTCTTCAAGAAGATTGATGGAAAAAAATGGAGACTGTCACAGGTACTCTTAAATACACACCTCTGCTGATAATTTTGAGATCACACAATTGGACTGCATAAGAATTTCAAAAACTTCAGTGAAAAAAGGGGACTCATAAAATTGCTAACCAATATCAAGCAGAGCAAGAATTAATTACATGAGACTAAAGTAATAAAGGACTGAAATTGTTGTTATTACTGTTTTTTAGACAGGGTCTTACTCTGTCACCCAGGCTGGAGTACAGTGGCATGATCGGCTCACTGCAGCTTCGACCTCCTGGGCTCAAGTGATCCTCCCACCTCAGCTTCTAGAGCAGCTGGGACCACAGGCATGTACCACCATGACTGGCTAATTTTTTATTTTTAGTACAGGCAAGGTCTCGCTATGTTGCCCAGGCTGGTCTCAAACTCCTGGGCTCAAGCAATCCTCCTGCCTCAGCCTCCCAAAGTGCTGTGATTATAGGCATAAGCCACTGCACCCAGCTGAAATAATTTTTCTATAACTTTTCTGCTTGAAATATTGCTGGTTCTTTCATTTATTTATTTATTTGAGACATGGTCTCACTCTGTCACCCAGGCTGGAGTGCAGTGGTATGAACACAGCTCACTGCAGCCTCTAACTCTTGGGCTCAAGCAATTCTCCCACCGCAGCCTCTCACAGGCATGCACCACCATGGCCAGCTATATTTTATTGTTTTGTGTAGAGATAAGGCCCCACTATGCTCCCCAGGCTGGTCTTGATCTCCCGGGCTTACGCAATTCTCCTGTCTCAGCCTCCCAAAGTGCTGAGATTACAGGTTTGCCTCCCTTTTCCATGGTGTTGCACTGGGCACACTTCTGAACAAAAATCTTCTTGCCTTTCTAAACATCACCCGTATTTAATTCTATTTTTTTTCACTGGTGCCACAAAGGTTTCTACTCAGAAGTTGGATGTCCCACTCAAGCATTGCTGATTCTTATGTTTTGTTTTCCATTGTCAGTAAACTTTTTTTATCTTAAGCTGTTTGTAGCTTACAGCAATTAGGTAAAGTATACTTTTGTGAGCAAAATTAAAACATTTACCTTTTTCTGTATCTGATTTCATCAGAATTCAAAAACTATTCATACAAGTTGGCAATGTAGTTATTTACATAAGTTTAATAAGAATGTGTTTTCTTCTGTGACAGGACACAATCAGAGACACTGGTTATTTTACCAAGGCTTTGACTGGAATGTCGTATTTTCAGATGTGACCAGATTGCTTTGAGGAATCAAGGTTGATGTTAAAGCCAGTAGATCTGGGAAAAGATTGGCCTAGTACCTTGTCTACACTGTTCCCTTGCAGGGTTCCTGATTTTATAGTAAGTAAAGAGTGTTACTTTCTGACAGGCCCAAGAAACTCAAGATATTTGGGGAACCTCAAGAAGAGAGAAATTCACTGAATTCATGTAGGTATTACAGGCCCATTCTAGTGGCCAATCTTTAGCTTGGCTTCCCAGCCTTTAAAAGTCTAATCTGAGATTCTTTATTAAAAACTTCCAGCAGGCTGGGCAAGGTGGCTGATACAGTTTGGATTTGTGTCCTTCCCTGAATCTCATGTCAAATTGTAGTCCCCAATATTGGAGGTGGGGACTGGTGGGAGGTGATTGGATCATGAGTGCAGATTTCCCCATTGGTGCTGTTCTCGTGATAGTGAGTGAGTTCTCATGACATCTGGTTGTTTAAAAGTGTGTGGCACCTCCCCCATCTCTCTCTTCCTCCTGCGTCACCCATGTATAGTACTGGCTCCTCCTTCACCTTCTGTCATGATTGTAAGCTTCCTGAGGCCTCCCCAGAAACAGATGTGCCATGCTTCCTTACAGCCAGTAGAATTGTGAGCCAATTAAACCTCTTTTCTTATAAGTTACTCACTCTTGAATATTTCTTTATAGCAATGTGACAATGAACTAATACAGTGGCTCATGCCTGTAATCCCAGCACTTTGGGAGGCCAAGTCAGGAGGAATTGCTTGAGCACAGGAGTTTGAGACCATCCTGGGCAACAGAGGGGAGACTCGGTCTCTACAAATTTTTTTTTTTAATTAGCCATGTGTGGTGGTGCACACCTGTAGTTTCAGCTACTTGTGAGGCTGAGTTGGGAGGATTGCTTGAGCCCAGGACGTTGAGACTGCCATGAGCTATTATCATGCCACTGCACTCCAGCCTGGGCAACAAAGTGAGACATTGTCTCAAAAAAAAAAAAAATTTCCAGCAAAATGTAAACCAAATATTTAATTCTAAGCCCCTCAACTAACTGAATGAACCTCCTCTTGGCCAAGGGCATTCCAAAGTTAACCTGAAAAACTAGTTCAGGCCAGGCACAGTGGCTCACACCTGTAATCCCAGCACTTTGGGAGGACGTGGTGGGCAGATCACTTGAGGCCAGGAATTCAAGACCAGCCTAGCCAAAATGGTGAAACCCTGTCTCTACTAAAAAATACAAAAATTAGCCCGGCTTGGTGGTGCGTACCTGTAATACCAGCTACTCAGGAGGCTAAACCATGAGAATCACTTGAACCCAGGAGACAGAGGTGGCAGTGAGCTGAGATCATACCACTGTACTCCTGTCTGGGTGACAGAGCAAGACACTGTCTCAAAAAAAAAAAAAAAAGAAAGAAAAAGAAAAAGAAAAACTAGTTCAGGCCATAAATAGGAAGGGGGGATTTGGACATGCCTTATTATACTCTCCTCCCTGTAGAATTCAGGCATAGCTGATCAGCATTAACATTAAAACAGAAACCTTAAAGACTGACAGAACAGATATTCTTTTTTTTCTGAATCAGAGTCTTGCTCTGTTGCCCAGGCTGGAGTGCAGTGGTGTGATTTCAGCTCACTGCAACCTCTGCCTCCTGGGTTCAAGTGATTCTCATGGTTTAGCCTCCTGAGTAGCTGGTATTACAGGTACGCACCACCAAGCCGGGCTAATTTTTGTATTTTTTTTTTTTTTTAGCAGAGACAGGGTTTTGCCGTGTTGGCCAGGCTGGTCTCAAACTCCTGACCTCAGGTATCTGCCTATCTTGGCCTCCCAAAGTAACACAGATTACAGGTGTGAGCCACCACATTCAGCCAAAACACTCTTTATAACAATAAGATACCATCATGAGATGGTAGGCTCTGAAAGAAATTGAAGTATTTTACCCTAAAATATATTTCTTTGACATATTTTGAAATGGCCCTGCAAAGCTGTCTTGTGAGGAAAATCTAAATTCTATAGAGAATCCCCTTCCCTTTCCATGTCTTTTTCCTTAGCCAGTAGAGAATTCACTGAAGAGTCTGGCATCTTTTTATGTCTAATAAAAAACCTTTGCAATCTATTAAACTTAGTCTCCACAACCCCTTGTCTTAACTCAGAAACTCCCTTCTATTGATTTTAGGTTTTTAGATAAACTCTTTTTGTTTTTTGTTTTTTGTTCGTTTGTTTGTTTTTGTTTTTTTGAGATGGAGTCTTGCTCTGTCACCAGGCTGGAGTACAGTGGCACAATCTCGGCTCACTGCAATCTCCGCCTCCTGGTTTCAAGCGATTCTCCTGCCTCAGCCTCCTGAGTATCTGGGATTACAGGTGCACGCCACTACACCCAGCTAATTTTTGTATTTTTAGTAGAGATGGGGTTTCACCATGTTGGCCAGGGTGGTCTCAATCTCCTGACCTCGTGATCTGCCCAGCACCCGGCTGATAAACTCTTTTTGAATCCACCTATGACCTGGAAGTCCCTGCTTTGAGTTGTCCCATATTTCTGGACCGAACCAATGTACATCTTAGATGTACTGATTGGTGTTTTATGTCCCTAAAATGTATAAAACCAGGCCAGGCACGGTGGCTCACACCTGTAATCCCAGCACTTTGGGAGGCTGAGGTGGGTGGATCACCTGAATTTGGGAGTTCGAGACCAGCCTGACCAACATGGAGAAACCCCATCTCTACTAAAAATACAAAATTAGCCAGGTGTGGTGGTGCATGCCTGTAATCCCAGCTACTCGGGAGGCTGAGGCAGAATTGCTTGAACCCGGGAGGCAGAGGTTGCGGTGAGCCGAGATTGCGCCCTTGCACTCCAGCCTGGGCAGCAAGAATGAAACTCCGTCTAAAAAAAAAAAATGTATACAACCAAGCTGTAACCTGACTACCTTAGACACATGCTTTCAGGATCTCCTGGGGCTATGTCATGAGCCATAGTCACTAATATTTGGCTCAGAATAAATCTCTTCAAATATTTTACAGAGTTTAACTCTTTTCATCAACAAAAGCCAACTTTAAAGAGCCTATATAGCCAATCACTCTTCTTACTGCATTTTGTGCAAATAATCAGGCCAAGTATAATAGGAGTAAAAGTTATTTTGCAAGTAAATTGGTCTTACTATAATTTATCTTTGGTAGAAAGAAAGACTGGAGAGAAAAAAAGTTATGTTTCAGAAGAAAATTATAGTACACCTGCTATTAGATTCTAGTCCTAGGCTGGGCACAGTGGTTCATGCCTGTAATTCTAGCACTTTGGGAGGCCGAGGCAGGTGGATCACTTAAACCCAGGAGTTCAAGACCAGCCTGGGCAACATGGTGAAACCCCATCTCTACAAAAATATATGTATTTTTTTAATTAGCCAGGTGTGGCAGCATGTATCTGTATTCCCAGCTACTTGACAGACTGAGGTGGGAGGATCACCTGAGCCCCAGGAGGTGGAGGCTGCAGTGAGCCATGACTATGCCACTGCACTCCAGCCTGGGCAACAGAGTGGGACCCTGTCACAAAAAAAAAAAAAAGAGAGAGAGATTCTAGCCCTACCATTGTTTTTGAGATTTTATTATTTGTCTACAATTTGGACAAAATTCTGAATTCTTTCCTGGCTACAAGTCTCCAAACTAACATTTCCAAATTTTTCCTTCATTTTTCTGACTTAAATTCACTAAAATTGTAACTACCTTTTCCCTGATGCCCTGCAAGCTGAAGCTTGTGTAAACAACCTCGTGACATGCAAACAACAGAAAAATCTGTCCGATTGCCACTGCCTACTTCCACTTTAACCAAAGATGCTTTGACTGTAATATCTAGACACCTCAACTGACTGCCCTCCAGACTCTAAAAAAACTGGTATATAGACTATTCCCAACATTAACCTTTTTTTTTCCAGGCATTTTCAATAAACCAAACATTATCCTTTGTTTTTCTTCTGTTTGAGAGCCTGTCTGCAATGCCATCTCCTAAAATTGTTACTGGAAAGGGGTCCCAATTCAGGCATCAATAGAGGGTTCTTGGACCTCATGCAAGAAAGAATTCAGGGTGAGTCTGTCACTGTAGGCAGCTAGGCAAACATGAGCAGAGCAGGAGAGGGCCCCCCCCAACCAGGAATGTCAGGCAACCATCAGGTGATGGCCAAGCAGTTGTTAACGCTCTCTCTCTAAAATAATAATTGCTCACAGCCGGTGCCAGAAAAAGGCAGTCTCCCAACAGATTAAAAAAACCTGAAGCTGGTATCAGCAGATCCCCAGTAAGATCTCAGGAGTTGATCAAGTGGGCTCAAGCATGCGCACTAAAAGGCAAAATGGCAGCGTTTTAACCGGTATATGACCTAGGAGCATTTGGTAAGGGAAGAATGCCTCAAGTGAGCATGCATACAACTCCAGTAAACACACTGAGCATGCGGCCTCTCCCAAGTGCTAGCAGGCCGCTATGCATGCAGACAGCCCACCCCGAGGGAAGAACCAGGGAAGACGGCAAGAATCCCGAAGCATGCCAACTTATAAAACCCCAAGTCAAAATGTCAAACCGGGCACTTGATTTCTCAAGTCACTCTCTTGGCCCCCTTCCAAGTGTACTTCACTTCCTTTCATTCCTGCTCTAAAGTTTTATTTATTTATGTTTTCTTTTTTGAGACGGAGTCTCACTCTGTCACCCAGGCTGCAGTGCAGTGGCGTGATCTCAGCTCACCGCAATCTCCACCTCCCGGGTTTAAGCAATGTTCCTGCCTCAGCCTCCTGAACAGCCGGGACTACAGGTGCACAACTGGCTAATTTTTGTATTTTTAGTAGAGACAGAGTTTCATCTATCTATTGGCTTCAGGTTTTTTCTATCTATTGAGAGACTGCCTTTCCCTGGCACTGGCTGTGACCAGTGTCGGCCAGGCTGGTCTTGAACTCCTGACCTCAAGTGATCGGCCCACCTCGGCCTCCCAAAGTGCTGCAATTACAGGCACTTTCGGAGGCATGAGCCACTGCACCCAGCCTTCTGCTCTAAAGCTTTTTAATAAACTTTCACTCCTGTTCTAAAACTTGCCTCAGTCCCTCCTTCTGCATTTATGCCCCTCAGTCAAATTCTTTCCTCTGAGGAGGCAAGAATTGAGGTTGCTACAGACACATAAGGATTCGCCACCGGTAACAAGTCCATAGAGGAAAGTGAAAGCAAGTTTATTAGAGAAGTAAATTTAAAAAGAATGGGCTGCTCCAAAGGCAGAGCAGCCCCGAGGGCTGCTGGTTGGCTATTTTTATGGTTATTTCTTGATTATATGCTAAACAAAGGGTTGATTATTCATGAGTTTTCTGAAAAAGGAGCAGGCAATTCCCAGAACTGAGGGTTCCCCCCCTTTTTAGACATATAGGGTAACTTCTGGATGTTGCCATGGCATTTATTAACAGTTGAGGTGCTGGTGGGAGTGTCTTTTAGCATGCTAATGCATCCTAGTTAGCATATAACAAGCAGTGAGGATGACCAGGGGTCACCTTCCTCACCATCTTGTATTTGGTGGGTTTTGGCCAGCTTCTTTACCACATCCTGTTTTATCAGCAGGGTCTTCATGACCTGTATCTCATGATACCAGTTCTTCTGACCTATTTCATCCTGAGGTTAAGAATACCTAACCTCCTGGGAATGTGGCCCAGAAGGTATCAGCCTTATTTTACCCAGCACCTACTCAAGATGGAGTCACTCTGGTTCAAATACCTCTGCAAAATGAGACACACCTGTTTAATTGGACTGGCCTATTCCCAGAAATGAGAGACTGGTTTAATAGGATCCTTTGCCACTCCGCTATTCACTCAATTTTTCTCTCCACAGCCACCAACTCAGCTTTTGGTGTGTGAAACGACTAGGGATGTTTCAGAGAGGGAAATGTGGGGTTGCAAGAAATGATTCCCCAAAATGTGACGTTTTGGCATTTTGAGCGCTTTTGAAAATTGAAAGGCCTGAAAAAGAAGCCTTAGAATCAAGGTCTCACTAACCTTGTTTTTTTCCTCCCCCTCCCAAGAGCAGCTAGAGACTCTCTGGAATTTCCTCATTGACCAAGAAACTTTCTTTCCAAAAGAAACTCAATCGCCTTTTATTTTTCCCCTGAAATATCATTATCTTGATCAGAAAAGAAAGTGAGGAATGCAACCACACCAACATGGACTTTGTCACAAGATAATGCCTGCCTGCCTCTCAGGCTCATTCAGATTCCAAAGAGAATCATCTATAAGTTAATTTCTATCTCCCTCATCCATTTATTCTAATGATCACTGCCTGCACCTCAAAAGAATTGTCTACATCCGCCACCTTTTTCCTCACCTATGAAAAATGTGATACAAGCTTCTGTACCCTGTTGGGATATGGGGTAATGACGATACAGGAGTTAAGAAGAAATCACTTAGGCAGATAGTAAGGATATGGGAGTCTTCAGTAAAGCTTTTCTTTTCAATGAAAAGCAGCCCCAAATCATTTTCTAACAAAGAGCAGCCTGTAAGGTTGAGCTGGGAGCTTGCACAGGTGAATACTGGCAGGAACTAGGAACCAGACATGTTCAAGATGGCAACTCCATCTTCCCTTCTCTTTCTCGGCCACATGTACTGTAAGGAGCAGATAAGATGGTGCCGGTCAACTGGAAAGCCCATTTGCGTAATAAGATTAGGATGGGGCAACCAGCCTTCCCTATGCAATATGTAAACGTCATACCTGATGGAACCAATCTGTGAGTCCTATGTAAATCAGACACCACTTCCTCAAACTGGACTATAAAATCTGGCACATTCACCATCAGCTGGTCCTTTGCACTAGGAGACCCCTTTCTCTATAGAGAGAGCTGTATCTCTTTCTCTTCTCTTCTGCCTTTTAAACGTCTGCTCCTAAACTCCTCGGGTGTGTCCGTGTCCTAAATTTTCCTGGCTCGCAACATCGAAACCCAGGGTATATACCCCAGACAATGTAGCAGCTTCAGTGACACTCTGGTTCCCACACACATGCACACACACACATTAATAAATCTGCCTTTTCTCCTATTAATCTGCCTTTTGTCTGTTGATTTTCAGCAAACTTTCAAAGAGCAAAGGGGAAGTTTCCCTTTTGCCCATACAGTTTTGGTACTGTGAGCAGGATACTTCTCTGCTCTTTTGGAAACTGCAGTCAAGGGAACCCAAGACCTAACAAGTCTGAAAAAAAGAGATTCTATCATAATAAGAAGGCTCCTCTGCTCTAACCCTTAACAAAAAGTAACCCTCCAGCTTGGGCAACACGGCAAAACCCCATCTCTACAAAATACACAAACATTACCCAGGCATGATGGTATGCACGTATAGTCCCAGCTACTGCAGGGGCTGAGGTGGGAGGATTGCTTGAGCCCAGGAGGTGGAGGTTGCAGTTAGCTGAGATCATGCCACTGCACTCCAGCCTGGGCAACATAGAAAGACCCTGTCTTAAAGAGAGATTTGAGCCCAAAGTCCATTTACAATGGTGAGAGCATAATGTCAATGCCTAAAGTTTTTGTCAATCTCTCAAAAATTAAGAAATTAGCCTAAAGGGGGAGAATTGTTAAATTTTTAAATTGTTAAAAGTTTTGCCTAAAGCTGCCTTCTTATGTATTTTGAGTATAGCCTAAAGGTTGCTCCATAGAGAGTGAACTGTAACCTAACTGGATATGTAAACAGATTGTAACCTACTCTTTTAACAAGTAGCCTAGTCTCAGCCAATCACAGGCAACTAACTGTTGTTCAAAGTGTGTTCAAATTAAGTCACATGTCAAGCTGTAACCAATCCAGCTATTTCCGTACCTCACTTCTGTTTTCTATATGTCACTTTCCTTTTTCTGTCCATAAATGTTATTTGACCATGTGGCTGCCCCAGTGTTGTTGTTACTCTGAACCTATTCTGGTTCTGGCGGCTGCCAGATTCATGAAACATTGTCTGTGTAATTAAACTCTGTTAAGTTTAATTTGTCTAAAGTTTTTCTTTTAACAACTTGTACCATCTATATTTCTCATTGCTGCCAGACTATCCAGGATGTTAAGATCATGATATTACAACATTTAGACATAGTTAATCAGATGTGTGTCTCTCCCAATATACAGCTAACCACCATAGACTGATGCAGCCCTCCTTATTTATGACAGCTCCTTTGTTACTCAAATTTGGCCAATCTCTGAAGTCTTGGATGCACACTGACTTTCAACAACCCCCCTCCATGGGACATAACACTTTAGAAACAGATGCTTCCAGCTCTGAGGGAAACAGATAATAACTCTGTGGCTGACCACCAATCATTGATCAGTGATGCTTCCTCATCCCCTATCTGGATCAATAGGGCAGAAATGTGAAATGTGATATACAAAATGGCATCACTCTGGTTCAGAGCTATAAAATGGCATCAGGAAGCCATTTTAAGAAGGACTTCCTGCATAACCTGCAACCCAGCAAAAAAAAAAAAAAAAAAAGGCAGAAACTTGCTTCGAACCTTTGAATTGGCCCAAATTGTAATGATCATGAATGTAAATATCCTGGAAAACAGCTTAACTTCACCAGCGCAGCAACTCCTGAACAGCAACAACCAATGAACTATAGACACACATACTAAGCCAGCCACCTCCACCAGTGAGAATTCTTTCAAAATAACTTGGGTAATCATCCTCAGCTTCCTTTAAAAAACCGTACTCCCTTCCCTCTCTTCAGAACAGTTTGGCTTGGAGCTGAATCTGTGTCTCCCGAATTGCAATTCTGAAGACCCCAACAAATGCCTGGCTTTACTGCTTTGCAGTCTGGTCTTTCACCTCTTCTTGATTGACAAGACCAAACCAAAATGGAGTCACTCATGCTGAAGTTCCACTCTACCAAGCTAGAACTAAGCTGTTTATTGGACCTTCTGAGAAATCAGGAGAATGATCATAGCCAAATCCTCAAACAAGCTAATTTTGACGGGTTTTGCTGTGGTTATTGCTGTTGTTGTTGTTTTCAGACAGGATCTGCTCTGTCACCCCGGCTGGGGTGCAGTAGTACAATCTCAGCTCACTGCATCCTCAACTTCCTGGGTTCAAGTGATCCTCCTGCTTCAGCCTCCTGAGTAGCTGGGACTACAGGTACACACCCCCATGCCTGGCTGATTCTTTTAATTTTTTTAGACATGGGGTCTCACTATGTTGCCCAGCCCGGGTGCCAACTCCTGGACTCAAGTGATCCTCCCATCTCAGCCTTCCAAAGTGCTGTGATTACAAGTGTGAGTTGTCCCTCCTAACAAGCCAGTTTTAAATTGCATGATAAGGAAGTCCCCTCTGCTTTAACTTTTACAAGAAAAGTAACTTGGAAACAACCAATATGCTTTTCATTTTCTGTTTCTGCTTTCCTCAGTTCTTTTCTGTCTATAAAACCAAACTCCTCTGCTCAGCTCATTGGAACATTCATTCTATTTTATGGAATGAGGTGTTGCCTGATTCTAGATATAATCACAAATCAAAGCCATTTAAGATCTTTAAACTAAATTCGTTGTAATTTTGTCTTTTGGCAACATGAATATTAAATTTTAATATATTTCATAGTGTTAATTATGTAATGAGATATTAAGAGCAGAAAAAAAATATACACATAAACTCTGTCCTGGCTATGACCTCAAAGCTCTATTTCAGTGGCATCTTGACTTTCTTACTTTAAGACCTGGCCTGAATTCTAAATTCATAACACCGTCTAAAGGCTATACAGGCTGGGCGTGGTGCCTCACACCTGTAATCCCAGCACTTTGGGAGGCCAAGGCAGGTAGATCACTTGAGGCCAGGAATTCACGACCAGCCTGGCTAGCATAGCAAAACCCTGTCTCTACTAAAAATACAAAAAATAGCTGGGTGTGGTGGTGTGCTCCTGTAGTCCCAGCTACTTGGGAGGCTGAGGCACGAGAATCGCTTCAACCCTGCAGGCAGGGTTTGAAGTGAGCCAAAATCACGCCACTCCACTCCAGCCTGGGGAACAGAGTGAGACTCTGTCCATTTGAGTGAGACTCTTGCCTCCATTTCCAGCATCATCTAGCACCCGTCTCCTCTTCATTCTCTGCACATTTCTCTGCACATGAATGAGACCTTTGGATCCCTGAAATCCCCAGACTGAGGCTTGTCTGAGGCCTCAAGGCCTCCACTTATGCTGTTTCCTTGCCTGGAATGCTGCCCTCCGTAGGCCTCCCCTTCTTTTCCATATGTCATACTCATCATTTAGGTTTCAACTGAGATATCACTTCCTCAGTGAAGTAATCCCTCACCTCCCAAACTAGGTCAGGTTCTATCCCAGAGGAGCTATAGGAAAGCACCTTACAGGGTCTGAAATTCCCTGAAGCCGGCAGGGAACCATGGACTTTCCTTCTCAAAGAAAGCTGATGTCATTAATAGGCTGTAACCTTCATAAATTGTTCTTAAGAAAGACACGCCCCTACTCAAAGATAAGAAGGAACATGTGTAACATTTAAAAATCCCCATTATTAGCCGGGCACAGTGGCTTATGCCTGTAATCCCAGCACTTTGGGAGGCCGAGGTCAGGAGTTCCAGACTAGCTTGGCCAAGACGGTGAAACCCCATCTCTACTAAAAATTCAAAAATTAGCTGAGCATTGTGGCGGGCGCCTGTAATCCTAGCTACTTGGGAGGCTGAGGCAGAAGAATCCCTTGAACCCAGGAGGTGGAAGTTGCAGTGGGCTGAGATTGTGCCATTGCACTCCAGCCTGGGGGACAAGAGCGAGATTCTATCTCATAAAAGAAAAAAAAAAGAAAAATCCCCATTATTTCTTCTTTTGAAAAGTGTCCAGAAAAAAAAAGAAAAGCAGTACACAGTGGCATATGCCTGTAATCCCAGCACTTTGGGAGGCCAAGGTGGAAGGATTGCTTGAGCCCAGGAGTTTAACACCAACCTAGGCAATATTGCAAGACTCCGTCTCTACAAATAATTTTTTAAAATTAGCTGGGATAGCCAGATGCAGTGGCTCACACCTGTAATCCCAGGACTTTGGGAGGCTAAGGCGGGCAAGTCACTTGAGGACAGGAGTTTGACACCAGCCTGGCCAAGATGGTGAAACCCTGTCTCTACTAAAAATACAAAAATTAGCTGGGTGTGATGGCGTGCACCTGTGGTCCCAGCTACTCAGGAGGCTGAGGTATGAGAATCGTTTGAACCCAGGGGGCGGAGGTTGCAGTGAGCTGAGATTGCACCACTGCACTCCAGCCTGGGTGACAGAGCAAGACTCTGTCTCTAAATAAATACATTAATAAAATAAAATAAAAATTAGCTGGGTGTAGTGTTGTGTGCCTTTGGTCCCAGCTACTCAGGGACTGAGGCAGGAGGATCACCTGAGCCCAGGCGGTCAACACTGCCATGAACCATGATCACATCACCATACTTCAGCCTGAATGAAAGACTAAGACCCCATCTCAAAAAAAAAAAAAAAAAAAGAGAGAGAAAGGTGTCTGTTTGTGTCGTTTTGTCCTTTGTCCACTTTTTTAATGAGGTTGTTTGTTTTTTGCTTGTAAATTTAAGTTCCTTATAGATTCTGGATATTAGACCTTTGTGAGATTCCCAGTTTGTGAATATTTTCTCTCATTCCATAGGTGGTCTGTTTACTCTATTGATAGTTTCTTTTGTTGTGCAGAAGCTTTTTTGTTTAATTAGGGCCCATTGTCAATTTTTGGTTTTGTTGCAATTGCTTTTGGTGTCTTCATCATGAAATCTTTGCCAGGCCGTATGTCCAGAATGGTATTTCCTGGGTTATCTTCCAGGGTTTTTATAGTTTTAGTATTTTTTGTTTTGTTTTGTTTTGTTTTGTTTTTTGTTTTTCTGTTTTTGAGACTCCAGCCTGGGCAACAGTCTTGCTCTGCCGCCTAGACTAGAGTGCAGTGCTGCAATCTCTGCTCACTGAAAACTCCACCTCCTGGATTCAAGCAATTCTTGTGCCTCAGCCACCAGAGTAGCTGGGATTATAGGTGTGCACCACCATGCTTAGCCAATTTTTGTATTTTTAGTAGAGACGGGGTTTCGCCATGTTGGCCAGGCTGGTCTCAAACTCCTGGCCTCAAGTGATCGACCCACCTCGGCCTCCCAAAGTGCTGGGATTACAGGCATGAGCCACCACTCCTGGCCTTAGTTTTAGATTTTACATTTAAGTCTTTAATCCATTTTGAACTGATTTTTGTATATGGAATGAAGGGGTCTAATTTCAGTCTTCTGCATACGGCTAGCCAGTTAGCCTAGCACTATTTATTGACTAAGGAGTCTTTTCCCCATTGCTTGCTTTTGTTAGCTTTGCTGAACATCAGACATTTGTTGTGTGACATTATTTCTGGGCTCTCTATTCTGTTCCATTGGTCTGTGTGTCTGTTTTTCTACCAGTATCATGCCATTTTGATTACTATAGCCTCGTAATATAGTTTGAAGTCAGGTAACATGATGCCTCCAGCTTTATTGTTTTTTGCTTAGAATTGCCTTGGCTATTTAGACTCTTTATACATGTGGCCAACAAGCATATGAAACAATGCTCAACATCACTAATCATTAGAGAAATGCAAATCAAAACCACAATGACATACCATCTCACAACAATCAGAATGGCTATTATTAAAAAGTAAAAAAATAACACATGCTGGCAAGGTTGCAGAGTAAAGGAATGCTTATCCACTGCTGGTGGGATTATGAATTTGTTCAGCCATTGTGGAAAGCAGTTCGGTGATTCCTCAAAGAACTTGAAATAGAATTACCATTCGGCCCAGCAATTTCATTTGTTATTGGTTATATGCCCAAAAGAATATTAATCACTCTACCATAAAGACACATACACATGTATGTTCACAATAAGAAAGACATGGAATCAACCTAAATGCCCATGAATGGTAGCCTGGATAAATAAAATGTGGCACATATACAACATGGAATACTATGCAGTCATGAAAAAGAATGAGATCATGTACTTTGCAGCAACATGGATGGAGCTGGAGGCCATTAGCCTAAGCAAATGAAAGCAGGAACAGAAAACAAAATATCACACGTTCTCACTTTTAAGTGGGAGCTAGACCCCAAAAACTCATGAAAACAAAGAGGGGAATAACAGACACTGAGGCCTACTTGAGGGTTTGAGGGTTGAAGGTGGAAGGAAGGAGAATCGCTTGAACCCAGGAGGCGGAGGTTGCAGTGAGCCGAGATCGTGCCATTGCACTCCAGCCTGGGCAACAAAAGCAAAACTCCATCTCAAAAAAAAAAAAGAAAAGAAAAAAGAAAGTAGACCCCTATCTCTCATCATTTACAAAAATAAAATCAAAATGGATTAAAGACTTAAATCTAAGTAATGAAACTACTACAAGAAAACATTGGGGAAACTCTCCAGGGCACTGGTCTGGGAAAAAAATTTCTTGAGTAAATACCTCACGGGCACAGGTGACCAAAGCAAAAATGGAGAAACGGGATCATATCAACTTACAAAGCTTCTACACAGCAATAGATACAATCAACAAAGTGAAGAAGACAACCCACAGAATGGGAGAAAATATTTGCAAACTATCCATCTGACAAGAGATTAATAACCAGATTATATAAGAAGCTCAAACAACTCTATAGAAAAAAATCTAATAATCTGATTAAAAACTGGGTAAAAGATCTGAATAAACATTTCTCAAAAGAAGGTAGACAAATGGCAAGCAGGCATATGAAAAGGTGCTCAAAAGGTGCTCTGATGATCAGTGATCATCAGAGAAATACAAATCAAAACTACAATGAGATATCATCTCACCCCAGTTAAAATGGCTTTTATCCAAAAGACAGGCAATAACAAATGCTAGTGAGGTTGTGGAGAAAAGGGAATCTTCATACACTGTTGCCGGGAATGAAAATTAGTACAACCACTACAGAGAACAGTTTGGAGTTTCTTCAAAAAAACAAAAATACAATGCAGCAATCCCACTGCCGGGTATATATCCAAAAGAAAGGAATTCAGTGTATTGAAGAGATATCTGCACTTCCATGTTTGTTGCAGCACTGTTCACATAGCCAAAATTTGGAAGCAACTTAAGTGTCCATCAACAGATGAGTGGATATAGAAAATGTGGTACTTATACACAGTGGAGTACTACCCAGCCATAAAAAAGAATAAGAATGTTGTTGTCATTAGCAACAACATGGATGGAACTGGAGATCATTATGCTAAGTGAAATAAGCCAGACACAGAAAAACAAACATTGCAGGTTCTTACTTATTTGTGGGATCTGAAAACCAAAACAACTGAGTTCATGAAAATAGAGAATAGAAGGATGTTTACCAGTAGCTGGGAAAAATAGTGGGAGGGTGTTGGGGGATGGTCAGGATGGTTAATGGGTAAAAAAAAAAATAGTTAAAAACAATGAATAATACCTAGTATTTGCTAGCACAACAAGGTAACTATAGTCAATAATAACTATATTTTTAAATAACTAAAAAAGTATTATTGGATTATTTGTAACACAAAGGATAAATGCTTGAGGATACCCCATTCTCTGTGTTGCGATTATTAAGCATTGCATGCCTGTATCAAAACATCTTATGTACTCCATAAATATGTACCTACTGTGTACCCACAAAATTCCAAAATAAATTTAAAAAAGAAAGAGAAAATACTTATTGCGTACTATGCTTACTATGTGGGTGATGAAATAATCTGTACACCAAACCCCTGTGGCACGCCGTTTACCTACGTAACAAACCTGCACATGTACCCTTGAACCTAAAATAAAAGTTACAGTAAAACAACGAAAAGAAAAATTCCCATTAAAAGCCTGTTTTGGTTTAGAAATCATGCTTGCTTGCCTTTTATATTACATAATAGTAAGAGGAATATTGCCCTTCAGTATCCCAAACAAGGCAAGAGAGTTGTCACTGGACATTTCCATGGATCTACAACTTCTGCTGCAGGAAGCAATAAAACAGGCCAGAACAACAGTGCACACACACACACACACACACACACACACACACACACCAGAATAGGAGTCAGGTAGTTTGTGCAGTAGCTCATCAGCCAACTGGGGGCAAGACTCCTTTGCTGCCTGCCTCTGATATCCACAATCAGCCCCCAGTGTGTCAGCACCTGCAGGACCGTCTCAGCCAGAGCAGAGACCCACAAGCAGTGCCATTTATAACTAAATACTGATAAACTAGATTAACAGGGAGCCAAGAGCAGGTAAAAACTTTGGCTTAGTCTCTGTCTTTGCATGCCCTGAGTTGTCTGTCTTCATTGTAAGCACAAGATTTAGAGTAAGATCTGATTCTGACCAAGAGAAAGGAAGCAGCTTCAAGGTTAGAGCCTAGAACAGCCCTCAACTACACATGTCCGTAACTCCCTGCACTCCTGTTTGTAGAACTCATAGTCATTTCTTTAATGTTTATTCTCCCGATTAGAA
Organism: Homo sapiens; assembly: GCF_000001405.40. Lineage (NCBI taxonomy): Eukaryota > Metazoa > Chordata > Mammalia > Primates > Hominidae > Homo > Homo sapiens. The sequence goes on from NC_000006.12 coordinate 89,018,653, forward strand.
TATAAGCTCCATAAAGGCAGAAATAAAACTGTCTTGTTCCCTGTAGTATTTTCATCAGGTCATGCATAGTATGACCTCAATAAATGTTTGTTTGAAAAAAAAAATCTTAGCCAGACACAGTGGCTCATGCCTTTAATCCCAGCACTTTGGGAAGCTGAGGCAGATGGATCATTTGAGCCCAGGAGTTTGAGACCAGCCTGGCCAACATGGGAAAACCCTGTCTCTACTAAAAATACAAAAAACTTAGCCGGGCGTGGTGGTGCACGCCTGTAGTCCCAGCTACTTGGAACACTGAGGCATGAGAATCATTTGAACCCAGGAGGTGAAGGTTGCAGTGAGCCGAGATTGCACCAGTGCACTCTAGCCTGGACGACAGAGTGAGACTCTGTCTCAAAAAAACAAAACAAAACAAAAAAACCTCTGTCTCTTCTTCATTATACTACCATTTGCAAGTTTCATGAGGACCATCCTAAAAGCCATCTTCTTGTGTCTTATCCTGTGTATTCTTCACTATATCCATTCATTTATTCTTTCATTTAATCAATTATTTAACTAACATTTATACAATTACATTGAGGTAGCAAATATTACTATTAAAAATGTATTTATTTATTTGAGACAGGGTCTCGCTTTGTTGCCCAGGCTCGAGTGCAGTGGCACAGTAGCGACTCACTGCAGCCTCAACCTCCTGGGCTCCAGCCATCCTCCCACCTCAACCTCCTGAGTAGTTGGGACTACAGGCACATACCACCATACCTGGCTAATTTTTGTATTCTTTGTAGAGATGAGGTTTTGCCGTGTTGCCCAGGCTAATCTGGAACTCCTGGGCTCAAGCAATCCTCCAGTCTCAGCCTCCCCAAGTGCTGGGATTATAGAAGTGAGCCACTGTGCCCAGCCAAAAAATCTTCTACCCTTAAGAAGCTCATGATCTGTAAGAGGCCCACAGGTTACTAAATCACAATATGATATAGAAGTGCCACAATAGAGTATAAAAGGGATACTATAGACATAGTAGTTAAAATAGCAATGAAGTGCTTTTTTCCCCTACTAAAATTAACAAACATAAAAATAACATAGTAGTAGTCAATCCCACCGTGTTCCATCCTAACAGACTCCCAGTTTGCGTGCCTCATCCATGCAATCAGGTGACTCAAGAGAGGCTGACTTCATTCTCAATTCCAAAAGCTGATTCCACACAAACCAAAGGTCATAATCCCATCCAGTGGGATTGCCAGTGATTGGTTCAAGAATACAAGTTTAAACCAAGGGTTGGCTGGGCAGGGTGGCTCACGCCTGTAATCCCAACACTTTGGGAGGCTGAGGTGAGAGGATCCCTTGAAACCAGAAGTTCAAGGCCAGCTTGGGCAACATGGCAAGACCTCCGGAGGTTGAGGCTGCAGTAAACTGTGTTAGTGTCACTTCACTCCAGCCTGGGTGACAGAATGAGACCCTGTCTCAAAATAAGATAAAATAAAATAAAAATAAGCCAAGGGTCAAGCTTAAAGTGAATTACATTGCCCCAAGGACCATTCTATGTCCAGGAAGAAGCACATGACCTAAAAATGGCCCAATCAGATTTAAAATGGAACTTTATTCCATCATTAGGGTAGCATTCTCCCACTCTTGTGTTTAAAATGGAACTTTATTCCATCATTAGGGTAGCATTCTCCCCCTCTTGTGCAGAACACAAACAAGGAAGTAGGCTGCCCCAGCTTGTGATCTGAGGGATCCCTGAGGACAATGACAGACGGTCAAAAGCAGGGAGGGAGATGTGAGATAACTGCAGTAAAATATGGCTAGAACCCAAATTACAGCATACCTGGGCCCTGCCCTACTTCTGAGATTTTTTAAAGCAGCAATTACCATACATTCCTTATTGTTTAAGACAATGTGAATTAACAGTTATTTGTTACTTGCACCCAAAATATCCTTACAATACCAAATAAAGGTATTGTAAAACTGCATAACAAGATGGGGAAATGTTAACGCTTATACTACTAGTCCCTAAAAAATAGAATACAAGATAATATACACATAATGGTAATAGCAATATTAAAAAGTCAGAATAGTTACAAAAATGCTAACAATAATTGCATTTGGATAGATATACTCTTGAGGACTGTTTTTCTGAGTCTCCCAATTTTCTGGAATAAATATATCTTACTACTAAAATAAAGAATCATTTGGAGATGTTTTGGAAACTGAGGCATGAATGCCTAACTCTATCTAGAGAAGTTAGAATGGACCTTATGAGAAGTGACGTGAGCTGACACTGTAACAAGTAGCATTTGCCAGAGGAGAAAGAAAGGGGTAATTCTAGGTCATGTTTACTTCCTTTGTTAGGTTTGGGCACATTAACTGCCATTAGCCTTAGTTTCCCCATTTGTAAACTGGGGGTATTACCTACCTCACAGAGTTTTCACTGGAATTTTAAGTTATTATTATTATTATCCTTTATGTTATTGTTATGTCAAAGGCAAAGGGTCGTCAAAGTGCATGTCTGGCTCAGGGAGTTTGGAATTTATTTATTTATTTTTTTTTGAGATGAAGCTTCACTCTTGTCGCCCAGGCTGGAGTGCGGTGGCACAATCTCGGCTCACTGCAACCTCCACCTCCTGGGTTCAAGAGATTCTCCTGCCACAGCCTCCTGAGTAGCTGGGATTAGAGGCATGTGCTGCCACGTCCAGCTAATTTTGTATTTTTAGTAGAGACAGGGTTTCTCCATGTTGGTCAGGCTGGTCTCGAACTCCTGACCTCAGGTGATCCACCTGCCTCAGCCTCCCAAAGTGCTGGGATTACAGGCATGAGCCACCATGCCCGGCCGAGTTTTGAATATTTTGTGTGTCTGAAGCATGGGACTCATGGGAAGGATGGGGCTGGAAATCTAGGCAGTAAGTAGCAAGGTCATGAAGGACCTTGGATGTTGTGTGAGAGATGGAGCTTCAATAAGCTTGAAGCCCACCCTGTTTGGGAAAGCCAGATTCAGAGGTCACCTGGAACTGTTCTTGGATTCCACCTCGGCCCGCTGTGATCCCTTAGAAATGTGCTTAGACTGATTCCCACTGTCTCCAGTACCAAGCTGAAAAGAGGCAAGAAGGTAAATATCTCCTCCCCTGAGAAAGTTGATTCGTAGTTTGCACCAGCAGGCTGTCATGGAGACAGGACAGCTATGCACTTCTCAGAACAATTGGGAGAGGCCATTCTGAATACTGCCAAGTCCTGTGTTTTGTTATGCAGGGTGAAGGAACTGGTACCTTTTGCCTGTGGCGTTTGCAGCATCTTTTCACCTCCACCCTTTTGATAATCATGTGACATGCCAAGGAACTGGTTTTTCCACCTATAGGCCAGTGGTTCTTCCCTCTTTTTGAGACACAGGCCTTTTTGAGAGTGTAATGAAAACTACAGGCCCTCTCCTGGGAAATAGATGTATTCATGTCATTCATCTACACTACTTTAGAGAGTTCATTTGTCCATATGTCTGCTAAATATCTGTGGACCATAGGTTAAGGACCTCTCTTGCAGAAACAATGCATCATTGAAGGGTTTTAAGAAAGGAAGTAGCCAGTCACTGCAGAAGTGTGGTGGAAGATGGATTTGGAAGTTGAGACTAAAGGCAAGAATACCATCCATGAGAACACAGCAAAAGTCTGAAGGTCAAATTGACAAGAGCCTGAACTAAAGCAGCGTACATGGAAAAGGAGAGGAGGTGACGACTAGAGAGAAAGCTTATGTAGGTCTTTGTGATGGAGTGTGTGGAGGGTGGGAGAAGACAGCCTGAGGGAGAGGATGGGGTTCAGGAATCCTCCTTTGTCTTCACTCACCATGGTTGAAGCTGTGGACTGCCAGTAGAGTAAGCTCTAACCTACATAAAGTTTAGGTCTCCACCATGCCATCTCCCCACAAGTACAGCAACCGCAAATTTCTAATCTGGTGAATGTGTATGATCAATAATGTTAAACAATGAAAATAACCACAGAATCAATTTATTAAAAGTTCTGGTCCTCTGGAAGTACCCTCTGTAATAAATCTCCTGTGCCAACTTTTTTTTTAAAAAAAGCAAGACTAGGAACAATTTCTCAGAAAGTATCATTTTGTATTACAACAGAAATCTATTCTTTTCATAATATTAGTTGAAGTAGCCACCTAGAAACAATCAATTTTAGCAGAACATAGAGTACTTCTACAAAGATTTATCACCAATATAGATTTCCTTTTTTAACTTAATGACTCACCAGCAAAAACCTTTAAAACTGGAAGGCTCTGTGCTTTGTGAGATTGCCAAAGTTAGTCACTGATTTATTCCCCTAAGTGTAATTTGGAAGAACCTGCTATGTAAATCTGAATACTGTAAACCATGCACCATGAATCTTTTAAAATCTAGTTTTCCTATTAATGGTGCCTAAATGCTTAAGAGCAGACTCACAAATTAGGAGGGGGAAGGGAGCCCTCTGGGACCTTTTCTGTGAGAAACTTTTGTGCTACAATTTCTACTGAACCTGCATTTGGAGGATCAGCAGCAGATTCAGCAGGAATGGAAGCAGAGAACTGGGTCCTTTGGCAGACAGACCTAACTTTCCAACCACAATAAAGACTGATGTCTTAAGGTTGGATAAATACTCCTGAAATTATTGAGTTTATCACAGAAAAGGGACCCTGAAAAGAAAAGTCATTCTTGAGTTAAAGCTACAAACAACTGTGAATTGTAATAAGTGTTCTAAAGGAAATGTGCACAGTACTATGATCATGTCTTTTTTCCTGTGAAAATGTCTGCAATGGGATTGACTTGGTCTAGGAGTGTTAGAGGAGTTTTCTTGTTTTTTTTTTTCCAGGCAGGGTCTGGCTCTAGCACCCAGGCTGGAGTGCAGTGGTGTGATTTCGGCTCGCTGCAGCCTCCAACTCCGGAGCTCAATCAATCCTCCCACCTCAGCCTCCTGAGTAGCTGGGATTACCAGTGCATGCCACCATGCCCAGCTAGTTTTGTATGTTTTGTAGAGACGGGGTCTTTCCATGTTGCCCAGGCTGGTCTTGAACTCCTGGACTCAAGAGATCCTCCCACCTTGGCCTCCCAAAGTGCTGGGATTACACGTGTGAGCCACTGTGCCCGGCCAGAGGAGTTTTCTTGAAGTGACTCTTTCCCTTATCTAATATTGCACAACAAACTACCCTAAAACATAATAGCACAAAGTAACAAGCTTAAAGAAGACAAAAGAGATATAGAGAGGAACCACTTTATTTGCACACAATTTTGTAATTCGGGCTGGGCTCAGATGGTCAGTTTCTCTGGTCTTGTCAGTGGTCACTCAGGAGGCTGCATCCAGCTGGCACTTAGGCTAGGCCACAGCTGGGATTCTCTCATGTAATCTTTCCATTTGGTCTCTCCAGCAGGATAATCAGACCTTTAATATGTTGGCTCAAGCCTTCCAAGAGCACAAAAATAGAAGCTGCCAGCCTTTCCTAAGGCTTAGGCTTGGAACTGACACAGCATCATATCTGCTGAATTCCACTGGTTAAATCAGTCCACCCAGAGTTCAGGAGAGGGGACTATCACACAAGGGCATGAATACTGGAAGATGGAATTCATCAGGGGCCACCTTGTAACAAGCTATTAGAATGACCTTAGGCAGCAACCTGGAAGATGAGTAAGAGTTAACTGGGCAAAGAGGGAGGAAGAATGTTCCAGGCAGGGCAGTAGTATATGCAAAGCAGTTATGGCAGAGGATCCCCAGGCATTTCTAAGTGACTGAAAGAAAGCCAAGTTTGCTGGAGCACAGAGATCAAGGGAACAGTGGGTACAGGCAGGAAGGGGCCAGACCATGTGGTGCCACCGCATTCTTTAGGAAACTTTCAAATGCAAGTGGTAGAATCCCAATGCAAACCAACTCAAGCAAAAATATAAACAAACCAAAACAAGATAAACAAAAATAAAAAGAGAAAGAGAATTTATGCACTTATATTCCTGGAAAGTCCAGGGCCCAGTGGGTTGACTTCAAGTATGGCTATATCCAGGGCTTCAAATGACATCACCAGGAATTTGTCTCCCTCCATCTCTCTCCCTTTTATTTTTAGATGGAGTCTCATTCTGTCACCCAGGCTGGAGTGCAGTGGTAGTATGATCTTGGCTCACTGCAACCTCTGCCTCCCAAGTTCAAGAGATTCTCCTGCCTCAGCCTCCCGAGTAACTGGGATTATAAGACCCCACCACTACACCCAGCTAATTTTTTTTTTTCTTTTGAGACAGTCTTGCTCTGTTGCCAGGCTGGAGTGCAGTGGCGTGATCTCAGCTCACTGCAATCTCTGCCTCCCGGGTTCAAGCAATTCTCGTGCCTCAGCCTGCCGAGTAGCTGGGACTATACAGGCACCCGCTACCACACCCGGCTAATTTTTGTATTTTCAGTAGAGACGGGGTTTCACCATGTTGGCCAGGATGGTCTCAATCTCCTGACCTTGTGATCTGCCCGCCTGGGCCTCCCAAAGTGCTGGGATTACAGGCATGAGTCACTGCGCCCAGCTAATTTTTGTATTTTTTAGTAGAAACAGAGTTTTGCCATGTTGGCCAGGCTAGTCTCGAACTTCTGACCTCAGGTGATCCACCCGCCTCGGCCTCCCAAAGTGCTGGGATTACAGGTGTGAGCCACCACACCCAGCCTCTTTTATATTTTGAATTTTTTTTTTTTTTTTTTTTTGAGACAGGGTCTCTTTCTGTTGCCCAGGCTGGAGTAGAGTGGCAAGATCACTGCAGCCTCTAACTCCTGGGCTCAAATGACCCACCTCAGCCTCTCGAATAATTGGGACTGCAGGTGCATGCCACCATACCAGACTAATATTTTATTTTTTGTAGAGACAGGGTCTCGTATGCTGCTGAGCCTGGTTTCAACTCCTGAGCTCAAACAATCCTCCCACTTTGGCCTCCCAAAGCACTGGGATTACAGCCATTGAACCACCACACCCGGCAGTCTCACCTTTCTAAAATCCTTTAGAGATTCCCCATTGTCTACAGGAACCCTTCTCCCAGGAGTCCATCACCATCCAGCCCTTGTCTCCCTTCCCAACTTTGTCTTCCCTTCTTCCTCCCATCACTTCCTCACCCCAGTTATACCTCAAAGGCTCCGTGCTCTTCCAGCTTCTAGGCCTTTTAATATACTGCTTCCTTGTCCTGGCATGCCCTTCTCCTTCAGTTTTCCTTTTATCAGTACAGCATAGTAATTGGGTCACACCTTCTTTCAAATCCTGACTCCTCTGTTTGCTAGCCAGGATGTTAAGCAAGTAACTTAACCTCTTGAGCTTTATTTTCCGCTCCTGGAAAATGGAGATAATAACAACCACGACCTCTGAGACCTAATGTAAAGATTGTTTTGTTTTTGAGACAGGGTCTCACTCTGTTGCCCAGGCTGGAGTGCCGTGGCACCATTACAGCTCACTGCAGCCTCAGTCTCCCCAGACTTAGGTGATCATCCCACCTCAGCGTCCCGAGTAGCTGGGACTACAGGCATGCACCACCACACCTGGCTAATTTTTGTACTTTCTTTTTGGAGACTGACTTTCGCCATGTTGCCCAGGGTGGTCTTGAACTCCTAGGCTTGAGGGATCCTCCCGCCTTGGCCTCCCAAAGTGCTGGGATCCAGGCATGAGCCACCACACCCAGCCTAGTATAAAAACTGAATGAGAAAGCAAATGTAAAACCCTTAGTGAAATGCCTGGCATAAAGGAAAGGCCCACTTAATGCCAGCTATCGCTGCACTCAAAATTCAAGTGTCGTGTTAAGTCATTGCTCTCTTGACTTCTATGGTTGGCTGAATGATAGCTCCCCAAAGAGGTTCACATCCTGATCCCTGGAGCCTGTTTATATGTTATTTTACATGGTAAAAGGACTTTGCAGATGTGATTAAGTTATCTTAAGATAGGCGAGTACCCTGGATTATCAAGGTGGGTCTGATGTAATCATAAGGGGTCCTTGTAAAAGGAAGGCAGGAGGTGAAAGAGAGGAGGAGGTGATGTGATGATGGTAGCAGAGGTGGGAGTGATGCAGCCACGTGCCAAAGAATGCCAGCCACTTCTAGAAGCTGGGAGGAAGGATTCTCCCCTGGAGCCTTCAGAAGGAACTGGCTCTGTCAGTGCCTTGATTTTAGCCCTTAAGACTCATTTCTAACTTCTGACCTCCAGAACTGTAAGAGAATAAATTTGTGTTGAATGAAGCCACAAAATTTGTGGTAATTTTTTACAGCAATAATAGAAATGAATATAACTTCCTAGAGATGGGTTGAACCCATAGCATTTACATGCAGATAGATAATTTTTCATTCATTTTTCTCACCCGTTAGGTGTGTGTGTGTTTTTAATTTTTAATTTATTTATTATTTTCTTTTTTAGTACAGAATCATCTGCTCTAAAATTTTTTTAATTTTTTTAATTTTTTTTTTTTTGAGACGGAGTCTCTCTCTGTTGCCCAGGCTGGAGTGCAGTGGTGCAATCACAGCTCACTGCACCCAGTGAACTGCCAAGAACTGCTGCTTCTTATTAATGTTTGAAACCACCTTGACCTCTTGGGTTCAAGGGATCTTTCTGCCTCAGCCTCCTGAGTAGCTGGGACTACAGGCATGTGCCACCACGCCTGGCTGATTTTTGTATTTTTTGTAGAAACAGGGTCTAGCCATGTTGCTCAGGCTGGTCTCGAACTCCAGGGCTCAAATGGTCCTCCTACCTCAGCCTCCCAAAGTTCGGGGATTACAGACGTGAGCTACCACGCCCAGCCAGGCTGTGTGTTAAGAGCTGCTGCTCTTTTTTGTTTTTTTAACTCCCCTCCTTTTTTTTTTTTTTTTTTTTTTTTTTGACAGGATCTCCTTCTAGACCCCAGGCTGGAGTGCAGTGGCATGATCTCAGCTCACTGCAACCTCTGCCTCCCAGGTTCAAGCAATCTTCCTGTCTCAGCCTCCTGAATAGCTGGGACTACAGGCATGTGCCACCATGCCTGGCTAATTTTTGTAATTTTTTGTAGAGACAGGGTCTCACTATGGTACCCAGGCTGGTCCTGAATTCCTGAGCTCAATCAATCCCCCCACCTTGACCTCCCAAAGCTCTGGGATTACAGGTGTGAGCTACCATGCCCCACCAAGAGCTGTTGCTTTTTATTAATATTTGAAACCACCTCCTATTTCCACCTCCACATACCTAGCACAATGCCTGGCATCTTCTCAAACTCCAATAAATATTTAATGAAGGTAAGTTTATGATCTCAAGTGTGATTTCTGTTTGGATTCGGTTCATGTAAAAAAGGAGGAACCAGCCGTGAATTCTCAAATAAGTTTCAGTCTGTGGCAAGCACAGATCTGGGAGATGCATCAAGGGAAACAACTGAAAACTTGTCTGGAGATTATTGTAAAAAAAAGAGAGAGAGAGAAGTGACTACAACTGAAAGAGTACCTGGCCCTGGAATCTTTTATATGATGAAAATTTTATGGGGTTCTAGTCTCTGCTTCTTGAAGATACAGTGGAGCTAGAAAAGATCCAGAGGACACCAAAGATGATTAAGGGCAGAAGGAATCATGTATGCTGGTAAAAATAAAAAAGATGCCATTGCAAAAAAGTTCATCTTAAACTCACAAAGAATAGCGTAATTTTCTCAAATCCTGAAAAAAATTGAAATAGGCAACATTCCTTGAAGCCTGACTGTCCTTCCAACAAAAATAAAAGAAGTAGCTCTATGTATAGCATGTACTAAAATATAGAATCCATTACTCCAAGAGGCGGTGGCTACAGAAAATAAACACTACAAGATAGGGCTGGGTTCAGGGTCAAGCCAGCCAGGCAGTTGCCCCAGGTGCCTCACATAGGCACAAATCATTTGCAAATAAATAATAATGTGGTGTTTGTTAACTCACATTTCCACATACAGCTTCTTACAGTTTACATCAGGAAAATTTACCTGGCACTGTTGAAACAAACGGTGCCTGTGAGTAGAATTTAAAGAAAAGAGGCCAGGCACGGTGGTTCATGCCTGTAATCTCAGCACTTTGGGAGGCTGAGGTGGGCGGATCACCTGAGGTCAGGAGTTCGAGACCAGCCTGGCCAACATGGTGAAACCCGGTCTCTACTAAAAATACAAAAATTAGCCGGGTGTGATGGTGGGTGTTTATAATCCCAGCTATTCAGGAGGCTGAGACGGGAGAATTGCTTGAACCCGGGAGGCAAAGCTGAGATCGCGCCATTGTACTCCAGCCTGGGCGGCAAGAACAAAACTCCATCTCAAAAAACAACAACGAAAAAAAGAATTTAAAGAAAAGGAAAGCAAAAATCTCATCATGTGAATTCATCTGCTTTGGAATGTTTTTGAATTGTACATATAAGCAGCCTCATCTACTAAACCTCTGGATTCAACAGTGAATGGATGGCTTTGGTGCTGTTTACTGGAAGAAGGAAGTGATTTATTTTCTTAACTTCATTTTAATCTCTTTAATACACTTTACAAAAAATTATCTTGTTCCAGACAAAATCACAAAAGGAAACTAGAAAGAGAACAAGAACCACAGAGAAATGGGAATTATTGTGCAAGTTTTTTTTTCAGATCATTAAACTTTACATTGGCTAGTGGAAGTAAGGGAGCAAATTAATCTTAAGTAAATAATTGTATCAATAATATGTAATTTAATACACTTTGCATTTAGAAATGTTGAACAACTACTTAAGATTCCTTAAATATTATTATTTTGAGGGGCTCCCATTCTGGGGAGCTGAGTTTCTCCATTATATCTTAATTGCTTAGGAAAGAGTTGTGAAAGTCCATACCAAGTTATAAATGGCAATTTAGACTTTAGTTTTAAGATAGCTTGGGATAATAATCCTTGAGCAAACCAACTCACCAGGTTATGAATGAAGGAGCTAGAGGGTATGAAAGTTCTTTAAAACTCGTCACTGCTGCGCTAATATACTTTAGGCCCCCGCCTGCTCCAGCCCTCCTGCCCCTGCTGTGTTGATTATGATATTGCTTGGCTGTCCAGGTCTAGAAACAGAAAAACTGTCCTGCTCTATTAAAATGAGCCTTCTCACTGGCCAGTTGGGAAATGGTCCCTAGAGCTGGCATGCCTGGTGTGTGAGCCACCCAGCTCCCATCATGCCTGATTCTCCAGAAGGGCGCATCTCTTATGCCAGGTGTTCTGCAGCCCTGAGATGCAAGGACTAGAGCCTAGCCTTGAATTCTGGACAGGCTGTCAAAATCAGCTGTGCCAACCCTTGCACTGGGTTCTGACTCAGCAGACCCCTTCCCCTGAAACTGACCCTATTTCTAATCATCTCTCTTACGCATTAGGTCCTCCTATTTCAATACCTTGGGAAGCCCCAAAGAAAGCAGAGAAACAGGATTCCTGGCTCCAAGTTGTCTCCTTCCTCCAGATGCAGAAGCTTGCATTATCGACTTTAGTCATCCTGCTCGTCTTTTCAGATTGCTCTACCCAATGCCTGCCAGACCCTTGCTCTTACCTACCCCTCCCCTCCCCAGTCCTTGGGGATTTCCAACATAGTACTCACCCAGGGTTCTGCTTTTTACTATAAATTTTATAGTATATATAAACAGTATATATATATACATACTACTTTTAGTATATTTTAAATATATTACCATACACACATGTATCTTTAACCTCAAAAATTGCACTATGGGCTATATTATGAATACGGGTTAAACTACTTTTTGATGTAGTTTAAATGAAACAGCAATTGCCTCTCATACATTAACCCATAGTGCAATTTTCAAAAGACAAAGCATGTGGTGGGAATGTGAAATGGTTCAGTCACTTGGGAAAACAGTTTGGTAGTTCCTCACGATGTTAAACATAGCGTTAACATGACCAAGCAATTTCATTCCTAGGTATATGCTCAAAAGAAACAAGAACATACGTCCACACAAAAACTTGTACACAAATGTTCACAGCAGCATTATTCATAATAGCCAAAAATGGAAATATCCCAAATGCCCATTAATTGATCAATGGACAAACAAAATGTGGTATATTCCTACAATGGAATGTTATATCCATACAATATAATATATAGCCATCCAGTGGAATCCATAATCCATACAGTGGAATGTTATGTAAAAAGAATAAAGTGCTGATACATGCTAAACCATCATTGAACCTTGAAAACATTATGCTAAGTGAACAAAACCAGCCACAAAAAAACACCTATTAGCTGGGCACAGTGGCTATGCACCTGTAATCCCTGCAACTTGGAAGGCCAAGGCAGAAAGATCTCTTGAGTACAGAAGTTTGAGTCAAGCCTGGGCAACATAGGGAAACCTGCATCTCTAAAACAAACAAATAAACTTTTAAAACAATGCATACTGTATGATTCTACTTATATGAAATTTCCAGGAAAAAATCTATAGAGACAGTTTCATCATTGTCTGAGGGGTGGGAGTGATGGATAAGAAGTGACTGTTTCTTTTGGGGGTGATGAAAATGTTCTAAAATTAGATTGTGGGGATGGTTGCACACCTCTGTGAATATACTAAAAACATCTGAGTTGCACAGTTTAAATGAATAAGTTATATAGTTTGTGAATTATATCTCAACAAAGCTGTTTAATAAAAAGATGTTTTGTTTATGCCTAACAAAAATTGTGTTTATGTTTTTCTTATACATGGCATTTAAAGAAGATATTTTTTCAAAGTTTGGGCCAGGCGAGGTGGCTCATGCCTGTAATCCCAGCACTTTGGGAGGCTGAGGCGAGTGGATTGCCTGAGGTCAGGAGTTCGAGACCAGCCTGGCCAACATGGTAAAACTCTGTCTCTACTAAAAGAAAAAAAAAAAAAATTAGCCAGGCCCGGTGGTGCCTGCCTGTAATCCCATTTCCTAGGGAGGCTGGGCCTGGAGAATCACTTGAACCCAGGAGGCAGAGGTTGCAGTGAGCCAAGATCGGGCCACCTTACTCCAGCCTGGGTGACAGAGTGAGACTCTGTCTCAAAAAAAAAAAAACAAAAAGTTTGATTACACAAGAAATAATTCCTTCTCATTATTTAAAAAATCAAATGTTACATATAAAGTTAAATTCTCCTTTGATAAGCAAGTCTAATCCTTTACCCTCCCCCCAAAATGAGTAGCTCTTCATTCTTCCAGGCTGTTTCCTTATAGAAATATATATTTTTTGTTTTTATGTATGGATTTTATTTGTGTTTTTTATTTTTATTTTATCATACTGTATTTTATTTCATATCTTGCTTTTTTCACACTTGAGAGCTTTCCATGCCAGTCCATACAGGTATGTCTTATTCTTTTTTTTTCTTTCTTTTGAGACAGAGTCTCGCTCTGTCACCCAGGCTGGAATGCAGTGGCGTGATCTCGGCTCACTGCAACCTCTGCTTCCCAGGTTCAAGCAATTCTCCTGCCTCAGCCTCCTGAGTAGCTAGGACTACAGGCATGCACCACCACTCCTGGCTAGTTTTTCTATTTTTAGTAGAGACGGGGTTTCACCGTGTTGGCCAGGCTGGTCTTGAACTCCTGACCTCGTGATTCGCCCACCTCAGCCTCCCAAAGTGTTGGGATTACAGGCATGAACCACCGCACCCGGCCTTTTTTTTTTTTTTTTAGACGAAGTTTCGCCCTTGTTGCCCAGGCTGGAGGGGGCAGTGGCACGATCTTGGCTCACTGCAACCTCCGCCTCCTGGGTTCAAGCAATTCTCCTGCCTCAACCTCCCGAGTAGCTGGAATTACAGGCACCCACCACTATGCCTGGATACGTTTTGTATTTTTAGTAGAGACGGGGTTTCACCATGTTGTCCAGGCTGGTCTTGAACTCCTGACCTCTGGTGATCCGCCTGCCTCGGCCTCCCAAATTGCTGGGATTACAGGCGTGAGCCACCGTGCCCGGCCAGGTATGCCTTATTCTTTTAAATTGTAGTAGAGTATTCCATAGCATGGATAGACTCTAGTTTACTTAGCATTCTCTTATTGATGGGTATTTAGGTTGCTTTCACTTTCTCATTTTGCAACCAATGCAGAGATAAATATCCTTGTACATGTCTCTTTGGGCATAAGTCTGAACATTTCTCCATACTAAACACTGAGAAGTAGGATAGCTGGGTCATATCCTAGATCTATTTTAATTTTACAAGTACTGCCAAGTTGCTGTAGAAGTGCCTGTAACAGTTTATTCTCCCTCTGGCGGTGAATGAGGCTACCCATTTCCTGTACCTTGACATGTGTGTGGATATATGTATATCTGTGGATTCTTATTTGCATAATTGCTAATAAAATTGAACATCTTTTTTTTTTTTTTGAAAGAGTCTTGCTCTGTCACCCAGGTTGGAGTGCAGTGGTACGATCTCAGCTCACTGCAACCTCCACCTCCCAGGTTCAAGTGATTCTCTTGCCTCAGCCTCCTGAGTAGCTGGAATTACAGGCGCACACCACCACGCCCAGCTAATTTTTGTATTTTTAGGAGAGACGGGGTTTCACCATGTTAGCCAGGCTGGTCTCAAACTCCTGACCACAAGTGATCTGCTTGCCTTAGCCTCCCAAAGTGCTGGGATTACAGGCATGAGCCACTGCACCTGGCCTGGACATCTATTTATAGAATTACATTTTCATATAGTTTGTCCCTTTTTTTTCTATGTAGTGTTTGCCTTTTTTAATCGTTAGTAGTCTTTCTATGTATTTTATGTGATAAATATCTATGTAAATATCTATATCCACATATACCTACATATAAAATATTTCTTACCTACTCATTACTTTACGGTTTTTCCTTTTTGTGTTTTATTTAAGGCTTTCTCTAACTCCAAGATCACAAACATAGGATCTTAGTGTGAGGTAGGAATTTTATTTTATTTTATTTTCCAAATGACTAGACAATTATCTTGATGCTATTTATTGAATACTTCATCTTTTCTCTGCTGTTTTGAAATACTTTTTTAGAATAGTAAATTCCCATATAAATGGCAAATCTTCAGATCCACTTACATAGAAGTGGATCTGAAACCAAGAGAAGGAGGAAGTCCATGAGGAGAGAATTGGAATTGGTTCCCTGAACTGTCTACCCATGGGAATTTCCAGCACAGGAAAGCAGGGGACTTTCTAAAGCATCAGACAAATAAACTGGCAGCTCCATGCCCTAATAACGTTAAATAATTGAACAATTGTTTATATCATTTTGCCTTTTTCTTTCCAAAACCTGTAAAACAATGTTATCTGCTTTGGCACAGCAAATTAAGGTGAAATTATACAAAGTGAAAATCAGCTATGTGTCAAGTATAGGCCTGTACTAAGGAAGCAGGGCTGCTACAAATGTAATTATAAGATCCTAGACTCGCCGGGTGTGGTGGCTCACACCTGTAATCCCAGCACTTTGGGAGGCCGAAGCGGGTGGATCATGAGGTCAAGAAATCGAGACCATCCTAGCCAACATGGTGAAACCTCGCCTCTACTAAAAATACAAAAAAGCCGGGCGTGGTGGCGGGTGCCTGTAGTCCCAGCTACTCGGGAGGCTGAGGCAGGAGAATCCCTTGAACCAGGGAGGTGGAGGTTGCAGTGAGTTGAGATCACGCCACTGCACTCCAGCCTGGGTGACAGAGCAAGACTCCTGTCTCAAAAAAAAAATTCCTAGAATTTAATTTTCCCTCTTCAATTTATTCCCCGTATTGTAGTCAGAATGATTTTTTGGCAACATGCCAATCTGACCAGGTGTGGTGGCTCACACCTGTAATCCCAGTACTTGAATCACTTGAACCTGGGAGGCAGAGTTTGTGGTGAGCCCAGAATGTGCCACTGCACTCCAGCGTGGACAACAGAAAAAGACTGCCTCAAAAAAAAAAAAAAAAATATATATATATATGAGTGGCATGATCAGACTGTTGTTTAAGAAAGATAATGGCAGCAGAATTTTGGAGGTAAATGACAGAGAAGTAAATTGAACGACAGGGAGACCTGCTGTGAGGTTATTATAAAGATGCCAATAAGACATGATGGAAGCCGGAACTAAAGCCTCGGGGAGGGCATAGAGAGGAGGGCCAGACTGCAGAGACACAGAGAGGTTGAGTCTACTGGATCTTGCTGACACTCTTAGCTTGGGCAATGAGGGAAGTCAAGAGGGAAGCGTTAAGAATGACTCAAGTTTCTGGCAAGGGCAACTGGGTGTCTGTAATGAAGAAGAGAAATAGACATTTCATGTATTAGGCTGTAAGAGAAGCCCTCTGTTTTGACTGATGACGTAAATGAGGGCTTTCCACTTTCTGAAAAACTGAACTCTTCTGATGCAATGAGACAACCTCCACATCATAGTCAGCCATGGTCCGTTGGGTTCAACTCAGTCCCAATGCCCTGACACCCTCGTTACCTGATCTGATCCTACTGCCCCAACCTAATGGAACTGAAAACAGTGGTGTCAACAAACTAAACTGCCCACCAACTGTGACATATTCAAAGCCTGCATAAGCTTGCTCTGTGAATGGAGAACACATTCTAAAAGGATCCCAAAAGAAAATAAAGCCTTTTCTGTCTTCCCAGGGAGGTTTTAGGCTAAGGAAACAAAATAAACACCACACGAAATAGTGGGCAAAGGTACAAGAGAGTTTAAGGTTAAATGCTAAATTATGAAGCAAATTCCAATCAGAGGACAGTGATGGTATTGTTACTCTAGAACAGCCAGGAAAGATAATCATCTGTGTTGACCATCTACTGCCAAACCACCATCCGTAAGTCACACAGTTGGTAAGTGGCAGAGCCAGTGCGTGAAGTTGGGAGAGACTGTCTCAGATCTTCAGGAAGGCGAAATGTGAGCTGAGACAGGAAGGTGCCCGGTGTCCAGCCTGGATGGGCTGGGAGTGCAGCTGGGAGCTTGGAGCATCCTGGGAGGAGAAGCAGAGCAACAGGACTGGCACGTGATATTAATCATCCCGGAATGGAGGCCTTCTGACTGGAGACTTGCAGTGTACCTACCACTGCTGGGTGTTTTCAGCATTTCAGTTTGGCAATAAACATAAAAAGTCTAGTAACACAGGCGTAAGCCTGGAATGTTCAGTGACTGGTCACTGTCAGGAATAATTATTACAAAAGAGCAGCTGAGAAGACATGACTCAGCACGCCCCACCTCAGAACACTCCGGTCCCACCTAAGGGCTTTCCAAAGTCCGCAGGAACCAGGCCAGCTGAGTATTCACATAGCCGCTCTGTTCAAGTCACACTCCAGATCCGTAGTGTTATTGGTGAGAACAATGACTAACTAGCAGGATGATTTACATGCATGCGAGTTCCAACTTGGCCTTTTTCCTGTCAGCAAAATTTACTACTATCTTCTAGCTGTCTTCCTACGTCAGGACTAAAAATGGTTACACTCCTAGCAGTAGAGCATATCCAGCCAACTGACAAGCAAAGAAAGATTAAGGACAAGTACATAGACAACATGGGGTGGACTTTATCAGAAAGGACAAGGCAGATACAGTGCTGGCCAAGGAGTGTTGCAAGTAAGGAATTTCCTGGAGCCTTATGCAAACTCCAGTAATCCCAGGCAATGATGCAGTTTCACTTCTGTTTCATATTAACGAGTACTAGAAACACATAATGAGTGACCTAGTTCTTTTCCAGTGGATTTTCCTTTTATTAGAACTATGCTCTGGTAGGTTACTTAATTATTTAAAAACATCAACACTGAGCACTATTTTAAGCTAGACCTTGACTTTAAATTTCAAATATGTCATTATAGTATTTAATAAATATAAATTCAGTTTTTTAAACAGTTTTTGTGGTTTTTTACATTCCATGAAATTCACCCATTTGAAGTGCACAATCAAAAATTTTAAGTACATTCACAGAGTTGCACAATCATCACCACAATAAGAATTCATTTTTGAGCTTTTTATTTCAGTTTTTCAATAGATGATAATTTCAAGAGGAAATGATAGGCCACAAAAAGTCTGTAACTGGGGGATGAAGCAAGATGGCAGAATAAAAGTCCCCACCACTTATCCCCTGCCGCAGGAAGACCAAATTTAATAACTATCTGCATAAAAAAGCACCATCATTGGCCGGGCACGGTGGCTTGTGCCTGTAATCTCAGCACTTTGGGAGGCCAAGGCGGGCGGATCACAAGGTCAGGAGATCGAGATCATCCTGGCTAACATGGTGAAACCCCGTTTCTACTAAAAAATACAAAAAATTAGCCGGGCGTGGTGGCAGGCACCTGTAGCCCCAGCTACTTGGGAGGCTGAGGCAGGAGAATGGCATGAACCTGAGAGGCGGAGCTTGCAGTGAGTCGAGATCATGCCACTGCACTCCAGCCTGGGCAAAAACACCGTCATAACCAAAAATCAGGTGAGCACTCACAGTACCTGGCTTTAACTTCATCTCACTGAAAGAGGCACTGAAGAGGGTATAAAAGACAGCCCTGAATTGCCAACACCACCCACCCCTCATCCCCTCCTGCACCCCCACAGCAGCTGTTGCGTGGCACAGAGAAATGTGTGCTTGGGAGACAGAAAGCCCAGCATTGTGAGATTTTGCATTGAACTCAGTGATGCCCTGTCACAACAGAAAGAAAAACCAGACTGAATTCAGCTGACACTCACCCACAGAGGCAGCATTCAGACCAGCCCTGGCCAGAGGGGAAATCACCCATCCCGGTGGTTGGAACTTGAGTTCTGGCGAGCCTCACACTACAGGCTGAAGTGCTCTGGAGCCCTAAATCAACTTGAATGACAGTCTAGGCTGCAAGGACTTCAAGCCCTAGTGCTGTGCTGGGCTCGGAACTAGTGGACTTGGAGAGCACATGCCCCAATGAGACATCAGCCAGGGCAGCTAAAGGAGTGCTTATGCCACCCCTCCCCCAACCCCAGGCAGTGCAGCTCACAGCTCCAGAAGAGAACTTTTCCTTCTGTTTGACAAGAGGAGAGGGAAGAAAAGGATGACTTTGCCTTTCATCTTGTATACCAGCTCAGCCACAGTAGGATAGGGCACTGGTCAGAGTCATGAGGCCCTATTTCAAGCCCTAGTTCCCAGACAACATGTCTAGACACACTCTGGGACCGAAGGGAAACTACTGCCTTGAAGGGAAAGACCCAGTCCTGGCAGGATCCGTCACCCACTGACTAAACAGCCCTTGGGCCCTGGTTAGAAATTTATTCAACCAGACACACTCAATCATCTTTCTCAAGTTCAAAGTACTACAGATCTCTAGGGCAGGGGCAAAATGCCAGCAGTCTCTTTGCTAAAGCATAACAAGAGTCACCTTTGCTCCAGTACCCAACAAGTTTCTCATCTCCATCTGAGACCACCTCAGCCTGGACTTTATTGTCCATATCACTACCAGCACTTTGGTCAAAACCATTCAACAAATCTCTAGGAAGTTCCAAACTTTCCTACATTTTTCTATCTTCTTCTGAGACCTCCAAACTGTTCCAACCTCTGCCTGTTACCCAGTTCCAAAGCTGCTTCCATATTTTTGGGTATCTTTACAGCAGCACCCCACTCCTGGTACCAATTTACTGTATTAGTCTGTTCTCATGCAGCTAATAAAGACATACCCAAGACTGGGTAATTTATGAAGAAAAAGAGGTTTAAAGGACTCACAGTTCCACAGGGCTAGGGAGGCCTCAGGAAAATTCCAATCATGGCAGAAGGGGAGGCAAACATGTCCTTCTTCACCTGGTGGCAGCAAGGAGAAGTACAGAGCAAAGGGGGAGAAAAGCCCCTTATAAAACCATCAGATCTTATGAGAACTCACTCACTATCATGAGAACAACATGGAGGTCCCCATAATTACCTCCCACCAGGTCCCTCCCACAACATGTGGGGATTATGGGGACTACAGCCAAACCATATGGGTGGGGACACAGTCAAACCATATCACACCTGCTCCTCTTTAAACATGGCTGGAGGAAAACAATTAACCATATGAAGTGGCTCACATTAAATTATGACCACTATCCTTAGGTGTGCCCTTAGGGCTGCCTGACAATCCTGCATTTCCCTAAATCGTTCACTTTTTTGCACCTTCTCTTCTCACCTTAAATCTTACACAGTTGATGACCCTACCTCCCTTTCCCTAAGAAGAGGATGCAACCAGAAAAATAGTCTTCTACATGCTACCTTTACCACATTTACGATTTTCTCTGCCTTCCTATGAGTGTTGTCATGGATAAACTAAGCTCCTGTCCAAGGTCATTGTCTCCACTTGTGTACTAAATCCAATATTCTCTTGCCTACTCAAAGATAATTACCTCAGAAATTATCCCTCTGTTCTGCACAGTCAAATTTTACTCTCTACTAAATCATTTCAATCAGCCTATCAACATACTCTAAAATACCCTCATCTTTTTCTTTTTTTTTTTTTTTTTTTGAGATGGAGTCTCTCTCTGTTGTCCAGACTGGAGGGCAGTGGCATGATCTCGGCTCACTGCAAGCTCCGCCTCCCAAAAGATACCTTCATCTTAACATATGACGTTGTCTATCTCTCAACCCCATGTGTCCCTTCTGCCTGCCACCTTATCTGCCTCTCTTTACACAAAACTTGAAAGCATTGTCTATATGTGCTGTCTCCAATTCTTTTTCTTCCATTCTCTGTTGAACCTACTCCAATCATATATTTAGATGCCTGAGTGATATCACCAATGTATATTTATTAGGCATGTTAAATGTAGATGTCTGAAAGAAAATGCCTGATTCCTCAGCCCCTAAATCTGTGCCTCCTTGTTCTGTGAAAGGGCCATATATGCAAAGCAGCCTCAAATGCCTAAGGAGCCAAGAAACCCAAAAACGAGGCAGATGTAGGTCAGTATAGGGTGTTTTACTGGAAGAACTTACAGATGGAGGCACGGTCTTGGGAGGCCGCAAGACAGGTAGATTTCTGCATTGTTACTCCCCAGACCCAGGGCTTATGTACCATAGGGTAAGGGTGTACATGCTCCCTCCACCAAGACAATGAAAGGCAATCCTCCAGAACAGGCAAGAATGCTATATGCATCATAGCCTCTAATGTATGCGATAACATCAAGGTTGCTTTGTTTTTACACTTGGGACAGTAAATAAAGTAGAAACCAGGAGGCATTCACAGGACCAGGGCTAATCAGAAGTCAACATGGCAGATTAACCTCCAAGATGGAATCACTTTTGTCTCCACACTCCTGTATTCTTCCTCATCTTAGTAAATGGCAACTGCATCTTACCAGTTCCCCAGCCAAAAACTGGTTTTATCCTTGACTCCTCCCTTTCTCTCATTTTTTATGTTCAATCCATTGATAAAGTCTGTTAGCTCAATACAGAATACATCCTGAATTTCACCACTTCTTGCCACCATTATCATTACCACTGGGGATCACGATTTTATCACCTTCTGCCTGCATTACTGCATCAGACTCCCAATTGGTCTCTTTGCTCCCACCCTTGCCCCTCTATAATCTCATTTTAACATGGCAACCAGAATGGTCCTTTTTATTTATTTATTTATTTAATGTTTTTCCAGAGGTACAGTCTCAGTCTGTCACCCAAGCTGGAGTGCAGTGGTATAATTACAAATCACTGCAGCCTTGAACTCCTGGGCTCAAGCGATCCTCCCACCACAGCCTCCTCAGTAGGTATGAATACAGGGGTGCATGCCACCATACCTGGCTTTCTCTTTTTCGTTTTTTTTTTTTGAGACTGACGAGGTCTCCCTATGTTGCCCAGGCTGGTCTCGAACTCCTGGCCTCAAGCAATCCTCCTGCCTCAGCCTCCCAAAGCTCTGGAATTACAGACATGAACCACCATGCCTAGCCAGAATAGTCCTTTGTAAATGCAAGCATATCATGCCCCTCCTCTGCTTAAAACACTCCAACACTCCAATAGTTTCCCATCTCAAAGAAAAACTTTGCAACAAATTCATTACATAAACTACAGGCCCTACACTCTTGCCCCTTCTTACCTCTGTGTCACCATCTTCTTCTTTAAATTTTTTTCTTTTTTGAGATGAAGTCTGGCACTGTTGCCAAGGCTGGAGTGCAGTGGAGCAATCTCAGCTCACTGCAACCTCCACCTCCCGGGTTCAAGCGATTTTCCTGCCTCAGCCTCCCCAGTAGCTGGGATTACAGGCACGCGCCACCACACCGGGTAATTTTTGTATTTTTAGTAGAGATGAGGTTTCGCCATGTTGGCCAGGCTGGTCTTGGACTCCCGACCTCAGGTGATCCACCCACCTCGGCCTCCTAATGTGCTGAGATTACAGGGTGAGCCACTGTGCCTGGCCTTGGGTCACCATCTTCTGATTCTCCCTCTTAAATATTCTGTTCAGCCACACGGGTTTCCTTGCTGCTCTTCCAACAAGCCATATACATTCCTGCCTTAGGTTCTTTGTACTTGCCCTTCCTTTTGTTTGAACCATTCTTTCCCCCAGATATTGTTACGACTTTCCCCCTCATTTTGTTGAGGTCTCAACTCAAACCTTGCCTTATGAGTGAGACTTTACTTGACCACTGTATTCAAAACAGCAAAATCCAAAACCTCTATCCTCGCACTCCCAATCCCCCTTGCCCTGCTTTATTTTTCTCTATAGAACTTATCACCATCAGGGCCTAGCATGGTGGCTCATGCCTGTAATCCCAGCACTTTGGAAGGCCGAGGCGGGTGGATGACCTGAGCTCAGGGGTTTGAGACCAGCCTGGGCAACATGGCAAAACCCAGTCTCTACAAAAAGTACAAAAAATTTGCCAGGTGTGGTGGCATGTGCCTGTAGTCCCAGCTACTTGGGAAGCTGAGGCAGGAGGATTACCTGAGCCCAGGGAGCCTACAGTGAGCCATCCATGATCACGCCACTGCACTCCAGCCTGAGCGACAGAGTGAGGCCCTGTCTAAACAAAAAAAAAGAAAGAAAAAAGAGCTTACCACCATCAGGTGTGCTACATGTTTGTTTATTTTTGTGGCATCTCATGAAACATAAACCCTATCAAGGCAAGAACTTTGTTTTATTCATTTCCACATTTCCAGAGCCTAGAACAGTGCCTGGCATACTATGTGTCCTGTTTTATAATAAACACTGATGATACAGCGGTGAACAAAAAGACAAGTAGTGATAAGAGCCATGAAGAAAATAAGTCATATCACTGTAAAGGAATAGAGAGGGGTGGGAGTGTCATTTCAGAGGATATGTGAGGCAGCCTTTGACAGGATCCTTGAATTTAGTGTAGGAGTGAGCCCTGCCGAGGTCTGGGGAGTGCGTTTCAGACAGGCTCCAGCAAGAGAGGCCCTTAGACCAGGCCAGCTTGGCATGACCAAGGAAAAGCAAGGCTAGTGCGTGGGGAGAGGCAAGAGAGGGAGTGAGAGTGATCGGAGAGGTAGTCAGGGGTCATGGTAAGCACTTGGGATTTTTCTCTACAAGATAGAAAGCTGTTGGAGGCTTCTGAGCAGACCAGTGACAGGATCTGATTCTCATTTTAAAAAATCACTTTGCAAACACCCCATGTTCTCACTCATAGGTAGGAATTGAACAATGAGAACACCCGGACACAGGAAGGGGAACATCACACACCGGGGCCTGCTGTGGGGTGGGGGGAGGGTGGAGGGATAGCATTAGGAGATATACCTAATGTCAATGACGAGTTAATGGGTGCAGCACACCAACATGGCACATGTATACATACGCAACAAACCTGCACGTTGTGCACATGTGCCCTAGAACTTAAAGTATAATTTAAAAAAAAATTTTTTTTTTAAATTTAGTTGCCATGTGGGCAACTAAATGTAGAGGGGCAAGGCAGGGCAAAGGGAAGCCAGTTAGGTGGCTTCTGCAGTGTTAGGTGGGAGTTGAACTTGGTAGTAGCAATGAAGGCAGGGAGAAATGGTCATATTTGAGATTTTATATATATATAATAATTTCAGAGAGAGAGATATATATATATATATATATACATATATATAAACGCTCACATATATATCTCATAGGATTTACTGATGGATTAGGTGTGAAATGGGAGAGAAAAACATTAAAGGATTACCTTAAGGTTTAGCCCCGAGCCACTGGAATGGGGAACATTCAAGAAGGAATAAGTTTGGAGGTGGGGAGTGGGTGTTTAAATCAAGAGCATCCAAGGAATGGATATGGACAGAGATATCCAAGGACTGAACCCTGAGATGCTCAGGACAATGGGAAGAATTAGTCAAAGGAGACTTGGAGAGATACAGGAGAGGAAGAACAGGGTGGAGTGCTGGAAACCAAATAGAATAAAAAAAGGTTTTAAGAAACAGGAAGTGATCAATTGTGTCAAATGCTGCTGACAGGTGGAGTAAGATAGGACTGAAAATTGATAATAGGATTTGGCAATGGAGAAGTCACTGAAAAAGTGGTTTTGGTGGTGTGGTCGGCGGGGCAGAAAGACTGATCATAGTGGGTTAAAATGGATCTGATAGATTTGGGATCATGTAGTACTAATTATTGGCCTTGGGCAAATCGTTTAACCTCTCTGCCTTTTTGTTTTCTCATCTGTCAGAAGGGACTTATAACTGTAATCATCCAATGGGTTCTTCCTATCCACTGCACAGATAAAATCAGTTCATAGTGTTGAACCAATGGATGCTGAAGTGGCAAGATCACTTGAGGCCAAGACTTTGAGATCAGCCTGGGCAATATTGTGAGACCCTGGCTCTGCAAAACATAAAAAATTCAGCCAGGTGTGTTGGCTCATGTGTAATCCTAGCTACTTCAGAGGCTGAAGTGGGAGGACTGCTTGAGCCCAGGAGTTTGAGGCTGCAGTGAGCTACGATCACACCAGTGCACTCCAGCCTGGGTGACAGAGTTAGACCCTGTCTCAAAAAAAAAAAAAAAAAAAAAAAAGAGCCTATATAAGACAAGCACTTTGCATATTTGATCTTATTTAATTTTGTCTCATCCAAATGTAAACACACTAGAGCGTTGTTACTTTTTTTTTTTTTTTGAGGCAGGATCTCACTCTGTCACCTAGGCTAGAGTTCTATGGCTCACTGCAGCCTCGAATACCCAGCTAAGGCAATCCTCCCACCTCAGCCTCTTGAGTAGCTGAGACTACAGGCACACCATGCCTGGATAATTTTTTAATATTTTTGTAGCGATGGGGGTCTCTCTATGTTGCCCAGACTGGTCTCAAACTCCTGTGTTCAAGCAATCCTCCTGCCTCGGCCTCCCAAAGTGCAAGGATTACAGGCATGAGCCATCGTGTCCAGCCTACTTTTTCTTTAAAAAGACAAAACAGCTGGGCATGGTGGCTCATGCCTGTAATCCCAGCACTTTGGGAGGTGGGTGGATCACCTGAGGTCGGGAGTTCAAGACCAGCCTGACCAACATGGAGAAACCCCATCTCTACTAAAAATACAAAATTAGCCAGGTGTGCTGGCACATCCCTGTAATCCCAGCTATTCGGGAGGCTAAGGCAGGAGAATCCCGGGAGGCAGAGGTTGTGGTGAGCTGACATTGCGCTATTACACTCTAGCCTGGGCAACAAGAGCAAAACTCCATCTCAAAAAAAAAAAAAAAAAAAAAAAGACAAAACTCAATATGAAAAGATCAAATAGAAGTAATAAAGGAAGTATCTAATTTTTTTCTTTTCTTTCCTTTTTTTTTTTTTTTTTTTGAGACAGAGTCTTGCTCGGTCACTCAGGCTGGAGTGAAGTGGCACAATCTCGGCTCACTGCAACCTCCACCTCCCAGATTCAAGCAATTCTCCCTGCCTCACCCTCCAGAGAAGCTGGGATTAAAGGTGCCCACTACTAGGCCCCACTAATTTTTGCATTTTTAGTAGAGATGGAGTTTCACCATGTTGGCCAGGCTGGTCTCAAACTCCTGACCTCAAGTGATCCACCCGCCTTGGCCTCCCAAAGTGCTGGGATTCCAGGCATGAGCCACCACGCCCGGCTTCATTTTTCTTTTTGATCCTGAATATTTCACGTTCTTTTTTTTTTTTTTTTTTTTTTTTTGAGATAGGATTTCACTAGTTGCTCAGGCTGGTCTTGAATTTCTGGCCTCAGGTAATTCTCCTGCCTCAGCCTCCTGAACAAAAAAAAACACAAACAAGCCAGGGTTTCCTTCAAAGACATATTCACCAATGTAGCTATGTCTGCCTTCCACCTGGTATTAATCTGCACACCTTGTGTACTTGTTTCTGTATTCCTGCAGGTGTTCGCTTGGTGACTGTAACACTATTTTCCTGTAAAAGTCCTTGAGGGCTGTCTTATTCCTCAGTCCTCAGGCCTTCTCCGCCCACCCTGCTTCTTCTGAGAGGGAGTGGTCCGCCAGCCTGAAGCTGACCTATTTTTCAAAACCACCCTTTTCCTTAGGGTGGTTTTTCCTTAGAGGCTATGCTGTGATTTATTTTTAAAGAACAGCCTTCTCTTGCACAGACCTGGGAGGTAAGCTACTCCAAATTACGAAGAAGGCTTCCACCAACAAGACAGATCTAAGAACCATTGTTTTAGGTCTGCATGCTTTTGAGCACAAAGAGTAAACCTTCCTGCAGCTTCGGAATATCTCTCTTCCTCTTTCAAAGCCCTTTCACAGCTTGGACTTGCTTCCTTTTTAGAGCCACCCTCTCAGATAAGGGTGGTTTTAGAAGTAGGAAGCCAGATTTGGGCGCAGGACAGAATGCTCTGAGCTCAGCCTGGCACGGTTGCACAGTGTGGTGGGAAGCAGACTGGCCTGGCTGGGCGCAGTGGCTCAGCCTGTAATCCCAGTACTTTGGGAGACCCAGGAGGGCAGATCACTTGAGGTCAGGAGTTCAAGACCAGCCTGGCCAACATGGTGAAACACTGTTTCTACTAAAAATTCAAAAATTAGCCAGGTGTGATGGCTCATGCCTGTAATCCCAGCTACTCGGGAGGCTGAGGCAGGAGAATCACTTGACCCAGGAGGCAGAGGTTGCAGTGAGCTAAGATCACACCATTGCACTCCAGCCTGAGTGACAGAGCAAGACTCTATCTCAAAAAAAAAAAAAAAAGGTGGGGGAAGTGTATTGGCCTCTAATCCCAGCTCCAGCAATTACGGCTTCTTCCTAGGCTTTTGTGTCCCTGTGTGAGAAACATGGACCAGAAGTGCCATCAAGTTCTCGCTGTCCCTGTTCTTCAAATGAGGACGTGAAGCCATGGAGATGGAAAAGTATGATGGTGGGTTCCTCTGAGGCTGTGTCAGAGGAGACAAGAGTGGATACTGAGGATGATTCATTAATCTTTCTTGGCAAAGAAAATTTTATGTGATGACTAGAAATTTGTTTACTCATACACAAATTCCTACCGAAACAGTCGAGAGGAGAGAAATAGCACATTGGTACAAATGTTTTTTCTTTCTGTAAGTCAAATAATCAACATTTCAGACATTTCTTAGAAAGTCTAGTAAATAGATTTATTTTCTTTTTTTTCTTTTTTTTTTTTTTTGACAGAATCTCACTCTGTCACCCAGGCTGGAGTGCACAGTGGTGCGATCTCAGCTCACTGCAACCTCTGTCTCCCAGGTTCAAGCGATTCTCCTGCCTCAGCCTCCTGAGTAGCTGGGATTACAGGCGCCTGCCACCACGCCCGGCTAATTTTTGTATTTTTGGTAGAGACAGGGTTTTGCCACATTGGCCAGGCTGGTTTCGAACTCCTGACCTCAAGTGATCAGCCCACCTTGGCGTCCCAAAGTGCTGGGATTACAGGCATGAGCCACCATGCCCGGCCAGATTTCTTGAAAGTTGTTTTAAAAGTGGTTATATTTCTTAGGCCTAGGATTAAGGGGTAGTTTTTATTGTTTAGTCTTTTTATGTCTGCTCTGCATCTTTCACCAATAATTAATAGAGAATCAATAAGTATTAGTTCTTTAATCAGGTTTTTTTAAACGAAATAAATGGCTTTAATTGTTCAAAAAGAAGGCAACAGAGGGAAAGAAACTTAAAAACTAATAATGGTGAAAACCGGCATTAGGCTGGGCACGGCAGCTCATGCCTGTAGTCTCAGCTATTCGAGAGGCTGAGGTGGGAGGATCACTAAAGCCCAGGAGGTCGAGGCTGTAGTCAGCCGTGATCATGCCACTGCACTCCAACCTGGGCTACAGAGCAAGACCCTGTCTCAAAAAAAAAAAAAAAAAAAGAGAAAGAAAAAAATTATTTTAATTTTTTCATAAATTTTTTAAAAATAGAAACAGGGTCTCAGTATGTTGCCCAGGCTGGTCTTGAATTCCTGGTCTCAAGCGATCCACCCACCTTGGCCTCCCAAAGTGCTGGCATTACAGCCACCATGCTTGGCCTGAAAAAAAATTAATAAATAAAAAATAAACTGACATTTACTAAGTTACATTTATTTCCTACTGAGTAGTACTGACTCATTGATTCCCCTCTCAACTCTGGAAAAGAAGCTGTTTATTATCCCCATTTTATATATAAGAAAAAGCAGAGAAAAGTTCAATGCTTCTGCCGAGGTCACAGAGCTAATAAATGCAGTCACTGGGGCTTCAACTAGACGGTGAAGTTCGGGGCCCCTGCTATTTATTATTGTGCTCTATTTTCTCCTAGATGATCTAAAAGTTAAGCATACTTGGTTTGGAAAACATGTAATCTTAGAGAACAGATTTATCATGCAAACTACATTTAAGTTAGTACTACCCGAACTTACATTAATAGAAGGCTGAAGGAGAGTAGTTTGAAACTGTTGTAGGTTTGGGATTTAAATTTTGCTAAGGATAAACCAGAGTAGATAAATCAACTCTGTGCTAGGGTTAATCGTATAGCCAACATTGGTTTATGTCAACAATTAGATTGCTTTGTATGGTACCTCAAAAAAAGTTGAAAGGTGATTAGAATTGCTCAGGAAAAGGCTGGAAAGATTACAAACTGCCAATCAGCTTCAAAAAATGAATTTAAAAATAAAAGCACAATCTATCCATGGAACAGGATTCCATCAGCACAGAAAACGATCAGGGAAAAACGGAGTATGTGCACACACTCTCCCCCACCCCCAAGAAAAGCTTCACTGACACCATCTCATTTTGTGTAAACAACACAGTTCCTGTCCTACCCTCATTGAGGAACCTCAGCTACTTTAGGGCTTTTAAATGTTGGTCTTTGTCCTCTCATCCTCTACTTCCTCACTTTTCAATCAGTTCTCCTCCTATGGCTGGATCCATTTAGCTGCTTATCACATTTCAGGAAACTGAAATAATCATAAAAGTGATTTCATGACCCAGAACTGAGGACAGACCTCACCCCTCACGCTCAATAAATATTTGCTGGATGGATGAATAATTGCTACAGCCGTGGTTCTTCTAGACAAGGAATTTCACCTTATATCCCAGGGTAGGAAAAGACACAAGACTGCAAGATGCAAGAAAGATTGCCTCCACTAAATAAAACAGGTTCTGGGCTGGGCCAGGTGGCTCACGCCTGTAATCGTTAATACTTTGGGAGGTTGAGGTGGGCAGATCGCTGGAGCTCAGGAGTTCAAGACCAGCCTGGGCAACAAGGCGAGACCCCATCTCCACAAAAAATAAAAAAATTAGCTGGGTGTGGTGGCATGTACCTGTAGTCCCAGCTACCTAAGAGGCTGAAGTGAGAGGATCGCTTGAGCCTGGGAGTTCGAGGCTGCAGTGAGTTGTGATCCCACCACTGCACTCCAGCCTAAGTGATAGAGCGAGACTGTCTCAAAAAAACCAAACAGGTTCTGATGGGGAGTGGGAGTGGGGAAGCTTGGGGTTTGGCAAGAACTGGCTATACTTTGCAACAAGTCAAATCTGGGTTCAAAACCTGGCTCTGCTCCTAGAGTATGACTTCACTTTATTTTCTCTACCTTGAGTCTCAATTTCTCCATTTAAAACGCCTTTTAGGGATGCTGTGAGTTTGGGTATGATGGGAGAGGCATTCATCCAGTTTCCTCCTTGATCCTTATCTTCATTCCCACTCCAAGAAGGAGCCCCTAATCTGATGAGTCATTCCAGGGACACTGATTGGGCCACATGAGAGGGGTTGTCTTTCTTCATCTTCTCGGAAGGCCAGAATTTTCTGGCACCCTCAGAAAAAGACCCGCCCTTTATTTCCCTCTCTAGCCCTGTCTTCTTTCTTGAATGCAGGCTGCATGTGATCAGTGACCAGTTCTTCACTCTTCTGCTTTTCCCTTCCAGGTAGCCTAAGTGGCAAAGAGGATGGGAACTGTTTCCTTCAGGAGAAAAAGACCTGCATCCTGTTTTCATTGCCTCCTGGGGTCTTCTTTTCAGTCTCCTTTCTCCCATGTGGTCATCTGGGTGGTAACACTTGGGTTTAGATTGAATGGGAAGGAAGAGTCTAATAGAGCCATTTTTGCCTGAGTTCCCTGCCTCAAGGCTTCAGATACAGTCCAGCAGCAGTAAAACGTTAATGCAGCCAGATTGAAATTTTATCACACTACATCTCAGACATGCAAATAAAATGTTTGAAATGGAACTTAAAATTACCAATAAAAGTATCTCATTCTTCGGACTTAAGTTCTCATTCCAGCCAATAACTCCCCATTAGAGCTGTTTCTCTCCCTTTGTCTTTTCATCCTTTAAGATGGTGTTTGAAGGGTGGTGCTTAAGTGACTTCATGGTGGCTCATAGCCCATGCTTTTCTCCTCTGGATGGTTGCCAACCTGTGCTGCAAAGATGCTGCTGTGCTCTTGTCCCTGAGCTGCCAATCCTAAGATCTGCTCTCCTTGCTCTCTTCCTTACCCCACCTCCATGGCTGGAACTTGTCTTACATCATATCTGCCTCCTTACCAAGATGAAATTTGTAAACACCACTTCCCAGGAGGGCTACTAGCAGAATGGCTATTGGGGAATAATTTATGGAAGAAAGAAAGAAAATACAGGCATATACACACAAACTCACGCATACATACAGTTCTTGTCACATTACTTTGATTTCTTTTTCTTTTTTTCCTAAATTTTTTGTAGACAGGGTCTCACTCTGTTGCCCAGGATAGTGTTATACTCCTGGCCCCAAGCAATCCTCCCATCTCAGCCTCCCAAAGTGCTGAGAATACAGGCATGAGCCACCAAACCGGACCCCATTATACTCTTTTATCGTCTCTCAGTATACCCCAGTAGGATGTTCAGGGATTTTCTGTTTTGTAAGCCCAGTGTTTGGAAGAGTGTATGGCACAGAGTACGTGCTCAATAAATATTTGTTGAATGCATGAATGGTGGGTCATATCTGCTGTGTATGGATTTATCCAGTTCAATTCTCAGGGGCAATCTTATTTCCCTTATCCCCAGGTGCTTGCAGAACAGCACGCAGAAGCTTATGTACTGCCCACAACAATCACCAACTTGGACGTGGTAGTTGAAGCAATGAGTCTTATGAGGTCCCTCAAGATGAGCGGGAAGAACAAAGTGGGGCCAAGAGTAGCTTAGAGTAGCAGTTCTCAAACTTTCAATCTCAGAACCCCCTTACAACTTTTAGAAATTGTTGGGGACTCCAAGGCATTTTCTTTACATGGGTTATGTCAATATTTATTGTATTAAAATTAAAACAAAAATTTTAATTTTTTGCAAATCTCTTGACAGAAGGGAGCTGGATTCTCATACCTACATCTGCATTCAATCTATTGAGATGTGTTTTGGTTGAAATCTGACCTTATACAGATAGGTGATTGGAAAAGGGAGGACCTCAGAGATCCCAGGGTTTCTCTGACCACGTTCTGAAACTGCTGTCCTAGAGCAATAGTTGCTGCAACAATGACAACAATCTTCTCTGCAACACAGCCCTCAGCCCTCCGGGAACCCCAGATTCTAATATTGGCACAGAATCCCAGCCTCCAGCCTCTTTGCTTAGAATTGCACAATTTTCCAGTAATGTATGAAACAGCTGGCAGCCTTGCGCAGGAAAACTGGATAGAGGTGAGTCCCTGAGGGAGTATGTTTGTCCTGGGTAAAAGCAAGTGGACTAGACATCCTAGAAAAGGATTGACACTTGAAATCCTAGCATTTTGGGAGACCAAGAAGGGAGGATTGCTTGAGCCCAGGAGTTTGAGACCAGCCTGGGCAACATAGCAACACCCTGTTTCTAAAAACAAACAAACCAAAACCCCAAGAAAGTGGGGTGTTGAGGAAAAGAAAACACATCATGCATTCTCAGGAAGGAGAGACAACAGCTTAAGAAGCTCAGGTACATTAATGAACAAACATGTCTCAGTGCCCAGGCTGAAGAAGAAACAATGAAGCTCAGCCTGCTGGGTGTGTGTGGAAGGAGCTGGCTCTCAGAAGGGGAAAAGTTGGTGACATAATTATATATCTACCTCTGTAACTTCCTGAGTCTAGCTGGCAGAGCCACAGCTTTGCCCACATTCGTTGGGGAACTGGTGGAAATATAGCAGACTCTTACCAGGTACAGCTGTAAGATGAGTAAATCCTCAGTATGTTGGAGTGGCCTTGTAACCATGGGTAGAAAGGCCTTAGGTAACACCTTCTGGTTTGTAAGCCCTTCCAGCCGTGGGCCAGCACCTTTACTACAGCCACGGGCCAAGGACACCTTTACTGTGTATTTTGCTTACCTGCTTTACAGAGAAAAGATACAGTCGGTCAGCTGTCAGTAGCCCTAGCCAGGCCCCAAATACCACTCACCTTCCTTCCATGACAAGTAGTCCAGCTCTGCGCTGAAAAAATGAGTGTATGTGACTGCTGCTGCAACCTGCAAGAGTCACATTTTAGTAAGCGGATAACAAGTCCAACCTTTGTGCTTAGAATTTTCCAAAGCTTTTTCTAAGAAATAAACTATCTCTATTGCACTTCATCCTATACTAACTTCTGATACCTTTTGCATTAATGCCTACATTGCTATTTAGGAGGCCTAAACATGATCCTTGTTTAACACAACAATTCCCAAGTCTAATACAGTGTTTAGCACATAGAAGGCACTTAAGTTTTTAGTGAAAGCAAGTTAAATAAATGAATTCTGATGATCTCTCTCTTTTTTTTGAGACAGAGTCTGACTCTGTTGCCCAGGCTGGAGTGCAGTGGCACAATCTCTACTCACTGCAACCTCTGCTTCCTGGGTTCAAGCGATTCTCGTGCCTCAGCCTCCCAAGTAGCTGGGATTACAGATGTGGGCCACTTCACCTGGCTAATTTTGTATTTTTAGAAGAGACAGATGTATTAGTCCATTTTCATACTGCTATAAAGAACTGCCCAAGATTGGGTAATTTAGGGAAAGAAAGAGGTTTAATTGACTCACAGTTCCTCATGGCTGAGGAGGCCTCAGGGAACTTACAATTACGGCAGAAGGCTAATGGGAAGCAAGACACCTTCTTCATGGGGTGGCAGGAGGGAGAAGTGCCAGGTGAAGGGGGGAAGAACCCCTTAAAACCCATCAGATCTCGTGAGAACTCACTATCACAATAACAGGATGAGGGAAACCACCTATGATTCAATTACCTTCAACTGGCCTCTCCCTTGACACGTGGGGATTACAACTAAAGATGAGATTTGGGTGGAAACACAAAGCCTAACCATATAATGGGTTTTCACCATGTTGGCCAGGCTGGTCTCAAACTCCTGACCTCAAGTGATCCGCCGGCCTCAGCCTCCCAAAGTGCTAGGATTTTAGGCGTGAGCCACCATGCCCAGCCTGATGGTCTTATTTAATGTGAACCAAAAGCATGTGCTTTTCATACATTATCCCATTTAATTACATTGTTCATGGAAAGCTGGCCTCCTCAAGAAGGTATAAGTTCTTTGAAAGCAGGAAAATTACAATATATTTGAGGCTTATTAAAGGCTTTACACACATCCTATACCCACCTATCTTATGGCAGTGCCCCTCAAATCCTTCTCAAAGATACTTTTTTCTTCTTCTTTTATAGTACTAAAAGCTATATTTATTTATCATTTTGCTACAGGGCAAGACGTGCTTATTTTGGTAAGTCCCACTAATGGTTTTAGAGTGGAGAAAGTTATTTATTTATGGTCTAATGTATTGTTTCCTCTTATTCAGAAACAGTCCCAGCTAAAATGGTTTACTTAAATATGTATTATGTAATCAAATAGGACTACATATTAAAGTACATAATAGGCCAGGCTCGGTGGCTCACGCCTGTAATCCCAACACTTTGGGGGGCCCAGGCAGGAAGATTGCTCGAGGCCAGGAGTTCAAGACCAGCCTGGGCCAACCATGGCCCAACCTCATCTCTACTAAAAATACAAAAATTAGCCAGGTGTGGTGGTGCAGGCCTGTAGTCCCAGCTATTCAGGAGGCTGAGGCACAAGGATCGCTTGAACCTGGGAGGTGGAGGTTGCAGTGAGTTGAGATCGTGCCACTGCACTCCAGCCTGGGCAACAAAGCAAGACTCTGTCTCAAAAAACAAATTAAAAATTATATAAAAACAAAAATAAAACATATGATGAACATGCCAGGTCCCCTGTATCATTTATAATCAAAGAAGCTCTGTTTTTGTCTGTTTAAAATTCAAAAGCTTCCACAAATTTTTACTTAAATCTGTACAGCAGTGCCCTGGGAAGGAAGATGTGATATTTCAATAAAAAACTTTACAGACATTAAAGAGATGAATTAATTAACGGAGAGGCTAGATAGAGGAATTTCCCACTTGGAAAGAATATTTCTGTGTCTAAGAATTCACTTTACTCTGAGCTCAACTGGTAAATTTAAAAAGCACTGAGTTGAGGTCGGGCATGGTGGCTCACGCCTGTAATCCCAGCACTTTGCGGGGCCCAGGCAGGAAGATTGCTTGAGGCCAGGAATTCGAGACTAGCCTGGCCAACATGGTGAAACCCCATCTCTACTAAAAATACAAAAATTAGCCAGGTGTGGTGGTGCATGCCTGTAATCCCAGCTTCTTGGAAGTCTGAGGCACGAGAATCGCTTGAATCTGGGAGGCGGAGGTTGCAGTGAGCCAAGATGGTGCCACTGCTCTCCAGCCTGGGTGACAAAGCGAGACTCTGTCTCAAAAAATAAAAAAAAGCACTGAGTTTTTGTTTTTTAATATAACAGCTTTACTGAGATATTTTTCTTTTTTCTTTTTTTTTTCTTTTTGAGACAGAGTCTTGCTCTTGTTGCCATCTTTGTCACTCTTTGAGATGGAGTGCAGCAACATCTTGGCTCACTGCAACCTTCACCTCCCAGGTTCAAGTGATTCTCCTGCCTCAGCCTCCCTAGTAGCTGGGATTACAGGCACTTGCCACCATGCCTGGCTAATTTTTTTGTGTTTTTAGTAGAGACGGGGTTTCACCATATTGGCCAAGCTGATCTTGAACTCCTGACCTCAGGTGATCCACCCGCCTCGGCCTCCCAAAGTGCTGGGATTACAGGTGTGAGCCACCACACCCAGCTGATATATTTTACATAGCATAAAATTTACCCTTTTAAAGTTTACAATTCAGTGGATTCTGGTATATTCACAGAATTGTGTAATCATCACCACTATCTTATTTTTAGAAACTTGTTTTCAACCCAAAAGAAACTCCATACTTATTTGCAGTCACTCCCCATTGTCTCCCTTCCCCCAGCCCTTGGAAGCCACTAATTTACTTTATGTCTTTATGGTTTTTCTCCTTTCTGGACAGTTCATATAAATAGAATCCATGCAAAATTGGCCTTTTGTGTCTAGCTTCTTTCACTGAGCACAATGTTCCCATGATTCATCCATGTTGCTGCATGTATCAGTATTTCATTCCTTTTAATGGCCAAATAATATTTCGTGTTATGGATATATCTCATCTCGTTTATCCTTTCATTAGTTGATGGACATTTGGATTGTTTCCACTTTTTGGCTATTATGAATAATGCTGATATAAACATTTGTGTACACGTTTGTGTGTGCACATATGTTTACAATGATCATGGCTATATACCAAGGAGTAGAATTGCTGAGTCGTAAATAACTCTGTTCAACATTTTGAGGAATTGACAAACTATTTCCAAAACAATTGCATCATTTTACAATCCCACCAACAGGTGTAAGGATTCTAATTTTGCCATATCTTCACCAACACCTATTATTTTCTGTCTTTTTAAATTCTAACCAGACCAGTGGATGTGAAGTGGTATCTCATTTCAGCTTTTGATTTGCATTTCACTAATAACTACAGTAACAATGTTGAATATCTTTTCATGTGCTTATCTGCCATTTATATATCTTCCTTGGAGAAATGTTCATTCAAATCCTTTGCCTTTTTAAAAATTGGTTTGTCTTTTTATTATTAAGTTGTAAGAGTTCTTTATATATTCTAGATACAAGCCCTTATCAGATATATGATTAGCAAATAATTTCTCCCATTTTGTGTGCTTTTGTTTTTTTTTTTAGACAGAGTCTCGCTCTGTTACCCAAGCTGGAGTGTGGTAGTGTGATCTTGGCTCGCTGCAACCTCTGCCTCCTGGGTTCAAGTGATTCTCATGCTTTAGCCTCCTGAGTAGCTGGGACTAGAGGCGCACGCCACCACCCCCGGCTAATTTTTGTATTTTTAGTAGAGACGGGGTTTCACCCTGTTGGCCAGGCTGGTCTCAAACTCCTAAGCTCAAATGATCCACCCACCTCGGCCTCCCAAAATGCTGGGATTATAGACGCGAGCCACAGCACTCAGCCCCTGCGTGCTGGGTTCTATCCATCCATCCTTCCTTCCTTCCTTTCTTTCTCTCTTTTTTTTTTTTTTTGAGATAGAGTCTCACTCTGTTGCCCAGGCTAGAGTGCAGTGGCACGATCTCAGCTCACTGCAACCTCTGCCTCCTGGGTTCAAGCGATTCTCCTGTCTTAGCCTCCTGAGTAGCTAGGATTACAGGTGTGTGCCATCACACCTGGCTTATTTTTGTATTTTTAGTAGAGATGGGTTTTCACCATGTTGGCCAGGCTGGTCTCAAACTACTGACCTCAGGTGATCCACCTGCCTCGGCCTCCCAAAGTGCTGGAATTACAGGCGTGAACCACCATGCCCGGCCGCTACTCTTAATTCTAAATTATTTCACTTTCCTTGTCTGGAAAATAAGTGGGTTCTAAAGACTCCCAGAGTGGCATAATAGGGTGCATACACACTGGTCAGTGACCAGGGAGTATGAGAAGCCAAGGGATTCATGTGATCCATCTTCTAAAATACCAGTACCACTCAAAGATTGTAAAGTAAGCGGAATCTTGCTTTTTCACATATGAAAATCTGGAAAAGAAAGAAACCGTATGCACTGAGCAAATAGAAAATTTGGCACTTTTGAGAACCTGGTGGCAATGGTGTTGCTGTTGTATCAAAGTAATAAGGGTGAGTGAATTTTGAGAGATAAATTATGCCTGACCATTGGAACCAGTGAGCAGCCGAGCATGTGACAGCAGTAAGCCTCCAAAACCTAATTTTTTGGAAAAACAAGCCGATCAGCTTACAACCAGTGTTTATGATTTTTAATTTTCTTTTTCAAGAGACAGGGTCTCCTTCTGCCACCTAGGCTGGAATGCAGTGGGGCAATGATAAATATTAGTAGCACCTCTGTAGCAGAAACTACTGTATCAAAAAGAAGTATAGGATATTCTTAGATGTTCATCTAAAATATGGATTTTAACCTGTGGTAAATGTGCTCAAACCAAAACCTTCTCTTGAGAATATCCTGACCAAAAAATGGCCAGAGATTTTGTTCCTGCAGCCAGAAAAATCACTCATATATGTCAGATGAGGGTGTAGTATATAGACTATATAAAGAACACTTACATCTCAATGACAAAAAGACAACCCAATTAAAAAATGGGCAAAGGATTTGCCTTAGTCTATTTGGGCTGCCATAACAAAATATCATAGACTGTGGCTTATAAACAACAGAAATGTATTTCTTACAGTTCTGGAGGCTGGAAGTCTAAGATCAAGGCACTGGTAGATTCATTGTCTGGTGAGGCTTCACTCCCCCATAGACTATCATCTTTTTATTATAACTCACACAGTGGAAGGGGGCAAAGGATCTCTCTAGGTTCTCTCTTATACAGGCACTAACCCATTCATGAGGGTTCTGTCCTCATAACCTAATCGCCTCCCAAAGGCCCTTCCTCCTAGTATCACCACCTTGTGGATTAGAATTTCAACGTATGAATTTGGGGAACAGACATTTAAGGACTTAAATTTAAGGATGTTTAAGGACTTAAATAGACATGCTCACTTCGGCATCACATACACTTGTTTGTTCATTTTATATATTTTTTATTTTTATTTTCATCTTGAGACTGGGTCAGGAGGCTGAGGTAGGAGGATCACTTGGACCTGCGAAGTGGAGGCTGCAGTAAGCTGTGATTGTGCCACTGCACTCCAGCCTGAGTGACGGAGTGAGACCCTGTCTTAAAAAAGAAAAAAAAAATCATGTTGTTGTTTGAAGTAAAGTAAGTACTACCAGGTCTAAAACAATCCCAGAGGTCTCCTGGACTCCCTCTAACCACCCTTGCTTCCTGTCTGCTCCCTCCTCCCCCAGACAACCTTTCAATCCTTCTTCTTCCTTCAGTGTATACCTTCATATTTTAAAATAAAATGCATATAGTTTTATACACACACACACACACACACACACACACATATATATATATATATATATATATATTTTTTTTTTTTTAGACAGAGTCTCGCTCTGTTGCCCAGGCTGGAGTGCAATGGCACAATCTCGGCTCACTGCAACCTCTGCCTTCCAGGTTCAAGCGATTCTCCTGCCTCAGCCTCCTGAGTAGATGGGATTACAGGCATGCACCACCATGCCCGGCTAATTTTGTATTTTAATAGAGACAGGGTTTCACCATTTTGGTTAGGCTGGTCTCAAACTCCTGACCTCAAGTGATCCACCCACCTCGGCCTCCCAAAGTGCTGGGATTATAGGCGTGAGCTGCCGTGTCTGGCTAATTTTTTTGTATTTTTAGTAGAGATGGGGTTTCACCATGTTGGCCATGCTGGTGTGGAACTCCTGACCTCAGGTAATCTGCTCACCTCAGCCTCCCAAAGTGCTGGGATTACAGGCATGAGCCACTGTGCCTGGCCTGTATAGTGCTATAATTTTTATATCTTGGTTTTAGATATAAACTGATGACTTCTACTGTGAAGATGAGGTTTTTAGCTCTATTATTACCCAGAATGTCATCTAAAGACATTTAAATATATACATACATTCTCCTTCCCCATCCTCCTAATAGTTATGTCCTAAGTTTGAATTCTATTGATATTTATGTTTACATATATAATGAATTGTGCTATAGAGACCATTTCTTGTACTTTTTCTTTTTTGCAATTAATAAGTGCCTTACACTTGCTTGAAGAAGTGAATGATATGCCTTCCCAAAATATACCAAATTGGTATTTTGATTATTTTGAGTTGAAAACATTGGAGATGTTGTAGTTTTGGAAAGGGCGAGCTGACCATCTTCTCCCGCATGCAGCAAGCCATCAACATTCCTCTGGGAGGGGCACTCTCCTGCACAAGGCTCAGAAAAGAGCCATTATCCCAGAGTGGGATTGCAATGTACCTGACAAATATATTTATGGAAATCACCCTTATCTTCCATATATCTCCTAGTGACACCCCTGGAAATGTATTGCTCCTACTCAGGTCCCCTTAGTCCTGTGTTTTCTTCTCAGATTCATCATTCTTTGTCCCAAAAGTATAAAAAAAACTGTCTTGCTTTGGCCATTTCTTTGGACTTGACGCTCTTGTGAAGATCCCCATGTATGTGTAATACTAATGAATTTGGGCCAGGTGCGGTGGCTCACGCCTATAATCCCAGCACTTTGAGAGGCCAAGGCAGGCGTGTCACTTGAGGTCAGGAGTTCGAGACCAGCCTGGTCAACATGGTGAAACCTCATCTCTACTAAAATAAAAAAATTAGCCAAGTGTGGTGGCACATGCCTGTAATCCCAGCTACTCGGGAGGCTGAGGCGGGAGAATCACTTGAACCTGGGAGGTGAAGTTTGCAGTAAGCTGAGATATTACCACTGCACTCCAGCCTGGGTGATAGAGGGAGACTGTCTCAAAACAAAACAAAACTAATGAATTTGTATGCTTTTCTCTTGTTAATCTGCATGGTGTCGATTTGGTTTCTAGAACCAGCTGAAGAACCCACGTAAGACCAACAGGGGTACTAGAAGTGATCTCTGGCTCTCCTACACTCTTTTCTTTAACCTCATTTTTTATTTACCCAGTATTTATTCATCCCCAAGATCTCTGCCAGAAGTGTACATCTCTTCTTAAGTTCTCCAAACATACCGAGAATTCCAGCAATTTCATCTTCTTCTTTGAAACCTTCCCCTTGCCCCAGGACTCATCTGTCCTCCTGCTGCAGGCTGGGCTAGTCGGCTCTCTCGCCCTGTTGTACAGATGCCATATGGAGACTGCTTCTTACCCTCCCCCCAGAAATTCCTCTCACTCTTCTCCTGAGTGAGCTCTCATGCGTCCTAGATTCCATGTCTTATTCTTTCTTGGTTTACTCTCTTCAGTGAAGCACTTCTTCCGGTAGCTTCCTGGAAAAGACTGCATCGGGAATAAATTTCTTGAGGTGTTATGTGTTTGGAAGATTTTTATTCTACTCTTATGTCTGATTGACAGTTTGGTAGGAAACAGACTTCTAAGTTGGAATTAATTTACCCTTGAAATTTTGAAGTCATTGTTCATTGTCCTCTAGCTTCAAACTGAGATTTCAGATACTATTCCAATTCTGATGCTTTGTGTGTGACCTGTCTTTCCCTTAGAAAGACTGTGGGCTGAGAGTGGGGCTCACGCCTGTAATCTCAGCACTTTGGGAGGCCGGCGTGGGAGTGTCACTTGAGTCCAGTTGTTTGAGACCAGCCAGGGCAACACAAGGAGATTCTATCAATACAAATAATTTTTTTTTTTAATTAGCCGGGCATGGCAGACGCCATACTAAAAGCCAAAATGGCTGCCCCGAGGAAGCGCGCACCGCGTAGCTAGTGAAGGTTGGGGAGCAAGCTTCTGCGGGAAAGAGGGAGGGGTTCTCCAGGAAAAGCCGTTGAGAGGACCATCACACCCCAAGCAGCACAGGTTCCAGTTACAGCCATCCTTTGTCATAAGTCATAACTTTTGAACTATATTTGGAAAAATACTGGCCAAGAAAGAAAAAATGATAAAATTTTTCCTCATGGTGAATAAACAAGGGCAGACTCGACTTTTTAAGTACTATGAACATGTGGATATTAATAAGCATACACTTCTGGAAACAGAAGTCATAAAGAGCTGTCTCTCCTCGATCCAATGAACAATGCTCTTTCATTGAATTATAAGGATTTTAAGCTGATATATCGGCAGTATGCATCTCTCTTCGTTGTGGTTGGAGTTAATGACACTGAGAACAAGATGGCTATTTATGAATTCATTCATAACTTTGTGGAAGTTTTAGATGAGTATTTCAGCTGAGTAAGTGAATTAGATATAATGTTTAATTTGGATAAAGTACACACAATTTTGGATGAGATGGTGTTAAATGGCTACATTGTGGAAACTAACAGGGCAAGAATTCTTGCCCCTCTACTAATTCTTGATAAGATGTCAGAAAGCTGAAAGGAAGTCTCTTCCAGACAACATGGATTTATCAGAAATGCGAGTACCATGGAATACATCTCAACATCTGTAACCCAGAAGAATATGGAAGACCACAATTACAAAATGGGGTATCCTTCCAAAGACATTATAAATAGGCATTTTCCACAGTTCCTAAAAATACAACAAAACTGTACTTTAAAATATGTACAAAAGAAAAAAATTTTTTTAAACTGAGAGCGAAGTTTTACTTTCTAATTGTAAACATATCTTTCCTACTTCTTTAAATTCTGTTGAGCACCTAAGGAACCCTTCTTGGTCTGTGCTGCTTTTTGCAAATTGAATTCAGGAATAGCAGGATGGTAGTGGGAAGAAAGTATGGCAGTTTTCTGTCAGCCAATGAAGTTTTAAAATTTAAACACAAGGCATTTTGAGTAACGTTGTTTTCTGAAGGCTGTCTTTTTTTTGAGACGGAGTCTAGCTCTGTCACCTGGTGCATTCTCGGCTTGCTGCAGCCTCTGCTTCCTGGGTTCGAGCGATTCTCCTGTCTCAGCCTCCCAAGTAGCTGGAACTGCAGGCATGCGCCACTACACCTGGCTAATTTTTGTGTTTTTAGTGGAGATGGGGTTTCACCGTGTTGGCCAGGCTGTTCTTGAACTCCTGGCCTCGGGTGATCCGCCCGCCTCGGCCTCCCAAGGTGCTGGGATTACAGGCATGAGCCATCACGCCCAACCTCTTAAGAGGTGTTTTGTTTTTGTTTTTGTTTTTTTTTAAGAGAAGCAGGTCTTGCTGTGTTGTCCAGGCTGGACAGCAGTGGCTATTCACAAGCATGATCATGTTGTACTACAACCTTGAACCTTGTGGGCCTAGCTTTAAAAGCTTTGTAATGTGGGGCTGGTGCAGTGGCTCACACCTGTAGCCCCTGCACTTTGGGAGGCTGAAGAGGGAGGTTCGAAATTTGAGACCAGCCTGGGCAACACAGACCTCGTCTCTACAAAAAGTGCAGGGGTTAGCCAGGTGTGGTGGCGCATGCCTGTGGTCTCGACTGCTTGGGAGTCTGAGGCAGAAGGATTGCTTGAGCCCAGGAGTTCAAGTCTGCAGTGAGCTATGATCGTGTCACTGCACTCCAGCCTGGGTGACAGAGCAAAACCCTGTCTCAAAAATAAAACAGTCCGTGGGTGGAGGCTCAGGCCTGTAATCCCAACACTTTGCGGGGCCACGGCAGGAGGATTGCTTGAGCCCATTAGTTCAAGACCAGCCTGGGCAACACAGCAAGATCATATCTCTACAAAAAATAAATAATTAGCCAGGTTCGGTGGCTCATGCCTGTAGTCCTAGCACTTTGGGAGGCTGAGGTAGGCAGATCACTTGGGGTCAGGAGTTTGAGACCAGCCTGGCCAACATGGTAAAACCTTGTCTCTACTAAAAATACAAAAAAAATTAGCCAGGCATGGTGGCAGGCGCCTCTAATCCCAGCTGCTCAGGAGGCTGAGGCGATAGAATTGCTTGAACCCGGGAGGCGGAGGTTGCAGTGAGCCGAGATCATGCCACTGCACTCCAGCCTGGGCGACAGAGCGAGACTCTGTCTCTAAAAATAAATAAAGAAATAATTAAAAAGTTAGCCAGCTGTGGTGGTGAGCACCTATACTCCTAACTACTCAAGAGGCTGGGTGGGAGGATTGATCAAGTCCAGGAGTTTGAGGCTACAATGAACTATGATCACAACATTGCACTCCAACCTGGGTAATGGAGTGAGGCCCTGCCTCAAAAAAAACAAAACAAAACAAAAAACTTTTATAACGTGTACCTAACAAAGATTGCAGAGTTAAATTTTATTTGCCAGTTTGTAAAAGCCTTTGATATTCATTTTAAGGGCACTTAGTAATTACAATGCCATTATGTAATTAACTCTATAGAGAACATTACTTCCAAATAATGGATGGTCAGACATTAAGAGAGCCCCAGAGAGTCCCTACAGCTATCCTTTATGTCCCCTTTTTTGTTTGTTTTTTGGAGACAGCATCTCCCTCTGTCTCCCAGGCCGGAGTGCAGTGGTGTGATCACGCCTCGCTGCAGCCTCTGCCTCCTGGACTCGGGTGGTCCTCCCGCCTCAGCCTCCCGAGTAACTGGGACCACAGGCGCGCACCCTCTCCACCCAGCTAATTTTTGTATTTTGTTGTAGAGATAGGGTTTCGCCATGTTGTCCAGACTGGTCTCGAATTCCTGCGGTCACATGATCCATCTGCCTTCGCCTCAGGCCTGAGCCACTGTGCCCAGTCTTTTTATGCCACATTTTAAAGGGTTTGCTTATTACCAAGCTTACTGTTAATGAAATTTAGTTCAAAGTTTAAAAGTAGAATGCAGCCAGGCACAGTGGCTTATGCCTGTGATCCCAGCACTTTGGGAGGCCGAGGTGGGTGGATCATTTGAGGTCAGGAGTTCAGGACCAGCTTGGCCAACATGGTGAGACCCTGTTTCTACTAAAGATGCAGAAAGGTTAGCTGGGCATGGTGGTACGCGCCTGTGATCCCAGCTGCTTGGGAGGCTGCGGTGGGAGGATCGCTTAGGCCTGGGGGGCGGAGGTTGCAGTGAGCTGAGATTAAGATCGTGCCACTGCACTCCAGCCTGGGCAACAGAGCAAGACTCTGTCTCAAAAAAAAAAAAAAAAAAAAAAAAAAAAAAAAAAAAAAAAAGTAAATATCTCCCATCTCAAAAAAAAAAAAAAAAGTAGAGTGCAAGAAAATGTCTCTGTACAGGTAGGCGTGAAATGAATCCTTCTCTTCCTGCCTTTTACTCCTTTAACCCCGTCTCCTGCAATGTCTTGAAGTAAATTACTGTCATTACAGAAGAGCAACACACTGCATCCCCCCAAAACCTTTCTATATGCTTTTGCTACCCAGTTAACAGAAGAATATACAGAACTATCTTAGGCGAAAATATGTACAGTAGTCCCTCCCTTATCCACTGTTTTGCATTCTGTGGTTTGTGTTACTCATGGTCAACTAAGGTCCCAAAATATTAAAAGAAAATTCCAGAAATAAACAATGCATAAGTTTTAAACTGCAAAAATAAATAAATAATAATATTTTAATTTTTTTTCTTCCTTCCTTCCTTCCTTCCTTCCTTCCTTTCTTTTCTTTCTTTTGAGACGAAGTCTCATTCTGTCACCCACGCTGGAGTGCAGTGGCATGATCTCAGCTCACTGCAACCTCCGCCTCCCAAGTTCAAACTATTCTCCTGCCTCAACCTCCCTGAGTAGCTGGGATTACAGGGGCATGCCATCACACCCAGCTAATTTTTATATTTTAACTAGAGACTGGGTTTCTCCATGTTGGTTAGGCTGGTCTCAAACTCCTGACCTCAAGTGATCAACCCACCTCAGCCTCCCAGAGTGCTGGGATTACAAGCATAAGCCACCACGCCCAGCCTCTTTTTTTTAGTTTATAGCATGTGGGGTGAGAGAGCACAGATCCTGGAGGTACTGCAATACCAGGTCTATGTGTGGAGTGGAT
This sequence comes from Homo sapiens, assembly GCF_000001405.40. Taxonomy (NCBI): domain Eukaryota; kingdom Metazoa; phylum Chordata; class Mammalia; order Primates; family Hominidae; genus Homo; species Homo sapiens. The sequence goes on from NC_000006.12 coordinate 89,063,556, forward strand.
GGAGCATGCTCCTATTCCATCTCCCTGCTCCAAAAATCCATTTAATATATTGTCCTCAGACAAAGGACGTATCAGATATTAAACTGATAAGAAGAGACACTGTACTTGATCTTAGGCAAAAAGCCAAGAAGCAATTTTAAAAAGGTGTTAATGATCATCTCTTTTTATTATTACATTTCTTGATGTAGGACTCATTTCACACATGTGCTGAGCACTCAGTGAGCTACTTCAACCTGCAGACTCACGTTTTTCAGTTCTGATGTATTTGCATAAATTATTTTTTTGTTAATTTCCTCTCTTCATTTACTCTGTTTTCTCTGTCTGAAATTCCTATTTGAAATATTGGGCCTCCTGGACAGATCTTCTTTCTCTTTTCCTTCTTTTCAAATTCTCCATCCTTAAATTTTACTTTCTGGGAGATTGTCTTAAATGTGCTTATATTTTTCAATTTCAAATTTTTATTTCTGTCACAATAAATATTTTAAATTTTCCTTCCTTCCTTCCTTCCTCTTTCCTTCTTTCCTTCCCTCTCTCCCTTCTTCCCTCCCTCCCTCCTTCTTTCTCTTTCTTTCCTTTTCTTTCTTTTCTTTCTTTCTTCTGTCTTTCTCTCTCTCTCTCTCTCTTTCTTCCTTTTTTTTTTTTTTTTTTTTGACAGGGTCTTGCTCTGTCATGCAGGCTAGACTGCAGTGATATGATCATGGCTCACTCTAGCCTTGACCTCTTCGGCTCAAGTGATCCTCCCACCTGAGCCTCCTGAGAAGTTGGGACTGCAGGTGCATGCCATCACACCTAGCTAATTTTTTATTTTTTGTAGAGACAGGGGTCTCCCTATGTTGCCCAGGCTGGTCTTGAACTCCTGGGCTCAAGTGATCCTTCTACCGCAGCCTCCCAAAATGCTGGGATCACAGGCGTGAGCCACCATGCCCAGCTAGAGGAGTTTTCTTTCTTTGTTTTTTTTTTTTATTATACTTTAAATTCTAGGGTACACGTGCACAATGTGCAGGCTTGTTACATATGTATACATGTGCCATGTTGGTGTGCTGCACCCATTAACTCGTCATTTACGTCAGGTATTTCTCCTAATGCTATCCCTCCCCACTCCCCGCATCCCACGACAAGCCCCAGTGTGTGATGTTCCCTACCCTGTGTCCAAGTGTTCTCATTGTTCAGTTCCCACCTATGAGTGAGAACATGCGGTGTTTGGTTTTCTGTCCTTGCGACAGTTTGCTCAGAATGATGGTTTCCAGCTTCATCTATGTCCCTACAAAGGACATGAACTCATCCTTTTGAGAGGTGACAGCGTGCTGGCAGTCCTCAGAGCCCTCGCTTGCTCTCCGCACCTCCTCTGCCTGGGCTCCCACTTTGGCGGCACTTGAGGAGCCCTTCAGCCCACCACTGCACTGTGGGAGCCCCTTTCTAGGCTGGCCAAGGCCAGAGCCTGCTCCCTTAGCTTGCAGGGAGGTGTGGAAGGAGAGGCGTGAGCGGGAACCTGGACTGCGCGCCACGCTTGCGGGCCAGCTGGAGTTCCAGGGGGGCGTGGGTTTGGTGGGCCCCGCACTTGGAGCAGCCAGCCCTGCCCCTGGCCAGGCGGGGCGCCCGCTCCAATCCGACAGACTCACAGGAACCCATGGAGGCGGGGGAAGGCTCAGGCATGGCGGGCTGCAGCCCGAGCCTCCCCGACAAATGCCGCCCCCTGCTCCAGGGCGCCCAGTCCCATCGACCGCCCAAGGGCTGAGGAGTGCGAGTGCATGGCGCAGGACTGGCAGGCAGCTCCACCTACAGCCCCGGTGCGGGATCCATTGGGTGAAGCCAGCTGGGCTCCTGAGTCTGGTGGGGCCTTGGAGAACCTTTATGTCTAGCTCAGGGATTGTAAACACACCAATCAGCACCCTGTGTCGAGCTCAGGGTTTGTGAGTGCATCAATCGACACTCTGTATCTAGCTGCTCTGGTGGGGCCTTGGAGAACCTTTATGTCTATCTCAGGGATTGTAAATACACCAATCGGCACTCTGTATCTAGCTCAAGGTTTGTAAACACACCAATCAACACCCTGTGTTTAGCTCAAGGTTTGTGAGTGTACCAATCGACACTCTGTATGTAGCTGCTCTGGTGGGGCCTCGGAGAACCTTTGTGTCCATACTCTGTATCTAATCTGATGGGGACAGTGGAGAACCTTTATATCTAGCTCAGGGATTGTACACCCACCAATCAGTACCCTGTCAAAAGAGACCACTTGGCTCTACCAATCAGCAGGATGTGGGTGGGGCCAGATAAGAGAATAAAAGCAGGCTGCCGGAGCCAGCAGTGGCAACTCGTTCAGGTCTCCTTCCACACTGTGGAAGCTTTGTTCTTTTGCTCTTTGCAATAAATCTTGCTGCTGCTCACTCTTTGGGTTCACACTGCCTTTATGAGCTGTAACACTCACCGCAAAGGTCTGCAGCTTCACTCCTGAAGCCAGTGAAACCACGAGCCCACCAGGAGGAACGAACAACTCCAGACGCGCCGCCTTAAGAGCTGTAACACTCACTGCGAAGGTCTGTAGCTTCACTCCTGAACCAGCGAGACTACGAACCCACCAGAAGGAAGAAACTCCGAACACATCCGAACATCAGAAGGAACAAACTCCAGACGCGACCTTTGGAGTTAACAAACTCCAAACTCCACCTTAAGAACTGTAACACTCACCGCGAGGGTCCACGGCTTCATTCTTGAAGTCAGTGAGACCAAGAACCCACCAATTCTGGCCACACTTTTTTATGGCTGCATAGTATTCCATGGTGTATATGTGCCACATTTCCTTAATCCAGTCTATCATTGATGGACATTTGGGTTGGTTCCAAGTCTTTGCTATTGTGAATAGTGCTGCAGTAAACATACGTGTGCATGTGTCTTTATGGCAGCATGATTTATAATCCTTTGGGTATATGCCCAGTAATGGGATGGCTGGGTCAAATGGTATTTCTAGTTCTAGATCCTTAGTTTTCTTGAAGTGACTCTCTTATCTATTACTGCACAACAAACTACCCCAAAACATAATAGCTCAAAATAACCTTGAAGAAGACAAAAGGGATATAGAGAGGAACCACTTTATTTGCTCACAATTTTATAATTTGGGCTAGGCTCTGTGGGTCAGATTTTCGGCTGGGTGTGGTGGCCCACACCCCTGATCCTACCAAGTTTTTAAATTTTTTTTTATTGCATCTTGTTTTTGTTTCATGTATGTACTATATTCCTAACACACTGAGGCTATTAATTAGAGGGGCTTTAAACATTTTTTCTTCTGCTGTATTTATGTCCTACAGGTTCCTTTTATTCCTATTTAATTGTATGTGTGGTTTGATTCTCAAAAATTAAGTCACCCTTGCCTGACTGCTTACACTTTAGGATATTGCAGTAAGAGGCCGATTGTATGCTCTGAGTTTGTTGGGACTCAGAAACCAGTATCCCAAAATATAGTGCTTTGATATGCTGAATGGAAGAAGCTTCAAGTTTTCTCTGACGACACTCTCCACCATCTCTCCCAAAGCACGGGATCAAGCTGAAGTTCCTTCATCTGCCTAAGATCCAGACCCACGAAAAGGAACAATTTTTTTCTTCCTCTTCCTGTAAGACCACATGTGAAGAGACTCTTTCAGGAGATAATGTAGAAATTAAGCTCTGTTCCCCTATCACTCATTCTCTTTACTAATCCCCTAAACAGAATGCTGCTGCTTCTTCCTCCCACAGCCTTTTTGTCTGGATGATATATAAGTTTCTAAACTCCCCTGTGGAGTAAGTAATCACTCTGTGATTCTCCCCAGGTAAAATTTCTATGCCTTTTCTCCAATTAATGTCTTTTGTGAGCTGATTTTTCAGCAAACCTTCAGAGGGCAAAGAGCAAGTTTTCCCTTGGCCCCTGCAGTTCACTGGCTTGTGGACTTCCCTATGGGATGATCTATCTATCTATCTGGCTGGGCTCTATGGTTTTTGTTTTTGTTTTTGTTTTTGAGATAGGGTTTTTAGTCTGTCACCCAGGCTGGAGTGCAGTGGCACAATCATGGTTCACTGCAGCCTCAACCTCCCAGGCTCAAGTGATCCTCCCACCTCAGCCTCCTGAGGACTGCAGGCCCATACCTCTATGCCCAGCTAATTTTTTACTCTTTGCAGGGGTAGGGGTCGCCCAGGCTGGTCTCCAACTCCTGGGCTCAAGTGATCCTCTGGCTGGACTGTATCTTAAAGAACATTAGAAATTAAAGAATATGAGTGTCAATATTTAAACTAATCACATTATATGCACTTGCATATGTTAAGAATAACTGTAATATGCTAATTTACTAGTTAAGCTAAAATATCACCCTCTTCTCTCCCCTGAAACTCAAAAAGCTAATGCCATCATTTTAGATATAGCATTTATAGCAATGAGTCATATTTGGCTGTGAATCATAATCAATGTCTCAAATAAAACTTGGCAGAATATCAGCCACACAGGTTCATCCTGAGCTTTCCTGTGAAGGTGGCTGTGCTTGTTCTTCAGCTCTGAAATCCAAACACACTTCTGGTCTTTCTCTGTGTGTTCAGGAATTTTAAAAATGACATAACTTAGGGAATGTCAGTTTTGTCTTCTTGTACAAACCTTAGATTTTTAAGGATGAACTAAAAACATGATAAAGATAACTCGCTGGGCGTGAGGGTTCACGCCTGTAATCCCAGGACTTTGGAAGGCTGAGACGGGCAGATCACTTGAGGCCAGGAGTTCGAGATTAGCCTGGCCAACAGGGTGAAACCCCGTCTCTACTAAAAATACAAAAATTAGCTGGGCATGGTGGTGCGTGCCTGCAGTCCCAACTTCTTGGAGGCTGAGGTGAGAGAATCACTGGAACCCGGGAGGCAGAGGTTGCAGTGAACCAAGATCATACCACTGGACTCCAGCCTGGATGACAGAGACCCTGTCTCAAAAAAAAAAAGATAACTCAGGCAATGTCAATTTGATTGTTCTGCACAAATCCTAAATTTTTCTGGATGTTATAAGGACATGAAAATGTTCTTTTCTTAGTATGAATTGCCAGAAAATCATTAATCAAATCTCATTTTTCTTCTTATGTTCCAGTGTTACAAACTAAAGAAAAAACTCTATACAGTCTCACTCAGGTTAAAAAATTACAAGCATTTCTCCAAAACAAGTGTTCGTTTTCTAACCTTTTACTATCACATAGTTGAAAGAGCTCTACAGTCTGAAATTTTATTCTGTCATATCATTTTAAATTCAAATACTGTAAAAATTGGGGCACTGCAGTATTTTGTAAAAATGAAATATGCTATTTCCCTTATGGAATTGTTGCTGACTAGAAGGACAGGAATGAACTGACTGTCCTGAGGCCTGAAAAGTAAATGAGATTTGGCAGGGTATGTTTCAATCCATTTTCCTTAATTTATTTTAAACTTCTTGAAAATAATTTTACTCTCATTCTGGAGATGTCAAGTGAAATAACCAAGGATAACTAGAATGATAAATAAATAGATTTCCATATTTTACACAAGAGTAGGAACACTTTTTGTATAAATAGTTCACTGGCAACTAAAAAGCAACTTAGTTATTTGGGGATTCTTTTGTTTTTAAGAGAGAAAACATAAAATTTCAATTCATTAGAATTTTTTTTTTCTTTTTTGGGGGAACAGAGTCACTCTGTTGCCCAGGCTGGAGTGAAGTGATACAATCATGGCTTACTGCAGCCTCAGCCTCCCAGGCTGAAACAATCTTCTCACCTCAGCCTCCTGAGTAGCTGGGACTATAGTTGTGTGCCATCATGCCCAGCTAATTTTTTAAATTTTTTGTAGAGACAGGGTGTCACTATGTTGCCAGGCTGGACTCAAACTCCTAGCCTCAAGTGATTCTCCTCCTGCCTCAGCCTCCCAAAGTGTTGAGATTACAAGTGTGAAACCACTGTACCCAGCTTCATCGGGCTTGAAAGTGAAGAACATGAAAAATAAAACCTGGTTGGGCACGGTGGCTTATACCTGTAATCCCAGAACTTTGGGAGGATGTGGTGGGAAGATCACTTGAGCCCAGGAGTTCAAGAGCTGCCTGAGCAACATAGCCAGACCTTGTGTCTACAAAAAAATAAAAAATTACCCTGGCTTGGTGGCGTGAGCCTCTAGTCCCAGCTACCCAGAGACTGAGGTGGCAGGATTGCTCGAGCCAGGGAGGTCAAGGCTGCAGTGAGCCATGATCGCACCACTGCATTCCAGCCTAGATGACACAGTGAGACCTTGTCGCAAAAGAAAAAAGGAAGAAAGGAAGAAAGGAAGGAAGGAGGAAGGGAGGGAGGGAGGGAGAGAGGGAGGGGGAGAGAGAGGGAAGGAAGGAAGGAAGGAGAGAGAGAGAAAGAAAGAAGGAAGGAAGGAGAGAGAGAGAGGGAAGGAAGGAAGGAACGAAGGAAGGAAGGAAAAGAGAGAGAGAAACAGAGACAGAAAGAGAGAGAAAACCTTACTAAACCAGGATAATCAGACGGGCACGGTGACTCAAGTGCTGTAATCCCAACACTTTGGGAGACTGAGGCGGGTGGATCACTTGAGGTCAGGAGTTTGAGACCAGCTGGGTCAACATAGTGAAACCTCGTCTCTACTAAAAATACAAAAATTAGCCGGGCATGGCAGCAAGCTTCTGTAGTCCCAGCTACTCAGGAGGCTGAGGCAGGAGAATCGCTGGAACCAGGGAGGTGAAGGTTCCAGTGAGCTGAAACTGTGCCACTGCACTCCAGCCTGGGTGACAGAGTGAGACTCTGTCTCAAAAGAACAAAAAATCACAGCTAGGTGCCATGGCTCACACCTGTAATCCCAGCACTTTGGGAGGCCAAGGCAGGCAGATCACTTGAGGTCAGGAATTCAAGACCAGCCTGGCCAACTTAGTGAAACCCTGTCTCCACTAAAAATACAAAAAAATCAGCCAGGTGTAGTGGTGGGCGCCTGTAATCCCAGCTACTCGGGAGGCTGAGACAGGAGAATTGCTTGAACCCAGGAGGTGGAGGTTGCAGTGAGCTGAGATCGCAACACTGCACTCCAGCCTGGGTGACATAGTAAGAATCTGTCTCAAAAAAATAAAAATAAATAAATAAATAAATAAGATAGTCATATTTTCTTTCCAAATTGTCCTGTTGATTTTCATATCCCTGTCAAAGCTATGGTTCCTCTCAAAGTCAACTAGATTTGGAAATTCAGGAGCCAATCTTTTACTCTTCTTTCTTCTCGCCTCTCCTGACCCTCATATTTCCTACCCTGTCTGGTCTCCCAGCTTGACCAATGTCACCAGTTGGGAGGGAGGGAGGGAAGGAAGAAAAGAAGGAAGAAAGGGAGGAAGGGAGGGAGAGAGGAAGGAAGGAAGGAATTCAGTTTTCCAAGAGAAGTCAGAGATTCCTAGAGTTGCCCTAGGATTCTTACTTCCTGAAGTTGCCCTGGATTTCTTACTTTCATTCCTAAAAAAACTCCACCTCATAAAACTACTACATTGGCCTGGCCAATCCTCTCAATGCTTGTCTGTCCATAGTTTCTGAAATGGACCTAAGTGGGTCCTTATAGACAGGTGTCTCACCATCCTGGCCAGAAGCCATCCAGCACAGGTCTAGTAAAAGAGTTCTGTTGAATGTAGATGATATTGACTAATCATCCAATTATCCTGTCTGGACCAATCCATATTGAACCAATCAGCTTCCCTCTCTCTGGAATTTGAACTTTAGGTAAACAGCAAGCTAGGTGGTGGTGATAGTAGAAGTAGAAATACAGAAAAAGAACAAACAGAAAGAGTAGTTGAGTCTTTTAGAGTAAAGCTCAACAAACATCTGCTAAGAAGTAACAAATAACCTAGTAGTTAAGGCTACATTGGATCTTGAATCAATTTTGAGTTTCCAAATGTCATTTCAAGTCGGTCAGGTACTACATCATAATTTTTGTTCCTTCCATGAGTTCTGGGTATGAAGGTTTTCCTGGTATCTTATGAGGCCTGGTATGTGGTCAGTCTTCTTGTCTTCCTTATGTCTATGTGTGCATATCCTTAAAACAACCCATTACTTTAGGTAACCTGAGTTAATTCTTGCAATGAAGAAAAAATAATATAAACAATAATCTCTCTCTCTCCCTGTCTCTCTCTCTTTGTTTTTGAGATGGAGTCTCACTCTATCACCCAGGCTGGAATGCAGTGGCATGATCTCGGCTCACTGCAACCTCTGCCTCCTGGGTACAAGCGATTCTCCTGCCTCAGGCTTCCGAGTAGCTGGGATTACAGGTGCCCGCCACCATGCCCGGCTAATTTTTGTATTTTTAGTAGAGACAGGGTTTCACCATGTTGGCCAGGCTGGTCTCGAACTCCTGACCTCAAGTGATCCACCCACCTCAGCTGCCCAAAGTGCTGGGATTAGAGGCATGAGCCACCGTGCCTGGACTCCTGTATCCTATATATATTTTATAATAAACCAGTAAATGTATGTGTTTCCCTGTGTCCTGTGATCTGTTTTAGCAAATTAATCTAACTCAAGAAGAGGGTAGAGGGAAGCCTGGCACAGTAGCTCATGCCTGTAATCCCAGCACTTTGGGAGACCAAGAAGATTACTTGAGCCTATGAGTTTGAGACCATCCTGAGAACAAAGTGAGACCTCACCTCCACAAAAAAATTTTAAAAATTAGCCTGGAGTAGTGGCATACACCTATAATCCCAGCTACTCAGAAGGCTGAGGTAGGAGGATTACTTGAGTCCGGGAAGTCAAGACTGCAGTGAGCTATGATAGCACCACTACACTCCTGCCTGGGTAAAAGAGCAAGACCCTGTCTCAAAAAACAAACAAACAAAAAGTATAGGTGACAACCTACTACTTGTCATTGGTGTCTGAAGTGGTGGCAGTCTTGTGGGACTGAGCCCTTAACCTGTGGGATCTGACTCTAACTCCAGGTAGACATGTCAGAACTAAATTGAATGATAAATATAGGACACACAGTTCTTGTCCCCTAAAGTGCTTGCTGTGTGAGGCAAAACTCCATGCATCAGGTGACAGAAGTGTGCTGTGTTGATTGTTGTGAGTGTGTGAGTGGAGAGTAGGAAAAACAGTTTGGTTTTTCCTATCTCAGGTCTCATGAGGAACAATCCGATGTTGATCCCTGATGCCTAGATTTTGCTGCTTTTTCTTCATTTAAAGAAATAAAGATTTCTTACAGAATAGAATAGCTCACTCCATGTCTTGGGTCAGAGAAAGGCCAAGATAAGTATGGAACATCTTGTTATGGATATAAAGCAAAAATGTTCTTAAAAATATTTGGGAGAAGTGCTAAAGAGACAATAGTGAGGGAGGAGAAAAGGAAAAATTTAGCAGACAGCTAAAGCTAGTCTTTGGTAAAATTCTTTTAAACAGAAAGACAGCCTGAGAAATCAAGCTAAAGGCACAAATAGAGCAGCCTGGGGAAAAACTCACGTTGCAGCTGCACAGAAAAGAAAGCAAGGCCCAATATAGAAGCTTTTGTTCTTGGTGTAATCAGTTGGCTCCCAGGAAAAAGTTTCCTCCCCTTTTCAGGCATGTACACGGTGGGCTCCAGGGGAACTTGTACAGAGAGTGGGGGTGCTTACCCAAAACATATCCACAGTTGCACAAATGAGAAGCTGTGCTTTGTGTTTGCCTAAAGACATGTCTGCAGCTGCACAGATAAGGGGAGTTACACAGACAGCTTCACATATAAGGGAAGTTACACAACAGCTACAGAGAAGAGAGGAGTGTCTTACAAAAGCTTTGTATTCAACTGTAAAAACGGCAACCCACTCGGACTCCCTCTCTGCTGTGGAGAACATTCCTCTTCTGCCTATTAAACTTTTGCTCCCACCTCACTCTTGGTGTCCACGTTCCTTAATTTTCTTGGTTGTGAGACAAGGAGCTCAGGTAATACTTCAGGCAACAAGACTGCTACAATAGAAATATCTTGGCTTTCATTGGCTACACCCTAAGGTTTGAGCAAAAAAAGGGAAATGATTATAGATAATTGAAACTATTTGAATCTATTAAAGTCCATAATGATTCTCCAAAGGGAAAATTTAGTAATAAACAGTTTGACTATAAAAGATAGTGAATGTGATAATATAGATGTTAATTTTTTTAAAATTGCAGAAATAAAGTTATGTGTATGGATGATTTTTTTAAAATCTAAAGCATATATTAGTTTATAAAGCACAGACATGACTTTCCTTGTGAAAGAAGGGAGAGAAGAATAGCGGGAACTGAGAATCAGTCAAGCAGTCCTGGGAAAAAAATTAACCATACCAAGAACAGAAAGAACTACTCCACAGCATCTGTCACACCTACCAGCCAGGCAGAAGGAAGATCCAATAGTCAGTCAGCACCAGAGTCACACAGGACCATGTAGAAACAGAATTCAATAATGTGTTTCAAAATGAAGATTTGCCTAATCAAATGCCGTGAAGAAGACAGCTGACTGCACATTCTATCCCTGCCTCATGCATGATGAACCCTTTCAATGACTCTATTAATCATAACAAGTTAATGAGGCAAAATCAGTCTACAAAAATGGTTAACAGGCCAGGTCAATACATAATGATAAGAAACTAGGTTCTGCAAGGCTAGCCAACTGAAACTTGAAAAAATACACCGTATTTCAGGGAGAGGCATCAATTTACTAGAAATTAAAAGTTCTGCAGGGCCAGGGGCATTGGCTTATGCCAGCGCTTTGGGAGGCACTGGTGGGAGAACTGCTTGAGGCCAGAAGCTCAAGACCAGCCTGGGCAACAAGCAAGACCCTGTCTCTATAAAAAATTTAAAAATTAGCTAGGTGTGGTGGTACTTGCCTGTAGTCCCAGCTACTCAGGAACCTGAGGTGGTAGGGTTCCTTGAGCCCAGGAGTTTGATACAGTGAGCTACGATCGTGCCACTGCACTCCAGCCTGGTCAACAGAGCAAGACCCTATCTCCATAAACTAAATAAAGAAATACATTCTGCAAATGGCAAGGATTTTTAAAAGCTTGATCAATGTATACAATGAGAGCAAGGCTCAGGTAAGGAAGGCATAATGGAGACTGTTACCCAGCTAAGATGCAATTGGTTAAACATCAGCTGGTCTAAATGACATGCTTTTTCTATTTTTTTTTTTTTTTTTTTTTTTTGAAACAGGGTCTCACTCTGTCACCCAGGCTAGACTGCAGTGGCGCAATTATGGCTCCCTGCAGCCTTGACCTCCTGGGCTCAAGCCATCCTTCCACCTCAAGTCTCCTGAGTAGCTGGGATGACAGGTGGGCAACACCACATCCAGCTAATTTTTGTGGGTTTTGCCATTTTGCCCAGGCTGGTCTCAAATTCTTGAGCTCAAGTGATCCTCCCACCTCGGCCTCCCAAAGTTTTGGGATTACAGGCGTGAGCCACTGCACCCGGCCATGACACGCTTTTTCTTTTGGTTTTATATCTAGGCTGAAATAGAATCAAATGTCCATCATTATTATTGTACCCTAAGGTTGCCACTAGTCCTTTTGACACCTTCATACCAATAAGAAAAAGCCACCTTAGTCCATTCTGGCTGCTAAAACAAAATATCATAAACTGGGTAGATAACAAACAACAGAGATTTATTTCTCACACTTCCAGAGACCGGGATGTTCAAGATCAGGGTGCCAGCTGGTCAGGTTCTGGTGAGGTCCCTCTTCTGGGTTGCAGACTGCAGACTTCTTGCTGTGTCCTCAGTGGTATAAGGAGGAGGGGCCTCTGTGGCCTCTAATCATATGCATGAGGGCTCCAACCTGATGACCTAATCACTCCCCAAAGACCCCACGTCCTAACATTATCACACTGGTTATTAGGTTTCAACATAGGAATCTGGGGAAGACACAAACGTTCAAATCATAGCGATGCCCAGATGGCCCCAGCCCTTGGGAAGATGTCTTCAAGAGCAGAGTCAAAGCTCTGTTTCAGCTCTCCCTTGACTCTTTGGCCAGGTACCCTCATGCAAATTATAACCTGTACAAACCTGTAACCCCAGAGAGATATAAGTATAGGGATAATGGAGACATTAATTTCAATCTATGGTAACAATACTTTATAAGCACTCCAAGTGTCATAAATTTGTCATTATTGTGAAAATTTGTGCATATTTTGCTTTTTAACACAAATTTTAGATTTTTATTTAAACTCTTCAGAGTACATTATAAAATAAGTTTTGTAATCAATGCTGAAATGTTAGGAAAATTTTTACTTGCTAAACAAAAACATTTTGATTTCCTGGTTGTTTTATGTTTAGAAGACTATTATTTTATAAATTTGAAAGATTAATAATTTGAGCATTAAGCAAAACAGAAGGCCGGGTGCAGTGGCTCACGCCTATAATCCCAACACTTTGGGAAGCTGAGGCGGGCGAGTCACCTGAGGTCAGGAGTTTGAGACCAGCCTGGCCAACATGGTGAAACCCCATCTCTACTAAAAATACAAAAATTGGCCAGGCATGGTGGCATGCACCTGTAATCCCAGCTACTCAGGAGGCTGGGGCAGGAGAATCACTTGAACCTGGGAGGTGGAGGTTGCAGTGAGCCGAGCTGAGATCACACTACTACACTTCAGCCTGGGCAACAGAGTGAGACACCGTCTAAAAAAAAAAAAAAAGCAAAATAGAAGTTTGATTAAGTGTTCCTCTTTTCACACAGGTGTCCCTCACACCTTAGACATTACAGATCTAAGCAATAGGCTGGGTGAGGTGGCTCATGCCTGTAATCCCAGCACTTTGGGAGGCCAAAGTGGTTGGATCACTTGAACTCAGGAGTTCGAGACCAGCTTGGGCAACATGGCAAAACCCTGTCTCTATCAAACACGCACACACACAAATTAGCAGACATGGTGGCATGCGCCAGCTAGGGAGGATGAGGTGTGAGAATCTCCTGAACGCCAGAGGTGGAGGCTGCAGTGAGTTGTTATCGCACCACTGCACTCCAGCCTGGGTGACAGAGTGAAGCCCTGTCTCAAAAAAGAAAAAGAAAAAAAAATCTAAGTAATAATAGGTAGAAAAAATGGTAATAAAGTCTATATAAAGAGGAAAAAAGACATTCAGGGTAGGAGGAAAGAAAATGACATTTCATACAGAGAGAGGGAGAGAAAGAGGACAGAGGTAAAATACACGAGAGACAAAGGTAGATAGAAGAGAGAGAAGTGGAATTTGGAGTTCTGCTTAGTGTCAATGCGGGTAAGCTGCTTATTTCATAAATGGGCATTACCTCTTTTTTCTGCTATTTAATACCTAGTTTACTTTCCAATCTTTTATTTTTCTTCTAACCTCCTCTAAAGATTAGCTTAACAAAAATAAAATCAAGATGTACACTGGAGCAAAAAGCTTCAAGAACTCTGAGAATTCTCCTAAAATTTCCTTTACCCTTGGAATATCTTGTTACCTCCAAGTTTGGCCTTTTGGGCCCAAGCAAAAGGATCTGATTTTTTTTTTTTTTTTTTTTTTCCCTGAGATGAAGTCTTGCTCTGTCGCCCAGGCTAGAGTGCAGTGGCGTGATCTCGGCTCACTGCAACCTCTACCTCCCAGGTTCAAGTGATTCTTCTGCCTCAGCCTCCCAAGTAGCTGGGACTACAGGCATGCACCACCACAACTGGCTAATTTTTGTATTTTTAGTAGAGACAGGGTTTCATCATGTTGGCCAGGCTGGTCTCCAACTCCTGACCTCAAGTGATCCATCCACCTTGCCATCCGTGAGCCACTGCACCCAGCCTGATCTTTTTCCTTTATATCATATAGCACAGCTAACACTATATGTTTAAACCTGTAACGCTTAGGTTTAAACATTAAAATTAGACTTTACTAAAGACTAAGGGTTTACAAAGACTACCCACACAGAGTAACATTAAATCCAATCATCTGGCTTATAAAACCTCGACCTCTCTCTTCTAAGTGCCCCATTTCAGCTCCCATTCTGTTTCTTAGTGGTGGGCACCATTTTAGCAATCTCAGCACCCATCACCCAGGTGGTCACAGCTGCAAGGTTACTTTTCTTACAGTACAGAACCCAGGGCAAACATGAAGCCTACACTTAAGGCCTCAAAATGATAAGTTATACACATAATTACTCCAACAATCACCCAAGAAATACACATAGACAATAATAGGTATCTTTGACCAAGGGCCCCACAGAGCTGGCTACCAATGACCAGCTCCCTGAAGGGTAAATTATTCTCTAGGACAGTATGATATTATCCCCAGATAAAGTCAAGCCTAAAATCATGGGATATAGTGAAAAGAACACTGGACTAGGCATCAGGAGTTCGAGTTATTCCTACCTCATTTTGTGAACCCCCCCCCCCAAGCAAGTTACTATATATTTAAATTTATTTACACCATACGTTAAATAGGACCTCTCTATATCAACCTTAAAGTGCTAGAGTAAGAATAAAATGAGATGACAGATGGAAAGTGCTTTGAAAAAGTAGATTCTTTTACAGCTCTGGATGTCCATGATTCCCATCCATCCAATGAACATGAGCACTTACTATGCATTACATGTTGCAGAAACAAAAATGAGTAAAATTCAGCAATTGGAATGAAATGGAGTTTTTTTGGTTTCTTTTTTGTTTTTTGAGATGGAGTATTGCTCTGTTGCCCAGGCTGGAGTGCAGTGGCATGATCTCGGCTCACTGCAACCTCTACCTCCCAGGTTTAAACGATCCTCCTGCCTCAGCCCCCCTAGTAGCTGGGATTACAGGCACATTAGCCTGTATGCCCAGCTAATTTTTATATTTTTAGTAGAGACAGGGTTTCGCCATGTTGGCCAGGCTGGTCTCAAACTCCTGACCTTAGGTAATCCAGCCGCCTCGGCCTCCCAAAGTGCTAGGATTACAGGTGTGAGCCACCACGCCTGGCCTGAAATGTAGTTTTAAAAGCTTATAAGGTTGACTGGGTTTGGTGGCTCACTCCTGTAATCCCATCACTTTGGGAGGCTGAGACAGGCAGATGGCTTGAGCTCAGGAGTTTGAGACCGGCCTGGGCAACATGGTGAAACCCTGTCTCCACTAAAAACACAAAAAATTAGCCAGGAGTGGTGGTGTGTGCCTGTGGTCCCAGCTACTCAGGGGCGTGGGGGGCTGGGGTTGGAGGATCTCTTGAGCCTGGGAGGCGGCTGTTGCTGTAATCCGAGATCATGCCATTGCACTCCAATCTGAGTGTCAGAAAGAAACCCCGTCTAAAAAAAAAAAAAAGTTTATAAAGTGATTGGGAAGCATTTTTCTGGATATGCAATCTGTCCAACTTTGCCATCAATCATAAAACGTTTCATTGCTTACTAATTGCTTACTACTCCAAAGCTGAAAACTATTGTAGAGGCGGTGAGGATACAGAAGTGTAAGATTACTGTGGTCTTCTAATAATGTAGAATCTAGTGTGGCAGGGCTGGACGCGGTGGCTCACGCCTGTAATCCCAGCACTTTGGAAGGCCGAGGCAGGCGGATCACGAGGTCAGGAGATCAAGACCATCCTGGCCAACAAGGTGAAACCCCGTCTCTACTAAAAAATACAGAAATTAGCTGGGCGTGGCGGGTGCCTGTAATCCCAGCTACTAGGGAGGCTGAGGCAGGAGAATCTCTTGAACCAGGGAGACGGAGGTTGCAGTAAGCCGAGATGGCGCCACTGCACTGCAGCCTGGCCACAGAGTGACACGCCGTCTCAAAAAAAAAAAAAAAAAAATTAAAACTTTTGTCTTGCAGTACCTGGACTGGAGATCAAATTCTGATGTTAACTTACCGTTTGATCTTTGACAAGTCCTTTAGCCTTTCTAAGCCTGTTTCCCCAGCTGTAAAATGGGAATAAAATACAGTACTGTCCCTCCAAAAAGAAGCTGAGGCAAAATCAGGCCAAGCTTGAGGACTGCAACCCAGGACCATAGATTCAAGCTGCCCTGAATATACACTCGGATTAGCAAGTTACAAGTAGGTTTTTAAAGGAAAAGAGGCAGCTCCTAAATTGTTTACCAATTTACATTAAAATATCGTGGGCTCTTGACTAGCTATACATTGTTCTTTGTATCTTAAATTTCAGAAACTTAAAGATAATGCGTAGGCAGCTAATCAGGAACAAAATGCCTTTAAACAATTGCCCCAGGCATTAGTAGTGAAAGGAAGAGAATGACAGCCTGCCTACTTCGCAGAGCTGAGGTCTGATCTATTTTTCTTAGTACCTATTCGTAAGGGTTGTTGTGAGGTTAAAGTGAGACAATCTATGTAAAGAACAGTTCCTGGAACATAAATGCTTGATAAATTATGGCCACAATTCTTTTTTGTGGTTGAGCAGTGCGGGGAGATCGCGAAAAATTTCTATTTACGCGCAGCTAACAAAATACTCTATGTTGCAGAGCTGTTTCACTTTCTCCCTTTGAGACGCAAGCCGGCTTGCCGCCTCCTCAAGTAACCAGGCACAATGTTCTGATCCCAAAGTCTCACAATCCTTCAAGTATGAAATCAGTAAAAACTCCAACTTCCATTTATGGATTTACGGAGAACTTTTTATACATCGAGGGGCTAATTCAATCAGTAAGTCACTTTGATTTTTACTCTGATCACCGAGACTAATAAGCAGCGATGCCGAACCAAGTAAATGAAAGAATCGTGAGCCATACTTCAGTAGATAAAATTTAAATGTAGACTGATTTTCTTCACGATTGCTAGGGAAGAAATCCTTACAGCGTACTTAGAAATCTTTGTTTTAAAATGATAACGCTGTTATGTTGGGCTGAAAATAAAACGGATACTTCCCCAAGGTCAGCAGCGGAGGAGGCAACCGTGGCCTTGCCAAAGTCATCCCCTCTTCCCAGCCCCCGTTCTTCCTGCCGCCCTCCCCCTGCCCCCTCCCTTCCCCACCCCCATCAACAAACTCCGCCGGGACATTTCAGTACCACCACTCCCTAGCCCGGCGAAGCGCAGGGGCGTGCTGGGGAGGAGTAAAGAGGGTGGGGCGGAAACCCAATTTCATTGTTCGCGGGACCGATTCTTCCCAAAAGAGCTCGCTGGCAGCGCCTGCGCAGTGCGCCCTCTTTGTGCCAGGCTGCAGCAAGCTGGTTGTTTGTGTGTGTCTACCCGAAGCTGCGGAGGCGGAGCGAGGGGGCGTGGCCTGCCTTGTCGCACTCTAATTGGGCTTTCGCAGGAAAGTGGGCGGGCGCGGGGCGGAGCTTCCGATAACAACACTCGGAGCTGGGGCTGTGGCTATTTGTTGCTGCGCCGCCACCGCCCGAGTCATGTTCCGCGATCTTCTCAGGCTCTCCTAGCAGCATCCATCGCCGCCACCCTATCTTCACTGGCTTCATTCACCTTCTCCTTCTCTCTTCGTTGCTGAGCGACAAGCTTCCTAGCGCTATGACTGTCGTCTCCGTCCCGCAGCGGGAGCCGCTCGTCCTGGGTGGCCGCCTTGCGCCGCTTGGCTTTTCCTCCCGAGGTTACTTTGGGGCCCTCCCGATGGTGACCACGGCTCCGCCTCCTTTACCCCGGATCCCGGACCCCCGGGCACTGCCCCCGACCCTCTTCCTCCCTCATTTCCTAGGGGGAGATGGCCCGTGTCTGACCCCCCAGCCTCGCGCTCCAGCAGCTCTGCCCAACCGCAGCCTCGCCGTGGCGGGAGGCACTCCTCGGGCAGCGCCGAAGAAGCGGCGAAAGAAGAAGGTGCGGGCCAGCCCCGCAGGGCAGCTGCCCAGCCGCTTCCACCAGTACCAGCAGCACCGGCCGAGTCTGGAGGGCGGCCGGAGCCCCGCGACCGGCCCGAGCGGAGCGCAGGAGGTCCCGGGCCCGGCCGCCGCCTTGGCCCCGAGTCCTGCAGCCGCAGCCGGCACGGAGGGAGCCAGCCCCGACCTTGCCCCGCTGCGGCCCGCGGCTCCCGGCCAAACCCCCCTCAGGAAAGAGGTGAGGCCGCCAGGGGGCCGTTGGGGAGTCGGGCCCTTAGACGGTCGCGGCCGAGCTCTGGGGCTGCAGACCCTGCACCCGGGGGGTCGGGCGGGTGGGGGCGGGGTGGGGGGGGCGGCTGTTTACTCGGGAGGGAAGTTTCCGTGACGCCCGCTCCATTCTTGCTTTGGGGGAAGAAGGGGGAAGGGGAGGCATGCGCTGGCGCTTCTGATTGGCTCCCAGGAGTCGGCCAATGAGAAGCGCCGCTGCGCCCCAGCAACAGCCCCGATTTAGAAGGCTGGCGGCGTTCCAGGGGGTTTCGGCGTTCCGGGCGCGCGGCGGGGTGGGGGCAGGGACAGGGCCCGCGGGAGGGCTGACGTCAGCGCGCGCTACGTGCCCGGCGCTCCGGCGCCCATGAAGGAGGCGAGGCCGGGTGGGGGCAGCTGGGGAAGGACTGGGCCCGGCTTTCGGCCTCCCGGCTATCGGGAGCCCCAGTCCTAGTCGGTGAAACGCGGAGACGGCCTCTAACGTCCCGCCGTAGGGGGTGGAGTGGGCTCCGAGCGGCTGGGTTTCGTTTGGTTGGAGTTGTGCCAAAATGTGAGGTGCCCGGTGTGGGACGCGCAGTCCAGTTGGGGCTCTGCCCGCCTCGGGCCTGACCTACTTAGTGGTTCCAAGTTAAGAGTTGGCAGGAGCCGCACAAAACTGATTTTATTACTTTTGCCACTGTGGTACTTCGTGTTAGTGTGTCCAGAGTAAGTTTTCAGAAGAGTTAGCAATTGAATTGACTTAGCCCGTCTGATTGCAGTGCTATTGCATTAGGATAAAATGGATAGAAGTTTAAATAGGATTAAGTCTACGAAATGATTTCAAAGTCTTGTCAGAATAACGTTTTATGGACTTAAGTTCAATGACTTAATCTTCGTAATAATGAAATGAAAAAGTTCCCGTTATTTAGTGAAGAATGTTGCATTGAATTAGAGATTTGCGGTTTATCTGTGCCCTTGGGAAAAAATTTGCCCACCTTGTTTCTTTAAATTATCGTCTCAATGTCTCCCTTTTAAAATTCCACGACTTTTGAAATATCCGTGATTACCTAAAAGCTTTTGTGCTTGTTTCCTGGCCTGTTTTCTAGAACAGGTACTAACTAGGGAGCTCTGGCAGTGAACCTTATTGACGTGGAAAGTTGTGGTCCTCTTTCGTGTCGTGTCTTGCTTACTACCGCGTTACAAGTGTTGGTAGTGCAGTGATCTAGTGGATTACCTTACGCTTTTCCATCCTTTCAAGACTTCCTATAAGGCCCACTTAAGTTGGGAAAGATTAAGGTGAGTGAAGCAGCGTTCTTGAAGCAGTTACTAAACCAGAAAGGAGGTACACAGCAAAGATTGTTTCTGGCACTCGTATTTGGAAGAGAGCTCATTAGTCTTCCTTACAGTTGTAGAAAGGTGGACTTGGGTTATTTCAGACTTTTTTTAGTTTGACATTTTAGAACTGGTTCACGTTGCATACTGGTAACTAGCAGTGGTGATTAACTGCATTTTTAGTGGCGAACAAGAGTGAACTTAAAAGTCAAGGGAAATTTAAGTTTTTTGTTGTTTTTTTTTTCTTGAGACAGAGTCTGCCTCTATCGCACTCCAGGCTGGAATGCAGTGGCACGATCGATCTCTGCTCACTGCATCCTCCCCTTCCCAGGCTGAAGGGATCCCGCCTCAGCCAGCCTCCCGAGGCGCGTGTTACCACGCCGGGCTGATTTTTATATTTGTAGTAGACATGGGGTTTCGCTATGTTGCCCAGGCTGGTCTCGAACTCCTTGAGCTTGAGCGATCTGCTTGCCTTGACCTCCCAAAGTGCTGGGATTACAGGCGTGAGCCACCATGCCCAATTAAAGTTTTTGTAATTTTCAGCTTTTATTTTAGATCAAGGAGGTACTTGTGCAGGTTTGCTACATGGGTATATTTCGTGATGCTGAGGTTTGGAGTATGAATGATCCCATTCCAGGTAGTGAGCATAGTACCCAGTAGGTCCCCATCTCTCTCTCAACCCCCCTTCTAGTAGTGCCTAGTGTCTGTTGTTGTTCCCCACTATATCCATGTTGTACCCAGTGTTTAGCTCCCAAATTCACTTGTAAGTGAGAACTTGCGATATTTGGTTTTCTGTTTCTGCATTAATTCGTCTAGGGTAATGGCCCCCAGCTACATACGTGTTGTCACAAAGAACATAATTTTGTTCTTTTCTATGGCTGTGGGCAAACTTAAACACAACAAAACTAGATATGTGATATGAGGTTCATAACTGATTTTTATCTAGAAACTATATTTACTTTTGTGTTCTTGTCTTTGTAGGTTTTAAAATCAAAGATGGGAAAATCGGAGAAAATTGCCCTTCCCCATGGCCAGCTTGTTCATGGTATACACTTGTATGAGCAACCAAAGATAAACAGACAGAAAAGCAAATATAACTTGCCACTAACCAAGATCACCTCTGCAAAAAGAAATGAAAACAACTTTTGGCAGGATTCTGTTTCATCTGACAGAATTCAGAAGCAGGAAAAAAAGCCTTTTAAAAATACCGAGAACATTAAAAATTCGCATTTGAAGAAATCAGCATTTCTAACTGAAGTGAGCCAAAAGGAAAATTATGCTGGGGCAAAGTTTAGTGATCCACCTTCTCCTAGTGTTCTTCCAAAGCCTCCTAGTCACTGGATGGGAAGCACTGTTGAAAATTCCAACCAAAACAGGGAGCTGATGGCAGTACACTTAAAAACGCTCCTCAAAGTTCAAACTTAGATTTCAGATTTCAGTATGTGTGTAAAACATAATTTTTCCCATATCCCTGGACTCTTGAGAAAATTGGTACAGAAATGGAAATTTGCCTTGTTGCAACATACAATTGCAAAAGATGAGTTTAAAAAATTACATACAAACAGCTTGTATTATATTTTATATTTTGTAAATACTGTATACCATGTATTATGTGTATATTGTTCATACTTGAGAGGTATATTATAGTTTTGTTATGAAAGTATGTATTTTGCCCTGCCCACATTGCAGGTGTTTTGTATATATACAATGGATAAATTTTAAGTGTGTGCTAAGGCACATGGAAGACCGATTTTATTTGCACAAGGTACTGAGATTTTTTTCAAGAAACAGCTGTCAAATCTCAAGGTGAAGATCTAAATGTGAACAGTTTACTAATGCACTACTGAAGTTTAAATCTGTGGCACAATCAATGTAAGCATGGGGTTTGTTTCTCTAAATTGATTTGTAATCTGAAATTACTGAACAACTCCTATTCCCATTTTTGCTAAACTCAATTTCTGGTTTTGGTATATATCCATTCCAGCTTAATGCCTCTAATTTTAATGCCAACAAAATTGGTTGTAATCAAATTTTAAAATAATAATAATTTGGCCCCCCCTTTTAAAATAGTCTTGACTCTTTGTGTGTGACTGTTTCTCATGTTTGAATGTGTGACTAGGAGATGATTTTGTGTGGTTGGATTTTTTTGACTTCTACTTTACTGGCTGAGTGTGAGCCGCCATGCCTGGCCATAATCTACATTTTCTTACCAGGAGCAGCATTGAGGTTTTTGAGCATAGTACTTGACTACTCTAGAGGCTGAGACGGGAGCATCTCTTGAGCCTGAGAAGTGGAGATTGCAATTGAGCTAGGATCAGGCCACTGCACTCCAGCCTGGGTAACAGACGCTGTCTCAAAAAAAAGGCCAAGAGAAAGTAAGGGAGACAGATTTTGAGTGGGAATGTTAAGCAATCAGGTCAAGTAAAGAAGATCGAATATACAAAGGAACTTCTGTTTGATGTTTTGTGTGAGTCACCATTCCTTCCTTACAAATGCAGATACACCTTCCTCACAAATGGAAGGGAAGCTCATTTAGAAGTTTAGTTTGAAGATGCCCCCAATTTTTAGTCACCAATTTTAGCTTTTGTTAGTAATGTGTTGTAAATATTAATACTAATGACTGACTACAGTGAGTTCTGACATCTCTCCCAAATCAGTTTGTGATTCTAGAAAGGGACACATTAACAGGTTTTAACAACACATTTTTGCACATGGTTATAAAAATTCCTACACAATGTAATATAAGTCCTACCGCCTCAACCACCCTTCTTTCCTTGTCCAACATTTCTCAGCTCTTGTCATTTTGAGCAGTATGTCTGCAGTTTAATGTGTGAGGGCTTATGTGTAACGTATGTTCAGGAAATAGAAGGATAAATGGCAGAGCTGAAAGTTTAGGTGGGATGGGGAGAAAAGACAAATATAACTAAAATACAAGCTATATTCCCCACTCTACAACAACAAATGCCTGAAGAGAGAAAAAGGTAAAGTCTCTTAGGGTGAAGGGACTAATTTTGGTGAGAAAATTTTCTCTTTGGGAATCTGACACCTTAGAAAGTAACAGTGAGTTGAGCTGGGCATGGTGGCTCACGCCTGTAATCCCAGCACCTACGGAGGCTGAGGCGGATGGATCACGAGGTCAGGAGTTCAAGACTATCCTGGCCAAGATGGTAAAACCTTGTCTCTACTAAAAATAGAAAAAAATTAGTCGGGCTTGGTGGCAGGCACCTGTAATCCCAGCTACTCAGGAGGCTGAGGCAGAAAATTGCTTGAACTCGGGAGGCGGAGGTTACAGTAAGTCGAGATCGCGCCACTGCATTCCAGCCTGGGTGACAGAGCAGGACTCCATCTCAAAAAAATGAAAAAAAAAATTGAGTTGAGCCTTAAAAGATAAGTATTTGACACACAAAAAAGGAAAAAAATTGTGAGGTAAAAGTTTGAGCAGATGGTGGTGTAAAAAGATGCACAACGCTGAATCCCAGCACTTTGGGAGGCTGAGGCTGGTGGATCACCTGAGGTCAGGAGTTCGAAACCAGCCTGCCCAACATGGCGAAACCCTGTCTCTACTAAAAATACAAAAAATTAGCTGGGTGTGATGGTGGGTGCCTGTAATTCCAGCTACTTGGGAGGCTGAGGCAGGTGAATCGCTTGAACCCAGGAAGCGGAGGTTGCATTGAGCCAAGATTGTACCACTGCACTCCAGCCTGAGCGATGAGTGATACTGCATGTCAAAAAAAAAAAAAAAAAAAAAAAAAAAAAAAAATGTACAATGTCCAGTAGCTTAAGAGAAATGCAAGAAAGGAAGGGAAGTTTTTAAAAGGTATATTGGGGTAAGAACACGAAGGGCCTTCAGTGTCACGCGGAAGAGCTTCAACTTTATTTTGTAAGCATGGCAGTTCTCAAAGGTTTATGAGTAAGGGAATGGAATTCTTGCTTCAAAAAGAAAACGTAGAAATATGGAGGACAGCTTGATAAGGGAAAGCTTGAAACAGATTACTTAGGTGAGGATATTTCAGTAGCTCAAAAGAGAAAAGGGCCTAGAGGGCATTATCAGAGGTATGGGCTTATTTGGGGGAATGTTTTAGAGCTAGAATTGAGGATTGAGCATCTGAATAGAGGGTAAGGAAAAGACTTGAAATTGAGCAACTTGAAGGATAAATCTACCAATTAGGGGATTGCAGGGGGATCAGAATTATAAAGGAAGGTCATTTTGATTTGGCATGTTGAACTTTGGGGTGCCTCTAGGACATCCATGTGGAAAGGCACAGCAAGTAGATAGAAAATAGGTCAGATCCAGAGGTATGGCTTTGGTAAATAGTGCACAAAGCAGTAATTACAACAGGGAAATGAGAGTGGAATATTTTATCTCTATCCTTTTCTTTTTGTCTCATAAGATTTAATGCTTTTAGGCCAGGCACGGTGGCTCATGCCTGTAATCCCAGCACTTTGGGAGGCCTAGGGGGGCAGATCACTTGAGTCCAGGAGTTCGAGACCAGCCTGGGTGACATAGGGAACCCCGTCTTTACTAAAAATGCAAAAATTAGCCGGGTGTGGTGGCACATGCCTGTGTTCCGAGCTACTTGGGAGGCCGAGGCAGGAGGACCGCTTGAGCCCGGGAGGCAGAGGTTGCAGTGAGCCGAGATAATGCCACTGCACTCCAGCCTGGGCAACGGAGTGAGACTCCCTGTCTAAAAATAATAATAATAATAATGCTTTACCAGTAGTCTTGACCTCATCCTCTCTGCCTCCTATGGACTGTCAACTTCACTGTGATAGTAGTTGAATTATAATTTCCTCATGAAACTTATATAGAGGTTGTTTTTTTTTCCGTACCTGTAAAAGTCTGTGTTAGCAGACAGTTCTAATTTAAATTCTGAATTCTGATAGCAGGGGCCCAGTTGGTGCAAAGGAGGAATAAAGTTTCCTTCCCTTTTCTACAATTTGAAATTGGGTGAAACTGATCTTTTGTAACTCTTTATCTCTTCTTGCAGCTCTCTCATCTCCTAATAACCCTCCTCATCTTATTGCTGGATAAACTATCCTTTGTTTTCGTGGGTGGAAGGCAATTTATATGCAATCAATATCTGCTTCAGGTTGAAGGAATCAAGTATATGTATCCTTGGGTATGAAAGGCTGATAGTCCCATCATACTCCTATATTTAAATTTTTGAAGGACATTGCTAAACTAAATACATTTTAAAATCACAGAATTGCCTTGCTGAGTCTGATCCCTGAGCTAACTCCTCCAAGTTGTTTTCTCATTGTTGTACTTCTTTCCTTCTGAATCTAGAAATCTCCCGGAAACTGTTGCATAAGTTTTCAAATGGGGAAAGAAAGTATGCCTGTGTTGTGAGATGAGATGGTGTAGGAGACAGAATTGTGTAAACACAAATAATGTAATTCAGGAACTACTTGTTTTGTTAACTTGAATTATAAAAATACCAAATTCAATAACAATTTAAGATGTATAAAAGGTGTTGCATTTAGTGAGGGTCCACTGTTGAGATTTTAGAATTCATTTTCTAGAGCAGGGTTTATAATAATGTGGGCTTAGTGTAGAACTGGCTACACAAATTTTAAATTCCCTCATTAAAGGAATAGCTTATCATAGATTATGTGGCATTAATCATAGTTTCTGAATTTAGTAATGGTAAAAAGGGACAAAGTGGGACAATTGATAGAAGCAACCTACAAAATTTATGAAAGTCAGATACACATTTATCAAAGGAGGCTACATGTTCTATTCAAGCTGCATTTAATTAGAAGAGGTCAGATAATCTTGAACATTTAACAATACTTTAAAAGACAAAATGACATTAAACAATGATAAAAATACCTCATTTCTCTAGTTATTCACACAATATTTTTATGAATGTGGAAGAAAAGATTCAGGAAAGTTAAGTAATTTTTCTTAGTCTAATACAATTAGCATTCAGAAAAATATGTGTTATGTCTGGTTGTAAAGACACTAGATGATAATCACACTCCTCCAAAGCTGGTTATATATACATGGCTGCTCCTACTAAATTATTACAGATAGTTCTCTTATTCCAAGATTAGAGTTTGTTAATCTGACATTGTCAAATGCAAATTACAAATGTGTTCTTGGCATCTTGGCATTTTAGGATCTTGGGCAAGGGATGGCAAGTAGAAATGTTTTCTTTTTTTGGAGACAGAGTCTCACTCTGTCATCCAAGCTGGAGTGCAGTGGTGCAATCTTGGCTCACTGCAACCTCCACCTCCTGGGTTCAAGTGATTCTGCCTCAGCTTCCCAAGTAGCTGGGACTACAGGTGCACGCCGCCCTGTTTGGCTAACTTTGATAGTTTTAGTAAACACAGGGTTTCGCCATGTTGGCCAGGCTGGTCTCGAACTCCTGGCCTCAAGTGATCTGCCTGTCTCAGCCTCCCAAGGTGCTGGGATTACAGGCATAAGCCACCCCACTGGGCCTTTTCTATTTGAGACAGGGTTTTGCTCTGTCATGCAGGTTGGAGTGCAATGAGTGGTGCGATCACAGTTCATTGCAACCTCTGCCTCCTGGTTTCAAGTGATGTTCCCACCTCAGCCTCCTGAGTAGTTGGGACTACAGGGACGTGGACATGTGGTTTCACTGTGTTGTCCAGGCTGGTCTCAAACTCCTGAGCTCAAGTGATCCACTGGCCTCGGCCTCGCAAAGTGTTGGTATTACAGGAGTGAGCCACCAAGCCCAGCCGAAAACGTTTTCCCTTTTTGTTTTCAGGGTTTTTAAGTGATTTCTTCCTTTTTGTAGCCATTTTGATGATTTTTGGTTATTTCCAATTGCAAATGTTTGATTTAAATTGAACTCACAATTGCCTACTAACAGTAAGATTTTTAAATACAAGATCTTTATTATTTCACTTTACTTGACAACATGGAATCAGAGGGCTTTTTGGTCCCATCAAACCTTTGGATAAGTTACAATTTGAGGGGATTTTCTAACTATAAAACAAGGGCTTTCAACAATCCCTTCCAAAGTTGAGCAAAATTAACCTTACTCTTCAAATGACTAGGCATTTAATGCTCTCAAATTTTAGAAAGGATTACTATCAAAGACTGGAAATGTCCCTTTTCTACCAGACTTTCAAGGCTCTTAGAGTCACTGTTCATTCAGTCCAGTCTCCTTAACCATCCAGGTCTATTTCTTAAGTTCCTGTAATCATGTGATGCCTGAGACCAGATCCTGAATTTCAAAAATAAGAAAACAGAATTGTTTATGAAAGGTATTCAACCAAGGTTTTCTGGCTGTACTTTAGCTAATTAGAATACCTCATGTATGAATATTCCAGGTTTTTTTTGAAATACTTTGTTAAATTCAAAATACTTGGGGGATAGATGGAAATATATGTGGCAAAGCAGGTGTAATTAACTGCTAACTGTAGAATCTAGGTAGTGGGTATATGGATGTTCCACTTTAAAATTCAGCTACATTTAACATTTTTTTATACTGAAGATTTTTATAATAAAGTGTTAAAGAAAATAGAGTTAGGGAAAATTAAGGCTGCTTTACTGGTTCACTCCAACATTATATATAATTTGAATATTTGCTTTTTTTTTTTTTTTTTTACTAATAATTCTAAAAGCTCACTTATATGTAGCATACAGCACAAATAAGCTGATCTTATGAGGTTGTAAACTTTGAACCTTCTGAATGTTTTCCTCTGCATTTTCAAGTAGGTTGGCTAGTTGGTTATAACATCTAAAAAAACAGAACTCTAGTTAATGACAGAAACACCAAGGCCATTGTAAATAAGAGCTGAAAGATTAGAGAAACAATAACATATTTAAGCACTGGCTTATTTAGGAAATGTGACAGATAACATTTAATGTTAATGTTATCTGTTATGTTAATGTTAACATTAACATAAATGTTAATACTTGAAGAATAATTAGAGAAGGATAAAGAGGTAAATTGGGATTATAAAGATTCTGAAAAGGGCTTGGTTTGGTGCTCACGCCTGTAATCCCAGCACTTTGGGAGGCCGAGGCAGTAGGATCACTTGAGGCCAGGCATTTGAGACCTGGCAACGTAGTGAGACTATTTCTACAAAGATTCTGAAAGGGATTTATAACTGTCCGTGGTTTGAGAAGAGAGTTAAAGAAATGAAAGTGGAATAACAAACTGCAAGCAGCAAAAGGAAATGTGTTTATGAAGAATGTCGCCAGGTACGGTGGCGCGTGCCTGTAGTCCCAACTACTTGGGAAGCTGCGGCAGGAGGATGGCTTGAGTCCAAGAGTTCTGGGCTGTACTGTGCTATGCCAGTTGGGGGTCCACACTAAGTTCAGCATCAGTATGGTGACCTCCCAGGAAGGGGGACCACCAGATTTACTAATGAGGGGTGAACTGGCCCAGATTGGAAACAAGCAGGTCAAAACTCCTGCGCTGATCAGTAGTGGGATCATGCCTGCGAATAGCCACTGCACTCCAGTCTGGGCAACATAACAAGACCCTGTCTCTTAAAAAAGAAAAAAAAAAAAGATGCATGTCCCCAGAAAAGAAAGGGGCTGACTGAGGGCTACTTAGCACTGAAGTGACTAGGGAGTAGAGTGTAAGGCAGTGTGCAACTCTTAACATTTCACTGTTTCCTGCCTTTTAAAGCCTTTAATGCTGAGTTAACACCAGTGGAGTAAATGAGATGCTAAAAGCATTGTATGAAATTATTCCTTAAGTGATGTAGTTCCACTTTCTATGATAGACACTGAAACTACAATCTTTTGGTCAAAATAAAGGGTGGACAAGGTGTGGTCACAAAAGCCCAAATGAGTATCAGTTACATTTGACCACTGATAGGCAGCTCAGAGCTTTGTATATAAAGGACTATTTGTACTTTAGAATATAAAATTTTCATCCATGTTTTTAAGAAGATTATAATGGAGCATATATAGAAACCTGATACATGGCACTTAATGTGGTACTGCAGATCAAGTCCCAGAAACATCGCCATTACTGGTATTCAGTAATGGTGCTGGGACATTTGAATTTCTATATGAAAAAATATATGTAAATAAAAATATACATACCATTCTAGATTTGTGTAAGTACACTCTATGTTTGCACAACAGAATCGCCTAACAATGTGTTTCTCAGAATGTATCCTGTCATTAAATGATCTATGACTATATCCATTAAAAACTGTAATGGGCCGGGCACGGTGGCTCACGCCTGTAATCCCAGCACTTTGGGAGGCCGAGGCGGGTGGATCACGAGGTCAGCAGATCGAGACCATCCTAGCTAACACAGTGAAACCCCGTCTCTACTAAAAATAGAAAAAATTAGCCAAGCGTGGTGGTGGGCGCCTGTAGTCCCAGCTACTCGAGAGGCTGAGGCAGGAGAATGGCGTGAACCTGGGAGGCGGAGCTTGCAGTGAGCGGAGATCGCGCCACTGCACTCCAGCCTGGGCGACAGAGCAAGACTCTGTCTCAAAAAAAAAAAAAAAAAAAAAAAAAAAACTGTAATGAACATTCTAACTAGAATATTAGTATTTTAAATTCAGCTACATTTAACACTTTAAGGCCAAAATTTTAAGGTTTACTGACAACAATGTTTAAAGATGTTTTTCCTAATAGTCTTATGAAATTATATAAATACTAGCCAGGTGTGGTGGCTCACGCCTGTAATCCCAACACTTTGGGAGGCCGAGGTGGGCGGATCACGAGGTCAAGAGATCGAGACCATCCTGGTCAATATGGTGAAACCTGGTCTCTACTAAAAATACAAAAATTAGCTAGGCGTGTGGCACACGCCTGTAGTTCCAGCTACTCGGGAGGCTGAGGCAGGAGAATAGCTTGAACCTCGGGAGGCGGAGGTTGCAGTGAGCCGAGATTGCACTACTGCACTCCAACCTGGCGACAGAGTGAAACTCGATCTAAAAAAAACAAAAATTATATAAATACTTCACAGTGTTAAGATAAATTTGAGTAACACTTTTTTTTTTGAGCCAAGGTCTCGCTCTGTCACCTAGACTGGAGTGCAGTCGTGCAAACACCGCTCACTGCAGCCTCGACCTCCTGGGCTCAAGTGATCCTCTCACGTCAGCCTCCTGAGTAGGAGGACTACAGGCCCGCTCCACCACACTCCGCTAATTTTTAACAATTTGTTGCAGAGACAGGGTCTTAACATGTTGCCCAGGCCAGTCTTGAACTCCTGGGCTCAAGTGATCCTGTGGCCTCAACCTCCCAAAGTGCTAGGATTACAGGTGTGAGCCACCATCCCTGGCCCCTTCTTATTTTAAAGATATAAGATTGCTTAGAAGAGTCTGACAAGTTAATAGCTTATATCAATTCTGAAAAGATATTTAACAGAGTAAAATTGTTACTATGAATCTGATACTGCCTCACAAGTGTAATTCCCCCAACCCACAAAAGTCCGTTGATGTTTTCTTATTATTAAAAGAAACAGGGTATCAGTTGGGGCTTAGAAGGCTATTTTATATTGAGATTTTTGTTGACATTAAAGTCAATTTAACAGCATTTTAAGTCCATACTATTAGGAGTAAGCTAAGAAAACTGGAATGTAGTTTTTGTTTTTTTTTAAATTTTTATTATTATTTTTTTAATAGAGATGAGGTCTCACTATGTTGCCCAGGCTGGTCTCGAACCCCTGAGTTCAAGTGATCCTCCCACCTCAGCCTCCCAAAGTGCTAGGATTACAGGCCTGAGCCACCGTGCCTGGCCATAGTTGTTTCTTTAGATAACAGGTGATCAGTCTTATAAGCTACATTTCTGTAAAAACAAAACAGGTGGTCACAAGCAAATACTAAGAATTCTGGATCGTGTAAACAAAAACAGGTGGTCACAAGCAAATACTAAGAATTCTGGATCGTGTCCCTCCATCTACCTCTAAGAAGTAAATTTCTAAAAAGCATGTAGTACTTATGCATTTGGTTAATAGAATTTTACTCCTAGAGAAGTAATTTTGCTTCTCGCTTCAATTACACATTTTCTGAGGAACTACTCACCTTACACAAGCTTTTGCACACAAAAACCAAACAGTAATGAACATGCAAGCAATGTAGTTATAGGACTAAATATTAACTACTGGCTAGGCAGTCTCTCATGTGAAGAGACTGACCCTTTAATCTACCAACATTCTAAAAGAACCTGAAACCTGACACACAGTAAGATTTTTTTTTTTTTTTTTTTTTTTTTTTTTTTGAGATGGAGTCTCACTCTGTTGCCTAAGCGGGAGTGCAGTTGAGTGATCTTGGCTCACTGCAGCCTCTGCCTCCCAAGTTCAAGTGACTTTCCTGCCTCAGCCTCCTGAGTGTCTGGGATTACAAGTGCCCACCACCATGCCTGGCTAATTTTTGTAATTTTAGTAGAGACAGGGTTTCACCATGTTGGCCATGCTGGTCTCGAACTCCTGACCTCAAGCGATCTGCTCGCCTCAGCCTACCAAAGTGCTGGGATTACAGGCATCAGCCACCGCACCGGCCTCTTTATTTTTTTTTATTTTTTGAGACAAGAGTCACTCTGTTGCCCAGGCTGGAGTGCAGTGGCACCATCTTGGTTCACTGCAACCTGTCTCCCAGTTTCAAGCGATTCTTCTGCCTCAGCCTCCTGAGTAGCTGGGATTACAGGGTGTGCCACCACAGCTGGCTAATTTTTGTATTTTAAGTAGAAACGGGATTTCACTATGTTGGCCAGGCTGGTCTCGAACCCCTGGCCTCAAATGATCTGCCCCACCCCCCGGAACCTCCCAAAGTGCTGGGATTACAGGCACGAGCCACTGCACCCAGCCTAGATATTTTAATTTGTAACCTATTTACTAGTTTATAAACAGATGTAGGTTGAGTATGGTGTTTTGAATTATGTGAACCAAACATATACCTAGGGTATCCTCAATATCCTATTTTCATCCAGGGAGTGATTTAAATGCTAAGGTGCATAATCCACATTTAGTACTAGGAAATGTTTTCTAAATATTTAAATAAGAAAAATGAAAGAAGAAATTGACATTTGAATGCCTGTCAGGTACTCGGCATTCTGCTACGCATCTTTTTTTTTTTTTTTTTTTAACCCTAACAACCCAATGGGGCAAATATATCATTTTACAGGTAAAGAAACTGAGGCTCACAGATGTTAGGTAACTTGTCCAAGGTTGCATAGCTAGTAAATGTGTATAGAATTCAAACTGAATTCTGACTTCAAAATCTGTAAATGTCTCACTGAACCATTGGTCCTTAAACCCTTGGGAGTCATGGACTTGTTTCAAAATTGTATAAAACTACATCACCTTTCTTTCGAGAAATGCACACACAGTAGTTTGGCATTTCGCTTTACAGAGCCTAGACCTGAAGCTCTGGGTCTATTATGCCACGTGAAGATACCCTGCACCAGACAGTACTGCATTAAGTAACATATATCTATCTATACAAGTACCCTACATATTCTACTACCCTGTCTTTGGAAAACAAATCTAATTTTTAAATCTAAGAAATTATAATTTTATTTATTTTTGAGACAGTGTCTTACTCTGTAGCCCAGGCTTGAGTATAGTGACACCATCTCGGCTCTCTGCAAACTCCACCTTCCAGGTTCAAGAGATTCTCGCGCCTCAGCCTCCTGAGTAGCATGCGCCACCACGCCCGGCTAATTTTTTTTGGTATTTTTTAGTAGAGACCTGCTTTCACCATGTTGATCTGCCAACCTCAGCCTCCCAAAGTGCTGAGACTGCAGGTGTGAGCCACCAGTCAGCCAGAAATTTAATGTAGTTTAGAAGGATTACAAAAGTATTTCTACATACCTTTAAATTTTGACTAATTTTGCCTCTGGCAATGGGATCAAAATAAATGCAGCAATTCTTATTTGTAATGCAACAGCATGTCTTAGAACAGTTAGATCTCAAGTAAACTTTACAAATAAAGTACTGGAATTAATTTACATTTAAAAATAAATTAGCCCAGTGGCCTAAAATTAAATCCGAGGCTCCAAATAAAAATTTCAGCAAATTCCCCTATTATCTGTTAACACCGAAAAATATCAGCTGCTATAAATTATTTGTGCATTATTCCTGGGGAGAAAGCAAGCAAGCCGCTGTCATGGCAGTCTCTATTTTCTTTGACCCTAACTTATCCTCTATGATCCTGAATAAATGGTAGGTAGTACCCCTGCACTAAACTTGGGAAGTACTTAAATAAATATAGTCTCTTTAAAAGAACTGATCACAGATGTCTAAAATTAAAACGTTTGATTTATTAATAAACAAAGTATCTCTCTTAAATGGGCCAAGAAACAATTCTATGACAAAAGTGAACCCTGGAATATAGATATTCCCAGAAGACAATTTTCCAGGATACCCAGCCAAACAATTTTCACCTAGTCACAAAAGTCATTTTCATCGAAGCCTACAGTCATTCCTTTTTCTAATTCTATTCTCTCATTTCTTTCTAAACATGATTTTAATAAAGCATATACCTGTCAAAGACTTCTCTTTGCAAAAGACATAGGAACAGCAGTCAGGAAGAGGACTCTGAAGCCCAGTCACTCCACAGATCCAAAGTTTATGGCTGTGTGCCCTTGTAACTTAGCCTCTCTGCATCTGTTTCCTTGTCTGTAGTGGTACTAGGTTGGCGCAAAAGTAATTGCGGGATATTTACCTCATAAGAGTGTTGATGGTTAAATACAAGAGTGAATAACTTAAGACATATAGAACAGTGCCAAGCATGTACTAAATGCTCAAAAGAGTTTGAGCTATTATCATTCCAGCTTTTTCATCAAACCAAATGGTATCCTCCTAAGCAGCCCAGGGATTACAATGACAAACCTAGTCAGAGGTAAATCAAAGGATTAAATATGTTCAGGAATACAGAGATTTGTGAATACAGAGTAAAGATACTATAATCAATCCCTAGTTATTATTTTTCACAATGGTACCTAGTTATTATTATTTTTATAGATAAAGGGGTCTTGCTATGTTGCCCAGGCTGGTCTCAAACTCCTGGGCTCAAGCAATCCTCCTGCCTTGGCCTCCCAAAGTGCTAGGATTACTGGTGTGAGCCACTGTGCCCAGCCCCTAGTTTTTAAAATGATTTCACTTATGTGTATGAACCCAAACATTCTGAAAATACTAAAAATTTCTATCAATATCTGTCTTACTCATTCTTCAGATTATCCTTTAGATTTTCAGTAGTGCCACATAATTTTATAACTAAATTTTATTATAGCGGAATAATTCAAAGAGTTGTAGTTTTGAAATAAATTTTGCTATGATTAGAGAAAATCTATTCAGAAAGTACAATATACATTAATTTATGGCACTTGTCCAAATATTACCAGCATACAAATTATTGTTTAAGGTTGTTTCTTACATATGGGATCTAATATGCAAAGAAAACTGGAATTTGTATTCAAAACAAATAGAAGCAACACTGGCTCCTATATACTAAAAATATAAGACAGATTTTTTTCTTAAACACTCTGGATACAAATACTAACTGTATGGATTGAGAACTTTGAAGTTTTCATAATGTAAGTCACAAAGTATACAAGTAGAGCTCTATAAATATATCCCCTATAATAATCATATGCAAAACCATTCTATCACAAACACTACCAAAACCCTTTGAAAAACATAAACTACAACACATTTTCAAAGAAATTATTAGTTATAACAACTACAAAAGCAATAAATATCAATAAAGTTATTTGGCTGTCAGAAATGAAGGGCAGTATAATGTAAAATTCAAATACTGCAAAGTTGTTTTTTGAAGATGTAGTCTCGAGTTTCTTCTTCTTCTTTTTTTTAAATTTTAGAGACAGGATTTCACCATGTTGCCCAGGCTGGTCTCAATCTCCTGGCCTCAAGCAATCTGCCCGCCTCGACCTCCCAAAGTGCTGGGATTACAGGAGTGAACCACCACGCTTGGCCAAGTTTCTTAATACAAGGTACTAAACACTCTTTCAAAAATAATAAGACTTGTTCCATATAAAGTTGAGCAAGAACTCTAAAAAGAAAAAATTAAGCAACAGATGAAAAGTAGGTATGTGGAAATAATGGTATCAAATATGATTTTATACAAAATGTACCATTCTTCAAATGTGTAAGTCTTAATATGAATATTTTTGGATTGTGAGTGTTGCTCAGCCTAATTTTTAAAGAATTAGTCTCAAACCATTCAAAATCCAGTATTTCTCAAAAGTTCTGATATTACTAATGTGGTCATGGTGCAGGATGCAATTTCATGTCAACTTACCTATACTGTTCTACCCAATAAAAATATAACCTTTGAGCTTAGGAGAGAATGTATCTTTTGAATGTTTGATCTCTATATATATTCTACTTTTTGGAACATCAGAATTTTGTAATATGAACTAATATCCACCAGGAATTGGCCCAAGTTTAAACAGAAGACACAAAAGAGACATAGGTGTCAAACAGCTTAAGTCTGCTCTATGCAATTATACAGTCATAGTTACTTTTTACATGAAAGTGCTTTAAAGTCAAAAATATTTGTGTAAAAGGTATTATTAATAGTACTAATACTATGCAAGTAGAATTTTAAAAATTAGTTCCAGTTTACTCATTTCCCTTGAAAAGTACCCTTCTGCCACAATGTAAATAAAAAATGGTCCATAAAATGGTGACATTAGACAAATCATAATTTGTAGTGTGGGCCCTTTAAATGGAGACCAAATTTTTATTAATCCAAAGCTAGAGATTTTATTTCTTCCATATGCCCAAAGTAACTAATATCAACTCGCATTTTCTGTATGCCTTAAAGAATTTTTATTTAACATAATGAGAGTTTAATAACTTATATTAAAGACGGCGTGGTGCTCTTTCTGTTGCTGTTCACCAACTGTTTTTATGACGATAACTTCGAGATCTGGAATGTGACCGAAAATGAGAATGCTTTGCTGTTTGTACTTTAGTTTCAGAATTGGT
This sequence comes from Homo sapiens, assembly GCF_000001405.40. Classification (NCBI taxonomy): domain Eukaryota; kingdom Metazoa; phylum Chordata; class Mammalia; order Primates; family Hominidae; genus Homo; species Homo sapiens. The sequence continues at coordinate 89,098,671 of NC_000006.12, forward strand.
ATACCCTTTGGGAGATTTACACGGGGATCTTGCTATTGAGTCAGAATGTCTTCCATGTGATCTTGATTTTGTTCCTGAGCTAGTCTGCTTTTGAGGTGAACTTGACTGTGATTTTCCTATTGACTTGGACCTCTTTTGTAAGGACTTGGACCTTGACCGTCCTCTAGAGCCAAAATTCCTTCTTGGAGTTCTTGACTGCCTTGCTGAGGTAGACCGCCTTGGTAATGATTTGGAACGAGATTTAGACTGGCTATAAGAAAATCGCCTGTGTCGAGACCTGCAAACATCCATAATGTTAGAGCATATATTTCACACAAAATAAGAGATCAGGAAATAACACTTTCAGGAACTTACATACTTTACATAACATTAGTTATATTTTTACTAGATAAGCTAAAAAAATTTCTCATTTTATTATGCATGCTTTTGGTTCAAACATAAGTAACAAGTTTGTAATATTTGTTATACTAGAATATATGGCCAAAAATTTTTACTTTGCTAGACATATAGGGATCAGTTCTGAAAAATACACTGCATATTTGGTCTGAGTTATACAGCTCTTAAGAGGTACAAAAATCTGAAGAAAAAAAGATTAAAAAAATCAATTATTTACAGTTCAAATAATGCTTATAAAAATAAAAATCTAGATGTAGGACTTTTGGGTCCTGCCATGACAGAACAGCTTGTATTAGACTAATCTTCCCATAGAAAACAGCTCTCTCTCTCTCTCTCCATATATATATACATATATATATGTGTGTATATATATACACATATATATGTGTGTATATATGTGTGTGTATATATATATGTGTGTGTATATATATATGTGTGTATATATATATACACACACACACACACATACATGTTTTTTTTTTTTTTGAGACGGAGTTTCGCTCTTGTTGCCCAGGCTAGAGTGCAATGGCACGATCTCAGCTCACCGCAACCTCCGCCTCCCAGGTTTGAGCAATTCTTCTCTCTCAGCCTCCAGAGTAGCTGGGATTACAGGCATGCGCCACCACGCCCAGCTAACTTTGTATTTTCAGTAGAGATGGGATTTCTCCATGTTGGTCAGGCTGGTCTCAATCTCCCGACCTCAGGTTATCCCCCTGCCTCGGCCTCCTAAAGTGCTGGGATTACAGGCGTGAGCTACCACACCCAGCCGAAAACAACTATATTGAAAAGCTACACAACATTTATAAAACAACTGTTCGAAGGCACTGGAGGATAATCAACACAAGCAGGAAGAACCTGAGGGATTACAAGCCTTGGCTCTTTTACTAAGACCATTTTTCAAATGACAGCATGGAGGAGTTGAGCCCAACCAGAAAATGGCTATTTGACTAAGCTGAAGAGAGAAAAGTTAATTCAGGGCTACCAAAATGGGTGGGACACGAGAGGCAAAAACTCTAGAGAAGAGTGAATTAGAGACCAAAAAGTACCTCTAAAATTTGCCTACAAATTATCCTTAAATCACTGGCCATCTTCTAAGTTGTGTGTGTATGGAAGAGATTCCAAGGGACCAGCAAAAAACCGGAATTCAGAAATTCAAGAACTGCGCTGAAATTTTTATCAGACACACAGTGCTGAGAGAGAGATTAGAGTTCAAACTCCCAAAAGGTCAATGAGGAACATTAGGTAACAACCCAGAAGGGCTACAATCTAGAGGTAAGGGCCATGCCCTAGGAATAAATTCAAAGCCAAAACAAGCAGCTTTAACAACACCCAAAACCAAGCCTTAAGATCAAAGTGATCTGCCAGTACTCTGTCTACCAGAAGAAAACTGTCTTTGGAGAATGATAATGTCATGCAGAGCCTCTATAATTTTTTGTCCATGTCCACATGTTATGTTAAAAAAAAAAAAAACAGGCAAGAATAACTAAAAACTAAGGAAAATAAAAGGCAAAGAATCATTCCCAAAGTGATTTGGATATTGGCATCATCAAACAGGAATTTAAAAAATTACTATGAGTAATATATTTAAGAAAATAAGAGGAAAAGACAAAACAGATAAAAAGATCGTTCAGTGGAAAACTACAATCTATAAAAAGAAACAAATAGACATTTAAAACTAAAAATATATGATATCTGAAATTAAAAAGTCATTAGATGGTCTTAACAGCAATCTAGATATAGCAGAAGAAATAATGAACTAGACTGGGTGCAGTGGCTCATGCCTGTAATCCCACTTTGGGAGGCCAAGGCGAGTGGATCACCTGAGGTCAGGAGTTCAAGACCAGCCTGACTAACATGGTGAAACCCCATCTCTACTAAAAATACAAAAATTAGCCTGGCATGGTGGTGCATGCCTATAATCCCAGCTACTTAGGAGGCTGAGGCAAGAGAATCAATCACTTGAACCTGGGAGGCAGAGGTTGCAGTGAGCCAAGATCGTGCCATTGCACCCCAACCTGGGCAACAAGAGAAAACCTCCAAGACAAAAAAAAAAAAAAAAGAAAAGAAATAGTTAACTAAAAGATCATTAGAAAAACATCCTACCGAAATACAGTGTGAGAAAAGGAATTTTAAGAAATCCCTAAAAGAACACAGCAGATGTATAGCATACAGTCACACAAGCCAGAGGAAAGACTGAATAAGGCAGAAGCAATATTTGAAGAGATAATAGCATAGAATTTTACAAAACTAACAAAAAGCATTAACTCACAATTTCAAAAAGCTCAATAAACCCCACATAGGCAAAGAAAACTACACTGGGCACATCACAGTGAAACTGATGAAAACCAAAGTCAAAGAAAAAATCTGAAAACCGGCCGGGTGCGGTGGCTCATGCCTGTCATCCCAGCACTTTGGGAGGCTGAGGCAGGTGGATCACCTGAGGTCAGGAGTTCCAGACCAGCCTGGCCAACATGGAGAAACTCCGCCTCTACTAAAAATACAAAAATTAGCTGGGTGTGGTGGCGGGAGGCTGAGGCAGGAGAATCGCTTGAATCTGGGAGGCGGAGGTTGTAGTGAGCCGAGATTGTGCCACTGCACTCCAGCCCAGGTGACAGAGTGAGACTCTGTCTCAAAAAAAAATAAAAATAAAAATAAATCTGAAAACCTTGCCAGAGAATGAAAGACAAATTTCTTTCAAAGGAGCAACCACAAGACTGACAACTCACTATGGGTATCAGAAAAACAATGGAATGACATTTTTAAAGAGAAAAATAAAATCACTGCCAATATAGAATTCTATCCTCAGCAAAAATATTTCTCACAAATGAATTTTAAATAAAGATGTTTTCAGACAAAAGCTGAGATAATTCACTATCAGCAGATGTGTACTATAAGAAATACTAAATATTCACTGCCCTGGTACTTCTCGGTGAGCTGAAAGAGGAAAAAAAGAAATACTAAATATTCTTTAGACTGAAGAAAAATGATACTAGATAGTAACATTGAACTAGATGAAGAAATTTAAAAAGCTTTCTTTGGAGAATGATAACACCATGTAGAGCCTCTTCAATTTTTGGTTTTGTTTGTTTGTTTCTGAGACAGAGTCTTGCTCTGTCACTCAGGCTGGAGTGCAGTGGGGCGAGCTTGGCTCACTGCAACCTCTGTCTCCCGGGTTCAAGCGATTCTCCTGCCTCAACCTCCCAAGTAGCTGGGATTACAGGCACGTGCCACCATACCTGGCTAATTTTTGTATTTTTAGTAGAGATGGGGTTTCGCCATGTTGGCCAGGCATGTCTGACCTCAAGTCACCTGCCTCAGCCTCCCAAAGTGCTGAGATGACAGGCATGAGCCACTGCACCTGGCCTCTCTTGAATTTTTTATTATATATTTATACTGAAAATACATTGATGTAGAATATATTCTGGAATAAATTCACAGTCTTTTAGAAATTATTAAATTTCATTCATTTTGTAGACAGCTGTAGGAAGCAAAATGAAGAAAATGTCCTTGAAAAAAAATCCTAACATAGTAAAAGAAGGACGCTATAATATATTTGGACTAAAGAAAAGGGAGTTGAGGAGCAATTTTAACACTGTTCAGGAACATTTAGAGTTCTAACATACACATTCCTTGATATAAAGTTAACAAAGATTTACAGAATACCTTTTTTTACATTTTAATAATTTATTTATTTATTTGTTGTGAGACAGAGTCTTCCTCTGTTGCCCAGGTTGGAGTGCAGTGGTGCAATCATGGCTCACTGCAGCCTTGACCTACTGGGCTCAAGGAGTCCTCACACCTCAGTCCACCCTCTCCCTCCCTCCCAGTAGCTGGAACAGGTGTGTGCCACCACACGTGGCTAATTTTTTTTAGTTTTTGTAGACATGGGGGTCTCACTATGTTGCCCAGGCTGGTCTCTCAAATTCCTGGACTCAAGTGATCTCACCCTGGCCTCCCAGAGTGCTGGGATCACAGGTGTGAGCCACTGCACCTGGCCATAAGACAGTTTTTAAAATGAGAAAAACTGGTGTCAGGGAGGTTAAGCAATGGTCTTATAACAAGTACAAAGCAGAATAGCATTGCCCTGAAAGATGTGGTCCTTCCATCCCTGATACTCCAGGATGATTTGAGACAGTCAAGTATTATACTTTACTTCCACTAGAAGGCAGAAAATGATGTGAATATCCACCTTATTTAAATCAAGCAAGAGAAAAAAACTGGTTCACTAAGGCTGTAATGCATTTAGAAACAATCAATTTAAATTCTTTTTTTTTTTTTTTGAGACAGAGTCTCGCTTTGTCACCCAGGCTGGAGAGCAGTGGCGTGATCTCAGCTCACTGCAACCTCTGCCTCCCAGGTTCAAGCGATTCTCCTGCCTCAGCCTCCCAAGTAGCTGGGATTACAGGCCTGTGCCACCACACCCACCTAATTTTTGTATTTTTAGTAGACACGGGGTTTCGCCATGTTGGCCAGACTGGTCTCGAACTCCTGACCTCAGGTGATCCGCCCCCGCCCTGGCCTCCCAAAGTGCTGGGATTACAGGCGTAAGCCACTGCGCCTGGCCTGAATTTTTAGTAGAGACAGGATTTCACCATATTGCTCAGGATGGTCTTGAACTCCTGACCTCAAGTAATCCACCCGCCTTGGCCTCCCAAAGTGCTGGGATTACAGGCGTGAGCCACTGCACCTGGTCCATATAATTAATTTCTGTTGTGATTCACTATTATTCTAATAGAAATAAACTCCTGGCTAGCAAAATAAATAACTTGAAAATATCTTTTCCCCTGCCCCCAAATTACTATTTAATATGTCTTCTTCAATACTGCCATACTTGGAATTTATTCTTGATAACTTATCTTTTATAAGTAAATTGATTTACATTAACTTTAGTCAACCACCTTTCACAAGGGATTTTATTATATTTCTTTTTTTTTTTTTTTTTTTTTTTTTTGGAGAGACGGAGTCTCACCATGTTGGCCAGGCTAGTCTCAAACTCCTGGCCTCAAGTGATACTCCCACCTCAGCCTCCCAAAGTGCTGAGATTATGGCACCTGGACATTTTATTGTATTTCTTACACATTTAAACATTTTTAAAGTTGAAGATTACAAACTGTTGGGCACATTTAGGAAAATTTTATTTATCTAAAACTCATCACCTTTTTTTTTTTTTTTTTTTGCTTTTTGTTTTGAGACGGAGTCTCGCTCTGTCGCTCAGGCTGGAGTGCAATGGCGTGATCTCAGCTCACTGCAACCTCCGCCTCCCAGGTTCAAGTGATTCTCCTGCCTCAACCTCCTGAGTAGCTGGGATTACAGGTGCGTGGCTACCACACCCAGCTAATTTTTGTATTTTTAGTAGAGGCGGGGTTTCATCATGTTGGTCAGTTTGGTCTTGAACTCCTGACCTCGAGATCTGCCCACCTCAGCCTCTCAAAGTGCTGGGATCATAAGTGTGAGCCACTGCACGCGGCTGAGTATGTATTTTTTTTTACTTTTTTTTTCTGCTCACTATATATTATCTTCTCATGTAAAAAGATAAAGTTAAGTCTGTAACTTTAACAGAAGAATTAATCCCATAAACCCAAGTTAAATAACAATATATGATAAATAGAGAAGAGTGTTATCTTTTAACAAAAATTGATTATGTTTGTACATTAAGCAAAATGACTAAGGTGGACTGTTTATAAAAACTTTAAAATATTTTCCAGGCTGGGTGCAGTGGCTCACACCTGTAATCCTAGCACTTTGGGAGCCTGAGGTGGGAGGAACACTTGAGCCCAGGAATTTAAGACCAGCCTGGGCAACATAGCGAGACCTCCAATCTCTACAAAAAATTAAAAAAATTAGCCCAGTGTGGTGGTGCACACCTGTAGTACCCGCTACTTGGGAGGCTGAGGTGAGAAAATTGCTTGAGTCTAGGAGGTCAAGTCTACAGTGGGCCATGATCGCACACTACTGCACTCCAGCCTGGGAAACAATGAGACCCTATCAAAAAAATATATATCTATTTCCCAGAAAAAGTAGAAAATGAAATTTTCAGTCCTCTTATACTCACTCTTTAAGGCTGTCTGACCGCCTCCTATTTCTTCCCCATGAAGAACTTCTACTTCGAGTTCTTCTTTGGCTGGGGCTTCTTGATCTCCTGTGATCACTTGGAGAACAAGGATGACGTTCTTTTGATTTCATTTGGCCTGGTGCTGGAACATAAAGAACAAGACTTATGACATAATTCGTTACCTGAACACCACAGTAACAACCACTCAACTAGCAATCATTTACTGAAAGAATTTTAAATTAAAAAATCAGTCATCACTGAAACTCATTCTGCTGAATAAATAAAATCTAGCATTCAGTCACACTTACTTTTGCGATCACCTTGTGCAAACTGTATTTCAATCTGACGGCCACATACCCACTTTCTATTGAGGTTATAAAGAGCATCTTCAGCATCTCGAACATCTTCAAATATGACTAGCTGTTAAGGACACTTTGAACATGAGATATCAAGTAAACATATTTTAAAAGCATTATTTACATGTGAAATGAAATTAATAGGAAAATCAAGTTCAAGTTATTAAGCTCACATCTTCAATATAATATGAATAATCAGAAAAAAAACTTTCACTTTTTCTCATGAAAACAAATGACCCATTATGTTTAGAAGAGTGAGTCTAAAAATAAAAAGAACAAAACAAACATGTAACTGTACTTTTAGTGTCTACAATAGTGTGGCTGCAGTATGCATGTATAATTTGAAAACAAGAAAAACAAAAAAAAAGTCCAAATTTGGCTAGCATTATAAAATTACAAACTGTTTAGGACTCACTCCCTTCTTTCAGATAAAGGATCCATCAGATTTTTCACTGAATATCAGCATGCAGAAGCCTTTATTCTGAAATTAAAATTACTCTTTCATTAAAAGGCTTAATTTTAAATTTGACATTTAAGAGAGATTACTTATAAACAAAACTGCACATATACAAGTGAGTTAAAACAAAACCGGATTTAGTGCTTTAAAAATGGTATCTACTTTTGAACCTACCACTTTAAATGTTTATGTTTTTTTCTGTTTTTGAGATGGAGTTTCCCTCTTGTCACCCAGGCTGGAGTGCAATGGCGCGATCTCAGCTCACTGTAAGCCCAGGTTCAAGAGATTCTCCCGCCTCAGCCTTCCAAGTAGCTGGGACTACAGGTGCCCGGCACCACACCCGGCTAATTTTTGTATTTTTAGTAGACACGGGGTTTCACCATGTTGGTCAGGCTGGTCTCAAACTCCTGACCTGAGGTGATCCACCCGCCTCAGCCTCCCAAAGTGCTGGGATTACAGGCATGAGCCACCGCACCCAGCCAAACATTTATGTTTTTACTACTTGGGATATAAATATAAAAGAAACATAAAAGCAATCTGTAAATATCTGGAATTACATATACTGGTTTGTAATATCCCACTAAACTTCCTTATGTATATAAATTATATAATATTAAACCTAGCTATAATGGAAATTAGCTATATAAAAATAAGTAACTTTTTTTAGGAGGTTGTTCACTGGTTTAATTAAAAAAATAACAAACAGAAAAAGCTCAAGATACACAATATAAAACGAGACTGGCAATTACCTCAATGTCACTTGATCTTGAACCTTGACCTTTACTCTTTAAGGCTTGCAAGATGGACTTTATAAGAGACGCAGAACCAACAAAATCAGACTTGGCTTTGACTCTGGAACTCTGAGTAAATGTAGGAAAGCCGAAGTCTCAACCTGGTGTTGGCTTTGTCTTTTGCTTGATAAAGACTTCCCCTCTTCCAGGTCTTTATATCTGTGTCCACCCTCCCTCTTTACTCCTTGATGCTTGAACTTTAGGTGCCTTTTGTCTCGCCTGCTGGGTTTATGCTTGGATTCTAGCTAACAGGTTGGTTCAAACTGGGGGGTGCTTGCCAGCTACTGTGGACTGCTTTAGATCTTCTGAGATAAAGAAATAAACACATTTAATTAGGCAATATTAATCTCATAACATATGCTACTGAATACATATATGTATAAGCACGCATATACAGTATATTCACATGCACACAATAAAATAAAGGATATTGAACATAAGCAAATCCTCTTGGGCGGCGAGTGTAGAAGTCAAGTGGAATGTAAACGTCTACTATAGGGCCATATCGACCAAACTCACGGCGCAAGTCCTCAGGCCTGAAGTGTTTTAGAAATAAGGCAAAGAAATATGAATAGCTGGATTAAAATATTTTGCCTACAGAAATCCACTTGAAACCTTCAAAAGAAAGAACATCATCTAGACCAGCATTATCTAAAATTGTTTTTTGTAAGAATCATGCAAGGTTTTGAAAGAAAGGGAAAAAAGAAAGGAAAAAAACATTCTCAGGCCAGGTGTGGTGGCTCACACCTGTAATCCCAGCACTTTGGGGGACCAAGGTATGTGGATCACTTGAACCCAGGAGTTCAAGACCAGCCTGGGCAACATGGTGAAACCCCGTCTCTACAAAAAAATACAAAAATCAGCCAGGTGTGGTAGCGTGTGCCTGTAGTCCCAGCTACTCGGGAGGCTGAGGCGGGAGAATCACCTGAGTGAGCATGGGGAGGTTGAGGCTGCAGTGAGCCAAGATCACACCACTGCACTCCATCCAGCCTGGGTGACAGAGTGAGACCCTGTCTCAAAAAAAAAGAAAACACGAAAAAAACCTCCCTAGATTCTCAGACCTCTCTTGGAGGTTCTGATTCAGGAAGTATGGATTAGAGGCTGGAAATCTGTATCTTTACAAGCACTCCAGGTGGTTGTTATGCTTAATTTCCAGAAACACTGACCCAGCATATCCACCTCTGAAAGTTATTATAAGACCTAATAAGTAATTGTTTCACTAAGAACACATTCATTTTGCTTCACTTTAATTTCATGTTTATGTTAATCTTGTTTTCAGATAGCAAGAATTAGATTCTAAAGAAGTCCTAAAATTATTTATCAGGCTTTAAAGAAAAATGGATGTTTTAATATTAAACATAAAACAAAGTAACTACTGTATTCCCAAATCTGACAGGTATTTCGAGCCTGCTTATGTGCCTTCTAGTGCGATTAGGTGCTTCAGAAGGGGTACCAAAAAAAAGAAACAGCATGATATTCATCTTCATGGAGCTACAATTTAACTGAAGAGACAAAATATTTAGCAATAATAGCTAACAGTTACAGTGCATTTATATGTTAGCCAGTGTTCACCTTACAACCACTTAATTCTTACAATTTCCCTGTGGTTATTTACAGATGATACAGACAGATTATGGGTGATACAGACAGAATTTCAGGTTATTTACAGGTAATACAGGCAGATTACAGGTGATACAGACAGAGTAACCTATCTAAGCTCACTGAGCCAGCAAGTGACAAAGCTAGAAATCAAATTTTCAGTCTCATACTGGTCCATCTTAACCACTACACCCTACTGCTTCATGGTGCTATCATAGGGATTCAGCATCAAGCTATGATCATAAAATGTGGCTCGGGAGAAATAAAGATTCAAAGATGACTAAGAAGCTTCTAGCTTGGACAAATGGAAAAAAGATGGTGTCAGTGACAAAAATTAGAAGAGAGCTAGATCAAGGAGGAAGAAAAGAGGCAAAAGAAGCAACTTTCAGGTTTAGAAATGCAGTATTTGAGGTGATGGTAGAACACTGATAAGAGTTCTATAAGCAACAGAAAATTGTGATTATATGCATATTAATTAGTGTGTATTAATATAATTATTAGAAGCCAGTGACTAAGGCTAGAGATGGGGATTTAGAAATTACATATAAGATTCAACAAAAATTGACTAAGCATCTACTTTTTGCCAGTAGCTCAGTCAACATTATGACATACTTTATTTCATTTAACACTCATAGAACATGTTTTACTATTAGTTTCTGAGGACAGTGACAATGTCTTTTTTCTTTTACTTATTCAGAATTAAGCAAATACTTATTGAGCACCTACCATGTGCCAGGCTCTAGGAATATAATGAGAAACAAGAAAAACACAATTCCTGCTCCCACAGACCATAGACTGGCATAAAGATTCTCAACCTCTCCTGAGTACTGTAATCATCTGTGAAGGGATGTTACAGACAGAGGCACCCCAACCCGATGCATTAATTCTGGACCTAATTAGTGTTTTCCATAGTGAGGCCCAGTTATGTTTAATTTTTTCAGGACTTCACAGGCAATTCTGAGACTGAAGGTTAAGAATCACTGCTAAAGCAGGTGTCTTCACCAGCATATCTCTGTACCTAATGTAGCTGCTGGGCACACAGTAGGTACTCAATATATATTTGCCTATCAATGAAAAAAGAATACATTACTGTTACCATTTAAGAGTTAAGGAGACTGAGGGTGAGAGAAGTTACCTTGCCCAGAGATCTACACAGCCAGTAGTAGAGCTAGGATTCAAATGAAGGTCTTCTGAGACAACCAATCCCATCAACCAAATGTAGTGGCTAAGAGGAAAGGGATCATAGATAATATAAAAGAGGAGGCTGCAGCACTGTGTGCCACAGAGGTCTGGAGTCTGGAAGCCAAGGGTGATGGGAGTCAGATGGAACAGGTCTTTTCAAAAGAGCCAATTCCCATTCACTGTCTCCACTCCCTCACCTGTTAGCTGTTGTTTTATTTTTGCACTTTTGGTATGATCTACTTCAATATTCAAAAAAGTACAGAGAATAATAAACACCCATGTATCTACCAACAAGATTTATTTTCTGGCCGGGCGCGGTGGCTCACGCTTGTAATCCCAGCACTTTGGGAGGCCGAGGTGGGCGGATTACGAGGTCAGGAGATCGAGACCATCTTGGCTAAGAGGGTGAAACCCCATCTCTACTAAAAATACAAAAAATTAACTGGGCGTGGTGGCGGGCGCCTGTAGTCCCAGCTACTCAGGAGGCTGAGGCAGGAGAATGGTGTGAACCCAGGAGGCGGAGCTTGCAGTGAGCCAAGATCATGCCACTGCACTCCAGCCTGGGCAACAGAGCAAGACTCTGTCTCAAAAAAAAAAAATTATTTTCTCCGTATTTGACATACTTGCCATAATTTTCAGTATTTTTAAAGAAATATTATATCCTTCTGTTACCAATGGAGGGTCTTGCCTATGAGTCCTCCAGGTTCTTGGCATTTTTAACAAAGAATTGGACAAAATGCACAAAGCAATGAAAAAATGAAGCAATGAAAGCACAGATTTATTGAAATGAAAAGATACTCCACAGAGTGGGAGCAGGCTCAAGCAAGCCACTCAAGTGCATTGGTTACAGAATTTTCTAGGGTTTAAATACCCTCTAAGGTTTCCCACTGGTTACTCGGTTACACCCTATGTAAATGAAGACTTGGCCCACCACCAGTCTGGTGGAGGGAGGCGACCAATTAGAGGCTGAAGCAAAGCTACAAAGTTACACATGAAGACTTGGCCTGGGACCAGTCTGATTGGTTGTAGGAGGGGACCAGTCAGAGGTACTTTCCATTTTTTATCTGTAATACAGTGCAAAGGGAGTAGCCTCTGATCCTTTTGTTACTTGGGTGTAGAGAGGTGGAGTTCTCCTTTTGATTCAGTTCTAGGAAGTCACTGTGAATCGGCCTTAGGTTCCCTGCCTCCAGACCCTATTCTCCTGCTTCAGTATCACTAGCAAAGAAATTGGTAGGCTGGAGGGTATGCCTACCTTAGCTTCACTACATGTTCTTCAGAGTGGCCCAACCAACTTACATTTCCAAAAACATGTGTTAGAATTCCCACTGTTGCCCAGGCATGGTGGCTGATACCTGCAATACCAGCAGTTTGGGAGGCCAAGGTGGGAGGACTACTTGAGCCCAGGAGTTCAAGATCAGCCTGAGCAACATAGTGAGACCCCCATCTCTACAAAAAATAAAAAAAAATTAGCTGGGCGTGGTGTCTATAATCCCAGCTACTTAGGAGGCTGAGGAAGAAGAATCACTTGAGCCCAGGAGTTTGAGACTGCACTGAGCTATGATCATGCTACTGCACTCCAGTCTGGGAAGACAGGGTGAGACTTGTCTTTTTTTTTTTTTTTTGGAGATGGAATCTTGCTTTGTCACCCAGACTGGAGTACTGTGGCACAATCTCGGGTCACTGCAGCCTCCACTTCCCAGGTTCAAGCTATTCTCGTGCCTCAACCTCCCAAGTAGCTGGGATTACAGGCATGTGCCAGCACACCTTGTTTATTCTATTATTAGTAGAGATGGGGTTTTGTTATGCTAGCTTTTAAAATTCCTCTTGAAAATATGTTGTAGTTTTTGGTGCAAAGGTTCTGCACATTTTTTGTTAACTGTTTTCCTAAGTAAGTATGCCTTTTGATGCTATGGTAAATGCAACTGTTTTTTAAAATTGTCATTGTTTTCAATTGTTTGCTGTTAATATATAGAAATAAAGTTTTTGTAAATTTACCTTATATCCTCATAACTTACTAAACTTATTAGTTCTAGCAGTTTTTTTGTTCATTCCCTAGTATTTTCTATGTAAGCAAATATGTCACCTAAGAATGGTTACTTTTATCTTTCCAATTTTTGTATTTTATATCTTTTTTCTTGCCTTGTTGCACTGGTTAGGACCTGCAATAAAACGTTGGCGGTTGTGAGTGGCAATCTTTTCTTTTTCCTGATTTTATAAGGAAAGCATTGTCTTTCATCATTAAGTATGATGTTAGCTATGTTTTTTATAGCTGACATTTATTAGGTTAAGAAGTTCTCTTCTATTCCTAGTTTGCTCACACGTTTTGTTGTGTTTTTGTTTTTGGAGACAGGGTCTCAGGTCTCACTCTGTCACCTAGACTGGAGTTCCATTAATACACTATATTTAACATTAAAAAATTATTCCTTTATGCAGTACAAAAGCAAAGATATTATTTTTCCTAAGCTACATCTTGTTTCACCAGTGAAAAGAAACATAACACAAATTTTAAAACTATTTATTTTGAGACCGAGCCTCACTCTGTTGCCCAGGCTGGAGTGCAAGGGCGTGATCTCGGCTCACTGCAACCTCCTCCTCCCCGGTTCAAGAGATTCTCATGACTCAGCCTGCCGAGTAGCTGGGATCCTCAGGTGAACCGCCCGCCTCGGCCTCCCAAAGTGCTGGAATTACAGGCATGAGCCACCTCTCCCGGCCTAAAACTTATTTTTAAAATTTCTTTAGTTCTTGTGTTCAATTTCATTTCTGTCAAATTTTACACTAATTCACAAAGCCTTTTAGTGTCTTCTGCTTTTAATTTTTTAAAAATTTGTTTTGTTTTAAAACATTCTTAGTAAATAAAATTTGAAAAATATTTGAAAAAAGGAAGAAGAAAAGTAAGTCCTACTGTCCAAATTAATTTCTTTCTAGTCTCATTTTCTTTTCTTTCTTTTTTTTTTTTTTTTGGAGACAGGGTCTCGCTCTGTTGCCCAGGCTGCAGTGCAGTGGTGATATCATAACTTGCTCCAACCTTGAACTCCAGTACCTAGGACTACAGGCACGCATCACCATGCCCGGCTAACTTTTTTTTTTTGGTAGAGATGAGGCCTTGCTATGTTGCCCAGGCTGGCCTTGAACTCCTGTCCTCAAGGGATCCTCCTGCCTTGGCCTCCCAAAGCACTGGGATTACAAGCATAAGCCACTGAGCCTGGCCCTAGTCTCATTTTCCATATATAGCTTTTTCCTTTTTTCATTTTTTAATATAGTTATGCACCACATAACAATGTTTCAGTCAATGATGAACCATATATATCATGGTGGCCCCATAATCTTATAACAAAGCTGTCCTAGACAGGTGTACCTTTTAAAAAATCTTTTACACCATATTTTTAGTGTCTTTTCTATGTTTAGATACATGTAGGTAAATGTCTTAAAATTGCCTGCGGTATTCAGTATTGTAACATGCTGTACAGGTATGTAGCCTAGAAGCAACGGGCCACACCACATAGCCTAGGTGTGTAGCTGGCTTTACTGTGTAGTAGGTTTGGGTTTGTACAACAACAAAATCACCAAATGGATTTGTCAGAACCTATCTCTGTCCTTAACTGATGCATGACTGTAACTGAAATCATGCTGCATATATAATTTTACATATGTTTTATTTAACATTTTATCCCAATGATTTATTTTTTTTTGAGACACAATTTCACTCTGTCACCCAGGCTGGAGTGCAGTGGCCGGTATTGGCTCACTGCAACCTCTGCCTCCCAGGTTCATGCGATTCTTCTGCCTCAGCCTCCCTAGTAGCTGGGACTACAGGCGAGTGCCACCACGCCCAGCTAATTTTTATATTTTTAGTAGACACAGGGTTTCACCATATTGGCCAGGCTGGTCTCGAACTCCTGACCTCGTGATCCGCCCACTTTGGCCTCCCAAAGTGCTGGGATTATAGGCGTGAGCCACCGCACCCAGCCCAATTTTTTCTATTATTAGTAGAGATGGAGCTTCACTATGTTAGCCAGGCTCATCTCGAACTCCTGACCTCAAGTGATCCACGTGCCTCGGCCTCCCAAAGTGCTGGGATTATAGATGTGAGCCACCGTGCCAGGCCCCAAAGATTTTGTTTATAAGCATACTAAATGTTAAAGCCTATTTATTTATTTATTTTTGAGACAGAGTCTCACTCTCACCCCCGGAGTGCAGTGGTGCCATCTTGACTCACTGCAGCCTCGACCACCTGGGCTCAGGCGATCCTCCCACGTCAGCCTCTCAAATAGCTGAACTACAGGTGCGCACTACCACACCTGGCTAATTTTTGTATTTTTTGGTGAGACAGGGTTTTGCTATGTTTCCCTGGCTGGTTTCAAACTCCTGAGCTTAAGTGATCTACCCACCTCAGCCTCCAAATGTGCTGGGATTACAGGCATGAGCCACTGTGCCCTATCTTTAAAGCTAATTTTAAAAGTGTCTACATGTCACATTGCTAGTTAACTTATACTGTATACTACTTTGTACTAAAAGGTTAATACAGATTACATGTGATGATTCTAATTTCATATCATCACTCACCTGCTATTCGATCTTAGGCAAAATACTTAACCTAAACGTTGATTTCTCATCGGTAAAATGGGGTTAACAAAGAACATACGGCCAGGCGCAGTGGCTCATGCCTGTAATCCCAGTGCTTTGGGAGGCCAAGGTGGGCGGATTACCTGACATCAAGAGTTCGAGACCAGCCTGGCCAACATGATGAAACCCCGTCTCTACTAAAAATACAAAAATTAGCCAGGCATGGTGGCACACATCTGTAATCCCAGCTACTCGGGAGGCT
The DNA here is from genome assembly GCF_000001405.40 of Homo sapiens. NCBI lineage: Eukaryota > Metazoa > Chordata > Mammalia > Primates > Hominidae > Homo > Homo sapiens. Next base: position 89,114,329 of record NC_000006.12, read on the forward strand.
GAGGCAGGAGAACTGCTTGAGCCCAGGAGGCGGAGGTTGCAGTGAGCCGAGATCGTGCCACTGCACTCCAGCCTGGCTGACACAGCAAGACTCTGTCTCAAAATAAAACAAACAAACAAAAAAACCACCATACATTATAGGGTTACTGCGAAAATTTAATATATGTAATGTTTTTAGTATGGCACCTAGTACACAGTGAGTATTCAACAAATGTTAGAGATTTCATTCATGTAATATAATCTTGTAGATTTTGATTGTCTGCCAGTGGCAAAGCTAAAAAAAAAAAAAAGTGAAAAAATGGAAAAGGAAATCAGTCAATCTCAACTATCAGTCTCAATCACTCACTGGTGAATGAAGTACATAGATCAGAGATCAGGTGTCACCTGCAGATGTGTTTTATTTGGCCTGCATGACGTTTAAACATTTTTAAAATGCGTATAAATATGAAATTGCCAATATTTTACTGCTTTTATTTTTTTAGTTTTTGAGACAGAGTCTCGCCCTGTCGCCCAGGCTGGAGTGCAATGGTACTATCTCGGCTCACTGCAACCTCCACCTCCCGGGTTCAAGCGATTCTCCTGTCTCCGCCTCCCGAGTAGCTGGGATCACAGGCACGCACCACCATGCCTGGTGAATTTTTTGTATCTTTAGTAGAGACGGTGTTTTACCATGTTGGCCAGGCTGGTCTCAAACTCCTAATTTCGTGATCTGCCCACCTCGGCCTCCCAAAGTGCTGGGATTATAGGCGTGAGCCACCACGCCCGGCCACAGCTTTTATTTTTTTAGACTCTCTAAAGGTCTCTCTGTCACCCAGGCTGGAGTACAGTGATGTGATCATCGTTCACTGTAACCTTGACCTCCCGGGCTCAAGTGACCTCCCGGGCTCCCACCTCAGCTTTCCCAGTAATTGGGACTACAGGTGTCATACACCAGGCTACATTTTATAGCTTTCTTTTATTTATTTATTTTTTGAGACAGAGTCTCACTCTGTCGCCCAGGCTGGAGTGCAGTGGCCTGATCTCGGCTCACTGCCAACCTCCACCTCTGGGGTTCAAGCGATTCTCGTGCCTCAGTCTCCTGAGTAGCTGGGATTACAGGCGCCAGCCACCACACCTGGCTAATTTTTGTGTTTTAGTACAGACGGGGTTTCACCAGGTAGGCCAGGTTGGTCTCGAACCCCTCACCTCAAGTGATCCGCCGAACTCGGTCTCCTAAAGTGCTGGGATTACAGGCGTGAGCCACCGCGCCCAGCCTTATATTTTACAGCTTTCAAATCTACAAATGGGGTTTTCTTTTTTCTTTCTTTTTTTTTTTTTTTTTTTTTTGAGACGGAGTCCTCGCTCTGTCTCCCAGGCTGGAGTGCAGTGGCGCGATGTTGGCTCACTGCAAGCTCCGCCTCCCGGGTTCACACCATTATCCTGCCTCAGCCTCCTGAGCAGCTGGGACTACAGGCACCCGCCACCACGCCCGTCTAATTTTTTTATTTTTAGTAGAGACGGGGTTTCATCGTGCTAGCCAGGATGGTTTCCATCTCCTGACCTCGTGATCCGCCTGCCTCAGCCTCCCAAAGTGCTGTGATTACAGGCATGAGCCACCGCACCCGGCCACGAATGGGATTTTCATATGATTCAACTTAATGCATCTAAAGACTAAGATTACACATACAAAATCCAGATTTCTGATTTCTCTTTACAACTAGTAAGATATATCAACAATAAGTCCAGATGTCTACATGGCAGCTGTCAGCTGGAGCCTAGAGGCAGATGCTGCACCTTTTAGATGGCATATTTCCTTTTCTATTTGCTATTCTATTTCTATTTGATAGTCCACACCATCCTACTGTGCCTTATAGGCTGGCAGCTTCACTCGTTTATATTACCCCGGCTGGCCCCTGTGAACCATTAGAATTGGAAACCTCTGATTTTTCTACAGACACCCTGAAGAGGCTTGATGCTTATTCCATTTTCAAGTTGTCTGTTCAACTGCAAGGTTTTTTAATTCTGCCCAAATCATAAATTATGTTCGTGTTTTCTATGTAATATATTGATAAAAAGGCTGACAGAAGAAATGTAAACAAGGCACCTTTTAGATGTTAACTAAGATATATTAACCACAACATATAGTTGTGATACATGTACTTGCGGTGATCAAATAAAAAATACTTGGCCGGGCACGGTGGCTCATGCCTGTAATCTCAGCGCTTTGGGAGGCCGAGCTGGGCGGATCACTTGAGGTCAGGAGTTGGAGATCAGCCTGGCCAACATAATGAAACCTCATCTCTACTAAAAATATAAAAATTAGCCGGGTGTGGTGGCACACGCCTGTAATCCCATCTACTTTGGATGCTGAGGCAGGAGAATCGCTTGAACCCGGGAGGCAGAGGTTGCAGCCAACCAAGATCGGGCCATTGTACTCCAGCCTGGGGGACAAGAGCGAGACTTTGTCTAAAAAAAAAAAAAAAACTAAAAAATAAAAAATACTTAACGTTTATTTACTCCTCAAAGGTAAATTATAATACTCATCTCAGATGACTATGGAGTCAAGAGCTCCATGTATCTATACCTCTCTGGCCCCAGGTAAATCATTAAAACTCTTAGTTTCCGCTCTCCCTTATGTACAATAAAACAGTACTGCATAGGTAGAAAGGCTGGGGGGAAGTAAATGAAGCCCAGTGAAATGAGAATGTCTATTAACACCGTTCCCTCTCCCCCCGCCCCCAATTTCTTCAGCTCCATTAAGGAAGGAAGTGCTATATGAAAAAGTCATTCCTTAGTATCTGTGTTCAGACACTCTGTAGACAAAATTCTCAACGGAGGGGTGGGGCATCAGAATCAACCAGGTGAGCCTATACTCACGCCCTTAAAAAGGGTGTTAATACTGGACTCAGAACTTTAAAGAAAAACGCACTGATCTCATTCATTGAAGTTATTTTTTGTATGCAGAATAAAATTGTGTGAATAAAATGCAAGCAGCACCGTCTGTAAGTAGACCAGAACTGGGGGAAAGAAACTGTAAGGCCCGAGTACGCATTATGGTACAAAACGTTCTCACCAGCCCCAATTCCTCTCCATCTAGGAGGGTTGGATGCGCGCGATTTTATCGGGGCACGGCGACAAAGGAGCTGAAACGCGGGCACTCGCTGGAGCGCAAACCCTCCCGACTCCCGGCGGGGAGCGACCTGAGCTCGGGAGAGGGGCGCCCCGTGTCCCACGGCCCGCCGGCTGCGGTGCTGAACCGCGGAAAGCGACGCGGGCCCGGGACACGATGTGCGCGGCGCCGGGGCTGAAAGCTGGCCGGGAGGGCGGAGGCGCGAGTTCCGCCCTGGGCCGCGGAGTAGTCCGAGGGCTCACACCTCCCCAAGTGGCGCAGCCTGGGCCCGCGGGGAGGCTCCGCGCAGCTCCCCCGAGCCTCCGCCGGGCCTCGGCCGTGCTCCGCGGCGCGGCTGTTACCCCGCCCCTCCTCCGCGCCCCCAACCTGCAGCCGCGGCCGTTCACCTGGTGGCGTCCGCGACGTTCCTGATGAACAGGGAGGTGTTGGGGGGCCTCGTGTAGCGAGACATGACCGCTTCCTCCGTTCCCTCCGGGTCTGCCCGCGGCCGCTGGACTCGCTCCGTCTCCCGCTACCGCTGCTACCACCACAGGAGCTCCGCCGGCCCCCGGCGCGACCCCCACCCCTCGGCCTCAGCCCCGCCAGCGCGCAGCCGCAGAGGCCGGCGCAGAGGGGGCGCAGCGCGGCGCCAGCCTGGACGCACGGGCCGGGGGCGGGGGCGGCGCCGGCGCGGCCCAGGGGCCGCGGGAATTCCGAAGACAGGAGCGCGGCCGTTCCCAGGCCCTATGGGATCCGGGTATGGGGGGTCCTGGAGTGCGACGGGATTTGGGGAGGGGGCGGCGAGGGCCAGTGTATGTCAGGAGGGCGGAGGCCAAGAGGGGGCTTGAGGCCGCGGCGGGGACGCCGGGGGTTAGAGGACCCAGAGGTGGTGGCGGGGCTGCGGCTGGGCGGAGGTGGGGTCAGTGAGAGCCGCTTTCAACCGCGCCCCCGCTCAGCCTCCGCGGCCCTCAGCGCATCGTCCTGAGCGCAGGACCTTGGCAGTTGGTAGGCCTCCTGCCCCTCTGGTCTTGAGCCTTCGGCTTTCCAACTGTGAGGTCTCGGTTTTGTTCGGATTTGTTTTTTTAATAGAGACGGGGTCTCGCTGTGTTGCCCAGGTGGTCTCAAACTCCTGGGCTCAAGCCTCTCCCGCCTCGGCCTTCCAAAGTGCTGGGATTACAGGTGTGAGCCACCGCGCCTGGCCTGTTGGATTTTTAAGTATTATATGATTCTTCATCCTTTATTCACTTGGGGCATAACACTCAGCTGTGAGTACATTCATTCAGATGTTTATTGAGCGTCTACTATGCGCCAGGCACTTAGCGTGGGATATAGCAATGAACAAACAGGCCAAGCCCCGCCCTCTGAGCTTACATTCTAGAGGGGGGACAAACGAATGTACAAATGAATACATGATGTAGAAGACAACAGTTTAAATGCAGGGACAGTTAAGCAAAATTTAAATTACCCTCTCCCTATTCCCCCAAAATGTTGTAGCCCATCCCCTTCTAGTTAGACTCGTCTTCGCCTTGCTCCTGTGGCCGGCAGGCACAGCCTGTTATTCAGGGCTGGGAGTGTAACCAGGCAACTCCTAAGTGTGAAGAGTGCCCCTTTTCGCTCGCAGAAGTGGTAGGCTTTGAAGAATACATGTCGTGGTCACCCTTCTAGCTCACAGCCCTCCCAGAGGCTGTGGAGGTTCCTGGGTCTGCAGCTGTACTGGAACGGTGGCTATTCTTTCATTCAGAAGGGATTGCTCTGGCACTGCAGGCACAGGGCTAGACTGGCACCGTGCCTATTCCCCTAGAGCTTAGAATTTGGTAGGGAGGCAGAATCTAACAATCACACTGGTAAAGATACAAACTATAATACAGGGCTATGAAAAGAACTATATGCTGCTGAGAGCAGGCATTGTGGGATGGTGAGCAAGGCTAGAGGGTCACTTATGTTCCCTGAACAAGTCTTGAAGAGATGGGTAAAGAATGGAGAAGAGTAATTAGTGCAGTGGAACAGCACGTGCAAAGGCTTTGAGGCAATATAGTAAATGAGGCAAAACAGGAGCATGAGGCTGGAGAAGAGTTGGAAAATGAGGCTGGAGAGCAGGCTGGATTCATAATACAAAAGCTTAGAATGCTTACCATGTGTTAGTTGGCTAGGGCTGCCATGACAAAGCACCACAGATTTGGTGGCCCGAAACAACAGAAATTTATTCTCTTGTAGTTCAGAGGCCAGAAGTCTGAAATCCAGGTGTCCGCAGGGCCATCATCTATCTGAAGGCACTCTAGGGGAATCCTCTGTTTCTTCCAGTCTTTGGTGGCCCCACACATGTTTTGGCTGTGGATACATAGATCCAGTCTCCACTTCTGTCTTCACATGGCCTCCTGTCTTTCTCTCTCTCTTTCTCTGTCTCTCTCTCTTTTTATTTTAGATGGAGTCTATGTTGCCTAGGCTGATTTCAAACTCTTAGGCTCAAGTGATCCTCCTGCCTTGGCCTCCCAAAGTTGAGATTACAGGTGTGAGCCACTGTATTAGTCCGTTTTCACACTGCTGATAAAGACATACCCAAGACTGGGGAGGCCTCACAATCATGGTGTAGGGCAAAAGGCACATCTTACATGGTGGCAGACAGAGAATGAGAGCCAAGCGAAAGGGGTTTCCCCTTATAAAACCATCAGATCTCGTGAGACTTATTCACTACCAGGAGAACAGTATGGGGAACTGCCCCCATGATTCAGTTATCTCCCTCTAGGTCCCTCCCACAATACGTGGGAATTATGGGAGCTAACAATTCAAGATGAAATTTGGGTGGGGACAGAGCCAAATGATATCAGCCATCTATCCTATCCAGTTCTATCTCTTATAAGGACATTTGTCGTTGGATTTAGGGCCCACTTGGTTAATTCAGAATGATCTCATCTTGAAATCCTCACTTACATCTGCAAAGATTCTTTTTCCAGATAAGGATACATACCTGGAGATAGGACTTGGACATGTATTTTTGGGGGCCGCCATTCAAACCACTACATTGACTTTGCAAATAAAAAACTTGACCAAAGAAAAGAAACTTGACCTGGTGGGTAGTCACAATTACTCATCCCTGACATACTGTTAAGTGGAGAAAAATCAATTCATGAGACATGTAAACGATTAACCTATTTAGTTAAAAATATATTGGCCAGGCGTGGTGACTCATGCCTGTATCCTGGTGCTGTGGGAGGCCAAGTTGGGAAGATTGCTCCAAGCTAGAAGTTCGTGACCAGCTGGGCAACATAAGAGAATCTCCCCATCTCTACAGAAAATTAAAAAAAAAAAAATTAGCCAACCATGGTGGCACATGCTTGTAGTCCTAGCTGCTCAGGTGGCTGAGGCAAGAGGATTGCTTGAGCCCAGGAGTTGGAGGCTGCAGTGAACTATGTTTGTGCCAGTGCACTGCATTCCAGCATGAGTGACAGAGCAAGACCCTGTCTGTAAATAAATAAATAAATTTATCTGTATGTTCATGTATAAATAGAATTTTTCTATTCTATTTTTACCTATTCAGGTATAGGTATTATACTCTGATACTTGCTTTCTTCTTATCTTTTAGTATTGTCAGATTTTTTTAATGCTTTTTATAAATATAGAAAAAAACCACAAAGCTCTTTACAGTTTGAAAAAAGCTTTTGTAGGAGTATCCAAAAATACTTAGCATGCATGTATGGATAGGGGGTGTTTTTTCTGTTCCTTTTGATGGAAATACCTGAGGAAAGGGTCTTCAACTGTGTAAGGAGTTTCTCTTAGCAACTTGAACTTAAAAGGTAGCTGGAATTGATATAAAATAAGTTGTGGAGCCATAATTATTTATATTACATAAAAACGTATGTTCTTTTTTCCAGATATGATTTGAGGCAGCTAGTGTAAAGTGTAAGAAAGCTGTTTTCTGGTTGGAAGGCCTAAGGAGAGAACATCGTCGGGCACGGCCAACTAAGGAATGTTACAGTCAGCTTGGCCAGTGTCTTGCCCTGGTCCTTAAACCAGTTGAGATGAGTAACTGATGAAGCTGTATTTTGTCTTCCCTTTGGCAGATTAGGATACTTGAAGAGGTAGGGGAAAGGCTTAGGTCAAGAGTAAACACCCTGCCTGTCCCTGGACTCATAAACATATTCATATTTACCCTTTGTTCTAGAACTTAAGTGCCATTTAACAAAAGTATTGCTTTATTGAATCATTGCTTTAAGGCACCAAATGGTACCCTCCAGGCTTAGGAGAGTTAATGTTTTTCTTAAATTGCCTGAGGATTCCCAAGGAGTATACCACTGGCAAATCTGACAACTGTTCCCATAACAAAAGCCTCATTTTTACATGAGAGTTTCATATATTGTTCTTCGAAGTAACTGTTGCTTCCATTACTTTTTATTTAATACATTTAAAAAATTATGATCAATTAAATGCTTTTTAAGTTTTCACCTAAGAGAGACTTTGATTTGAAAATATTTTAGGAAAACCTGTGTCATATCTCATTTAGATATCATCACCTGACTTTTCAAAAGTAAATACATTTTAAACTTTTTCATTGGAATCACGGTTTTATAAAGTGTATTGCAAGAAAAATTCAGAATCTCTTTTCAGTTTTACAAGTCTTTAAAATTAGTAGTCTATGTTGTGTTTAAAATAGAGCCACATGTGAATCTATTTATAATGTTTGGTTGTTTACTCCTGAATCCTGTCTTTGGGGAAATTGCTGATATGACAATAACTTACTGTCATTTAGAATCTAAACACTTAGGACTTTCCTCTTATCTCTACCTACCTGCACATAGTCTGAGCTGACTATCTCTTACATTCTTTTTGTCTCTTAGAAACATCTATTCTGAATGGTACAGGAGAAGCACAAACCTCTCAATATCATCAGTAGATTTGTGGGAGAAGAGTTTGGGTTATTAGTAAAGTTCACAATTCAAGGCTGTCACTATTTCTTCCTAATTACCATGGATAATCAAGAAGTTGAGGCAGGTTTACAATGTTGAGCAATACATACGATATTTGTTATTCTAAAGCAATCTGATAGAGTATGTGGTTGAATAAGCTTTTCTTCCATTTCTTAAATGGCTCAGAATGGGCTAATTATCAGGTCTAATCAAGAAGTCAAATAGTAAAAGACTGATTAATATTTTAACTGCATTAAACAATACATCTGATTAATATCTTAATCAGATTAATTAACTAGTTTTGTTTATTACTGTCATAGTGGATAACTAGAACTAATTGAAAATTAAATTGTATTTAGGTAGGTATTAGTGTCTTGAAATTTGTGTGATTAAAAAGTACCTTGAAGAAACAGTGTCAGGATTAATGAAGTCAACAGAGAATATCATTTTATGTTGTGAACTCACTCTCCAACAGATGGTGCTAGCTTTCCTCTAGTGAGAGCTGCCATGGCCTATCCTTTCTTAAAACAAACCATGAAGAGTGATGTGGGGATTTGTATAGAACACATTGTAAACATTTTTCTATTACCTATGTACTTTGGTTTATAAGACATCATCATTCCACACAATCAGTTGGAGAATCTATGATTGTATCCTTTTATGAATTTGATCTCTTCTGCTATAGCCATAAGAAATCATGTTTTTAAAAAGGTCATTTGTGTGATAATAATGTAACTAGGAGGGATCAAACTAACTTTTTCAGAAAAGTCAACTTAGAAGGCCTGTCACTTTTCCTGTATATTCCCTAAAATGATGTTGGGTATTGAAAATCTTGGGGGGGTGTTTCTTTCTAATTAATTTGCCATTTGCTTAGTGTTGATCTATTGTATGTGAAGCACAGTGCTAGGAACTGGGGATGAAAATAGAAGTTATGCTCCTTAATTCTCAAGGACCTAGTCCATTGTTTCCCAAACTTAAGTCGTTTTCATCCATCCTGTGAGATTTTTGCCATAATGATGTACTTCTTTACCATAATATGTTTACTTTAAATTAGCTCACTTTTATTTAAAAAGAAAGCTCTATCACCAATATTAATTTTTAAAGTTTTATGGACAGAAGGAGAGCCAGGCACAGTTGCTCATGCCTGTAATCTCAGTGCTTTGGGAGGCTGAGACAGGAGGATTGCATAAGGGCAGGAGTTTGAGACTAGTCTGGGCAACATACGATACCTCATCTCTAATAAAAATAAAAACAAATTAGCTGGGCATGGTGGTGTGTGCCTGTAGTCCCAGCTACTCAGGAGGCTGGAGCACAAGAATCTCATGAACCCAAGAGGTGGAGGTTGCAGTGAGCTGAGATCGTGCCACTGCACTCCAGCCTAGGCAACAGAGTGAGACTGTCTCAAAAAAAAAAAAAAAAAAAGGTTTATAGACAGAAGGAGAGCCAGGCACAATGGCTCATGCCTGTAATCCCCGTGCTTTGGGAGGCTGAGGCAGGATGATTGAGGCCAGGAGTTCAAGACTAGTCTGGGCAACATATGATAACTCATCTCTAGTAAAAATAAAAACAAATTAGTTGGGCATGGTGGAGTGTGCCTGTAGTCCCAGCTACTCTGGAGGCTGAGGTGGGAGGATCACTTGAGTCCAGGAGGTTGAGACTGAAGTGAGCTGTGTTCGTGCCACTGCACTCTAGCCTGGGCAATAAAGCAAGATCATGTCTCAAAATAATAATAATAAACAAAACCATGTTGGAAATTCCAGCCGATTACTTTTGTCTGCGCAGGCTCCAAGCCTGCTCTCTCTTATAAAAGGGAAATTAATCACTCAATATAGAGATGTTGAAGACATACTGGCACAAAACTAAAACTTTCTCCCTAATGTAAATATGGAAAGGGCCTAGTCTGGGCAACATACGAAACCTCATCTCTAATAAAAATAAAAACAAAGTAGCTGGGTATGGTGGTGTGTGCCTGTAGTTTTAACTCTCACACTATGCAATTCCACATTTAATGTCTCATCAGTGTAACATATAAAACTAAATAGTACCACCACTGGTGAGTATCTTTAATTTTTGAGAGACGTTCTTGCTAGAGATAGACACGTATGTAAATAAGTCATTATAATATTGTTTCATTAGTGCCACATAAAGGTATTTCGGAGTAGTATGGAGGATATAATGGAAACAGATTAGTTCTCTGGCGGGGAGTACTAGGAGTTATTTTAGAGGAAATCAATGTTTGTGCTATTTATTGGATTAAATTCACCCAGGAATAAAAAAAGCAAAGTGAACTCGATGAGCAAAGGGACATTTGTGGTGAGAGTAGTGTAGTGTTGCTGAACTAGGGGAGAAGGAAGGAAGAATGCTAAAGAGATTGGAATGGAGATTTAGAGCCAAAGTTGTTTTTGTTGTTGCTGTTGTTGTTTTTTTTTTTTTTTTCAATTCGGGGTCTTGCTTTGTTGCCCAGGCTGGAGTGCAGTGGTGCAGTCATGGCTCACTGCAGCCCCAACCTCCTGGACTCAAGCAATCCTCCCACTTCAGCTTCCCAAGTTGCTGGTGCTACAAGTGTGTACCACCATGCCCTGCTAATTTTTAAATTTTTTATAGAGGTAGGTCTTGCTATGTTTCCAGGCTGGTCTCACACTCCTGGCCTCAAGTGATCCTCCTGCCTCAGCCTTCCAAAATGCTGGGGTTACAGGTATGTAACCCCACTGTACCTGGCCCCATCAAGATTTTTTAAGCAGGAGATTAAGATCAGATTTGTGTTTAATAAGGATATTCTGACAAAAATGTGGAGGATGAATTGGAACAGTAGAGACTGGTACAAGCAGATCAGTTAAAAGGGTCTTGTGTGTGATATATTTTCTCTTTTAAAAAGTATTTCTCACCGGGCGCGGTAGCTCACGCCTGTAATCCCAGCACTTTGGCAGGCCGAGGTGGGCGGATCACGAGGTCAGGAGATCGAGACCATCCTGGCTAACACGGTGAAACTCCGTCTCTACTAAAAATACAAAAAATTAGCTGGGTGTGGTGGCAGGCGCCTGTAGTCCCAGCTACTCAGGAGACTGAGGCAGGAGAATGGCGTGAACCTGGGAGGCGGAGGTTGCAGTGAGCCGAGACCGCGCCACTGCACTCCAGCCTGGGTGACAGAGCGAGACTCCGTCTCAAAAAAAAAACCATTTCTCAGCTGGGTGCAGTGGCTCATGCCTGTAACCTCAGAACTTTGGGAGGCCAAGGCAGGTGGATTACCAGAGGTCAAGAGTTCAAGACCAGCCTGACCAAAATGGTGAAACCCCGTCTCTACTAAAAATACAAAAAAATTAGCCGGGCGTGGTGGCGGGTGCCTGTAATCCCAGCTACTCGGGAGGCTGAGGCAGGAGAGTCTCTTGAGCCCAGTAGGCGGACGTTGCAGTGAGCCAAGGTCGCACCATTGCACTCTAGCCTGGGCAACAACAGCAAAACTCTGTCTCAAAAAAAAAAAAAAATTCTCAGCCAGGCACAGTGGCTCATGCCTGTATTCCCAGCACTGTGGGAGGCCCAGACAGGCGGATCACTTGAGGTCAGGAGTCCGAGACCAGCCTGGCCAACATGGCAAAACCCCATCTCTAGTAAAAATACAAAAATTAGTTGGGCATTGGGGTGGGTGCCTGTAGCCCCAGCTACTTGAGAGGCTGAGACAGGAAAATCACTTGAACCTGGGAGGTGGAGGTTGCAGTTAGCTGAGATCATGCCACTACAATGCAGCCGGGGCGACAGAGTGAAACTCTGTCTCAAAAAAAAAAAAAGTAAAGTATTTCTTGGCTGGGCATGGTGTCTCATGCCTGTAGTATCAGCACTTTGGGAGGCCAAGGCAGGAGGATGGCTTGAGCCCAGAAGTTGGAGACCAACCTGGGCAACAAAGTGAGACCCCGTCTCTACAAAAAATTAAAAAGTTAGCCAGGTGTGGTGACACGCATCTGTAGTCCCAGCTACTGGGGAGGCTGAGGTGGGAGGATCACTTGAGCCTGTGAAGTTAAGACTGCAGTGAGCCATGATTGCACCACGGCATTCCAGGCTGAGGGACATAGAAAGACCTGTCTTAAAAAAAAAAGGCCTGGCATGGTGGCTCACGCCTGTAATCCTAGCACTTTGGGAGACCGAGGCGGGTGGATCACAAGGTCAAGAGTTCAAGACCAGCCTGGCCAAGATGGTGAAACCCCATCTCTACTAAAAATACAAAAATTAGCTGGGCATGGTGGCAGGCGCCTATAATCCCAGCTACTCGGGTGGCAGAGAATTGCTTGAACTTGGAGGTTGCAGTGAGCTGAGATTGCGCCACTGCACTCCAGCCTGGGTGACAGAACGAGACTCCATCTAAAAAAAAAAAAAAAAAAAAGGAGTTATTAGCATTGTCCACTGAAAAGGCTTAGAAACAATGACCAGCCCAGTACCATTTGGCACCCCTTATGGCCCAGACCATACTCCCTAAATATAATTTTGTCTTAAAATAAACAATGACTTTTTGGAAGTGTGGCTGATTCCATGCTTGAGGGAAAAATGTACACAATGAACCTAAAATATCTTGTCATATCAGAAAAAAGTTATCAAAAGCTTCTGGGGTCATGTGAAAAGGATTCCAAAGACAATCCTGGCTAGAGATAAGACAATTTGAGTAGCAATAAGAACAATAACTGCAATGAATTAAAACATATCAAATATTTTTAAGTGCACAAGTTCATAATTATACTAAAAAACAACCCTAATTGGTCACCTTTGGATCCTAACTTTCCTGTATAAATTTATTCCTCAGGGTAACCCAAATGGTTGATGAAGGAAGTTTTGTTTTGTTTTGTTTTTCTAAAAGTATTCCAGTCAATAAAATAAAGAGGAGATGATAGAATTATAATGTCATAATTTTGCAACCCCTAATGAAGTAGTGGGTCCAGGCAATGGCCATAAATGACTGCTAAATTAATACAAAGAGAAACATCCATTATATGCTCTTCTGAAGGAAGTTCACATCAGTACCTGTGAAATGCTTTTTTTTTTTTTTTTGAGACGGAGTGTCACTCTCTTGCCCAGGCTGGAGTGCAGTGGTGTGATTTTGGCTCACTGCAACCTCTGCCTCCCGGGTTCAAGCAGTTCTCCTGCCTCAGCCTCCCGAATAGCTTGGATTACAGGCATGTGCCGCCAAGCCTGGCTAATTTTGATTTTTGGTAGAGATGGAGTTTCACCATGTTGCCCAGGCTAGTCTCAAACTCATGACCTCAGGTGATTCACCCATCTCAGCCTCCCAAAGTGCTGGGATTACAGGCCAGAGCCACTGCACCTAGCTGAAATGCTCTTCCAAAAACACTGAGTCTAGCCTAGCTCAGCATTGGTTAATAGAACTTTCTGTAATAATGGAAGTGTTCTATATCTGCACTGTCCAATACTGTGGCCACTAAACACATGGGACTATTTAAATTTAAAATAAAATTTTAAATTCATTTAGTCCTGTTGTGGGAAGTCAGGGACCCCCAAATGGAGGGACCGGCTGGAGCCGCAGCAGAGGAACATAAATTGTGAAGATTTCATGGACATTTATCAATTCCCAAATAATACTTTTATAATTTTTATGCCTGTCTTTAATCTCTTAATCCTGTTACCTTCGTAAGCTAAGGATGTACATCACGTCAGGACCAGTGTGATAATTGTGTTAACTGTACAAATTGATTGTAAAACGTGTGTTTGAACAATATGAAATCAGTGCACCTTGAAAAAGAACAGAATAACAGCAATTTTTAGGGAACAAGAGAAGATAACCATAAGGTCTGACTGCCTGCTGGGTCAGGCAAAAAGAGCCATATTTTTCTTCTTGCAGAGAGCCTATAAATGGACATGCAAGTAGGAGAGATATTGCTAAATTCTTTTCCTAGCAAAGAATATTAATATTAATACCCTTGGAAAGGAATGCATTCCTGGAGGGAGGTCTATAAACGGCTGCTCTGGGAGTCTCTGTCTTATGCAGTTGAGATAAGGACTGAGATACGCCCTGGTCTCCTGCAGTACCCTCAGGCTTATTAGGGTGGGGAGAAAACTCCACCCTGGTAAATTTGTGGTCAGATCAGTTCTCTGCTCTCAAACCCTGTTTTCTGTTGTTTAAGATGTTTATCAAGACAATATGTGCACTGCTGAACATAGACCCTTATCAGTAGTTCTGCTTTTGCCCTTTGCCTTGTCATCTTTGTTGGACCCTTATCAGTAGTTCTGCTTTTGCCCTTTGTCCTGTTCCCTCAGAAGCATGTGATCTTTGTTCTGCTTTTTGCCCTTTGAAGCATGTGATCTTTGTCCCTACTCTCTGTTCTTACACCCCCTCCCCTTTTGAAACCCTTAATTAAAAAACTTGCTGGTTTGAGGCTCAGGTGGGCATCATGGTCCCACCAATATGTGATGCCACCCCCGGTGGCCCAGCTGTAAAATTCCTCTCTTTGTACTTTCTCTTTATTTCTCAGCCAGCTGACACTTATGGAAAATAGAAAGAACCTATGTTGAAATATTGGGGGCGAGTTCCTCCAATAAGTCCCATGAGCCACTTTTCAAATGCTCAATATCTATATGTGGCTGGTGACAACTCTAGTTCTATCAGTTTTCAGGAAATACAGGGGCTAAAAAAGCACATTAATACCACCAAAAGAAAGCAATCAACAATATCCACAATGTGGAAAACTACAGGGCAAGCTACAAAGTTTCTTCAACAAATTGCAAGAAAAAAGAAAAAGGAGAGAAGCTGGTGTAGGCAAAGCTAGAGGGTGTGGTGGCCTCTCATTCTGTGGCCAAGAACCCCTTGACACTCATTGAGGGGTTATTCCTGCAGAGTCAGGGGGCTGCCACCAAGATGTGAGGAGAGAAAAAAGGGAGGTACAGGCCAAAAGGCAGGAGGGTGAGGGAGAATGGGGAGTAAAGGGGATGGGATCATGTCCAATCATGTGTATTTGTACAATAGCATTCTACACAGAATGAAAAAAGGGGTGGACCAACATGCATGAATCCCAAGCACATTGTGTTGAGCAAAAGAAGCCAGATACTGCAATCCTAGCCCTCTGGGAGGCCAACGCAGGAGGATTGCTTCAGCTCAGGAATTTGAGGCTGCAGTAAGCTATGATAGTGCCACTGCTTTCCAACCCAGCCTGGACAACAGAGTGAGATCCTGTCTCTAAATAAATAAATAGTTTTTAAATAAATTACTCAGTTTCAGGTATTATTTTAAAAGCAATAGAAAATGGACCAAGACACCCCTCTTCTCTCTGTTTCTAATTTTTTTTTTTTTTTTTTTTTTGAGAGAGGGTCCCACTCTGTTGTCCAGGCTGGAGTGCAGTGGCACAAATGACAGCTCACTGCAGCCTCACCATCCTGGGCTCAAGCAGTCCTCCCACCTCAGCCTCCTGAGTAGCTGGGACTACATGCATGTCACTGTACCTGGCTAATTTGAGACAAATTTTTTGTAGAGACAGGATCTTGCTGTGTTTACCAGGCTGGTCTCAAACTTTGCTTCAACGGATCCTCCCACATCAGCCTCCCAAACAGCTGGGACTACAGGTGTGTGCCACCATGCCCGGCTAATATTAAAAATATATATTTCTTTGTAGAGATGGGGTCTCAATATATTACACAAGCTGGTCTCAATCTCCTGAGCTCAAGCAGTCCTCTTGCCTTGGTCTCCCAGAGTGTCGGGATTACAGCCGTGAGCCACTGTGCCTGGCTCTTCTCTTCTAAATTAAAAAAAAAAAGTATACAACACTTTTTTTGTTGTGTCTTGTTTTATTTCTGGAGACAGGGTCTCACTGTGTCACTCAGACTGGAATGCAGTAGCATCATCACAGTTCACTGCAGCCTTGACCTCCCAGGCTGAAACGGTCCTCATACCCCAACCTCCTGAGTAGCTGGGACCACAGGCCTGCATCACCACGCGTGGCTATTTTATGTTATATTTTATTTTATTTCATTAGTAGAGATGAGGGCTCACTATATTGCCCAGGCTGGTCTCAAACTCCTGTGCTCAAGAGATCCTCCTGCTGTGGCCTCCCAAAGTGCTGGGGTTATAGGTGTAAGCCACTGTGCCTGGCCAAAACATTTTTATTTAAGGTAAAACATACATACTGTGAAATAATATGTGTGCAATTTGATGACTTTTGACAAATATATACGCTTGTGTAACCAACTCTCCAATCTAGATATAAAACACCTTCATCACTCAGAAAGTTCTCTCATTTCTCCTATCAGTCAGTCTTCACTTCTGAAGAGGAATCGCCACTTTGATTTCTATCCACATCCATTAATTTGGATTCTCCTTGAACTTTTTTGTTTTAATAGACATGGAGTCTCACTATGTTGCCCAGGCTGGTCTCAAACTCCTGAGCTTAAGTGATCTTCCTGTGTTGGCCTCCCAAAGTGTTAGGATTACAGGTGTGAGCCACTACATCTGGCCTTGAACTTCTAATAAATGGAGTCATACAGAATGTATTCTTTTGTATCTGGCTTCTTCTTCTTTTTTTTTTTTTTTTTTTTTTTTTTTTTTTGAGACTGAGTTTTGTTCTGTTGCCCAGGCTGGGTTGGAGTGCAATGGCATGATCATAGCTCACTGAAGCCTCAAACTCCTGGGCTCAAGCAATCCACTGGCCTTGGCCTCTCAGAGTGGTGGGATGACAGGTGTAAACCACTATGCCTGGCCTATTTCTTACAGTTCTGGAAGCTGAAAAGTTCAAGGTCAAGGGGCTGCATCTGGTACAGGCCTTGCTGGTGGAACTCTCTGCAGAGTCCCAAGGTGGTATCACATGCCAAGGGAGCTGAGTGCTAATATGCTAGCTGAGGTCTCACTCTTCTTATAAAACCACTAATCCCACTCCCAAGATAAATTAATCTATTAACCCATGAACTCATTAATCCATGAATGGATTAATCCATTCAGAAGGTGGAGCCCTCATGACCTAATCACATCTTAAAAGCCCCAGCTCTCAATAGTGTCACATTGGGGATTAGATATCAGCATAAGTTTTGGAGGGGACAAATATTCAACCATATCAAGGGGTTACTGAACAGTAATGGCAATAAAGTTTTAAAAATTGAATCTATCTGGCTGAGTACGGTGGCTCACACCTGTAATCTCAGCACTTTGGGAGACTGAGGCGGGAAGATAATTTCAGCTCAGGAGTACAAGACCAGCCTCGGCAACATAACAAGACCCTGTCTCTATTTTTTTTTAATTAAAAAATAATTAATTGAACCTATCCTTTCTCTTGACCAGCTCTACTGGTGGCCTACTTAGGTTGCTAATGTGGGATGGTTGCAGGCATAACTGGAGAGGCCTTAAAAGTTTGTTGTGGACTGGTGGAGGCATGGTTACTTGGTAGAACTCTGTGGTGGGTTTCCAGTGACATGGAAAGTCTTCACACCACTGAGGAGTTTGCCTCAGGCTGGTCCTTGGGAAGCCACAAGAGATGCTGGTGGAACTGTCGCTGGATGACATGAGTCCAATTCCTGCCACAGCCTCTAGCCAGAGTCAGTAGTGTGTGCACCTGTCACTGGCCTTTTAGTGGGTTTCATATTTGTTCAGACTTGTCCAGTTGGCCAGAAGCTGACTTTATGTGAAATGGGAAATGCTGCTTTCACAAACGCTGGTTGCACCGATTCAACTTCTTGACAAGCTGGGCACTGTTCAAAAAGGAGAATGCAAAAGTTAGTCATCTTTGGAGGACATCAACCTCCAAAGAGAAAGTAATCAAAAGTACTGAGCCTATTGGACACCTATGGAAAGCTGACAAGAACCAACTCAATCCTGAAGGAGGAAATAAGTTTCCCAATAAAAGAACCTAATGAAGACAGATCCACTCAAGAAAAAAGGAGATGATGGTTGAAGTTACAGGGATGATGCTGTCACTGGCCTAGCAGTCATCACTTCATAGAGAGCTTATGCAAACAACAGCTTCCTCATTGTCCTTCAGAAGAATGGGCCGTTCCCTTCCCTCCACTCAAACTTCCTGTGCTGCCAAGCCACATTCATTCACCTTCTCTCCAATAGGAGGTTCATTTTTGCCCTGGATCCAAGGAGGCAGTTCCTGTGGAGATCTCCTTTTCCTTCTCATTCTCTTTTGGGAAGCACTTACGGAGCCCTCTCAATGGGCAGGAGTTTTTCCTGCACCATCACATCCTAAAAACAGAAATGAATTCTTTTGAAATTAATTCAAAGTTTGAGTGAACAAATTATTGGAACTAAGATCAAGAAACTAAAGACTGGATGGGCGCAGTGGCTCACACTTGTAATCCCAACACTTTGGGAGGCTGAGGCGGGCAGATCACTTGAGGTCAGGAGTTCGAGACCAGCCTGGCCAACATGGTGAAACCCTGTCTCTACCAAAAATTAGCTGGGTGTGGTGGCACACACCTGTAATCCCAGCTACTCGGGAGGCTGAGGGAGGAGAATACCTTGAACCCAGGAGGCAGAGGTTGCAGTGAGCCGAGATTGCGTCACTGCACTCCAGCCTGGGCGACATGGTGAGACTCCATCTCAAGAAAAAAAGAAAGTAAAGACTTTTTACATCGCTTCTCTTCAAAAGGAATTTTAATCTTTTTTTTTAATTATTTTTTAGCATTTTAAAAACTGCTACTTAATGGCCAGATGCGGCGGCTCATACCTGTAGTCTCAGCACTTTGGGAGGCTGAGGCAGGAGGATACCTTGAGCCCAGGAGTTTGAGACCAGCTTAGGCAACATAGTGAGACCTCATTCTACCAAAGAAATTTTTTTTTTTAATTAGCCAGGCATGGTGATGCATGCCTATGGTCCCAGCTACTTGAGAGGCTGAGGTGGGAGGAACACTTGATCCCAGGAGTTTGAGGTTGCAGTGAGCTATCATCATGCCACTGCACTCCAACCTGGGCAACAGAGTGAGATCCTGTCTCTAAAAAATAAAATAAAATAAGATAAAATATAAAAATTTAATAAAAGAACATACTTGTGTTCAAAATGACATTCGATAAAACTTTAGCTGTTTTATAAATATTTTAATATAAATCTCATAATTATTTGTTTTCTCTATACATAAGTATAGATATTGTTTTATGTAATTATATGTTTATCAATAGTATACAATTCCAAGTGGATTCTATAGAGTCTTCAGAAGCTCTCAGCAGGGTTGGGCCCTGGCTG
The DNA here is from genome assembly GCF_000001405.40 of Homo sapiens. Taxonomy (NCBI): domain Eukaryota; kingdom Metazoa; phylum Chordata; class Mammalia; order Primates; family Hominidae; genus Homo; species Homo sapiens. Next base: position 89,133,476 of record NC_000006.12, read on the forward strand.
CATAGAGTGGCAGTCAGTTCACTAATGCACACTGTATTGGCTCTTCTTGCTTGCATCACCCTCCTGCCTCCTTTATGCCTGCTATATTTCTCATCCTCCCTTGCCTGTAGATATGAATATGACCACATTCTGGTCAAAGACATGTAAAGAGAAATGTAATAAGAGATACCCGGAATGGCCCCTTAAGGGACTTTTTTTCAGCTGAGGGGACACACTCTTTGTCCTTCTCTTCTTCCTACTGCCTGAAATGTGGGCATGATAGCTGGAATGCCAGCAGTTATCTTGGACTCATGAAGAAACCTTGAGGAAGGAAGCCACACACTGGGGATAGCAGAACAGAAGTGTGACTACTTGGTCCCTGATGGCAGTGAAGTTGTCCTGGACTAACACCAGACATATTTTATATGGGAGGGAAATACAATTCTTATTAAATTACATGATATTTGGGTTTTAGAATAAATGCTGCTAAATCTAATTTTAGTGAATCCATCTTGCAGGGGTCTGTCCCGCAGACCTTGACCCAACGACGGATGAATAACGTACACTGACACAGGTATTTTGCCTGTCAGTCCGGCTGAGGGTCTGGGCCACTTACAGACACCAAGGAGGGTGCTGTAGAGTTGCAGCCTCGGCCCTGACTCCTGGCCCTGCCGGCATTTATTCAGCACACATTAAATGACAAAGGCTTTGAGTCAACACCATTAGAGGGTAATTAACCTAGTTGCCCCCACCTAGAGCCATCCTGATCTCAATCCTGATCAAAGGTTAGTTTTAGGACCACATGAGTAAACAAGTTATTTAGCTAAACTCCTCTACATTCCTATGCATCTACGCCCTAAGCCTTTAAGAGAATTCAGCTTCCTTCGGCCAAACACTTAAGTGAACTATGCAAACCCCCAGGCCTTCCAAGAGGGTTTGTGTTTATTTCCTATAGTTTTACAATTTCTCCCACCATCCTGACTGAACCCCCACACATCTTTTATCCTACCCCTTCAGCTCGGTCTTTCTTTGGTGGTGACAAAAGGCAGGTGGGATATCATAGTAGTTACTAAAATAGTTAGCAACCCAAGCCTATTCCTCAAACCACTTGAAGAATGGATTCCCCATTTTCTAGCTCAGTTTCCCCTGTGCAGTGATACCAATAAGTAGGACCAGAAATAGATCCACAACTGGGGGAACTTGAAGCTTCTAAAATTTGGGGGCAACTATATAAGAACACAACATTACAAATACAAAATTAGATACTCTCTCAGGTGGGGTTCCTTAAAAGCAGAGCCTGAGATGGAGATTCTTGTGCAAGTGATTTATGAGTGGGCTCTCAGAAAATTGTAAGGGAGAAAGGGATGCAAGATAGGGCAGGGGTAATTAGGCAAAGGGATGGTTTCGGAAGAGATCTAGCCTCAGGCTGATTTCTTGGGTAGCTCTGGAGTGTAAATTACCCTGCTGTGAGTCAAAAGCTTTTACATCGATCAGTCACTGGGGTGGTTCAAGCTCCCAGGCAAGGTGGCTCCCCTAGGCCTGGGCAGTCAGTCTGCTGCAGAAGGGTACAGGTGTGGGTCCTTGGTAGTGAACACCTGCAGGAGCTGGTAGATGGGTGCACTGGCTTGCTGAAGGGAATCGGGGAAGGAGACTAACAACTATTGCTACAGATAAGAAGAGAAAATGGTCATTTAAAATCTTAAGAAATTTGTAAAGATCACAAAATTCAGAAAAATATACCACTTCTCCTTTTTTTACTTCATAATTTTTGATCACCTCTTCATAAGGCAATGGTTTTGTAATGTAGTTTTCTATAGAAAGTCTAGCATAATTGATTTAAATTTGTTTTTATTATTGATCATTTAGAAAAGTTTCTTTTAGCTTCATTATTTAGCTATAATCCATTACAAGTAATGCCATGTATATTTTTAGGATTATCGTCAAATTTGGTAAAGCCTCTATCAAATTTTTTTTGTATATTGGCTGTAAGATTTAAAGGCATTTCAAGTTTTCTTGGACAGTGATAAATCTTAAGTTCTCTTTGAATTGGCCACACTCATTAACCAGTTTGTCTTCAATGTCTTATTTCAATGGCATATGAGTTTATATTATCTTTATTGATAAATTTAAATTTTCTTCCAGTGAGTGACATGTTATCAGCCTTCATCAAGATCAGACAGATTGTGTGTAGTACTGCTAAGTTTGTACCCTATACGCAGTAATTCTGATAAACTCAATTTTGTACCATTCCCATTGAAAGAGAGGAGAAAACTGTGAAACAGTTGTAATTGTGTATATGGCATCATTGAGTATATTCTTCACAAGCAGAACTTCCTTTTTGACCAGGAAGATGAAAACAGACTTGTCCCTCCTTAACAGTTTTACATATCTGGTGACTAGAAGCATTTCCAATAGACTGACTTTTATCTCCATTCATTTCAAGCCTTGTTTCCCCTTCACTATCCATATACTTATGGTGTTGCCCATTGTAGGACAAGGTCATATTGCAATATGATCTCTGGCCCTGAACATTTACCTGTGCGGATGCCAGGTAAGTTGCCATGTGGGCAATAAGAATACTGCTGGATGCCATTTCTGCACCTAGACAGCTAGATGAGTGTTGCAGACGTGACTGCAATACACATAATTATATCCACTAAACCCAAGCCAAATGTATGCCCAGTTCAACTTTCCCTTAGTTGGAACCCAGAATGCCTATGGCCACTTCAGTGTCAAACTGTGAGGTCTCATCATCTTTGTTAGATCGGTGTTCCCAAGTATCTTACTGACCAAGAGACGTCCTTACCAAGAACATGAGTTAAATCATGTTCACTTAACTCTGCTAATTCAGTGTAATTTATTTCTAATATGTTAATACGCAAAATATTTTCAAACATATACATCTTCATGATACTTAAATCTTTTAAAATTTCCAACCAGAGGCCGGGCGCAGTGGCTCACGCCTGTAATCCCAGCACTTTGGGAGGCTGAGGCGGGCGGATCACAAGGTCAGGAGATCGAGACCATCCTGGCTAACACGGTGAAACCCCGTCTCTACTAAAAATACAAAAAAATCAGCCGGGCGTGGTGGTGGGCGCCTGTAGTCCCAGCTACTCGGGAGGCTGAGGTGGGAGAATGGCATGAATCTGGGAGGCGGAGCTTGCAGTGAGCTAAGATCGCGCCACTGCACTCCAGCCTGAGTGACAGAGCTAGACTCCGTCTCAAAAAAAAAAATTTCTAACCAGATACACTATATATACCTTTATATTTGGAAAATTTCCACATTTCATGCCCTTATTAATCTTACAGATTCCCTCAGAATAAATTTCTGTTTTGATGAACTCTATACTTCATTGTAAAGTTGCCCCAAAATGTGGTAGTATAGCAAAGGGATGTCAGACAATTTCTCTGGTACGACTAGTGGAGGCTAAGGGTGGAAGCCATTACTACAGTGTTTTCATCTTACAGACATGTTGATATCTTGTATGAGATGTTTCCTCCAGATTATTGTGTCAGCTTTTAAGGTTTTTCAACTCCCACACAGGCTTGCTGTCCTGTTAGAATCATGGATTGATTAAGGTGATTCTCTATAAAGTGTTATAATTTCTCCTTTATACACAGTTCTCAATTCCACTGAAACTTTACCAACAATTGCTGCTTTGGATATTAAATCAACCAAAAACTAATAAACACTTACTGAGATTCTACATTAATTTAAAAAATATACAGTGAAGCTAATAGAAAGTCCAAAATGGGACACAAGAAGCACTTTATAGAAAGAATTTCAGGCTGGATGCAATGGCTCACACCTGGAATCTCAACACTTTGGGAGGCTGAGTGGGAGGATTCCTTGAGGCCAGAAGTTTGAGACCAGCCTGGGCAACATAGTGAGATCCCATCTCTAAAAAGAAAGAAAGAGTTTCAGAGTTTGAAACTAGAATCTGAGTTCATGTATAGGGGATTTGTTTATTTCACAGCCTTAGGTATTTGAAGATCAAATTATTTTGGTTTAGCAACTACAGTGGATGATCCTATCATGCAACATAGAAGTTCAGGTTTAATATGATCTTGCATGAAAATTATTTAGCCATTAATCAAAAGCAAAGAGGCTGGTAATAAGCTATTTTGGCCTTTCCATTTATTTATTTAGCTTAGCTTGTTTTCTTAAACTTACTTCACCTTCACTGTGTAATGCCTGGGCTAAAAATGCATATTACAATTTTTTATTTTATTATTTTATTGCAGACAGTTTTAAAAATAGAAATATTTAGACCAGACTACAGCAATATGAAAATTTTACAGCTGCATACTGTTTCCTTATTCCCCCTCTTTTTTTCTCTCTTTCCTTCAGACATATTCATTGTTTGTTTCCTTTGGTAGTTTCTCTATTACTCTAAAATTAATTTATGTGGTATAGGTCTCTTCTAATGGTAAATATAAACCATTGGACATTCCAGTTTAATAACTTTGATTTTTAGGCCTTTTATTCACATTTTCAATATAATTTTGGTTCACTTCCATTCAACAGCATACACTGTTCTACAATTAATTTTGTCTTGTACTAACCCTTGGTATTTAGTGCTATGGTCAAATCTGGGGTTTCAAGATTTCTTTTTTTTTTTTTTAATTTTTGCATTTGTTGTAGAGACAAGGTCTCACTATATTTCCTATATTTCCCAGGCTGGTCTTAAAACTCCTAAGCTCAAGCCATTCTCCTGCCTTGGCCTCCCTAAGTGTTGGGAGTACAGGCATGAGACCATGCACCCAGCATCAAACTTTCAAAGCAACATGATAGAACCATATTATATGTCTTCATGGTTGCAGACCTCTGCATGGTCAAGTGTTCCTGGAGAAAGAAATTGGACCACTTGCCAACAACAACACTCGGGTACAATTATAAGCTAATTTTAGACAAGAAAAGAAATGAGAGCATCAACTGCTGCCACTTGGTATGAATTAGACAATGAAGAAAGTATTTACTTTTCTGAAATGGTAATAAAAATGGCATTCTAGGTTTTTGGAAATTTTCCAGGTGAGGTTTCTAAAAAACAAAAGATTTTAAAAAACGAAAAAAAAAATTGGCCAGCTATCACATTTGCCTGAAAAAAATTGAATTAAATATCTCTATCAGTCCTGGCATGGTGGCTTACTTTGGGAGGCCAAAGTGCTAATCACAAAGGCGGGCAGATCACTTGAGGTCAGGAGGTCGAGACTATCCTGGCCAACATGGTGAAACCCCATCTCTACTAAAAATACAAAAATTAGATGGGTGTAGTGGTGCACTCCTGTAGTCCCAACTACTTGGGTGGCTGAGGTGGGAGAATTGCTTGAACTTGGGAGGCAAAGGTTGCAGTGAGCAGAGATGGCACCACTGCACTCCAGCCTTGGTGACAGTGTGAGACTCTGTCTTAGAAAAATAAATAAATAAATAAACAAATAAATAAATATCTCTATCATAGTTCATCTTGAACAAACTTTTCCCCTAAGCCAAATTAATTTATAACAAAGAAAGGTAGTTTTAGTGAAGTCAGGTAGCTTACAATAATAGCAATGATGAAATTTTTGTTAGTTGACATAGAAAACTTAATATTAGAGCAAATAGGACTGTAAAATGAAGCTTTTGAGGAACATTTTAATCTTTGCTTTTTTTTTAGAGACCTAGTCTCACTGTGTTGCCCAGGCTGGAGTGCAGTGGCACAATCATTGCTTACCAAACTCCTGGGCTCAGTTGATCCTCCCTAATAGATAGGACTACAGGCACATGCCACCATGACCAGCTAGTTTTTAAATTTTTTTTGTGTGAGAAGATGGGGTCTTGCTGTGTTTCTCAGGCTGGTCTCAAACTCCTGGCCTCAGGCAATCTTCCTGCCTAGGCCTCCCATAGCACCGTGATTACATTCCTGTGCCACCATACCCAGCTAATTTTTTGTATTCTTTTGGAGAGGTAAAGTCTCATGTTGGCCAGGCTGGTCTGTGCACGAACTCCTAGGCTCAAGCCATTCTCCTGCCTCAGCCTCCTAAAGTGCTGGGATTATAGGCGAGAGCCACCCTTATGACCTTATTTCACTTTAATTACCTCCCTAAAGTCCTGCTCCCAAATACAGTCACACTGGAGGTTAGCACTTGGACCTGTAGTTCCAGCTACTCTGGATGCTGAGGTGGAGGATTGCTTGAGCCTGGGAGATTGAATCAGCAATGACCTGTGATCACGCCCCTGCACTCTGGCCCGCGTGGCAGAGCAAGACCCTGTCTCAAATAAATAAATAAGGTGATAAGGGTGGGGCCCCAGCTGGAGTGGCTGTTGGGTATATATAGGCAGGAAAGGAGAGATGAGTCAGTTGCCAGAGGGAGAGAGGTTCTGGGGGAAAAGAGAAATGCTTAAAGCATTTTAAGGAAAGTTTACAGTGCAAGGTATGATGTAATGCTTTCTTTATCTCCCTTCAAAGCATTCAATAAAATATAACCATCAGTGGTCTGGATTTGAATTTAATGCCTCAAGTCTGGCCTAAAGATAAAAATGGAGCAAACGGAGAAGCTGCAAAAGGGCCCCAGCCATAAACAAATTACATTTGTTACACAAACGTGAGCATATGCACATGCAGAGACAGAGAGCTGGGACTACAGGCACATACCACCACACCCAGCTGATTTTTTTTGTTAACTTTTTTGTAGAGATGGGGGGGTGGTCTCACCATGTTGCTCAGGCTGATCTCAAACCCCTGAGCTCAAGCAATCCTCTTGCCTTGGCCTCCTAACATGCTGGGATTACAGGCATGAAGCACCAGTCCTGTCCTATTTACTAATTTTTAGAACACACATATTTTTATTAATGACTTATCACATTTTTAATAAAAATTTATTCCCACAGAACACCTTGAGGATTGTAACCCTGTGACCATCTATACCTGCCATCCATTCCTGCTAGCATCTTTGAAATATGTAGCAACAAATTGACCAGGAAGTTTGAGAAGTGAATCCTTAGTAAAGGTAATTATTAACCATGGTATGTACACAGTCGAGGTGAACACATTGCTTGAGGGATCAATCTCTTCAAGGACTTTAAAAGCACTGCACCGGGCCCAAGCTCTAGATGTTGTATAGAGGACCAGGGGCAGTCAAAGTTCTCCACCCATTTTCCTAAGCCATAACGGTAGGAGAGAAATGTTCTTGTTAACCACAAGCTGGGTTACGTCTTTGCAGTGTTGTTTTGTACACACTGTGGGGAATCAGGGCAAAGGAAAAGCCTATCCTCTCAGAACCTCCCTGTCCTCATTTCCAGGAATAGTGATGGAGAACAGAGCAGCTAATCTCACTGCCAAGAGAAGGGAAGCCAAAGGGAGCCTCAGGTCATCAGGTACCAGGACATTCAGGGCTTTAAAGTCACTGCCTTCACTTTGTGGGCCATTTGAAGAAATCCGCACAGAACTTGAAAACGAGTTGTAATAGAATCTTGCCCAGCAGAAGCAAGGGTCTGTCAGGTATTTTTGCTCATTCCCTTTTTGTTTTTCAGGGTTGTTTCCTCAGCTTACATTTTTCCCTTTCAACTCACTCACTCCCTGGATGGTTTAATTCCCCTCTGGGTATACCATTACTCATACTAGCTATGTAGAAATGCACTTTCCTTGGTGCTCTGCTGGTCTCCTCCTGGACAACTGCATCTACCTCCTCTCCACGTGTCTAATGCACATCCATCAATTTGCCCCTCACTCTCTTATTTCCCCTATTTTGTTTCATGGCTTTACCATTCACTCAGCTGTTAACCCGAGAAACTTCAGTTCTCTTTCCCCCTTTCTCTGGAGCACCTTCTTCACCTAAACAGACATTCAGTGAGGAATTAAGTCTGGCCATTTCTGCCCACGGAATGTTTCTGGAATCCTTGGACTTTGCAAGAGCCTTTTATTTATTTTTAATTTTTTAAATTATTTTTTAAAGACAGAGTCTCACTCTGTCACCCAGGCTGGAGTGCAGTGACACAATCTTGGCTCACTGCAACCTCCACCTCCCAGGTTCAAGTGATTCTCCTGCCTTAGCCTCCTGAGTAGCTGGGATTACAGGCGCCCGCCCCAACACCCAGCTAATTGTTGTGTTTTTAGTAGAGATGAGGTTTCACCATGTTGGGCAGGCTGGTCTCAAACTCCTGACCTCAAGTGATTCGCCCATCTCGGCCTCCCAAAGTGCTGGGATTACAAGCGTGAGCCACCACGCCTGGCCTGCAAAAGCTTTTAACTTATCTCAGACCTAAGTCTGTTTCCAATTCATCTTCCAAATAGTCATCAATTATTCTTGTAGAACAAATTTCTGATCTTGTCTCTCTCCTGCTTAATAACATCCAATAGTTTAGCCATTGTCCAAGTTTTATTTTACTTTGAGACAAAAGTCTCACTCTGTTGCCCAGACTGGAGTGCAGTGGTGCAATCATGCTTACTGTAGCTTTGACCTCCCGGGCTCAAGCGATCCTCAAACCTCAGCCTCCAGAGGAGCTGGGACCACAAATGTGTGCCACCATGCTTGGCTTATTTACTATTTATTTTATTTTATTTTATTTTTTGTAGAGTCAGGGTCTCCCTATATTGTCCTGGCTGGTTTTGAACCCCTGGGCTCAAGCTATCCTCCCACCTCAGCCTCTTAAAGTGCTGGGATTACAGGCATGAGCCACCAAAACCAGCTAAAGTTGTAATTCCTTAGCAATGTGTTGTACACTTCCTCTATGTCCCTTCATCCCCAATCAAATTCACCTTTCTGCTCACCTACTCTCTTAGTTGTCTGCTTTCTGCCATATGACAACCAGCTCTTCCAACACCTTAGCCCAGATTGATTTTACATGTGCTATCTAGTGCGTGTTACGTGTTTGTTTCAGCTAGAGAAGTTTCTGGAGTTAACCAAGTTTGCATGTGTGTCTGGGGATGCTTAGGAGAATGTTGTAAATGACCAGTATACCAAAGTGACACTGTGATTTGCTTCTTCTCCATGCTGGCAGCAGCAGTCCTCAAATCGTGCAGTGGCCAGCATTTTGTTCAGGAGAAAATTGCTGTAGTTCCAAGTATTGTTAAACTGAAACGATGTAGGCTGGATTCACATGCACTTTTGGAAATATCATATATTTTGAAGGTATTATAAGTTTGATTTTTTTGGTGAAATATCTGCACTCTCTCCTTGGATTAAATCATTTTTGCACTTTTTATTCCTTTCCCCCACAATTATTATTATTATTATTATTTTTTGAGACGGAGTCTCGCTCTGTCACCCAGGCTGGAGTGCAGTGACGCGATCTCGGCTCACTGCAAGCTCCACCTCCCGGGTTCACGCCATTCTCCTGCCTCAGCCTCCCGAATAGCTGGGACTACAGGTGCGTGCCACCACGCCCGGCTAATTTTTTGTATTTTTTAGTAGAGACGGGGTTTCACCATGTTAGCCAGGATGGTCTCCATCTCCTGACCTCGTGAACCACCCACCTCGGCCTCCCAGAGTGCTGGGATTACAGGTGTGCGCCACCGCGCCCGGCCCCCCACAATTATTTTTGTTTGTTTGCTTTTCATTCCTGAAATCCTGCACTGAAGCTCTCTGGTACTTCTATTTACTTTTTCTCTACCTTTAATTTTCTTCATTTTATTTTTCATTCCATTCCTTTTTCTGTTTTCAAAAACTTTTTTTTCTCATTTAGCTCATGCTTTGCCATGAGCTCATGCTTTGCCATGTTGGGGATTTTATTTTATTATTTCTATCTTAATTCAAAGAATATAAACCATACAAAAGCCTGCTGCCTTTTCAAAAGGAGTTCTGAATCTGAAGCCCAAAATAATACCCAGTATAGTTGTACAATTTGGCTGTATTTTAGTTGCTTTTCCAGGGTAAAGGAAATTTTTGATCTACTCTTTCCACCACAGCACTCATTTGTCATGAATGTCCTGTTCTCAAAGTTATTGAGTCAGTTGTGATGACAGCTGGTTTTCTAAGCAGCCAGGAAAGAAGAGGAATCTTTATATATTTTTTCCCCTTTTTTCTCATCAGGAGCCAAGAAAGAACATTTATATACTTTAAAACCAGTCCTCAAGAGAGAACTATCTGCACTCCTCTCACCCCCCCAAAAAGGTTATACATCTTAATACTAAATTCTGGATATTGTATTGTTTCCTCAGATCCAGCACCAGCTAAAGGAAGGGAGCTTGTATACATTTTTTTTTGTTTCTAATAAAAACATACAGGTTCCTTACCAGTAGCACATAGATAGGGTAGACAGTTGTATGAATATTATGGGTACAAATGAAAGTAATAGTAAGAATTTATGAGCTGACCAGATTCTAGAAAGCCACATGTCCAACTCCATCAGCTTCCAGAAGCAATTCTTCCTGCCCCCAGCTCCACATAAAGGACTGAGAAGTCTAGGAAGAAGCATAACAATGTCTATTGGTAGTCAGTGTCGTTTAATGGTTAATTGCTGCCATTATTCAGTTAGTTTATTAGATTCAAGAAGAATAATCAGCCAACAAATATTTATTAACACAGAGGAAATGCTGACCATAAGATGTTAGGTGCTGGGGAATGCAGTGGGAAAACAAAAGAGTTTAAAGCCTGGAGGGGAAGATAAACGGTCAGCAAGTTATCACAGTTTATCAAATAAATGAATTCAAGGGTGCAAAATACCATGAGCAAGAAATACAAGGTGTCAACAGTAGAAACTGAATACATACGTGCCTGTGGGCATGTATACCCACCCACCCACCCACATATATACACAAGGAACAGAGCTTGAAATGAATCTGTCTTTCCTCTACCTCAAGTGGCAGCTTTGTTAATTCCTGCAAAGCAATATAAATAGCAGCTTCTATATGAAATTATATGCATCCCTTTTCTGTTGCTGTTTATTGATGCCTGAGGAGGGCAAACATGGGTTCTACTGATGTCAGCAGGCAGAGTTGCTGCAGTAAAATTTATTCAAAATGAGTGTTGTGGGTTCTGATTTGAATAGATAAACTGGAGATGCATTTATGAATTTGCATGTCTGTTTACACAAGCAATAGACCATGGTGGCTGAAAGTCAGCCACTGGAGGCTGACTCTGGCTTCTGTTCTACAGTGGGTCCACTACTTACTAGCTCTATAATCTTGGACATACATCTGTAAAATGAAGATAAATAACCACATTAACCACCTCATAGTTTGCTGTGAGGATTAAATGAGTTAACAAATGCTAAGCCCTTGGAACAGTGCCTAGCACAGAGTAATTGCTCTACAAATGTCACCTATTGCTTTTGCTCTCCAATCCCCCCTTCTCCCCTTTTTTTAGCCAACTAACTGAGCAGGATAATATTGGATCTCGTGGATACAGGGTAATTTTCTTCAGCAGAATACCAGAGAAAGATTTATTATCGCCAAGGGGGCCCAGGAATTTAATAACACATTTGTTGTTTTTAGAGCTGAGTTTTTGTTGGAGTGTTAACTGAGAAAGAAAGTTTTCAGACGTGAATGGAATGTGACATTTACTCTGGTATTATTAGCATATAGAGTAGTAAAAACAGTAGTTGATAGTCTTCGTGCATGTTAGCTTCCCTTAGACTTATTTTCAAAATATTCATTTGGTTTATCACATTAATATATTGTGTCCCATTTAACATAGTTGAGACAAATTAAGGAAAGATGATAGGGTATGAAGAGCTGATAGAAGCTTTTAATATGTGGAAAACCTCAGAATATAAACATCTACAGTGTTATTAATAGGCATACCGTCAACAACAGTTTTTCAGACTTTGTGGTTCACTCTGGAGAAAAACAAGAGCATGACATCTTGAATTTCTTCACTGGGTAATTAAAAAACTCAGTTATAATGTAACACCAGCTGCACATATCATGTTAGTGGAGTTCAGCATCAATTAAAATTATAAACGAAACCTGTCATATGTTCCCTTTCAAAGCTGTTCAAGACAACTGTCCAAATCAACAAAACAGTATGAATATTTACTACCATAAATCTTTTAACTCTTTGGTTTTAACTCATTTCAAATTTTTAGTTCTACTCTATTCAAATAAATTATTATATAATAGCTAATACATACCAAGAGCTTACTGCATAATCTAGCTGCTGTTCCAGACATTAGTAACCAATGAGAAAACTGTAGAGAGTAGCTGCAGCTTTTAGTAATACAATGTCAAGGAGAAGAAAGTGGGGGCAGTACCGAAACTTACGTACAGTACCGTCGTTAGTACAGCATTGACACTGACGGCCTCCTTCAGGAAATACAAACCTTGTGAGGTTTTAATTACTAATGCTACAGAGTGGCGTTTTTCCGAGGACTGTGTTCCACTTGGTCTGTCTCTGATGGCTATTAACTAATAACCGTTCTCATTCTGCTGCTGTGGGAAATAAGCAACAACGGAAAAGTAATCGATAATCTTAGAGCATAACTCAAAGGCCAGAGCAGCCAAGGAGGTGGAAGAGTCCCGAGCCCTGCCTTCTCCACAGCACCCCCAAAACCCCACGGCGGGGCAGAGCGCCTGGTAGGGTACGAGCGGCCGCCAGCGTTTCCCGCGCGGCGCCGGGGGCGGCCCCGGGACTGGGGGTGGTGCCCTGGGAGCTGTGTGGCCGCGTGCGCGCTCCGCCGGGGTCCTGGAGGCCTCTGGGCGCGTGCGCGGGCGGTCGCTACCTGCGGCCGAGCCAGGGAGCGAGAGGGCGCAGAGGGCAGCGGGCTTGGGCAGCATGAGGCCCGGAGGGGAGCGGCCCGTGGAAGGGGGCGCGTGCAATGGCCGCTCCGAGCTGGAGCTACTGAAGCTGCGCTCGGCGGAGTGCATCGACGAGGCGGCCGAGCGGCTGGGGGCCCTGAGCCGCGCGATCTGGAGCCAGCCCGAGCTGGCCTACGAGGAGCACCATGCCCACCGCGTGCTGACGCACTTCTTCGAGCGGGAGCCGCCCGCGGCCTCCTGGGCAGTGCAGCCGCACTACCAGCTGCCCACGGCCTTCCGCGCCGAGTGGGAGCCGCCGGAGGCCCGGGCACCGAGCGCCACGCCACGCCCGCTGCACCTGGGCTTCCTCTGCGAGTACGACGCGCTGCCCGGCATCGGCCACGCCTGCGGCCACAACCTCATCGCTGAGGTCGGGGCGGCGGCCGCGCTGGGCGTGAGGGGGGCCTTAGAGGGCCTCCCCAGGCCGCCTCCGCCCGTGAAGGTGAGGTGGGGCCCGGGTGCGGGACCCTATCCGACTGCCCGGGTCGGGGGCGACCCGGGAAGGGCGGGACTCTCGTGCGTCCCGCGCGCCTCGGTGCCCTCCCGCCCGGGGCAGGTGTGTGTGGGACCGCGCTAAACCTGCGGTCCTCGCCTCGGCGCAGGAGCAGAGCTGAACCCCCAGTCAAAGTCAGTTCGCGTTGCCGACCTGGCGACATCTTGCAGATTATTGTTTCCTCCTCTCTAGTTATAAACAGCTCTGCTGAGTTGTTCCCTTAGGAAAGAACTTACACCCAAGCCTGGTGTTTGTTACGGGTTATTTTTGGTAACTGAGAGAGGCAACAGCAATTTGCTGACAAGGTTGTGCCATCAATCTCAGGAGGAAATAACTTCTTGTAGGTAATCCTACGGCCCCTTTTTATTCGTCTCCAAATAAATCTTTTGTTTGTGGCAGTCCTAGAAAATGTGATTCAAGTCATTGGTATTTGGATAGGAATTTTCAGTCGCTAGAACCACCAGACCCCTAGAAGTATACAAATAAAGGGGAAGTGAATGAGCATTATACATAGATGAGTTCATCCTTAAGTCTTAATTTTTTTGTTTTATGATTTTAAGAAATACCTCGACTCTTTAAACAGGGAAATGTCGTTTATGTTTGTCGTAGGGCAAGTTTAATCCTGTTTTACTCTGCTTTTCCAGATGGTATATTCTACACTATGAGCTAAGATTCAATCGTCATTCAGTTAAGGGGAAAACAAATGTTTTATTTTCATACTCTTTAGTTCATTTCCCCCAGTGTCAGTAACCTTCCTCTTTTATCCTAACACTACATCTTTTGTGGCTTTTTCACTTTAGCTGCCTTCTTTTTTCTGTCTCTGGAGGCTCGTTTTTGCATTTGTTAGGTTTTTGTTTGGGTTGGGGGAAGCATGCTTTGCCATGTCACAAACACTGGAGAGATTTCGCTTCAACCACGTTTTTAAAGGTTCTGAGTAGTCAGCGAGAGACATATCGTATTTAATGAGTTAAGGGTCAAGAATGAAGAGCGGTGGGCAGATCAGTTGAGGTCTGGAGTTCGAGACCCGCCTGGCCAACATGGTGAAACCTCTGTCTCTACTAAAATATATTAAAAAAAAAAAAATTAGCTGGGCGTGGTGGCTCACGCCTGTAATCCCAGCTACTCGGGAGGCTGAGGCAGGAGAATCGCTTGAACCCAGGAGGCAGAGGTTGCAGTGAGCCGACATCGCGCCACTGCACTCCATCCTGGGCAACAGAGCGAGGCCTCCTCTTAAAAAAAAAAAGAGCGGCGGCTTCATGTCAGAGTTTGAGCACTGTAGAACCGCCAAAAAAAAGCTAAACTTTGAGAAATGTACACTCTTTTTTTTTTTTTTTTTTTTTTGAGACAGTCTCATTCTGTCGCCCAGGCCGAGTGCAGTGGTCCTATCTCGGCTCACTACAACCTCCGCCTCCCGGGTTCAGGCGATCCTCGTGCTTCAGCCTCCTGAGCTGGGATTACAGGTGTGTGCCACCACGCCCAGCTAATTTTTGCATTTTTTAGTAGAGACAGGATTTCGCCATGTTGGCCTGGCTGGTATCGAACTCCGGATCTCGGGTGATTCGCCCACCTCGGCCTCCCACAGTGCTAGGATTACAGGCATGAGTCACCGCTCCCGGCCCACTCTTCTAACTTCAAATGGTTGTTCTCAATTTTAGCAAGGTTAAGTTATTAATTATCTGAAAATGGAATTTAAGTTGATTTCCTTTGCAAGCCAAGACTTTTCCAGCTTGTTTCATTGTGTTCTTATACATGATCTTGAAAATATATTAGTTGTTTATTTTGATTTTTAAAATTGTTTGAAGCAGTTAAGCTTAAATATCAAAGTAAAATGTTTATTCTGTAAAGTTCTCTTTTGTTTAATTAGGTGTTTGGTGACCAATAAATCTGCCTGGTTGAACTGGTGGAATCGAATTAGTAAGTTTGTGTAATAGTTGGCTGTTTCTAACTGTGGCATTAAGACTTGTTTAATGTTCTTCATAAAGGATTAATGAGTTCAGACTTTTAAAATAGGTAGCCCAGTAAGGAATCAGAGTTTAGGCCAGAAGATCAGGACATCTAATCCTAATTCTGCCTGAAGACTTGCTCTGTGACCTGGGGCAAGACACTTCACTCAATTCCTCAAAAACACCCCCTGTAAAATGATGATAGAGATCACCCACCTACCTCACAGGGTTGTTGTGAGGATAAGTAGTAAGTTAACAGAAAGTTTCTGACTCGTAAAGTACTTAAGAATAATTATATACATACATACACTGAAAGGCTTAGTCGAGAGGAACCTTTTTGAAACAAATCCTAACAAATTTTGAGGGACTAAACTTGTAGTATTTTTTTTTATCTTTGCCATTAGTTGACTTGTAAAATTGGGAAAAGCTTTTTATAGTGTCTTTAGTACATACTTTGCACCAAGTTGGTATAACAATGTACATTTTGTGATTAATTTAGCACCATTTGTTGATGCCCATTGCGTAAGCGTCATAGAACAAAACCTGTCTTAATAGGTTAAGGACTTTAATGTAGATTGTGAATACATATGCAGGTGAACCTGTTTGATATATTCCTATGAGGATTTTGTTGTTTTTCCCTGACATGAGTATTTCCTTCTAGGTAGTTGTCCTGGGAACCCCTGCAGAAGAAGATGGTGGTGGCAAAATTGATTTAATTGAAGCAGGGGCTTTTACAAATCTTGATGTTGTTTTTATGGCCCACCCATCACAAGAGAATGCTGCTTATCTACCAGATATGGCTGAACATGAGTGAGTAATCAAGTTGAAGATAAACTTCTTAGGGGAACACAGGCTATAGAATACTTTTATGTCTAAACCAGAGACGAAAACTCCACATTTGTATATTTAAGAAGTAAATTGAAAGACAATAACAAGATGTCTTGATCTATGGAGTGACATTTGGCAAGCCTCTTCTAATTGAGATTCATTATGGTGTTCATAATTGGAGTATTAAAATAGTAGCACTTAGAAACCATAGGAATAACAAACATGTTGACAATTAAGTTCTCTTTTGAACTGTCAATAATCTGGTGTCTGGAAAACATCTGTCCTTTCATATGAAATTGTCTTTGCAACTGAATAGATTTGCGAGAGATCGTTCTATTAGCTATGGGAAGAAACCACACTTATCCATTTTATTTACTTTAATTTGAGTTCTTTGCAAAGAGGATAAATTATGTCCTGAGAGAGAATATGGAACATGAGTAGCTATGGTTTTTGTGGAACTTCTCATTCTGTGCTTTTCCGATTTGTCTGGTGCTGAAACCTTTTATTTGTCTTTCTTTATGTTGAAGAACTCACTTTTTAGTACCTAGGAGCACACATCATTGAAGTGGTTTGGATTTTTTATACCAGAAATTTCAACCATAGTAGTAACTATAGTAGTTAATGGTCCAGGCACAAGGAGCCAGTGCTCAGCTGCTTCAGCAAAACCATGTGTTTTCCTCAGAAGTAGCTCGGTACTGAGGGAATGATAGCAGAACCATCACAGCAGTGCTTCTAGATTGTACCCGGGTATCCCACCTCTTAGCACCTTACCAGGCCCTGTTTTCAAAGGGTGATCATTTTAACTATTAGGGTATCTTCCTTCTTATCACTGGAAATTGGTACTGTGGCAGTAGGAGGAATCTTTGAACTTTGGTTTCAAGGGTGGTGGTAAACTAGTCCATCTCTAGAAAACACTGGGGATTAGAAATCTCTGCCCTTGCCTTTGACTAGAAGGGGCCTGCATATGCAGGCAGGCTCTGCAGCTCATTACCCTTCTGGGACTTAAGGTTAGGCTTCGTGGTCTTGGTTCTGAAGTCAGCGCACTTGACCCCAGACCTTCTCCTAGTATCTGCCTTCTTAGCTTTCTCACTGATCATCTCTTTTTTTTTTTTTTTTTTTTTTTTTTGAGGCTGAGTCTCACTCAATTGCTCAGACTGGAGTGCAGTGGCACGATCTTGGCTCACTGCAACCTCCGCATCCCAGGTTCAAGTGATTCTCCTTCCTCAGCCTCCTGAGTAGCTGGGATTACAGGCGTGCGCCACCACGCCCAGCTAATTTTCATATTTTTAGTAGAGACAGGGTTTCACCGTATTGGTCAGGCTGGTCTTGAACTCCTAACCTCAAGTGATTCACCCACCTCGGCCTCCCAAAGTGCTGGGGTTACAGGCATGAGCCATCACACCTGGCCTTCATTGGTCATCTTTTAAGATAGAAAAGAGAGGTCAGGTGCAGTGGCTCACACCTGTAATCCCAGCACTTTGGGAGGCCAAGGCAGGTGGATCACCTGAGGTTAGGAGTTCGAGACCAGCCTGGCCAACTTGGCAAAACCCCATCTCTACTAAAAATACAAAAATTAGCCAGGCATGGTGGGCACCTGTAATCCCAGCTACTTGGGAGGCTGAGCCAGGAGAATTGCATGAACCTGGGAGGCGGAGGTTGCAGTGAGCCAAGATCGTGCCATTGCACTCCAGCCTGGCCACCAGACAAGTGAAACTCCATCTCAAAAAAAAAGAAAAAAAAAAAGAGAACAAGATCAAGAATTCATTTTTTTTTAAATTACTAATCCACTTTTCTTAAAAATTCTTTTTTTTTTTTTTCCGAGAGAGTCTCGTTTTGTCACCCAGGCTAGAGTACAGTGGCGCAATCTCAGCTCACTGCAGCTTCCGCCTCTGGGTTCAAGGGATTCTCCTGCCTCAGCCTCCCATGGACCTGGAATTACAGGCAAGCACCACCACACCCAGCTAATTTTTGTATTTTTAGTAGAGACAGGGTCACCATGTTGGCCAGGCTGGTCTTGAACTCCTGACCTCAAGTGATCCACCCGCCTTGGCCTCCCAAAGGGCTGGAATTACAGGCATGAGCCGCCAGGCCCAACCACAAATTTCTAATGAATAAGATAAAGCAATCCTGCTGACCACCTTTCCCAAATCCAGTCCTTTTTCTAGAGGTATGTATCCTTTTCAGAGTGTTTTTGGTGTACTTATGGGACATAAATAGAATCCTGTATAAATTGTGAAAGAAGGTTTTCCTCAAGTATTCCACTCAATATATTGTTCTGGCTTTTTAAAATTAAATAGTATGTCTTGAAAATAATTCCATATAATCCTTCTCGTTTTTATAATATTTATCACCAGTTGTGATGAAATTCCGGTTTTGCCAGGCCAGGTGGCTCACACCTGTAATCACAGCACTTAGGGACGTCAAGGCAGGAGAGTCTCTTGAGCCCAGGAGTTCATGACCAGCCTGGGCAACATGGTGAGAACCTGTCTCTACAAAAAAAAATAAAAAATTAACTGGGCATGGAGCACTCCTGTGGTCTCAGCTATTCATCTGTGGGAAGCTGAGGCAGAGGAGGATTGCTTGAACTTGGGAGGTGGTGACTGCAGTGAGCTGTGATCACGCCACTGCACTCCAGCCAGGGTGACAGAGGGAGATGAGTACCAAAAAAAAAAAAATTCATTTCAAGGTCATGGTGATAAGATATATATCAAGGAAATAACAATACAGTATCCTGAAATCTAATACGTGTTTGATGTTTTTACTTGATTTTTGTCCTGCTAATAGAATGTCTGGAATCAGTTGAGAAGAAATATCATAAGCATTCTAAGGACTCCTGAATCTAACCCATTAAAATAAGTCCAGATTGGTTTTCTAATCACCTAAATGTGGGTATTATTAATCAGGCTTAAAAAGTGTTATCAAAGCACGTCAATCACAGAGCTTTATAAGTAACTATTCAACACGCAATCCTTTCTCTAATCTTTTTTTTTTTAATTGTATTAGAGCAGTTAGACTGGTGTGAGAACTTAACAGTTTATTAAAATGTAAAATATTAGTGATGTAGGCATTTTGGAACATAATAAAATATTGGATATTGGTCAGGAACAACTGCTTTAATACTAGGGTATCTTGTGATAACATTGAATATAATCTGATTTTCAGAGGTTGTCTTAACCCACTTCAAATAGTAACTCCTTTCTGGCTTTCCTGACCTTCCACCTCTTAAGACAGAATTTCTGATTTTTTACAGACTTTTGATAATAGAATCATCACAATGCTGTGTAAAAACATACAGGATCCATTTTTTTTTTTTGTAATTTCAGCACCTGATACCATATTGCATGTTTGCATTAGATTGTGTATACATTTAATCTTTTCTCTTTTTCTCTCTTTTTTGGGAATGCTTTCTTTGTGTCAAGCACTATGTTACCTAATAATAAACTATAACTAACATAAATAAATTGCAGTGTTATTACTACAAATAATTTGCAAATCAAAAGTCCAGCAATGTGAATTAATTTTGAATAGTAGTTGGGTAATTCTGACTACCTGGATTTTCTTACTTTAGCAATAATAACAAAAGTAATTTCAAATGATTTTTTATTTCCTAGTGTGACTGTGAAATACTATGGAAAAGCATCTCATTCTGCTTCTTATCCCTGGGAAGGATTAAATGCATTAGATGCTGCTGTGCTGGCCTATAACAATCTGTCTGTGTTCAGACAGCAAATGAAACCAACCTGGAGAGTTCATGGTATGAATGTCAAATACCTTCTATAATAGATGGTGCTTGCTATAGTTCAGTGCAGTATAATTATTTAATATTCAATTTTTAAAAATTTGGAAATATTTTTGTACTTCATATGAATATTCTGATTTTTAAGCATATTTTCAGAAATTCATGTGACAGGATACTAAGATGTTTGTCTATATAGGGTTAGAAAGACAGTTTTGATTATTGTACATAAATGGAATGTCATCTTTGAGTATCAAAGATAAAGGTTTTATGTAAGGGGCTGTGTTCTTTCGGTGGGTGTTTGAAAATTGGATCTTGATTTTCCAGTTGTCCTCATTATTTCTTAATGATAACCAAATTTTGTCAATTAAAAAAAGGTATAATAACTGCTAGTTTTATTTAAGTGCTGTTAGTCCTGAGTAATATCTTTTTGTGTGATTTTTTGTTTTTGAGACAGTCTTGCTCTATTGCCCAGGCTGGAGTGCAGTGGTGCAATCTCGGCTCACTGCAACTTCTGCTTCCTGGGTTCAAGTGATGCTCCTGCTTCAGCCTCCCAAATAGCTGGGATTACAGGCAGGCAGACACCACCAAACCCAGCTAATATTTGTATTTTTTGCAGAGACGGGGTCTTGCTATGTTGGCCAGGCTGGTCTCAAACTCCTGGCCTTAAGTGATCTGCCCACCTCAGCCTCCCAAAGTGCTGGGATTACAGGTGTGAGCCACCATGCCTGGTCCTGAATAGTGTCTTTTAAAATTATATATATATATCACCATAATATAAATACAGTCAAAGTACTGTCTTGAAGGCACACATTTGTTTAATTTATTTCCTTATGATTTAGGAAATTGTTATATTTTAATATCTATTCTTTACCTGATTTTGCTATAGCCTGAGGTCAATTTGTAATTGTACTTTTACCAGTTTTCCTGCTTTAGTTTCTTTAAAAGGAACAAACAGGAATGTGTAGAAATATTTTTTTAAAGTAGGTCATAGGACATTGGATTTTTTGTATCTATTTTAGTTATTACTTCGAATGAATAAATCTTAATTCTTTATAATTCCAAATAAATACATTTGTTTTGACAGTTGATAATACTTAGTGATCTTTGACCTGCATTGGTTTTTTTCTTGGCATGAAAATTATTTTTCCTATAGCTAAATGCCATTTAAAATGCTCATGGGATTCCTGAGGTATGAGGGTAATTATAGAACCTCATACCATTGTTGAGGTATGGTAAAATCTTTTCCAGAAAGCTTAAGATGTTACTAATTTTTTTTGTGGTTATATAATTTCTAAGTTTCATTATAGTCTGGATCATAATTTCTTAACATTATGTAAATTCTTCTGAATGAAGTGCATATGGATAATTATTTTTTCTTATCAGCCAAAAAATATCACCCTATGTAAAGAAATTTCAGTTGTACAACATAACAAAATCTTTGATTGGTGTATTGGTGGAGCTAGTGAGTTTAAATTATTTTTCTTTATGAACATATTGGCTGAAAAACTTAATGGGTGTATTTAAGCTTAAAGAAATGGTCACCAAGCTTAATTCTAGTAATTTGGTTCTTTTTATAGGTATAATAAAAAATGGTGGTGTAAAACCCAATATCATTCCCTCTTATTCTGAATTAATCTATTACTTCCGTGCACCCTCAATGAAAGAACTTCAAGTTTTGACCAAAAAGGCAGAAGATTGCTTCAGAGCTGCAGCTTTGGCTTCAGGGTGCACAGTAAGAACTTTTAAAAGTTAATCTAAGTTACAATCAGAGGTATATATGTGGGCTAGCACTGTTAGATTGAAATCTAACTTGACTCTCTTATTTGGTGACATGTTGAATATGCAAAATGAATTGGCTGAATAGTTAATGTGAAAGTCTTTAATTTTTACACGTTTCATTCCTCAGTGCTTGCAATAGGGAAGATGACAGGTCATCTTACTTATATAGTAATTAGAATAATTCTGATACTTCTATGCTAGAATCCCTGCCTTTTTACAAGTTATATTCTTCCTTGTCGGCAGTTATACTTTTAGAATTGCTATATGTAGTTTCTATAAAGGAAAGTTTATGGCAAAATCAGCAAAAGCTTTTTTTTTTTTTTTTTTTTTTTTTTTGGTGGGGGGACAGGGTGTTGCTCTATTGCCCAGGCTGGAGTTGCAGCGGCACGATCTTGGCTCACTACAACCTCCGCCTTCCAGGCTGAAGCAATCCTCTCACCTCTGCCTCCCACCTCAGCCAGCTGAGTAGCTGGGACTACAGGCACGCACCACCACACGTGGCTAATTTTTTGTATGTTTTTCTGGAGACAGGGTCTCACCATGTTGCCCAGGCTGGTCTCAAACTCCTGAGCTCAAGTGATCCACCCACCTCGGCCTTCTAAAGTGCTGGGATTATAGGCATGAACCACCTCGCCCAGCCAGCGAAAGCCATTTCTGAAGTTAGGGTGTGTATAGTAGTGATATAAATACTATGGCTTGCTGGAATGGAAGATAAAATAGACACAGAAGTTAGTTAAGAGGTTTTATTGATTTGTTTCTGTTTGTTTGTTTGTTTTTGAGACAAAGTCTTGCTCTATTGCCCAGGCTGGAGCGCAGTGGTGCAATTTTGGCTCAACGCAACCTCCTCTGCCTCCTGGGTTCAAGCGATTCTTATGCCTCAGCCTTCCAAGTAGCTGGGACTACAGGCGCTTGCCACCACACCTGGCTAATTTTTTTTTTTCTTTTTTTTTTTTGAGGCGGAGTCTTGCCCTGTCACCCAGGCTGGAGTGCAATGGCGCAATCTCAGCTCACTGCAACCTCTGCCTCCCAGGTTCAAACAATTCTCCTGCCTCAGCCTCCTGAGTAGCTGGGATTACAGGCGCCTGCCTCCACACCCAGCTATTTTTTTGTATCTTTAGTAGAGACGAGGTTTCATCATGTTGGCCAGGCTGGTCTCGAACTCCTGACCTTGTGATCCACCCACCTCAGCCTCCCAAAGTGCTGGAATTACAGGTGTGAGCCACCACACTGACTGGTTTTGTTGATTTGAACTATAAAGTTAGTATTTAAAATCATGTACTGTGTAAAGTGGAGTGAGTTTTAGAATTATACAAGATAAGAATCTTGCCCTAGAGGGAGCCTGTAGTCTAGTTGGAGAGACAAGATCTTGACCCATAACTCTCAGCCTAGCTAATTCTGTAACCTTTAGAAATGTTTAGTGTCTTTGGCTCTCCATTTTCTTGCTTGAAAAATGGAGATAATAACAATTTATCTTAGGATTCTTGTGAGAATTAAATGAGATAATGTTTCTGAAGGGTTTAGAGCCCAGCCTTCATTTATATTGCCTTATTTTTTTCTGTTCTTATTAGTCTAGAGATGTATGATTGATTCACGTAGTAGCAGTATCTCACAGTAGCAGTAATTCTCAGAAAGCATATGTTACGTGTCCTGAGAGTAGTGTGGAATGTGTCGTGAGGATCAGAGGTGGGAAAGAGTGGTCTGGGGCTGTTAACCTTGGAGGAAGGTTTTGTGGAAGACTGTAGACCTGAACTGAGCTTTGAAGGTTGATCATACTTTCAGATATGCATGGGAAAGACAGAGACTGAAAGTTCTTAGGGAATATAGTCAGCAAAGATAAGAATATAGAAGCTCGTGTTGTGTTGTAGTTAATCGATAAACATATGGACAGATGTAGGAGCAAAGATGTATTCTCATATGCCACTAGAGAAGATGGTTATAGTGAATGAAAACTGTGAAATGTCCATAGCTGAGGGCAGTAAAAACTAAATATTTATTCCCTTATTCATTTATAATTATAAATATTTATTTGTGAAATACTTATGGATGTGAACTATTATCATTAGGCAATATCTCAAGGTATACAGTATTCCCTTATGGTAAGGTTTGTTGTTATTGGATTTGAATCTATATTTAATTTAATTTATTTATTTTTAAAGTTTTTTGTAGAGATAGGCTCTCCCTGTGTTGCCCAGGCTGGTCTCAAACTCCTGGGCTCAAGTGATCCTCGTGCTTTGGCCTCCCAAAGTTCTGGGATTGCAGGTGTGAGCCACCTTGCCTGGCCTAAATCTATATTTTAAATAATCTTTTAGTAATTTCTTATATTTTGGCTGACTTGTAAGGTCTGATTTGGTTGTCATAATTTCTACCGTAGATGTTGCTAAGAATAAAAGAAATGTCATCTCTGCCATTTTATGATTGGCTTTTGCTAATATTGGTTTGAGGGAATATTGCCAATTTTTATTTAATCAAAACTGAATCTGTAAATCCACTTAACTGGGCACATAAAAGCTGCTTCCGTATCTTTATATACTGAAATTAATAAATGAGGACTGTTGTCAACCCTTCCTCATTGCAAATCTTCTACATTTCCCTCAGAGTACTTTTCTACCTCTCACACCAGGCAGTGATGTCAGTGTCAGTTTGCATATTGAATATTAGTAAAGCTTAATTTCTTTTTTTTGGAGACTGAATCCTAGAGCAGTGTTCCTCAGAGTGTGGTTTTTGGGTCACCTATGTCAGAATTACTTTGAGGTGCTGGTTAAAATAAAAATTAGGCTGGGTGCAGTGGCTCATGCCTGTAATCCCAGCACTTTGGGAGGCCGAGACGGGCAGATCACATGAAGTCAGGAGTTTGAGGCCAGCCTGGCCAACATGGCAAAACCCCATCTCTACTAAAATACAAAAACAATTAGCTGGGCTTGGTGGCAGGCGCCTGTAATCCCAGCTACTTGGGAGGCTAAGGCAGGAGAATCATTTGAACCTGGGAGGCGGAGGTTGTGGTGAGCTGAGATCACACCACTGCACTCCAGCCTGGGCAACAGAGTGAGACTCCATCTCAAAAATAAAATAAAAATTTCTGGGCCCTTCTCATACCCTATCTAGGTGACTGAAGTTGACACTTGGTAGCTAGTATAGAGCTTGGTGACATTGTGGGGTTTAGTGTATATATAGCATAAAAGAGAGTCCTAGGAACTCTCGTTATAGAAAATAAATCTTTTTTCTTTTTTAAGGTAAGAGATTTGAGAGTGTTTATATCTGGAAGGGAAAGTATCTTCTCTTAAAACCTCTTCCTATTAGAGAACAATCACTGGTTTGAAAATTAGATAGTGAATTTGAGTTTTTTATTTCAAAATTTGTTTTGCAATTTTTTATTAGGTGGAAATTAAAGGTGGAGCACATGATTATTACAATGTTCTTCCCAATAAGAGCCTATGGAAAGCCTATATGGAAAATGGAAGAAAGCTAGGAATAGAGTTCATTTCAGAAGATACAATGTTGAATGGCCCTTCAGGTAATTAAGTGTTTTTTTATATATTGAGCTATTTGAGGAAGAGAAATACCATCTTTGGTTAAATTGGTTGTATTTAATGGTTTGGGAGGTCGGGAGGTACTACTGACGTTTTTAATATTTTCACAAACTTTATGGTTAGGGGAAAGAAACTAATGGACTCTTAAGTGAGTGTAGAATGTCAAACGAGCAGACTTGATTTTAGAAATAGTCAACCTACATTTTTGTCTGTATTCTAAATATTTTCTAGTGTTTAAGTTTCGTTAGTTTTAATTTTTAAGTAAGTTGCTAAGGTGGGATATAGAATTTTAATTCATTCTCAGTCATCACAATAAGCAGGTTACTAAGTACTTAGTTATCTGGGGCATTTTCAGTTTCTGAGGAGCAACAGACAGCTAGAATTGAAATAAGCATATTTGGGGTTATGTTAGTTTTTTTTTCCTTTTAAAAGCATATTATTACTAATACATTTGCAAGTTAGAGATGTATCATCTGTTTTAAAAATAGATGTTGTTGAAGTAGGCCCAAAAGGACTTGGTGGTGAAAATGGGGTGTCGGTGTCATTCATTAAGATAAGGAGTTCAAGAGAAAGAGCAGGTTAGGGTAAGAGGGGGTTGTTATAAATTATTAGTATGTTAAACTTGAGGTGCTTATAGTATTTCTAAGTGGAGCTGTTCAGTACCTGTTAAATCTAGAACCCAAAAAGATGTCTAGTTTGGAGATTTAGGAGTTGTCCATATATGAAAGGTATATAGAAGACATAGATGTCGATGAGGTTGCCCAAATACATAGAGGAAGAAGATTCCCAGAGATCAGACATTGGCAGTCAACGAAGTGGTCAGAGAGAAAGCCAGACAATCAGGAGAGAGGAGAAGTCATGGAAGCCAAGGGAGAAGAAAACTTACAGAAGAGAAGGAGGCATAAATCATGTCAAGTGCTGTAGAGACTGAATAAGATGAATATGGTCTAGTGTCCACTGGACTCTAGTAATTAGAAATTCATGAATTGTCTGGAAGAAAATAGTATAAGACCAGTGGTACCAGATGCTGGGTCTCACTTCTCTACCCAGGGCATTGACTGCTGAGATAGTGGAAGTAGCAAATGAAGACTATTCTTTTTCAAGAGAGTTAGCTTTCAAGGAAAATAGAAAGAGTGGATACAAGCTTGAGGGAAATACGGAAAAGAAAATAGTTTTTAAGGGAAGATACTTGAGAAGTAGATGTAATGTTTAGGAAGGAGGTCAGGGAGTTCAGAGACTTTCCCTCTAGGAAGTAGCACACAGTGAGCATTGAGCTGGTAGGGCTGAGGGATTGAGAGAGAATTGCCACTGAGAGGAGTTGTCCAGGGACATCAGAGTTTCATGTTTTCTTTTGTTCTGGACAGCAAGAAAGCTCAGCTCAGCATGGTTCTGTTCTTTTACCCTAGCAGGTTTCTGCTGTCTAGCTGAAGAAGGGAAGACACATGGCCTGCTCTACCCCGGGTTTGGGTTTTATATAATGGACAAAACAGTAGGATAAAGTGGCTGTGATTTTGGTATGATTTGTGGGCTCTAGGGTCTAGTTCCACAAGTAAGATCTTAAAATATGCAACAGGTTTTTTTTTGTCCATCCTTTTTTGTTTTGTTTTGTTTTTACACTCAGACTCTTTAGACTCTTTAAACACTGGAGAGGCTTTTTCCATCCTGTTCACTGATGTCCCATTACTGTGCATCCTCAGTGTGTGGAGCCGTTTCTGGCACAGTTAAGTGCTTAGTGAATATTTTCTGAAGCAGTACTTCTATAGAGGCTACTATGCCTCAAAGTCTGGCCTCAGTCTGCATTTACCACATAACTAGCAGCTGTGAGACTATCGGCATGTTATTTAATACCCATAAGCCTTGGTTTCTTCATGTTTAAAATGGAAACTGTTCTAAATATTAATGAGAATACATACAAAGCACTTAGGATTGTGTTTGGAACGTAGTATTCCAGATAAATGTTAGCTACTCTTTGTCACATATTCCTTTATTCTCTTACCAATCACTGTGTAGTCTCACTTTGCCTGCATGGTGTTTGACATGTAATAAACATTCAGTAAATATCCATTGAGTGAACATAAGGCTTTGTTTTTACTGTGATTTATTCAACAAGTGCCTGTGTGTCAATCCTGTGAGAAGCTAGATGCACAGTCATTTCAAATACTATTTCTTGCCTCATACAGCCTCATAATTTAGTTTCTGACATAAGCATGAACCAAATCATCCAATACATGGAAAATTAAAAAGTACTGTAAAGGAGAGTAATACATCTCTGTGAGAGCTTATGCTAGAGGAATTTCACTTTATGGGAAGGTGAAGTAAGTAAGGCTTTGCTGAGGAAATGATGCTTAAGATGGAATTTGAAGGTTAAGTAAGAGTTACAGAGATGATGCAGGGATAGCATGTGCAAGGGTCCTGTGACAGGGAGAGCATGGTGAGTGTCTAGAGCGGCTAGGGCATCGAGAGTAGTGGGAACATGGTATGAGATCAGGTTGGAAAGGTGAATGAAGATTGAAAAAAAAAAGACGGCAAATAGAGTAGATGCTGCTAGACCAATTAGGAAACTTCTAGTTCAGGCAAGAGATAATGATAGCATAGGCTGAGGACAGGTGTTGGTGATGGTGATGCAAAGAGCGTTAGGATTCTGAGATATTTGGCAGGTACTGTTGATAGGTGGAGTGGAGGTAGAAGAGAAAGATCATGAGTTTGACTTTAGATATGTTAAGTTTGATCTACCTTGAAGACATCCAAGAGAAGATACCAGGCTGGCAACTGGATGTATGAGCATGGAACTTAGCAGAGACTGGGAAGAGATTTGAGTTGGTGGTGATTTGAAGCAATACATACGGACAAAATCTTGAGAAAGAATATGCAGTAAGAAGAGAAAGGGGCCTGGAATGGAGTCTCCCGTAACTATTATTTCATCGTCAGGTAGAGGGGGCTCTATCCCCAAGAGAGACAGAAGAAGGGGCCATCAGAGAGGCAGAAGGGAAGCCATGCAAGTGCTGTGTCACAGAAGAGAAGAAAGGGAGTAGGTGGCAGTGTGGAGTGCTGGCCAAGAGGGCCAGTAAAAGCCGTGAGACAAGGTGAGGGCAGGTTTGCAGTGACCTTCATGAGAGATGTGACTGATACAGGGGAGTGGGTGGCAGACTCAGTGGAAGGTGAGCCCATGAAAGCATGAGCATACGGACAACTCTCCAAGAAGCTCACTTCTCTGCGTCTCTTCTAACAGGGACTGTGACTTCATAACTCCAGAATACTTAACCACATATACTTAAATAGACTTTTCTTAACTTTGTGTGTTCCAAGGATCTACGGATTTTGGAAATGTTAGTTTTGTGGTTCCTGGAATTCATCCATATTTTCACATTGGATCTAATGCCTTGAATCATACTGAACAGTACACTGAAGCTGCTGGTAAGTGTTGTTGGATGTGACTGTTTTGGCACACACACTCTTCTTCTGGTAGTAGCTGCCTTTCTGTTTAACCTACTATTTCACTACATAACATCACCTCAGTAAATACTGCACTGTGGTGGGCAGTTGGAGAGCCAGTTGAGATACGGGTAGCTAACCTGTGAAATTAAATACAGCTTAAATAAGTAAGGAGGTATTTTATTTTCTCTACCTTTTAGGGTCACAGGAAGCTCAGTTCTACACTCTGCGGACGGCCAAAGCTCTGGCAATGACGGCACTGGATGTTATTTTTAAACCAGAGTTACTGGAAGGAATCAGAGAGGACTTTAAACTGAAACTTCAAGAAGAACAGTTTGTAAATGCAGTAGAATAAAAGACTTAGGGGCCACTTATAAATCAAGAAGACGTGATGATTTTTTTCTTTTAATCTCTTTTAATGAAGGCATGCTTGTTTTTTAATCTTAAAGGAGTAAAATTCTTTTTACCTGATAAGTGAGGACAGGGTGTGGAGAAAACATATTAATTACCTCATATCTAAAGTGAAAATTTTTGCAAATCCGTACTTGATAGGATTATGATATTACAGGAGCTGGTATGTGATGCCATTCTTTCTTTTTTTTTACCCCGCAACCACTCACCTTCACAGTAGTGATACCATTTCTTAACCTGGAGGATACATGGCATCATTTTTATAAAATATGTTAGTAAACCTTTTTGTAAGCCTTAAATGTTATGTGTATTTTTAAAAGCTTAAGAGATTTCAAACCTTATATTCAGAATTGACACCCATGAGAGTGTTTTGTGGTATAGGGTGGTAAACTTGTTCTCTAATCGTATATTAATTCCTCTACCAGATTGTATATTTGAAGCCAGTGTCTTTCCTTTTTTTGTTTTAAGATAGAGCCTCGCTCTGTTGCCCAGGCTGAAGTGTAGTGGCACAATCTCGGCTCACTGCAACCTCTGCCTCCCAGGTTCAAGTGATTCTCCTGCCTCAGCCTACCAAGTAGCTGGGATTACAGGTGTGTGGCACCATGCCCAGCTAATTTTTGTATTTTTAGTAGAGACGGCATTTCACCATGTTGGCCAGGCTGGTCTCGAACTCCTGACCTCAGGTGATGCACCTGCCTCGGCCTCCTAAAGTGCTGGGATTACAGGCATGAGCCACCGCACCCGGCCTGCCAGTGTCTTTTTAATACACATGTGTGTTGGTATTTTTAAATTGTTACAGTATCTAGCATATTGCTTACTCTGAATATTCAGTACTTTTTGAATAAGCAAATATTGCTTCCTTGCTTGGAATCATCAGAGTTTAAAGTAGCTTCGTGGATGGACCATGATCCTAAGATGAGTTTTAATTTTGTGTTTACAGTCATCTCTTGTACAACGTGGAGAAGAAAAGATATACTTACTACTTTGCTTCAGGTACACATAAGAAAACCTCTTTTTTAAAAAAATTTTTATTTTTTTACATAATAGAGACAGGGGCTCGCTGTAGCTTCCAGGCTGGCCTCAAACTCCTGGGCTCAAGCAATCCTCCTGTCTTGGCCTCCCAAAGTGTTGGGATTTCAGGTATGAGACACCACACCTGCCCATTTTTGTTTGGTTTTTTAATGGGCAGGTTCTTGCTCTCCCAGGCTGGAGTGCAGTGGTGTAATCACAGCTCACTGCAGTCTCGAACTCCTGGACTCAAGCAGTCCTCCCACCTCAGCCTCCTAAAGCACTGGGATTACAGGCTTGAGGCACTGCACCTGGCCCTGACCATTTTTTAAAAAGGTTAGGCTTAGTGCAAAGTTTAAAATTATATGATTCTTAAAATACTGAATTAGTTTCTAAACTAAACTAGAGGTATAGGTGGACCTGCTTGAGGTATCTTTGTTTTTATGGAACATTTTTATTACATGCCTTTATAATTTTTCATTGTTCACACCCTGTACTGAAACCTTTTTCTCAAATACCAACTCTTGGCTATGTTAAATTTGTAGACTTTAAAAGATGTTATCTAAATTAATGGTTTAAATATACAAATTGAAAATATTTTCTTTTTAGTGGCAATTTTAAAAGCAGGCCTTAATATGGGACCTGCTTTTAAAGTAAAATATGTGGTACTATGAATTACTAAATTGCTATATACCATGTAATAGTGAGTATAGCTAATATTTAGTATGCCTTTTAAAAATTTTGGACTGCTTTTCGGTTTTAACAAATTCTCCACATGTGAACTACTCAAGAAATTTTCCCTTTTTAATTGCCTCTATAGCACTCATAAGAGCTAGGGCATTAGGATAAACTAGAATATTTTATGTTTATGAATACTTGTATAAACTTAAAAGTGTTTTGATTTCCCACAATTTCCCAAAGGAATGTTTATTTATTAAGAGTTGTGTTGATAATTTAACTGTTACAATTTCAGCAGTTGAATTCAGTGAACACTGGTTGAGGAGTGCCTATTTCTAAGCACTGGGTGTAAGAAGAAAAGACACTTGCAAAGGAAGAGCTAAGATTAACATAATTTCTTTGGTTTTTCTATTGCTTGTTATTATTATGTAAAAACTGGGTGGCAGTTCACAAGGAAGATTGTTGTAACAGAAGAGTGACAACCAATAGTTTTTTGATCATTAAATCAAATTTTGTAAACAGTGGCAGGAGCGTGGACTTAAAACAAGGCTTGCTTATTTGGTTTTGTCAAAGTTTTACGAAAATATATGATATATATTTATACTAAAACTATATAATCCTTAGATTTAGGAAAGCAATCAGTTAATGTCTTTAGCACACTAAAGCAGTATTAAACACAGGTACAAGTTGGAAATTGTAGAAAACTGAAAGAAAACAAGACAAAATGTCTATGGTAGGGAATAAAAGAGTTTAAGATATTATGTAAAATTATGTGTATTTTCTTCTCTTTTACATAAATTGTTTGTGAAAAGTGTGCTCAACTTTTTTACAAGAGTGATATTAACTTGGATTTATTTTTCAATATAATTTGGAGACCCTTTGTTATCCAAATAAAATTGATGAGTTTCTGTGCCTGTAAAAAAAAAAAAAAAAAAAAGAAAAGAAAAGACACTGTTGCATGCCCCAGAAAGCTTGTGGTGGGTGGTAAGTTCTCACGAGATTTATTTATCTGAGCAACATTGGGACTGAGGGAACATCTGAAAGCTACCATCTTGAAAATTTTTGAGGAAGTGTTTCTGAAATATTTAAAAATACTTAAGTCAGTCATTTTGAACAAAAGAAATTGATACAATAAGTTTTTTTTTTTAAGGATGATTGTCTAATTTTGTAATATGTTGTTTTTTAAAAACCTGTCTGATGGTGTTTTATACATTTCTAACTTTTTACCTGAGTTATCTCTTTAGTCTTTTGGAAAATACCCTACACAATACTAACCTTTAAAACTATCAAATTTTTGTTATAAGATAAATGTTATCTTTGTACTAGATAGCAACCCTTTATAAGGTTGTAAGGTATAATAAACTGCTTATTTTTTTACATACTTCATATCAAGCATTTTGCAGTCCAATTATATAGTTGAGGATGGTGTATTTTGATATGTATGAAGTTAATATTTTCAAGTAAGCAATCAGTCTACTACCATCAGATTATAAGCTTTTTTGTAATAATAGGTACATAAAATGTGTATGAAAAATCTACAATAAACATGTTTATCTGATAGCAATTGTCTTGCTTTTTTAATGACCTGAAGATATATGTACGAAGATGAAGCACAATCATCCAAATCCATTGTGATATACTATACTTTTTCTTACGCATCAGTATCATAGATGTTGACTTGCTTTTCCACTATGTGTCAAATATTTTAAAAGAACAATTAAGTTCTTTTGTTTAAAAATGAATGTTTCACTAGTCTCAGAAGCTAAAAAATTGCAGTGCAAATTGTACATGGCAGGAGGTAAATACATATAGTATTGAGTTTCCTTTTTTAAAAAAAGTTTACACATTTAATACAGAGTAATTCCATATAATAACATAAATGCAATGGAACAGGTTTTTGGATCCTGGCTAAAGTATAAGTGCCTCATATGAGAAAAGTCACAAATGTCCATGTTTCTTTGTTTAAACTGGTTTTTAATTTTTATTCTTATTTTTGGAGACAGGTTCTCACTGTCACCCCGGCTGGAGTACAGTCAGTGTTGTGATCATGGCTCACTGAAGCCTCATCTTCTAGGCTCAAGCAATCCTGCCTCAGCCTCCTGAGTACCTGGGACTATAGGCATGTGCCCGGCTAATTTTTAAACTCTTTATAGAGATGGGGTCTCAAACTCCTGAGCTCAAGCGATCCTCCTGCCTTGGCCTCCCAAAAGACTAGGATTAGGGCATAAGCCACTGTGCCCAGCCTTAGACTGGCTTTCAAAATAGAGCCCAAATCTGTTCTTTTTAAAAGAGATTAATAGGCCGGGCGCGGTGGCTCACGCCTGTAATCCCAGCACTTTGGGAGGCCGAGGCGGGCGGATCACGAGGTCAGGAGATCGAGACCATCCTGGCTAACACGGTGAAACCCCGTCTCTACTAAAAATACAAAAAATTAGCCGGGCGTGGTAGCGGGCGCCTGTAGTCCCAGCTACTCGGGAGGCTGAGGCAGGAGAATGGCGTGAACCCGGGAGGCGGAGCTTGCAGTGAGCCGAGATCGCGCCACTGCACTCCAGCCTGGGTGACAGAGCGAGACTCCGTCTCAAAAAAAAAAAAAAAAAAAAAGGTTAATATGTAAGATTAGCTTTTGTTAGTTCAATAGATCAAAGCACCTAACCACCTTAAAAGAGAAACCTCAGAAATACAAAACAGAGAAGATTATCAGGTCAGGGTCTTAAGTGGACAATAATCAACTTGTTGAGGTCAGAGAGAGTAGACATTGCCTCCCTGGATGAACAATCGCATTTGGGAGTTTGAATTTTTTTTCTATTTGTTGTGTTGTTGGTCACTGACAACATATTTAGCTCAAGAGAATGGGAAAGAGTTAAAAACTTGCATCTTTTCCATTTGCGTTTATTTAAGATGAACCAAAGCTTCTAAATTGACTCACTGTTATTGCCTGAAATGATAAGGATTCAGGATTAACAGTAGCCTCATGGCATGTCATCTGGTCTGGCACTTTCTTTGAAGAAAGATTATGTGTTAGAGTACAGAAACTTAAAGAGTTTGATTAGAAGCTGAATAAAAATCCTTGAGTATGAATAGTTAAGAGTTTGCTCATTGGGCTGGGCACGGTGGCTCACGCCTGTAATCCGGCACTTTGGGAGGCTGAGGTGGGTGGATCACCTGAGGTCAGGAGTTCGAGACCAACCTGGCCAACATGGTGAAACCCTGTTTCTACTAAAAAAATTAGCTGGGCGTGGTGGTGGGCACCTGTAATCTCAGCTACTCGGGAGGCTGAGGCAGGAGAATTGCTGGAATCCGGGTGGCAGAGGTTGCAGTGAGTCGAGATCGCACCATTGCACCCCAGCCCGGGCCAACAACAGTGAGATTCTGTCTCAATGAATGAATGAATGAATGAATGAAAGTTTGCTCATTGCCTGAGAGCAGGATAGGATGCCAGGAAGTGAACTCAGATGCAGTTGAAACCTAATGCTTTAAACTAATATCCAAGTCCCGTTATCTCTGAACGTGTGTGGCGGTAAATGATTGTTGAGCCATGACGTTTCTTCAGATATGGAGCAGTTACTCACAGCACCTATTTGGTGTGCTTGCCATAGTTTTTGAAGGCTTATAGGTGGGTTGTGTGTTCTTTAAGAAAAAAGATCCCTTGTAAAAATATATAAGAATAGTTTATAGTAGAAAATCCAGGCTGGGTGCGGTGGCTTACGCCTGTAATCCCAGAACTTTGGGAGGCCAAGGTGGGCGGATCACCTGAGGTCAGGAGTTTGAGACCAGCTTGGCCAACATGGTGAAACCCTGTCTCTACTAAAAATACAAAAATTAGCCGGGCGTGGTAGTGCAGTAGTCCCAGCTACTCAGGAGGCTGAGGCAGGAGAATCTCTTGAACCCGGGAGCCAGAGGTTGCAGTGAGCCAAGATTGTGCCAGTGCACTCCAGCCTGAGCAACAGAGTGAGACTCCATCTCAAAAAGAAAAAAGAAAATCCCAGGCAGAAAGAGATTACAACCATGATTAAGCATTTTCTCGAAGCAGATTTGAGACTATGCTTCCCAGCTTCTGATGTTGCCACTACCCCCCACCTACCCTCTGCTACTTTCCTTTTTTATGTTTCTTATTTTTTGTTTGTTTATTTTGAGAAAGGGTCTCACTAGGTCACCCAGGCTGGAGTGCTGTGGCGTAATCAGGGCTCAGTGCAGCTTCAACCTCCTGGGCTCAAGTGATCCTCCCACCTCAGCCTCTGGAGTAGCTGGGGCTCCAGGTGTGCACCACCATGCCTGGCTAATTTTTAAAAAAATTTTGTAGAGATGGGGATCTTACTATATTGCCCAGGCTGGTCTCGAACTCATGGGCTCAAGCAGTCCTCCTGCCTCAGCCTCCCAAAGTGTTGGGATTTCAGATGTGAGTCACTGTTCCTGGCCCCGTCTGCACTTTCTAAATTCTCCTGGCCTAAAGTTCCACTGATGATGATGAGCCCTGGAATTTTGAGGTCAATAATCCTGTAGCTGAATGTCAGAGAAGTCTAATTTTTTTAACAGAATAATTTTAATAATATAATTACATCATTTAAATCAAGTAGCTGATAATGTAATCGCCCAATGGGTTCTCCTTGCCCACTGCCCAGATAGAGCTGATTTATCAAGATGGGAGTTGCAATAGAAAAGAGTTTAATTTACACAGAGCTAGGCTAAACGGGTGAACAGAGATTTAATACTCAAATTAGTCTCCCTGAAAATCTGAAAACTGGGGTTTTTTAAGGCTAATTTGGCAGGTTGGGGGTCAGGGTGGTGAGTGCTGATTGGTCAGGTCGGAGATGCAATCATAGTGGGGCCCGAGTGGGTTCTTGCTGAATTCTGTTCCTGTGTGGGATCACAGAGCTGGTTGAGCCAGATGGAAAATGGGTCTGGGTGGCTCCGGCTGGTGCAAAATGGGTCTGGGTGGCTCCGGCTGGTGCATCAGAATGGGGCTCTGAAGAATACCTCAAGCCCTGATCTTAGGTTTTGCTATAGTGATGTTATCCCTAGGAACAATTAGGGAGGTTCAGGATCTTGTGGCCTCTGGTTACAATGACTCCTAAATGATAATTTCTAATCTTGTAGCTAATTTGTTAGTCTTAACAAAGGCAGCCTGGTCCTCAGGCAAGAAGGGGGTTTGGGAAAGGGTTGTTATCTTTGTTTCAAAGTTAAACTATAAGTTTCTCCCAAAGTTAGTCTGGCTTACACCCGGGAATGAACAAGGGCAGTTTGGCGGTTCGAAGCAAGATGGCGTCAGTTAGGTCAGATCTCTCTCACTGTCGTAATTTTCTCACTTATAATTCTTGCAAACATGGTTTCAATAATACAATCCAGGGAAGTGGGACTTTGTTTTTTAGATTCAGGGGGTACATATGCTTGTTTACATGGGTGTTACGTGTAACATACATACGTGTATACATGCAATACATACTACATACAATGTCCAATGGACATTGTATCCAATAGGTAATTTTTCAACTCTCACCCCCCTCCCTCCCCACCCCCTTTTGGAGTTCCCAGAGTCTATTGTCTCATCTTTATGTCCATGTGTACCTTTTGTTTAGCTCCTACTTATAAGTGAGAACATGAGATACTTATTTTCTGTTTATGTGTTCTGTTTCTGTGAGGATAATGGCCTCCAGCTCCATCCATGTTGCTGCAAAGGACATGATTTCATTCTTTTTTATGGCTGTGAGAAGTCCAATCTTATGAATAAAGCAATAGTCCAGCAAGAAGTAAAGTACTATATTGCTTAGAAAGGGCAGCTGTCTGAAATCTTTCCAGTGAGCCCCAGTTGCACTTCATTTTATTTCCTGCCTGTGAGATTCCCCTGTATTCTATTTCTTTTTTAAGTTAGTTTGAGTGGGTTACTGTTCATACAATCAAATATCACTAAGGTATAGTTTAATACCCTTTCCTGATTTTTTTAAGTCTTAAAAAGCTAGGGACCTAGAGTTGTACTACCATAATATAATAAAGAAAATTGATCTCAGATCAACCTCATTCTATATGCTCATTGTTAATGAGGAAATAGTCTGTGATAGGAATATAAGGAGTATTCATCACAATATTATTATTTCTTTCAATACTAGGGGAAAGATTGAATTGTATATCCATAGTATGGAGTTATTATAATGGCTACAAAATGTGGAGAGTTTTTAGTAGAAAAATGATAATGCTGTGTTTTGGAAAAGAAAAAATTAATCTTTGCCTTCTAAAACTTGGTGAACTTTACAGGTTACTCCCCTGCCAAAAAAAAACAAAAAAAAATCAACACTTAAATCCTAGGTAACTCGGATTCATACTCCACCAGAATTTAAAAAAAAAATTAACTGAGCTTTGTGGTAGAGGAATATTTTAAAGATATATTCCTGAACAAACATTTCTTCCTATTTTGAAGAGACAATTGTGTTCTTTAAAGCTGGGCTTCTGCCAGGCACAGTGGCTCATGCCTGTAATCCCAGCACTTTGGGAAGCCAGGGCAGGCGGATCACCTGAGTTCAGGAGTTTGAGACCAGCCTGGCCAACATGGTGAAAACCCATCTATATTAAAAAATACAGAAATTAGCTGGGCGTGGTGGCCCACACCTGTAATCTCAGCTACTCAGGAGGCTGAAGCAGGAGAATCCCTTGAACCTGGGAGGTGGAGGTTGCAGTGAGCCAAGATGGCACCACTGTACTCCAGCCTGGGTGACAGAATAAGACTCTGTCTCAAGAAAAATAAAAATTAAAAATTAGGGAAAAAAAAACAAAGCTTGGTGTCTGAAGGTGCAGACCCTAGGGGGATAGTTTAACAATTTCTTTGAGATCAATAGATCAGCTATAGCTCTTAACACAGTGCTTAGCACATATAATAAACGCTCAATATGGAATAAGTTGTTGAATGCATAGATGCAACACTCATCACTTTCTGTGAATGACAAAGGTGTATGGTTATGAGAACCTAGTTTAGAGCTTTGCTAACTTGAATGTGTATATGAATCACCTGGGGATCTTGTTAAACTACAGGTTCTAATTGAGTGGGTCTGGGATGGGGCCTGAGAGTCTGCTTCCCTGACATGTTCCAAGGTAATGCCAGTGCCGCTCTGGGGATACTGTGAGTTACGAGAACCTAATTGTAATTATCTCAATTAAAAATAGGTGCATTGAGGCCGGGCATGGTGGCTCATGCCTGTAATCCCATCACTTTGGGAGGCCGAGGCAGGTGGATCACCTGAGGTCAGGAGTTCAAGACCAGGCTGGCCAACACGGTGAAACCCCCATCTCTACTAAAAATACAAAAGTTAGCCAGGTGTAGTGGCAGGTGCCTGTAATCCCAACTACTTGGGAGGCTGAGGCAGGAGAATCGATTGAACCCAGGAGGCGGAGGTTGCAGTGAGCCAAGATCATGCCATTGTACTCCAGCCTGGGTGACAGAGCGAGACCATCTCAAAAAAAAAAAAAAAAAAAGGTGTAGTGATTACCCAAAAGTGGAAATCCAACTTGAGGAATGCCATGGTAATTAAATTGTGTTATGGAAAAGTATTACAAAATAGGAAAATAGTTCTCATGTTGTACCTTAAATTTTTAGTTTTTAGGTAAAGCTACCCAATATATTTGAGTATAATCATACCATATATCATAACTAAAGACCATTTTACAAAGACTGTTAACTATTTGGGATGGCAAAGCCAGCAACTTTATAGCTAGGTTCATATTAAGCTGTAGTTACAGTGTTTTGGAGACAAGCCAGAACATTAAAATAAGGATAGTTACGTGCAGAGGCATAACATGAGAAACAGTACCAATTTGGGGTGAAGACTGAGAAATTTTCAAAGATCATTTTTTCTTCTCTCATCATGCTTGAACTGTTTCTCTGCACATGTCATTAACTGGGCAATATAAAGTTGATTGCTTTCCAATAGAAAGTCTAAGAGGGCCAGGCATGGTGGCTCACGCCTGTAATCCTGGCACTTTGGGAGGCCAAGGTGGGCAGATCACATGAGGTCAGGAGTTCGAGACCAGCCTGGCCAACATGGTGAAACCCTGTCTCTACTAAAAATACAAAAATTAGCCAGGTGTGGTGGCAGGCACCTGTAATCCCAGCTACTCAGGAGGCTGAGGCAGGAGAACTGCTTGAACCCGGGAGGTGGAGAGGTTGCAGTGAGCCGAGATCACGCCATGCCATTGTACTCCAGCCTAGGGTGCAAGAGCGAGACTTCGTCTAAAAAAAAAAAAAAGAAGAAGAAGAAAGTCTAAGAGAAAGAAACCACTGGAAAATTACAAACAGAATCCTGTTATAACATGCCTGAATGAGATTTAAAACTTGGCCTTTGAACAACAGAAATCTTGGCACTGCAGCCAGTAAAATTTCTTAAAGCAACTTCTGCCTCTTTAATTCTTCTCAATTCCACTCACCTCTCACCCTGCAACTAATGTCTTTTTCTTTGGAATCTATCATTTTTAGGAACAATGTT
Source organism: Homo sapiens (assembly GCF_000001405.40). Classification (NCBI taxonomy): domain Eukaryota; kingdom Metazoa; phylum Chordata; class Mammalia; order Primates; family Hominidae; genus Homo; species Homo sapiens. The sequence goes on from NC_000006.12 coordinate 89,172,471, forward strand.
TTGGAATGACATTCATCGGGGTTCTACATTGCAACAAAAAATTAAATTTGTGGTTGTATTTTTTATTTGTTGCTGGACTTTCTTTCTTGCTCCAGTGGGTTTTCCTCAGTGTTAATGACCACTTCTAGAAATGTCAATTAAAATTTTAAGCCACAGAAATGGTGGGAATTTGAGAGGATTTACTTTTTGCACCTCTTTATGGCATGTGGTGCCCTGTCTTATGTTTATTATTTATTTATTTATTTATTTATTTATTTTGAGACAAGGTCTTGCTTGTTGCCCAGGCTGGAGTGCAGTGGTGCAATCTCAGGTCACTGCAACCTCCATCTCCTGGGCTCAAGCGATCCTCCTGCCAGTGCACCCTACCACACTCAGCTAATTTTTTTTTTAAGTTTTTTTTTTTTTGGTAGAGACAAGGCTCTCTGTTAGAGACCAGGCTGGTCTCAAACTCCCAGGCTCAAGCCATCCTTGCACCTCAGCCTCCCGATGTGCTGGGATCACAGGTATGAGTCACTGTGCCTGGCTGTCCTGTCTTATTTTTAGTTTTCAAAACAAATTAGATTTTTAAAACGTTTAAAGGACTTTTGTTTATTGGAGAATCACAAAGTTTAGATAGGTACATGAGGGTTCAGTCTACAAAATGCCAAAGCAGTTATTCAGCTCAGCATACCAAACTGTCTGACATTGTATACACTCAAAACATATTGCCTAAATTTGTATCTTTCAGTCATTGGGGTTGTGTTTAACTCCATTTGGACTGAAATGGAAGTTTTTCACTTTTTGTTTTGTCCTGCTAACTAGATTTTAAATTTCCAATTTTTTTAAATTTCCTTAATTACTTTCACAAGATTTTATGTATTTTTTTAGAGACAGGGTCTTGCTCTGTCACTCAGCCTGGAGTGCAGTGGTGTGATCACGGCTCACTGAAGCCTTGACCTCCTGGGCTGAAGTAATCCTCCTGCCTCAGTGTCCAAAGTAGCTAGGACTACAGGCATGTGCCCCCATGCCCAGCTGAAGCTAATTTTTCTATTTTTTGTAGAGACAGGGTCTCACCGTATTGTCCAGGCTGGTCTTGAACTCCTGGGCTCAAGTGATCCTCCCACCTCAGCCTCCCAAAGTGCTGGGATTACAGGCAGGAGCCACTGTGCCCGGCTAAAATTACACTGTTTTAAACAGAGTATTGAAGCTTGCAAATCAAGAAAAATGAAAAAGCTAAACACTTCCCTATTTTCCACTCCCCGTTATAGATATAAGGTATAGTTGTGTGGTTGAACACTTCATATAAGTTAACCTCACTTAGGCATGGCTTTGATTCTCAAAGAGATTCGGTTACCTTCATTCAGTTCTCATGGCCAAGGCCTGCCTGCCAGCCAAGTAGCCTACAAATGCATGTGTTTCATCACAATAGGTACCGACTGTGTACAGAGCTATAAATGCTACTTGAAGAAACCCACTAAACTCACCAATAAGGATCTGTTCATTGTTTTTGGTGTAAACTAGAGGGCATTCATAAAACACTCTGGTCTCAAGAAACGTAAGGATATTTCCTTCTACACAAATAGTAATACTTGAAATAATTGACAGGAAATAGATTGAAATTAAATTTAGAATATGGAATTGAAAACACATTCACTTATTTTAAAAGTTGTGATAATACTGAAGTGAGTGAAATGGTTTTACTTTAACATTGTTGACGTGTGCATTGGAGAATGTACTTTCTTATTTACTGCAGGTACTGAAATTTCCCATACATAGCAAGCCCTGAAATTCAGTTGTAGCAATTTTCTTGATAACATCAAAATGAAATTGTTCTTTCTATACGTGGATTATTGTGATTGTGATTTTAGCAACACATGGTGGTGGGCTCCATGGTTCTGAAGGAGGGGATGCAGGCACAGGACTGGGTTATATCAGGGACTCTCCACATTCAAAAAACTCATCATACAAAAAGCTGATGGACTGACATTTTAAAAAATAAAACAAGCTGAACCTTCACCACAGAGAGTTTAAGAAGCACTGGTCTAAAATGTTTCCTACAAAGTAGTAGGTGCTCAGTATTACTTGACGAATATATGAATAAATAAATGAGTTAACGAATTAATTAAAATATACCAATGATCAGTTAAAATATTTCCTTATAGCAGTGTTTATGTATTGTGTATGACAGTTTGGTTGTCCAGTATTTATTATCTGTAATAAGGTGAATGAACATTGAGTAAAGAATCTTTCACTTAAGGTTGGGCGCGATGGCTCATGCCTGTAATCCTAGCACTTTGGGAGGCCGAGGTGGGCATATCACATGAGGTCAGGAGTTCGAGACTAGCCTGGCCAACATGATGAAACCCCATGTCTACTAAAAATACAAAAAAAAAAAAAATTTGTTGGGCGTGGTGGCAGGCACCTATAATCGCAGCTACTCAGGAGGCTGAGGCAGGAGAATCACTTGAACCCAGGAGGCAGAGGTTGCAGTGAGCTGAGATCATGCCACCGCACGCCAGCCTGGGTGACAGAGCAAAACTCTGTCTTAAAAAAAAAAAAAAAAAAGGCCAGGCAAGGTGGCTCATGCCTGTAATCCCAGCACCTTGGGAGGCTGAGGTGGGTGGGTCACTTGAGGTCAGGAGTTCAAGAGCAGCCTGGCCAACATGGTGAAAACCCGTCTCTACTAAAAAATAACAAAAAAAAAATTAGCCAGCCATAGCGGTGTGTGCCTGTAATCCCAGCTACTTGGGAGGCTGAGGCAGGAGAATTGCTTGAGCCTGGGAGGTGGAGGTTGCAGTGAGCCGAGATTGCGCCACTGCACTCCAGTCTGGACAACAAGAGTGAAACTCGGCCTCAAAAAAAAGTCTTTCACTTATTAACCATGTTATCTGCATGTTATTCCATCAGCCTCTCTCAGCCTTTAGAATTTCCTCATTCAGGTTCAAATGAAACAGAATGTGAAAGTATTTTTTGTAAAACTGGATTTACAAATGTGAGGTTTCACTGTCACTAAAATATAAGCCGTTTTTATTCTAAGATCTAGCATCACCACCCTTCCCTATAAAGTATGAATTATGAAAGCAACTAAAGAATATTGAAACTCCAGTTCTCTACTGCCTATAACCCTTCTGCACATCTGGATGATGCCTACATTCTATCACAGTGATAAAAATCCTTCAGAATCCTACAGCGCCTTCTGAACTACCAGGCAGAGAATACATTATGTTTGATATAGTTTTAGTCAAATACATTTTAACTCTTTAAAAATTAATTATTCAAGCCAGGCACAGTGGCTGAGGCAGAGAAAGATTGCTTGAGGTCAGGAGTTTGCTTGAGACCAGACTGGGCAACATAGTGAGATCTTGTCTCTATAAAAAATTTTTAAAATTAAAAAAAATATTCAATATGGCCACATGGTATTTGCCCATTAACCAGACAATATTATTAACCACATCTTCCTACTCATGCCAGTAAAACGTATTAAGTACTATAGATGCTCAGATATATTATGTGGTTTTCTCCAAAATTATCCTTCAAAAAATAGGGAGTTGCTTTATATTTGGGTCCTTACGAAGTCATACTACAGAGCTGTCAATTACATAACTTTGACAGAAAAGTAATGCCTTAAGAAAACACATTAGCATGGAAATTATTCAATTAATGCTAGTTTTAGATACTCATAGTGGTCACCGGGAATTGCCAGAAAAGATAGCAAAGACATTTAATATGAATTTAATCACTGATTCCTCACAATCACTGTGTGACTATCAAAGTAAATAAGTCTTTTAAATATCACTTTAAAAAACAATGCTGCATGTGTTGTGTTGCAAAAATCAAGAATAAACATCTAAAAGATGCATTAGATATACTATTAAGCAAATTGATAATTTCTATTGGCATCTGTTATTGAATGAATTGTGTCTCCCTATGGGCCCCAAATTCATATATTGAAGCCCTAACTCCCAACATAGCTGTATTTGAAGATAGGCCTTTACAAAGGTAATTAAGGTTAAATCAGGTCATTGGCATGGGCCCTATTCCAATATGACCAGTGTCTTTATAAGAAGAAATTAGGACACACACATTACAGAGGAAAGACCATGTGAAGACACAGTGGGAAGATGGCCATCTACAAGCCAGGGAGAGAAGCTTCCAGGGAAACCAAGCCTGCCAACACCTTGGTCTTGGACTTCGGCCTCCAAAACTGTAAGAAAATAAATTTCTGTTGTTTAAGCCACCCAGTCTGTGGTACTTCGCTATCACAACTTTAGCACACTAATAGAGTATCCCATAGGTTGCTTCAAATGGTGGAGTATCCTGTACAAATAGATGGAAGTTCAGATGGTGTGCCCTGGATACATTTCAGCTCACTCACAGTGGCCCTAGTGATCATGAGGAAGAAGACAGCAGCAAAGATGTTTGTAAAGAGTTTGATTGCAATTGTTCTATAAAATAATCATGGAAAAAACCAGCGTTTTTAAAATAACATCTTTAAACATCAAAAGTTAACATTTAGGGGTCAGGTGCGATGGCTCACGCCTTTTTCCCCAGCACTTTGGGAGGCTGAGGTGGGAGGACTGATTGAGCTCAGGAGTTTGAGACCAGCCTGGGCAATATAATGAGACCTTGTCTCTACAAAAACTTTAAAAAATTGGCTGAGTGTGGTGGAGCATGCCTGTAGCCCGAGCTACGCAGGAGGCTGAGGTGGGAGAATCACTTGAGCCTGGGAGGCAGAGGTTGCAGTGAGCTGAGATGGCACCACTGCACTACAGCCTGGGTGACAGAGTGAGACCCTGTCTCAAAAAAATAAAATAAGAATACAAAATTTAAATAGTTAACATTTAACTATTTCATCTAAATCCCTTTAAGTTTATTCAAGCTTGCCAAAAAACTTTCTTTCGGTGAGTTTTCATTGGAGATAATGGGAGATTACATTGTAATTAGGGTTTATGCAAATAGGTTTTTTCAGATTAAAATATAGTCCTGCATATGTAGAATCATAATATTTAGTATTGGTGATGAGTCAAATTAACTTTGAAATGAAAATGACATTATTGTGTATATAATTCACTTTATTAAAGTGAGTTTCAAATAAAACAAATGCTGTTTGGGTAAGTTTGGTGGAGGTTGATCTATATAGCAGATATATAATATAAATAACTGTTTTTAAGTGATACACCAGATTAGAACCCTCTCCTTTACCCCATGCCCTGACATCAGTTGCCATTGGGCCATCCGTCTGCCTGGTATCTGGGCTGTGTGGTCTAGGTGATGGCAGTTTTCTGGTCCATAGAAAATGCTGGTATTTCGAGTATAAATGCAGATGTCCAGTGATATCTTCCCATTTATTTTGCTTTCCGATGTTCTTTTTCTCTTAAGAAACCATGTGAGTATTTCTCATTCTAATGAGTTACAAGTAGTCCCAAATTATGTATTTCCTTGAAGTGTTTATGCAGAAGAAATCATTCTCTACCCAAGTTCCTCAGTGAAGATATCACATCACTGAGAAAGCACTTCTCTTTGAACAAGGACATGCTCCAAGAAGAAGAAACATGAAGTGGTGATTATATAAAATAGGGAACATTTAAACACAAATTTTCTAGCCTAGTTACCTCTATGACACAACAGACAAAATGCATGTGTGTACTCTTATCTTCAAAGTTTCCCTACCAGGGAAAATTTCACCAAAATCAGAAGCAATTGCGCCAATCTAAAGAGCTTTTCTTGTGAAGGGGTAAAGCCTGTGAACCACAGCATATAAAGAAAAATAATGTGAATGTTATCATTGCCTTTTATTAAAATAAACATGCGGAGGTGGAGTCGCATACAAAATAGGTAATAGGTTATAAACTGAAGCATGAGTTTCTGTCAAAGTGAGGATTTAGGTGCATGTGAATTTCATGCAAATGGCCTGTAGGTGCTTCCAAGTTCACGTAGCCTGAACAATGTAATGACACTTGAGGAAAATAAATTATTCATGTGAATAGCATCAAGGGTCTAACGGGTGGAACTAAATGTGCCCACAACACTGGTAGTGTGCTTTTCCAGGGGATCTGGGTAACAACTAACATCAGTCGCTACAGTGTCGTATTTCCTGCAGCACCTAATATAATGCTGTGTATTCAATAGATGGTTAATAAGTGCAAATTAAACCAGTAAGTGTCTCGTCAATGTAGCTTTGGAAAGCTGCAGAAGGGATAGTGAAAACATGGGTGGGTCCTGGGATTTTTTTTTAACCATATCCTTAAATACTTTTTCATTATACAGTTATTTCTGTAGTGCATGCCATGGAAATGTGAAATTTGTAGAATTACAAGCATCTAGGAGAAAATAGACCAGTATATTAAATTGAATAAAATGTATGCTGCTGGAAAGATGATCCTGGAGTATTTATCAATGGCGTGGGTGTCGATTCTCATGCTCACATAGCTGCTTCTCTGACTTTTCCTCTGTGGGGAGCTCCTCTCTGAGGCCAGGGTCAGCTGCACCATCATCCTGTCGGGCTTCTCTCCATTCTCTGGCATGTAGTTGTCCAGGTCATTCACCTCCCCATCACTGTAGTTGCCGTCCAGCATCGCAGTGCGGGGCGGAGGTAATCCGCTGGTGCAGGGAAGCTGCAAACAGTAAACACATGTTGGGGTGTGAGCTCAGCATCATCTCTCAGAAGCCCTTCAAAAGGAACTGCATAGTGGAGGGTGTTGCCTGGTTTCTGGTATTCCCAGTTTGGGAAGAGGGTAGGTATCCTGTTTTGTTTTGTTTTTGTTTTTGTTTTTTTTTTGGGGGGGACTTGAGTTTTGCTCTTGTCGCCCAGGCTGGAGTGCAATGGCACGATCAATCTCAGCTCACTGCAACCTCCGCCTCTGGGGTTCAAGTGATTCTCTTGCCTCAGCCTCCCAAGTAGCTAGGATTACAGATGCACACCACCATGCCAGGCTAATTGTTTTATTTTTAGTAGAGACGAGGTTTCATCATGTTGGCCAGACTGGTCTCAAACTCCTGATCTCAGGTGATCCACCCGCCTCGGCCTCCCAAAGTGCTGGGATTACAGGCGTGAGCCACTGTGCCCAGCCTGGTATCCATTTTTGCTGATCTAAAATCTACATACTGACTCTTAGAAAATATCACAGTGCCATACCAAAGACCAACAAGAATGCTCATGATTCATAGATCACCCTGTTCTCCATGAGATCATAAGCTGTTATGAGCCCTTGATAAAAATGTTTACAGATCACATAATTACAAGTGTGTGCATGAACGTGTGCATTTGTCATGGGGATGGGGATTGGTATTGTGGGGATAGATTACTGTAACATGGTTAGAGTTTGCTGGGGGAGATAACCATTGAGCTGCACACTGGAGGAGGAAAGGAGAGTCAGGTGGGAGGAAAGATAACCTGGGAAAAGGTGGAGCATGCATGAGGTTACATATGAAGGAAGATTTCCTAGAATGAGAAATGTTCTTCCCTGGACAGTTCTTTTATTACACCCTTATGTTCATAAATAATTTGTCCCACTATGTTAAATTGTCATTTATTTTTCTCCTGGGATTCCCTCACTAAACTATGAACATCACCAAGATGTTCCCTAACACTTAACTAAGACCTGGTCCAAGTATGTGGTAGGTGCAAAAAAATTTTTCAATGAATGAAAGATGTCACCCAAAGTAAATTTCACAATGACTTGAAATACACCAATTTGTTTGCTCTTCACAACAACCCTGTGAAGTAGGCACAGGAGAGGGTATCATGACCTTGCTTTACAGAGAAGGTCTGCCCTGCCTGAGGTTCCAGAGCTAGATCAGGTTCCATCCTGACCAGACACTATAAGCGCATGGCAAAGTCACCTTCTCCCGCAGCTTCTGTTCCTTCCTCTCCTGCACAGTGGTCAGGTAGTTGACGGCCGCATACTCCAGCACCGAGAGGAACACGAACACAAAGCTGACCCAGAGGTAGATGTCCACGGCCTTGATGTAGGAGACGCGCGGCATGGAGGCATTCACGCCCGTGATGATGGTGGACATGGTCAGCACCGTTGTGATACCTGCAAACACAAGAATGAGAAACAAGTGTTTGCTTGTCTTTCACCAAACACAGGATGGTTTCATGTCTCTGCTCATTTGTCCCTGCTGCTCCCTCAATCTAGAATGTCTCCATCCCTGCTCCACTGCCCAGCAAACACCTACACATCTTTCAAGATTTAGCTTTTCACGAAGCTTTTCCTGTTCCTCTCCCCCTGCTTCCCTACCCTTTCGCCCCTCTGCATACCCTGTGTATTCATCGTAGCATCTGTGTCACTATTCTTCTGCAAAGAACCCTAGACATTTTGGCATTAAAACATTTATTTCAATTGATTTTTACAAAATAAGAGGTTGCATATATGAGCAGGTATATATGTTTCTTATAACTACTGCTCCATCAAGGGGAAAAAGCCCATGGGGTTTATTTTAATATCATGTCCTGGCTCTTGGTGTGCAGTCCTGTTGTCCTGGGCCTGCGTCGACAGCTGTCAGGGCACCCCCAGCAGCCACCACCATGCTGGACCTAGCTGCCCATTCAGCATTGTCCACTTGAGGACTTGAGGGTCAATTTCACTAAGGATGACAATGTTAACTTCATTTATAGGAAACAGATTTTAAAACTAGAGTGTGTAGCTATTTAGCACAGTAACTGTTCAAGCTATGGAACAACTGTTAGAGGACAAGGCATCTGTCCATGGAAATTTGCCCAGGATTTCAAATTAAGCTCAGAACATTTGTTTGGCAAACATCAAATCACAGGGGATTGGGGTCATCTTAAGGGCCAGCTCCAATCCAGTTTCACTAAAACCTGGTGGGTCGCATTCTCCCCTGCAGCCCCTGAACTGTCTGAGCAATGGTGGTGTGTATAAATGGGTATAATATTTAAGGTGAGAAAAAGAGCTGACAGCAAATAGCCATAAGCGGAATGCTTATAGAAAAGGGATTCTCAGACTTGAGTACACAGAATAATTACTGGGAGAACTTGTTAAAAATGCAGGTTCCTGGTCCTCCCTCAGAGATTCTCATTCTATAGATGCAGATGAGACCCAGGACCCTTCATTTTTAACAATTTCCCACAAAGATTCTATCACAAAGACCCCTTGAGCTACCATTTGAGAAACACTGTTGTAGGATATGATTCATTTTGCAGGTGAGCAAAGAAGGCACCTAAAGACCAGGCTCGCCCACCCTGGAACACGGCTTCGACAAGACTAAAGGTGGGCTGTTTGGATGGGCACCTGCAGAGTCCTGGAAAGCATTTTGCTACATAGATTCCTAATTACAGGATTTTAACTATAAATAAATAACTCTTGAGTTTTTCCAAGTCATAACGCCAAAAGGGATACAGAATCAATTTGAAAAGAATGGTTTTATCTGGAAGGAATTGTTAATACCTATATTTGCAGATGCTTGGAATATGCACTTGAGGTATTCCTTACCTAAGGGGACTCTGGCAGGCACGGCTCTGCGGTCGATCCAGAAGGACACCCAGGACAGCATGACCATCAGGGTAGCGGGGAAATAAGTTTGGAGCAAGAAGAAGAAGATGTGGCGACGCAACGTGAAATTAATGTAGAGACGGTTGTACCAGCCTGGGGGACACAGGAATAAAAGACAGTACACATCATGGCTCCTTCATAAAACACATTTTATTCAGGAAATTGTTAAGTGCCTTAGACACTCCAATGGACTCTTATCATGTCTTTATAAGGTGAAATTGAGAGAAATCATGAAACAAAGTGATTATATAGTAATACATACCACCTGGGTGAATCTATCTCAAGAAACCTTTGGCCGTTGTCCTATTTACAAACGGAATCCCTTGAAAAGACCATTTAAACTTTTTTCTTTTCTTAAGACAGTGTATCACTCTGTCACCAGGCTGGAGTGCAGTGGTGCAATCTTGGCTCACAGCAGCCTTGAACTCCTGGGTGCAAGCAATCCTCCCACCTCAGCCTCCCAAGTAGCTGGTACCACTACACCCAGCTGATGTTTAAATTTTTTGGTAGAGACTGGGTCTTGCTATGTTCACCAGGCTGGTCTCGAACTCCTGGCTTCAAGTGATCCACCCACTTCAGCCTCCCAAAATGCTGAGATTACAGGTATGAACTACCATCACGCCTGGGTCATTTAAACTCCTGTTACTCTCATTACCTGGTCTAGGGTTCAGCAACCTCACCGTCACCTGGGAGCTTGTTATAAATGAAGATACCTGGGCCCCACCCCAAACCTACTTAATTGGAGGTCCATTTAACAATATTCTCAGCTGGGCGCGGTGGCTCATGCCTGTAATCCCAGCACTTTGGGAGGCCAAGGCGGGAGGATTGCTTGAGCTCAGGAGTTCAAGGTTACAGTGAGCTATGATCGCCCACTGCACTCCAGCCTGAGCCACAGAATGAGACCCTGTCTCTATTAGGAAAAAAAATAATTTTATATATATATATGTAATTTGTTCATAGTTCATATGCACGTCAAAGTTTGAGAAGCACTGATTTAAACAATCTCTTTAGATTTCTTTATGGGGAGAAATGTGCTTTAAGTTAAAAAAGAAAGTTAAACACAACATTGTATTTAGGAACACAGTGAACAATCACAGGTCCAGCTACATTTTAGCTCTTCTTTTGTGTCCTTACAAGGAAAACATATGCATGGAGGAGTTGAAGAGAAAGGGAGGATGATGGAAAAAAAAAAAGACAAAAAAAAAAAGGAAAAGGCCTTATATGCGTGAGATGCCTAGGACTAAAAATAAAATGGATGGGGACTTGGCAATATGAACTTGGAAACTTGGCACCCTGGGTCATTATAATGCATGGGACATGCCTCTGGTTACCAGCAAGCTACTGCAGAGGGACTGTCAGAATGCTGAGGGTCAAAAGAACAGGGTTCCTCCAAGGAACCAATACTTTGGGGTGATGGATACAGGAGATAATATGTGCTGGGTTGTAGTGCTATGTTGGTGCTCCCTCTTACAGATTAGGAAGACCATGGGGTACTTAAAAAGAATGTGCTTCCCTGTGCAGTCAATTGCGCAAGTTTTACATAGAAACTGCATGAAGATTTGAGCGAAATCATCCTGAAAGGTGACTGGTCAAAAAAGAGGCAAGAAGCACAATTCACAATTGCAAAGATATGAAATCAACCTAAGTGCCCATCAACAGATGAATGGATATGAATGAATATGGTATATATACACCATGGAATACCACTCTTCCATTAAAAAAAAAAGATGAAATAATGTCTTTTGCAGTAACTCGGATGGAACTGGAGGCCATTATTCTAGGTGAAATAACTCAGGAATTGAAAAGCAGATACCACATGTTCTCACTTATAAGTGGGAGCTAAGCTATGGAAACACAAAGGCATACAGAGTGGTATAGTGGACACTGGAGACTCGGAAGTGGAGAAGGTGGGAGGAGAGTGAGGGATGAAAAACTACCCATTGGGTACAATGTACACCACTCAGGTGACAGATGTACTAAAATCCTAGACTTCAGCTGGGCGCAGTGGTTCATGCCTGTAATCCCAGCACTTCAGGAGGCTGAGGTGGGCCAATCATTTGAGGTCAAGAGTTCAAGACCAGCCTGGCCAACATGGTGAAACCCCATCTCTACTAAAAATACAAAAATTAGCCAGCCGTGGTGGTGGGTGCCTGTAATCCCAGCTACTCGGGAGGCTGAGGCAGGAGAATTGCTTGAACCCAGGAGGCAGAGGTTGCAGTGAGCCCAGACCTGGCCATCTGGCCATTGCACTCTAGCCTGGGCAACAGAGTGAGACTCCGTCTCAAAAAAAAAAAAAAAAAAAATTCCTAGACTTCACCACTATACAATTCATCGATGTAATCAAAACCCACTTGTGTCCCTACTTTTTTTTTTAAGGCAAGAAATGAAGCAAGTTAACCTCAGCTATTTAGCGCAGGCAAGCTCCCAGGAGAAAGGTCACAGAGCATGCCCCCGCAGGCAACAGGAGGGGGTGAGCCTGTCCCAACCCTTGGTTCAAAAAGGAACAACTGGGTCCACAGGGGACTGACCAGTGGTTCTTGCACTGACACTTAGAAGAGAGTCACCAGGAGGGGCTGTGCAAGCAGCATAGCAAGAGCAGACTGGTCAAGAGTGGAGCGACCCCACGGGGCTGGCTGGAGCAGGGAGAACGTAAATTGAAAACAGCAGACCTGAATTGTATTTGTTTCCTGCTGTCAAGGAGGGGACTCGGATCAGCGTATCACGGCTGAGATGCCAGTTACTAAGCTGGCAATGCGATTGTCTCAAATAAACCCACTCAAGTGGCTTATGTTTTAAGTTCTTACTAATTTTTTTAGGTTAGTACTCTGACGCATTGGTAATATCAAAAAAATCACTTCCACCCACTGCTTGCTACCCACTAGACTTCACTTAGGATTTCTGCCTTTAGTTTCTTTTCTTTCTTTTTTTTTTTTTTTTTTGAGGCAGGGTCTCACTCTGTCGCCCAGGCTGGAGTGCAGTGGTGTGATCTCAGCTCACTGTAACCTCCGACTCCAGGGCTCAAGGGATCTCCCACCTCAGCCTTCCAGATAGCTGGGACTACAGGCGTGTGCCACCACACTTGGCTAATTTTTGTATTTTTAGTAGAGACTGAGTTTCACCATGTTGGCCAGGCTTGTCTTGAACTCCTAAGCTCAAGCAATCCATCCACCTTGGCCTCCCAAAGTGCTGGGACATGAGCCACTGCACCCGGCCTCTGTCTTTAGTTTCAAATATAAGTGACACTGCTCACCTGACGACCAATTCAAACCTTTCCTATAATAGAGGGTGAACCTTGGAGACCAAGCTGAAGCCTGCCCTGACTCTCAGCCCTCACTCTACACTTACCTGTGCTGCTGTAGAAAGCCAGTTTGGTGGTGGTGTGGAATTCCTGAATGAGGAACTGGGAGAGTGAGATCCGTTCATCTGTCTTTAAGGAGTCATTGCCCTTTTTCCAGTACAGCATGAGGTCATCTTCTGTATAGGCATCTGAAAAGACAGGGGCCAGCATCAGACACAAGGTGGTGGCAAGACAGGATGGTCTGTGGGGCTATGTAGAAGCTGTGTCCTGACCTCCCACACTGACTACTGGGATTGTGATATGATAGTTTGAAAAACAAACCACAGTCTAAACAAAGCAAAACAATATCCAAAAAGACAAATCTAATTATCTCCACTCTTCCAAAAGTCATCAGAGCAAAGTTCTCAAGCCCAAATGCACATAATTCCTGCAAAAGGGTTCACCCTACAATTCAGCCTGCCATTTATTAGGTTAAATCAAATGGAATTCTATTTTTGTAGGTTAGAAATGGTTAAATATTGGCAAAATTTCACATGGCTCAGCCTTATAAATGGAGAGTAATTTAGCCTTTTCCTTTCTTCTTTCAAAGTGTGGCGACTCATCAATTGATGGCAAGCACCTGTAAACACTATCAGGTAATAAAGGCTGAATTTTAGCAAGAAAAGATCCATAAAGAGACGGGAGTGGAACAAGTCCCTCTCTGTAGGACTCCAGTTACTCCTACTCAGGGTAAAGTCGAAGTGAATCCATGATCATCACCCTTTCTGGTGCTACCATTTCCCCTTCCCTCACCTGCTTCTGGTGAACTCCAAGTGAACAAACCTACCTCCAGCCTGAGCATAACTGAGGAGAAGCCTCATGGCACTGCCAGTCCAGCCTGTTGATGTGTAAACAGTTCCTTCCAGGGGTCCCTGGGACTATTTTATTCTTGTTTTCTAACACTTGACCTGTGTGATGGTCAGTTTCATGTGTCAACCTGGCTTGGCTATGGTACCCAATTATACAATCAAACACTAATCTGTAAAAGTGTTTTGTAGATGTGACTAATATCTACAACCACTGGACTTTAAAGGGGATTTTCCTGGATAATCTGGGTGGGCCTGATTCCATCAGTTGAAAGGCCTTAGAAGCAGAAATGAGGCTTCCTGGAAGAAGAAATCCCACCTGTGGCCTGCGGCATCCGCTCCTGCCCCAGAGTGCCCCTCCTGCACTCCTGATGGCCCGCCCTGCAGATGTGGGACTCTTAGCCAGCCCCCACAATCCTGCTAGCCACTTCCTTGCAATAAATCTCTACTCTGTATGTCCTACTGGTTCTGTTTATCTGGCGGAGCCATGACTGATACAACCTGAAAAAAGGCTACATTCCAGATGGAGGCAGAAGCTGCCCAGGCATAGTGGGGAAAACTAAGTTCTGGAGACAATGAACTCAGTATTTCAGTCTGGCTCTGCCACCGAGCTCTGTCCCTCCTTTGTATAATGATAATAACCTGTTCTTCAGGGTCTTGTGAGGGTTGAATGACAAGGCAGAGGTAAAGCCACTGTGCAATAAGTAGCCACTCCCTTGGTCCTGGGTTTTATTACACCCTTTCCCCACATTCAGTGCCCTATGCAGCTGTCCCTTTGGCCCCAGCGGTGTGTGATGTCAATGTCCCTGCACTCCTTGGTCCCAGATGATTGGAGCCAGGGGACACCTGATCCACTGCTACAAGCCCAGGCTGGCTGATAAAGTGCCCTGGAACAGTGAGAACCCTCACTAGGGCTTTGACACTGCCAGGGAGTGCCAGTGTTCAGGAGGAGTGTAGGAGTCACAGGGGTGTCCACTGTGCTGTGGGAGAAAGTGTTTGGGCAGGGAGGAGAATGGAGCGGACATGTAGAGGGACAGAGATGCATGTGGATCATTTTATACTGCCTCAGCCTGGCTCTTTCTGTGGCCTGGTTTCTGGGGGGTGTGTGTGTGTGTGTGTGTGTTGTGTTGTGTTAAAATACACATAAAATTTACCATCTTAACCATTCTTTAGTGTAACTTCAGTGGTATTGCACTACATTCTTAAGTGTTGTATTTATGATGCATGATAAATATAATTAAAATTATACTACATGAAAATTACTACATAAATACAGCCATTCTTATGGTAGGATACATCATTTGCCATTGTATATTCTCCCATTCGTGGGTTGCATTTACTCTGTTGATAATGTTTTGATGCACAGCATTTTAAAATTTTCATGTAGTATCTGTGTTGTACTACATTACTACATAAACACAACCAGTATGATGGTCATACCACCATCCATCTCCAGAACTCTTTTCATCTTCCCAAACTGAAGCTCCATACCCATTTAACAATAACGCCTCATCCCTGTTTCCCCTCTCCCCAGCCTCTGGCAACCACCATTCTACTTTCTGTCTCTATAATTTTGACTACGCTAAGTACCTCTTAAAAGTGACATCATACAGTATTTGTCTTTTGCGATTGGCTGATTTCACTTAGCATAATGCCCTCAAGTTTCATTCATGCTGTAGCATGTATCGGAAATCCTTGTTTTTTAAGGCCGAACACTCTTCCACTGTATGCAGATACTGCATTCTGTGTATCCATTCATCCATTGATGGACACTTGGGTTGTTTTCATGTTTTAGCAATTGTGAATAGAACTGCTATAAATATGAGCATACAAGTACCTTTTCAAGACCCTGCTTTCAATTCTTTTGGTTATTTACCCAGAAATGGATTTGCTGGATCATATGTTCTTAATTTTTTTTTTTTTTTAGACATGGGGGTCTTGCTTTCTCACCCAGGCTGGAGTGCAGTGGTGCAATCATAGCTCACTGCAGCCTGCAGCCTCAGGCTCTTGGGCTCAAGTGATTCTCCTGCCTCAGCCTCCCGAGCAGCTGGGACCACAGATGCCAGCCACCATGCCCAGCACATTTTTGTATTTTTTGTAGAGACAGGGTCTTGCTATGTTGCCCAGACTGGTCTTCAACTTCTGGGCTCAAGTGATCCTCTTACCCCGGCCACCCACAGTGCTGGGATTACAGGTATGAGCAACCGTGCCCAGCCATTGTTTTAATTTTTTGAGGAGCTGTTTTCCCCAGTGGCTGCACCATTATACATTACTACCCACAAAGGATAAGGGTTCTAATTTGTTCACATCCTCCCCAGAATTGTTTTCTGTTTTGTTGACAGTATTCATCCCAGTAAGTGTAACTCACTGTAGTTTTGGTTTGCATTTTCCTAATGATTAATGATGTTGAACATCTTTTCATGTGCTTCTTGGCCATTTGTATACCGTCTTTGGAGAAATGTCTATTCAAGTCTTTTGTCCATTTTTTTAAGCAGATTGTTTTGTTGTTGTTGTTGAGTTTTAGCTGTTCTCTTTGTATTCTGGATATCAATCCTTTATCAGATAGATGATTTATCAATATATTATCAATATATTCTCCCATTTGTGGGTTGCCTTTTTACTCTGATAATGTCGATGCACAAAATTGACAATTTTCATGTAGTCCAATTTGCGTATTTTTTTCTTTTGTTGACTGCACCTGTGGTGTCATAGCGCCTGGTTTTCAGTTTTTCCAGGATGTCTGTGTGTGTGCAAGCTTCCTGAAATCCCTTGTTGTGCCTGAGCATCTCAACCACCACACGAACTCACAGTGGCAGTTCCCTAGGGCAACTGTTGTCAAACTTGTTTTGGCCAGGAAATCCTTTCTTCAGCAGAAATTACATTTAGAAGAGCAATAAAACACATCAAAAATGAGCTCTCTGGATGAACTCATGTCTGTGTGTGTGTGTGTGTGTGTGTGTGTGTTGGGCAAAGGGCTTGGAAGGAGACCCACATTCGCTTAGCCCTCTACTTCCCTTCCCCAAGCAGTTACCCTGATTCAACAGAACAAAGTTTAAAACCATTGCCATAGGGCATTAAAAAGATCAGTTATGTTTATTGCACACGTATGTTTATTGCGGCATTATTCACAATAGCAAAGACTTGGAACCAACCCAAATGTCCAACAATGATAGACTGGATTAAGAAAATGTGGCACATATACACCATGGAATACTATGCAGCCATAAAAAATGATGAGTTCATGTCCTTTGTAGGGACATGGATGAAACTGGAAACCATCATTCTCAGTAAACTATCGCAAGAACAAAAAACCAAACACCGCATATTCTCACTCATAGGTGGGAATTGAACAATGAGATCACATGGACACAGGAAGGGGAATATCACACTCTGGGGACTGTGGTGGGGTGGGGGGAGGGGGGAGGGATAGCATTGGGAGATATACCTAATGCTAGATGATGAGTTAGTGGGTGCAGCGCACCAGCATGGCACATGTATACATATGTAACTAACCTGCACAATGTGCACATGTACCCTAAAACTTAAAGTATAATTAAAAAAAAAAAAAGATCAGTTATGGCAATGAAGGTTTTAGTTTCAAATTTGTTCCTGATATTTAAAATTACCCTAGACCTAGCTTCAATCTAACACATTACTTTAAAAGTACAGTCATGAAGGCTGGGCATGGTGGCTCACGCCTGTAATCCCAGCAGGTGGTCACAAGGTCAGGCGTTGGAGATCAGCCTGGTCAACATAGTGAAACCCTGTCTCTACTAAAAATACAAAAAATTAGCCAGGCATGGTGGCAGGTGCCTGTAATCCCAGCTACTCGGGAGGCTGAGGCAGGAGAATCACTTGAACCTGGGAGGCAGAGGTTGCAGTGAGCAGAGACTGCGCCACGGCATTCCAGCCCAGGCGACAGTGTGAGACTCCATCTCAAAAAAAAAAAAAAGTCTACTCATGAATAAGGAACACACACTGTTCCTGCAGCTGAGAGTTAGAGGTGTTGAGAATTATCAGGAGCTGTGTGCTGATGCCCGGGGACAAGTCTACTCACAGCTTTCAATTTCAAGAGAGCACGTTTGTGTGTCCAAGGGAAATCGGCTGAAGTCCATGTTGCACATTGCAGTTACTGTAACCCTAGGGCCAAAAAGACAAAATTGATTTATTCAGAGCCTGCAAAAGACGAGTGCAAAATGATAAATGGAAAAGGCCTCTGCTTCCTTCCAATATGATAGATGCCTCTTCTCATACTTCATAAGCAATGTGTCAGGGTTTAGATAAGTAGCTTATGAGTGATACCATCACTGGAGTACTCTTAGGCATTTATGTTTAACCCAAGGGTCAGTGTGAGGCAAATGGAATGTCTCTACTAACTCTTATCACATTCAAGCATTTTAAAGAAGCAATGGTCTCAATGAATATAATAATGTGAAATAAAAACTTACATGATATGGTTTCTTAAAAGAAGCTCTAGGACCATATATTGTTCTCCTGTTTCAGATAAATTCCAGTTCTTTTGTTCTTTTATTGATTTTATTGATATTCAACATCATATACAATACAGTGTACACTTACCCCAGTTGCCAAGCTTGGCACTTTTTCTTTAACGATGTTGATATTTTTATATTGATAATAGTATCTACTAGTGGGCATATGTGTTGTTAGTGGATAATTCCTTGGAGATCAAAGTAATGGAAAAACACTGAAAGGTCTTACTGTGTTAATAGGCAAGCACTTGCTGGCATTGAGTGATTTTATTTCAGAATTTACACTGGGAAAGAGGCTTCCGCATCAAAAGCCAAACACATACAGATCATTCTTCATAGTGAAAAGCCTCCTATCCAGTGGGGAATTTCACAGCAGGACACGATTAACATTTGTTCGCTCGTGCTGAATGGACTCCTTTTCCTTCAACCATGCAATATTTGCTACGCAAAAGTTGTGGAAATTATATGAATAATTCATGGTAAAAAAAGAAAAATCACTTTTAATTTAAATGGAAATTTCAAGGAAAAGAACATTCTTGAAATGGAATTTTTCAAATATTTGCCTCATTTTTTCCCACTGCTTTGAGGGTGGAATGGTTGCATTCTATCTATGAGGCATTTTTGATTGCCAGCAGCTGGGTGGTCTTATGTCTCCTGGAAATCCTGATAAACAGGGAATGTTAGAGTGCAGAGGTCGAGGTGGGGGTCAGGCTGGCAGCTGACTTGGATGCCTAATGGGTGGGTTTCCATTTCTATGGGTACATCATCGCATAACAATGCCCAATGGCATCATCAACATGAAATAAGCTAAGAACTAACTTCAGGGACACTTCGAGCTAACTTTAGAGACATAGAATGCCCAATGAAGGAAATGTTTTGCTACGAACAAGGGGACTGAATACTCCTCCTCATTCTGTTAGTTGGTATAGGAACAGCTGTTTTCAGAATTACAGACATCACCAGAATGGGTCTTCCCACCCTGAGTTGATGCTTCTCTCCATATAACTTACACATAAAGCAACCATTTGTGATGTAATCAAAGCTCATGTTTATTCTTGTTTCCACAAGTCTCTTTAAATTGATTCATTGGAGGGGCTCTTCCCTGCCCTGGATGGAAACTTGGCAGGTCCCGTGGCTCTTCTGCTCACTCTTATGTAATAGTCAAAACCCTCTTAAGTCACAAACCACACCTTAATTCAGAAATTAAGAGTTTTGGTCTGAGGTATTCATCAGCTTCAAAGTTCATTCAAATGAAGACTTCTGCTGTCCCTCCTCAGCTAAGATAAAAGTTGGCATTTGACGGGCGTAGTGGCATGCACCTGTAGTCCCAGCTACTCAGGAGGCTGAGGCAGGAGAACTGCTTGAACCTGGGAGGCGGAGGTTGCAGTGAGCCGAGATCGCATCACTGCACTCCGGCCTGGGCAACAGAGTGAGACTCCATCGAAAAAAAAAAAAAGAAAAATAAAGTTGGCATTTGAGTGGTCAGTTTCTGCCTATCTCCGATCTCTTCCCACACAGGTGGAAGCGCAAGGAGACAGGGAGGTGGGCGCAGGGCAGTTCTGTGGCTGGGCGGCTTCCTGCTTTCTGGGCCTGTTACCTGGTGGAAGCTGATACTTTCTTTCCTGGCTTCCTCACTCCCACGACTGGGCGCCTCCACACTGCAGGTTTCCATTCTCCAGCTCTTGGTTCACCCACCGTCCTCTCCACATACACTCACAGATAAGTACAGTCTGATCCCACTATGGCAAAAACTTCTGGCTCTGCCCCCAGAGTGGTCAGACAGCTCTTCTCTCCCACCTAACTGCACAGTGTCCCAAACTGCAGGCACACACACACCAAGCTTTTTGAGAGGTCCCAGTGAAGGCCCACTCACGGAATGCCCACAATGCTTTCCCGAAAAAATTTCACAAATCTTTCCTTTCTCCCGCTGTCATTGACTCCTCTTCTTCCTCTTCTTCTTCTTCTTCTTTTTTTTTTTTTTTTTTGAGACAGTCTCGCTCTGTCGCCCAGGCTGGAGTGCAGTGGTGCGATCTCAACTCTGCAACCTCCACCTCCCTGGTTCAAACGATTCTCCTGCCTCAGCCTCCTGAGTAGCTGGGACTACAGACATGTGCCACCATGCCCAGCTAATTTTTGTATTTTTAGTAGAGATGGCGTTTTGCCATATTGGCCAGGCTGGTCTTGAACTCCTAACTTCAGATGATCCACCGGATCAGCCTTCCAAAGGGCTGGGATTATAGGCCTGAGCCACCATGCCCGGCCTCATTGACTCTTTTATATCTTCAAGTTGACTAGGGATTCAAAAGTCATGGAATAGGTTTTTCAATATTACCTTAGTAAAATCTACCAAGCATAATAGAGTATCTCACTTGTGGATTTCAGTTTTTATTGTATGCTGGTGCCTAGGAAACTGTTCTCATCATCCTGTTATCTGTGGCTCCCTGCTCCTCCACCCACTGCACTGCTGCATTCCTCATTTGTGTCCTAAGCATTGGGTTCTGTGCCTGTCTCCTCCACTAGCCTGCAGTCCTAGGAAGGACAGTGACCTCTATTCCTGTCTTTATGTCCCCAGAGCTTGATCTAGAATCTGGCATGGCTTTCATTCGTACAACTCCACAGGCCACCGTGGCACCCAGGATGCTGTTAATAAGAATCTGTTGAAGTAATCAATGAATGAATGAAGTGAGGAGATGGTAAATTGGATGTATTTTAGGAGCTGGCCAGTGGCTGACAGAGTTGACATGTTTTCCTTAAAATAAATTCAAAGCGGTGGTCTTCAGAAACTTAGATCTCTCTTTTTTTTTCATTTAAATCAAACAAACTCATCACTTTATTTGCAATGAGAAATCAACTCATCTGCTTTTAGGCACAGGGAGGGAAAGGGGGTGTTTTCCTGGTGGTTGAGGCTCACTGAGGATTTTTATTCTGAACATACAAAAGATTTTCTACTCCCTTCCTGCACTCACATCCAGTGGTGCACTGGACTGGACTTCTACAGGCTTTCGGGAGCTGATTGCTAGATTTTCAGGAAGCTTGTGAGCCAGTTGTTAAACACAGTCACTATTAAGCATTAAAATTAAATGTCACATTAAAAAACATAAATAATAGCTTCCAGTTCCAAAATCGTGGCATAAAGGCAAGCTGCTTCACTCCACACCACAGAAAACCAAAAACAAACATATCACGCCAAGATTTTCAACAGCAACAACCCAGAGCTCATGGATGAGGATGAGACAGTTCCCTGGGCCACAGAGAAGTAGAAAAACTGAGATGCCAGTAGGAGAACTGGACTTACACATCCCCGATGCTCCTCTCTCCCATTCTATTTGCCACCAAATGCATGGAAAATCTCCCCCCAACTCATGACTTCTACACTGGAAAAAGTGAAATTGAGGTGATCAATCAGATTCCCTACCTTCTTAGGTTCCCTGTCAGGAGATTTGTCCTTACCTTAACCAACAGGAAGCATCATGATTGCCTGAAGGGAGAAATAGCCCTGAGAACAGGCTGAGACAAAGGGGAGGCAGGACAACCATCCCCATCCTGGAAACTATGCTCTGTAACTTGACCAAAGGAGATGCCAAATCAGAGTGGCTGTTCAGTAGCACTGTAGGAAGAATATTCTGTAGGTCCCCTGGGCACGAACCCCTAGCCAGCCTTCCCACACTGCCGGGATAATCCCTTCAGGACCTCCCCCATTCGGGACTGGCGGTGCAGAGACAGACTGGTTACTGGAGCGAGGCGAACCTGGGTTTAAGGTGCCACCTGGAGCTGAAAAGGAGGCAGCAACCTAGCGACAGATTCACTAAGCAAATATAGTCAATAAAAAACAAAACTAGACAGAGAAAACTGGAATAAAAAACTAATCCTTCAATGCAAAGACATAGATGTATACCAACAAGAAACAACAGCAAACAGGGAATTAGGACCTCCCCAAAAGGGGATCCTAACAAGACCATGATTTGTAATCTCTCTGACCAAGAATCCAAAATAGCAATTTTAAGGAAGTGCAGTGATATCCAAAAAATAATACAAAAAAGCAATTCAGAAATTTATCAGAGAAATTTAACAAAGAGACTGAAATAACAACAACAACAAAAATCAAACAGAAATCCTGGAACTGAGAAATACATTTGCCGAACTGAAGAACTCTTTAGAGGCTCTCAACAGCAGGATGACCCAAGCAGAAGAAAGAATCTGTGAGCTAGAAGACTGGCTATTTGAAAATATAGTCAGAGGAGAAAAAATGAAGAAAGAATAAAAGGGAACAAAGGCTGCTTATAAGATATGGAAAATTACCTCAAAGGACCAAATCTAAGAATTATTGGTGTTCAAGACAGAGCTGAGCAACAGCAAGGGGTGGAAAGCTTAGTCAAAGGAATAATAACAGGAAACTTTCCAAAACTCAAGAAGGAGATAAATATACAGGTATAGGAAGGTCTGAGGACACCAAACAGAATCAATGCAAATAAGACTATCTCCAGGCATATAGTAATCCATCTGAAAGGTCAAGAACAAAGAGAGGATCCCAAAAGCAGCAAGATAAATAAGACAAGTAACACATTAAAAAGCTCCAATTTGGGCCGGGCATGGTGGCTCACGTCTGTAATCCTAGCACTTTAGGAGGCTGAGGCAGGCAGATTGCCTGAACTCAGGAGTTTGAGACCAGCCTGGGCAACACGGTGAAACCTCATTTCTACTAAAATACAAAAAAAATTAGCCAGGCATGGTGGCATGTGCCTGTAGTCCCAGCTACTTGACAGGCTGAGGCAGGAGAATTGCTTGAACCCGAGAGGTGGAGGTTGCAGTGAGCCAAGATCACGCCACTGCACTCCAGCCTGGGCAGCAGAGTAAGACTCCGTCTCCAAAAAAAAAAAAGCTCCAATTTGTCTGGCAACAGACTTCCCAATGGAAACCATGCCGACCAGGAGGAAGTAGAAGAATATTTTCAAAGTGCTCAAAGAAAAAAACTGTCATCCAAGAATATTATATCCAGCAAAATTATTTTGAATATAAAGGAGAGATAGTCTTTTCCAGATAGACAAAAGCTGAGATAATTCACTATCACCAGACTTATCTTGTAAAAACAAAAGTAAAAAATACTCATCAATTCCTAAGTATTTCACCACATTTTATTATGTATATTCTTGAAGCCATTTACACTTATTGCATCTGTATGGTGGAAACACTGCATAATGGTGTGCTGCCATGAATTTCTTCCTAATTCTGCATTTAGTGACATCAGGTGGGAGCTTGAAATCAGCCACGATGGGAGTATTTATACTACAGAAATCAGCAAACACTACAAATCAGGGCTTGATTTATTGTTTTGTTGATTGTCTAGACTTAAGGCAGATTAAGCCTAAAAGGGTGTTATGCCTATTATCATTACATTGTGAGTAGTACAAAATATTGAGGACATATTTCAGTATTTGAAAGCTATCATCCAATTCAGCAAAGAAGTTGCTTATGTCTTTGATGAATGAGTAAAGTTTCTATATAGTTTTTCATTGTTTCACTTTTGTCTTACTAATGGAAAAGAAAATATCAACCAACATTCATCAGATCTATATTCATTTGTTGATGATAGAATTATAAAAACTTATAGTGGTTTTTCCAAGAACTAGGAAATCATGCTCAAGTTATAAATATATGGAATTTATAATAAAGAGCATTATACGTCCTTTATGTCAGTGATGTTTACAACAAACTTATATACACATAGGTATGCATACTTTCCCCCCAGGTAACCAATTGTTAAACATTTACTAGCATACCAATGGTCACATATGTTATGGTCTAGTACTCTGTAGCCTTGGTGGTGCCATTGAGTTGTGTTGTTGTGTTGGTAGTTTTTGAGCCTTAAGATGCCTTGAAAACCGGTCTCAGTGGGCCAGGTGTGGTGGCTCACACCTGTAATCCCAGCACTTTGGGATGCCAAGGTGGGAGGATGGCTTGAGCCCAGGAGTTCAAGACTAGCCTGAGCAACATAGGGACATTCTGTCTTTACAAAAATAATTTTTTAAAAAATTAGCTGGGCATAGTGACACATGCCTTTGGTCCCAGCCACTTGGGAGGCTGAGGTCAGATTACTGCTTGGGCCTGGGAGGTTGAGGCTGCAGTAAGCCACGATCACGCCAGTGCACTCCAGCCTGGGCAATAGAGCAAAACTCTGTAAATAAAAAAAGAAAAGAAGGAAAGAAAAGAAGAAAGAAAGAAAAGAAGGAAAGAAAGAAAGAAAGAAAGAAAGAAAGAAAGAAAGAAAGAAAGAAAGAAAGAAAGAGAAGAGAAGAAAAAAGAAAAGAAAATAAAAAATCTGCCTCAGAAATGAAGACTTCAGGGAGAACCAGCTCAACATGGCTTGGGGAAGGGGTTGCACATCCTGGACCCGCCTGAGTACTTCTTACGGGAGGAAGCATTTTAAGCATTAAAGATGAAAACCCCATAACCCCACTCTGTGTTAGGTACCTAATTACTTAGGTTCCAGGCCAGAATGAGTATGGAGGGATCATCATAAATATTCCTTTGGGGAATGGGGACAGAAAGTCAGCTTCAACATTGCAATCTCTGACTCCATAGGTTTATAAGTCTACTGTGCAAGCATCCATGAACCCTCTACTTATACACTGATGTGTGGATTCATCTTTACCATTCATCAGCACGGAAGCCAAAGCAAAGTCTGTGAAACTGGAATGCACCGTCCACAAAGCACAAGAGGAGCAGACCACAGCAAGTGACCACATCCCTTCTCTGTGAAGGCCTGCTGCTCATCTCCATGTGCCTTGAGTACCATGAGTTTCTAAAGTTCCTGTGCAGCCTGAAAACCACACTGTGGAGCTGTGTTTAAGGAAAGCTTCCCCAGGCCAGCGCTTCATGAGCAATTAAACGTTTTTAAAGTGTCTGAACTGGTGAGAAGATTTTATTCATTATATTTAAAAAGTGATGTTCAGAATGGCACGTCAAGTCATAAAGTAGCCGGGGGTCCCCATAGTTTCTCAAGTAGGACACTACGGAGAGAAAGGAGAGAAAACATGCCTGTGGTGGCCAGATGAAGCAGAAGAACTTTTTTTTAACCAAAGTTCTAAAATGTTCCCAAAAATGGGAATCAGAGAGATTGTAAGAAGTAAGTCCTTGAGAACACATTATCTATTTCTCTGACTCCTACTAGAGAAATAAACTTGTTTGTTATTGAAATATAACACATAGAATAGTATCAGTTTGAGAAATTGCCCCAAAGGTATTTTCAAGACTGAATAATTCTTTAAAATTTCTACTCATGTATAAAGTTAGTTTTCCTTGATGTTGAGAAGCTGGCAACTACTGAAAAGTTAGAAAGTAGACATTCAGAGCCAAAAACCCAAATTGCTGTTGTGAAACCAATGCTTTTCTTGGTTAATATGAATGATCTGCCTTTCTTCCTACCTGAGACTATAGAGCACTTTCCCATCAGGCTGGACCCGCAACATGACGTTGTCTGTGGTGGTGTCGTGGATGAAGGAGCGTTTGGAGTGCACGAAAAACATGTCAGGGACCCAGATCTTCTTGACCAGCCGGCCGTCAAACGTCATGCTGAGGTTGTTGGTGCTTGGAAAAGACAGCCTCTCGTCCTTCCAGTAGTGCCTCAGGTAGAGGGTCATCGTAAAGTCCTGGGAGCAGAAGGGCAGAGAGGGAACCCCAGACACACACAAACCCACTGAGATGTGGATTCTGTAGCCCCTGTGGAGCCATCACTTGGCTGGGGAATGAAACCGAACCAAGAGAGGTTTTGCTTCTAGTCTCCAGAGTTTGCTGCAGTAGGAGGAAGAGAACGCTGCAGGGGGCGGGGGGCGGGGCACAGCGTGGAACTCAGAGAGAAGCCTGGAGCAGACAGTGTAAGTGTGCCTGGCCCTGCTTCAAGCCCCTGGCATTCACTCTACACTTGAGGGGCTGCTACTGCCACCATGTGTGACTCAAGCCACAGATGCCAGAAAGTTCATACCTGCAAACAGCACTCAATCAGAGAGAAGGCGGTGGATACATACCCCAGAGCCTGCACCCCTGAGTCAGAATAACCCTGAAGTGTGTTCTTCAGTGACTCCCAGAGTACTCCAGTGGCACTGAGTTCTGTGGTTCTATAACTGAGTTCCATACCAGTTCCACAGTAACTGGTTTGATAGCACAGCCCTCTTTGCTTCCTTCTCTTCCTCTCTCCCTTCCCCACTCTGTTCTGGTGTTTCCCAGGATCACTTCCCAAATAAAGTGCTTATACTTATGCTTGTGACTGCTTGTCTCAGGTCTGCTTTTTGGTGGACCCAAACTAAGGTAGGTCCCTAAAATATCCTGTAAGTCAAGGAGTTGGAGAATGTTGCACTTTTTATCTGAACCGACCAAAAAGGGGGCGGGCGGGGGGAAAGGACACTCTTTTGCTTCTTTTGCATTTCGACAGCCAGGTACAGAATCCACAGGAATAAGATGTGTTTGACTACTTAGCAGCTGCAAACTTGGGCCCTGCTGCTTACATTTGAGAGCTTTTGTCCAGAAAATGCATCCCAGTGGCAAGAGCCTGGCCACTGGAGTGAGAAAGGTTAAGCTTGTTATCTGGCTCTGTTTCATACCAATTGGGTGGCTTTGGGCAAATCTTCCTGAGCCATCTGAAAAAGTAGTGTGGGGATTCCCACCGCCCAGGGCAGTTGTGAGACTAAGTGAATTCAGGTGCGTGGAGCTCCTGGCCCTGGACCGGCTTTGTGAATCCCCCTGCCACGGCCCTGGTCAGAGAAGCACTTACCATGTCAACCTCTGAGATGCTATCCAAACTCTCCACCTGCACATCCACACCAACAGGAATGGCAGGGCCTGGGGACAGAGCATGGCAAGAGCATTCACTGTTTTTACTTGAAATTTTACTATGGAGGAAATAGGCAAAAGGAGCATTTCCCCTGGAACCTCAATGTCATATCAGATTTGGAGGTTTGGTCATGGCAACCTGAAGTCAAACCAGAGATAAAAGCATGGAATCATAGGCTGGCTTTCTGAAATATTCCAACAGAAGTTTGAAAACATCCTTTCTTGGTTATATATGCTCATCTGAAGGTATGATGAAGACCTAGGTCAAAAGCTGGGTCTGATCTAAGAGTAACTGACGTCTTAGCATGAGGTCACCCACATTATTCTCTATATTTGCCTTCTGGTGTTGCACCCTCTTTCATCCTGGAAGCCACTGTCTCTTGTCTGGACATGAGAAAGGCGTTGTTTGGTAATAGGAACTCAGAACCAAAGTCATATTCAGGTCATTTGCCAAACCCACAGATCTGCATCTTTGCAACATGATGGAGTAGCTTCCAGGGAAGACAGGATGCCTGTTTTAAGGATGGCCTTAAAACATTAGATTTTTTGTTATTTCTGGGCCATACGGACTAAATATTGATAAAGAGTAAGGAAGTATAATGAAGGGAATCAATTCCTGCCCCCCTTCTTCCCTGCTCTGATGCTCTGAGGATGAAGGGCAGGCATGGAGCACACTGAATCATTTGGAGTAAAAAGGTGGGTTTGGATTCAACAATGGTGGATTGGGGACTGCATAGAGACTCTCTTCTACAGCCTATTTATTCTTTGGGTAAAAGTGACTGGAAGAAAAATAAATGGCAAGATAATTATTTCTTTTTCCCTTTTTTTTTTTTTTTTTTTTTTTTGGAGACAGAGTCTCACTCTGTTGCCCAGGCTGGAGTACAGTGGTGTGATCTCAGTTCACTGCAACCTCCGCCTCCTGGGGTCAAGCAATTCTCCTGCCTCAGCCTCCTGAATAGCTGGGACTACAGGTGCACACCACCACAGCTGGCTAAATTTTGTATTTTTAGTAGAGACAGAGTTTTACCATGTTACCCAGGCTGGTCTCGAACTCCTGAGCTCAGGCAATCTGCCCACCTCAGCCATGGCAGATGAAATCCCAAAATGTTAGGATTTCAGGTATGAGCCACCATGCCCGGCCGAGAATGATTTTTAAAATGAGTATTTTTTTTTCCAGGAAAATAAACCCATAAGGGTGAAAAATTATTGACATTAAGAAGGCTGAAACCCAGTAGCTGCAGGCTAAGCTTCATAGGGCTTTGCTATTCTTCTGCACTAAATCATTATTCTCTCAAGCTATTTTCATTTAATTAAAATGAGCAGACCACATTCCACCGTAAGATACATACCCTGAACTCTGTCTGCCAGCTCCCAGATGACAACAAATTTAGTCCAAGGTTGTTATTTCCAAGTATTTTTAGGAGGCCGCATTGGGCTGCAGCTGCCCTGTGTTCTCCTGCCCTTCCTACAGCCAGCTGTTGGCCTCCCTCATCGTGAGCCATCCTAGAGGGGCAGCAGCCACCCAGCAGCAGATGCTTCCTGAGACTGTTCAGCAGAACCCAGGGCGGGGCAAGACAGATGCTCAAAATGTACTGTGGGCTCGATGTCTTGTCCACCAAGCACAACTGAGGCAGACCGGGTCAGCGGAGAGCAAAGCTGTGCTGTCCCTTGGCTAATTTCCTGCCCACAGACAGAGGACCAGAAGAAAGAGGACACCCTGAGAGCACACATCCCATACCTCCAAAGCCAGGCCTCATGCTGAAATCATGGTCATCTATCCTCAGAAGCTGTTCTGACTTTGTCAGAGGCGATTTGGTGATGTCAGGACTTCGTCTCAGAATTGGGCTGCCAAGGGGGAAGAAACCAGGCTGATCATATATTCCAACCAAGACAAATAAACAGTAACTTGCATTCTGACTTGATCTTGATAGGTGTGATGGGGTGTGCTATTTCTTCTTTTAAGCTATTGGACATCCCCTCTTTCTTTCTCCATCTTTCTGGATAAATGAACTAACCCAGAAGGTCCAAGACATTGGCTTTGACCATGACTGTGGAGCTTTAAAAATACTGATGCCTGGGCCGGGTGCGGTGGCTCACGCCTGCAATCCCAGAACTTTGGGAGTCCGAGGCGGGTGGATCACGAGGTCAGGAGATCGAGACCATCCTGGCTAACACGGTGAAACCCCATCTCTACAAAAAATACAAAAACTTAGCTGGGCGTGGTGGCAGGCGCCTGTGGTCCCAGCTACTCGGGAGGCTGAGGCAGGAGAATGGTGTGAACCCAGGAGGCAGAGCTTGCAGTGAGCCGAGATTGCACCACTGCACTCCAGCCTGGGCAACAGAGTGAGACCCCGTCTCAAAAAAAAAAAAAAAAATACCGATGCCCAGGCCCCACCTCCGAGATGCTGATTTGGACTGTCTGGGAATAGGGCCTGGTATTTTTAAAGCTTCCCAGATGATTTTAATGTGTAACCAAGACTGAAAAATAGCTGGTTCTAGTCTTGTTATTAATAGCCCAAATTCCCTTAAAGTGCCTCAGCCTTTTGAGGGGTTTTGAGCTGGAGGGGAGAGCCAGTGAGTACGGTCTGAGCCTGGTCCCCTGATCTCTGTTGGCCCACTGTGGAGGGAGCGGGACCTTGCCCTCAAGGGAAATGCTGACCATCCTGTTTGCATGGAAGGTGGCTACTCCTGCTACTGCTTCTGAACCACACCTGGGGTCATTTGTATTTATTTTCTCTTTTTCTCGATTGGTAACATACTTTTAGCAGTTGACAATTTTTTAAAAGAAGAAATGTAGTGAAGACTCAGCCTCCCACTTCTGCCTCCACCCGCTCCTAGCCCTCATCCACAGGTGTTTCGTTTTTTTGTTTGTTTGTTTGTTTGTTTGTTTTGAGACAGTCTCACTGTGTCACCCAGGCTGGAGTGCAGTGGTGTGATCTCGGCTCACTGCAACCTCCACCTCCCAGGTTCAAGTGATTCTCATGCCTCAGCCTCCCAAGTAGTTGGGATTACAGGCGCCTGCCACCACGCCTGGCTAAGTTTTATATTTTTAGTAGAGACAGGGGATTTGCCATGTTGGCCAGGTTAGTCTCAAACTCCTGGCCTCAAGTGATCCACCCACCTCAGCCTCCCAAAGTGCTGGAATTAAAGATGTGAGCCACCACACCTGGCCAGGTGTTGCTCTTACTGGTTTCTTGTCTATCTGACCAGAGTTTCTTGTATACAAGTATATACAGACATATATTCTTAGTTATCCCCTCTTTATTTTATATTTTTTATTTATTTATTTATTTTTAGAGACAGGGTCTTGCTCTGTCATCCAAGCTGGATTCAGTGACCTATCATGAGCTCACTTCAGCCTCAAACTCCAGGGCTCGAGTGATCCTGGATTCAAGTGATCCTCCCATCTCAACCTCCCAAGTAGCTGGGACTACAGGTACATGCAACTGAGTCCAGTTAATTTTTAAATTTTCTGTAGAGATGGGGGTTCTACTATGTTGCCCAGGCTGGCCTCAAACCCCTGGCCTGCAAGCAACTCCCACCTAGGCCTCCCAAAGTGCTGGTATTACAGGCGTGAGCCACCGCACCCAACCTGGAAGTACTTCTCAAACTAGAAAGTGCTACACAAATGGGAGGAGCCATTGCCATTTCTGAACCCACCAGGAAGTGTCCTTCTAAAGTGAGGAATTACCGTGCTGGCAGCAAAGGAGGTGGCCCAGGGAAAGAATTGGAACCAGTGAGCTGCTTACAGATATAAGGGAGGAAGCCGGGCTTGTCAAGAGGAGGAACACCAGCTCCCATTGCCGCGGACATCCTCTCTCACCAGCTCGATCCAGGAGCCACCCCGCCACCCCTGACTGCCGTCTCCTTTCAGGCTCCCCTTCCTCTGGTCCCCCACCCTCCACTTTCTGATCCTTGGTGAGGGGTCGGGGAGGGGCCCTGCTGAAAATCACTACAGTTGAGGTTCACGGAGGAAACATCTGCAGAACAGTGTGCACGTGCTTATGGCCATACCTGACTTGCTTGTGGGCATCTTCATGTACTTCTCGTCTTTGTCTTTGGGGCCTACCATGAACATTAAAAATAAAGACATTGTAGAGAAAGTCTAGGTACTCAGATCAACCAAGCACCCCTCTCCCTCCAGATTTGCTTCAAATCTATCCAGAATAAAATGTAAAAGAAGAAGAAAAAACTACGAAGATTCAATGCATTCATTTAGCCTCTTGTTGAGCATTTTCCAAGTACCTACAGTAGAAACTGGAGGGTTCATTACTAAGAAGGCCTAATTTGAAGAGGTCTGAGCTAAAATATCTCCCCCACTGGTCTACCCGGGCGTGAAATGGACGCCATTCTTTTAGAAGGCTCTTAAGGATGTGTACACTTTAACTTTGATCCACCATAAAACCCTCATTACGGAGAGTAACACACTGCCAGGTGAACTGCATCACTTGAGCATCCTCGTTCTTTGGCTCATGATTTCAGCCAAATGGGCACCGACAGGAGATGAGAGAGGAGGAGGAGGAAGAAAGAGGTCAGGGTATTTACTCCTCATTCTCTCCCGGCTTTGATGCCAGGACTAGCAATGCCTGTGTTACTCTGTGATTGCTGATAATCACAGTATCTTCAATAAGCTCCAATAATAGTTAATATTTCCCCTTCTAGTCGAGGGGTAGTCCTGGCTTCCTCCTATTCCTAGTCCTTGGGGGCATCAACGTGCCTGACTGGATCACTGAACTCTGCCCACATCTCTTCGAATTGTCCTTTTATTCGATCATCATGAGTTAAGCCCTTTTGAAGGCAATGCTGTTTTCTGCCAGGACTCGACTGATGCACAGGGACACATCAGAACAGATGCACAAGGATTATGTCATCTGTAGAAAATGGAGCAGAGACAGGTGTGCGCTCTGCAGGCGTGGGCAGAGCTAAGACTGGGGAGTGGCATGCGCTTCAGGCGATGGGCCATCACAGTTGATGGGCAGCGTGAGGCCGAAGGACACCGGGGACAAAGTTCTCTTTGCATTCAGTCCCTTGCACAGTGTTGGATCCCTGTGGACCCTCAATACCTATTAGTTGAATGAAGGAAGGAATCAGCCCCCTACATGGGCACCTAAAAAGGGAGACAGGAGGGAATGAAAGAGGAGATTGGAATGGAAAAAAGCTTGGCCCAGCTCTTACTTTGACTTTGGGCCAGCCTGAAATGGAACCAGTCACTGATGAAAGGAGGTTTGTCAAATTCTGAGATGCCACTGCCTTTGCCTTCATGAAGCCTCGATTCTAGCCAAGAGAAGACGGATGAATAAAATACAGTTATAGTCTTTTTCATTATTAATATTATTAGATAACTTTTTTTCCTGTTTACATGCCCATGTAAAAAAATTTAGAAAATAGATTAATCATAAAGGAGAAGATGAATATAACTCAGAAGGAACCTCTGCCATTCTGCATCTGTATTTTCTTATGATTCTTGGAGAATTATACTGTTTGAAACTTTCTTTTAAACTCAAATTATAATATATCATGGAATTTTTTTGCGTCATTGGCATCTTTTCACCATCTGAGGGTATGGTTATTAATCTTGAAATGATGTATCACACAAAACAAATAATAGGAAAATCTAACACTGCTTGAGCACTTCCTATGTGTGAGTTACCATGCTAACTCCTGTTGCATGTGTTAACTCAGGTTATTCCTCAAAACAACCCTATGAAGTAGGCCTCGTCATTATCCCCATTTTATATGTAGGAAACTGAGATACAAAGACTTTAAATAACTTGTAAAAGTGAAGGAGCCAGAAGTCAGAGCCAGGGGTTCTGGCTCCAGGGTTGGAAGCAAGGCTGGCCACAGCATCACGTTGGAAGATTTGCCTCCCACTGCCAGGAAATTGGCTTAGATGTGGAAGGTCTGAGCTTATCGTCTCCTCATATAGAAGTTAACATAGACCTTGCACAAAGTTGGTGCATGATAAATATTTACTGAATGAGCCCCAGGAGGTTATGAAGAAAGGATAGGCATGTACCATGTTAAGATGATGCAGGATGACATGAGACAGCTTTTTGAACTGAACATAGGGTGTACATTTGTTGAACACCCACTTTTATTTTGGATCAAATGACAAATTCCAACCTACAAGACTTCTTCTTGATGTCTGCTTGTTCTAGTTCTTAGTCTGTGCATGGATGTTTTCCCAAAAGAGGTGTCAGAACTTTCTTGGAGGTGAGCTGGAGCACGGATGGGGGTTTGTGATGAGGGAGGTCTGCTGGAAGGCTCATTCAGCTAATGGCCGAGCATCTGATAAGTTACACTTCACCTTGCTGACTATTTCATCTGAGAAGACAGAGAACTTAATTTTTACAAGGAAGCAGAAACCGGCTAATGAAAATGATCATGCTTTCTCGGCATTTCTAACAGCCAAGAAAAGAAGTCCTTGTATGTAGTGCAAAACACCCAGATGTTGTCCTTGGCACCTCCACCCCCCGCCCCCCCATCTCTCACATCCTCTTCCAGGGACACTGAGAACACTGGCTCTAGCTCCACTTCTCAGACATGTACTGCTCATAGGGCTACATTTTTCTGATGTGCATAAAGGCCACGAAAGGCCAACTGGGGCCCTGCCCACAGCAGTCAGGCAGCCAGTCCTGGCTGACCTCCTTCTCAACACCCCATGCCCCACCCCTGCTGTCTCGCCCTCTCCATCCCCACGCCCCCTGCCTCAGGTGTCATTACTTAGCATATGGGAGGCAGCAGGCTTTCCTGCCTCTGGTCTTATCCTTCTCTAATCCAACCACCCCACCAACACCATGGAATGAAAATCACAATTATGTCACTTCTCTTAAAACCCTTCATCCTCAAAGTAAAATCCGTGGAAGTTGGGCATATAAGGCCCATAATAAGGCTCCCACTCACTTTTCCACTCAGCTCCCACTCTGCCCCCAACTTCTTGCCGTTGTCAATTACATCTCTGTGCTTTGCTCCCGATGTCCCAACTGTCTGGAATGCCCTTCCCATCATTCTTCATACCCTTTGTTACCCAGACAACTCCACGCATTCCCAGATAAAATGCCACCTCCTCCTGAAAGCATTCTTGAGCTTCTCTCCTTTACATGCTTCCATCAGAATGTGCACACCGTGCTATTGTGGTGATAGGCCTTCTGACCATCCCACTCACTTCACCGTGGGATCAATAGATGAGAGACTGTACTTTTTTTTTTTTTTGAAACAAGATCTCTCTCTGTTGCCCAAGGCTGGAGTGCAGTGGTGCAATTATAGCTCACTGCAGCCTCAACCTCCTAGGCTAAAGCAATTCTCCTGCCTCAGCCTCCCAAGTAGCTGGGACCACAGTTGTGTGACACCATGCCCAGCTAATTTAAAAAAAAAAATTGTAGTGAAGGGGTTTCACTATGTTGCCCAAGCTGGTCTCCAAATCCTAGGTTCAAGGGATCCTCCCGCTTCAAACTCACACAGTGTTGGGATTATATTTGTGAGCCACCATGCCCGGCCTCTACGTTACACATCTCTGTAAAACCTTAGCAGTGTGCAGAATTGACTTTACAAAGACAGGTACCAAATATGGAAGGAGAAGCACAAACCCAAGGGTGTATTGCACAGAATTGAAGGGATCCATAAGAAATGAGTCAAGGGAGGCCAGAGTCTAAATTAGACTCAAGAGACATGGTAAAGACAAGCAGAATTCTTTCCAGTTGCATCCTGAGCTAGGAGAGTCAGTAGAAGGAAATATACCACTTGGAGAAGATGAAGCAAGATTAAATTTTTTTTTAATGTTAATTTTTTTTTGAAGACAGGGTCTCACTCTGTTGTCCAGGCTACAATGCAGTGGCACAATCTCAGCTCACTGCAGCCTTGACCTCCTGAACTCAAGCTATCCTCCCACCTCAGCTTCCTGAGTAGCTGGGATTACAGGCATGTGCCACCATGCCAAGCTAAGTTTTGTATTTTTTGTGGAGTTGGGGTTTTGCCATGTTGCCCAGGCTGGTCTTGAACCCCTGAGCTCAAGCGATCTGCCCGCCTCGGCCTCCCAAAATGCTGGGATTACAAGTGTGAGCCACCACACCTGGCAGAGGTGAGGCAATGTTAATAAACAATTATGATAAGGCTGAGATTCTGCTAACAGAATCCAATTTTACTTTGCTATTCTTCATCAAAGAGAGTGGTCTTCAAATTAGGAAGAGAGAAAAGAATTATTTGCTACCAGAATAGTGGACATGTAGCACACAACCATCTAATGCTCAGCCCTGATTACACATTGGAATCACCCGAGGAGCTTAAAAAATCCCAGGCCACAGAGCAGACCAATTAAATCAGAACCTCTAAGGGTGGGACCCAGCCAGCAATAGTTTTCAAATCTCAGGTGATTCCAATGTTCAGCCAAAGTTGTGATTTCTAATTTTTAAAAATGGAGCTCTTTTTCACAGCTCTCTGAGGCCATGACCTGGTACAGTAGGAGGAAGCAGGCAGTTAGGAAGCCAGCACACTGCCTTGAACCCGTTTTGCTTACTGGTGGGAGATGGCAAGTTGCTTCTCTCCAGGTCTGTTTCCTCAGCTGTGAAATAAGGGATTAGGCAATGAGATGGCTTCGAAACCTTTCAAGTCCATTCCAGAAGGCGGCAGCCTCCCTGAGATGTGAGAGGCGCTTCGCTGCTCTAGTCCTGTTGGCTGAAGGCGATGCTACAAGGGTAGGTTCCCTGCCAGAGCTGCACCAATAGGGGTGTGGGTTCCACACAGACCCACTAGCACTGGGTGTGTGCGTGTGTTTAACTTTCATTAATTTAATGAGCATGTATCCATCATGTTATTTATATTGCATTTCCTGAATTGTTACAGAGGCTGTGCATTCTTCCACATAATGAGTTGAGCATTTTGTATTTTTCCTTGGCTGTAAATATTAAATAGTTCATTTCCTTTGATTCCTTCCTAAGTGGATTTTTGGTAACTAATACTGTGCTTTTCAAATTATGTTCTCTAAAATGTGTGATGGTTAATTCTATGGGTCAACTTGCTTAGACCATGGTACTTGTTCTGGTCAAACATCAGTCTAAATGTTACTGTGACGATATTTTTAAAAAATGTGGTTAACATTTAGATCAGCGGACTTTAAGTAAAGCAGATACCCTCCATCATGTGGGGAGCCCCCATCCAGTCAGTTGTGGGCCTTCAGAGAAAAGACTAAGGTTTCTCGAAGAAGAAGAAGGAATTTGCTTCCAGACTGCCTTCCTACTCAAGATGGCAACACGCCAGCTTCTGCCAGAACTTCCAGCCTGCTGGTCTGCCCTGCAGATCTCAGACTTGGCAGCCCCCACAAATGTGTGATCCAGACAGAGAAAGGCATAAGGATGTGGATGTGGACAGCCTACTGGTTCTCTTCCTCTGGAGACCCCTGACTGATACAGTGCGAACACTCCTTGACCCCTGAGGCCTGCACATCTGAGGGAGATCTGAGCTGTTGCCTGCAGCCAAAGGGCTGCCAGGGCTGTCTAGGATGGGCGTACCAGCCCAGCTTTGACCTATCAGCTTCTGTCAGGTCTCAGGGTATTTGATCAAGCTGTCTTCTTGCCACCATTACTGACTTCTGTTCCCACCAACTTGGTGGGCCCCTAACACACAGACAGCCCTGGCCTGCTACTGCCTTGCCACAGAGTAAAAAGAACACATCAAGAATATGTTTGTCTAACTGCTTCTTAGATAAAATCTCAGCCTATCATCCAAGTTGCGGGCTTAAAAAAAAATCTCAGCCTAGATCATCCCTTTTTTTTCCTTGTACATATATGTCTGAATTCCTATGCCTGGGAATACCATATGCCTCCCACTTGAAGACACCGGGTTACTTTATTTTTTTTAATTTAAAGCTCTGAATTTTGTCTACCTGTTCTCTTTATTAGAATTCTCAGATTGTATTATTCCCATTTCTTATAGAACGTACTACTTTCTAACTTGTAGATATCTATTTGACCCTAATGCCAACATTTTAGACTCTTGTTAAATGCCTTTTGAGTGAAATCCCCATAGCCAATTAAATGTCTCAGCTGCCTAAAAACAAAAACAAAACAAACAAACAAAAACAGGTGTTTGTCAAGGGGACAGCCTGCAATGCATTTCAGAATGTGAAATTGCGGACGGAACATCTCTACCTCGCTTCACCTCCTGCCCTCTCGCCTGGGGAGTGGAGCAGAGACCAGGCCTTCAACAGGGGTGAGTCAAGACTCACGAGGTCTTCTCAATGCTATCACCGCAATCCCAAGAGCCACCACTGCTTGTCTGAGGTTAGATTTATTTGATGAGGCAGCTTACAGTATTGGAAGGAGTGCAGACTTGGCATCAGTCAGACTTCAGTGTGAATCCCAGGGGAGCCACAAACTAGCTGTTAACCTTGGGCAGGTTACCTGATCTTTCTGTGTCTCAGTTTCCTATAAGATGGGGGGAATAATACTAACTTTACTGGCGTGCTGTAAGAATTAAGCAAGAAAATGTTAATTTGAACCACAGGAAATGGCTGACATTCAACTGTTTGTGACGTACAAAAACATTTTCACCTGGTTCAACCTGAGTTTTATGTCCATCAATATAACTTTCTTTTGTTTTCTGATGGCGAGAGGAAAGCACCAGAAGTGGAAACATGGGGTCTGTGGGAGCTCTGTGGATATGTTATGTGACCATGGCACAAGTTTGTGTACCCTTTTGGGCCTTGCTCTTTTCACCTTTAAAGTGAGGGGGTTTCTAAGGTCCTTGAAGGTCTGACATTCTGCAGCAATTTTTTTTTTTTTTTTTTTTTTTTTTTTTGGAGATAGTTCTTACTCTGTCACCCAGGCTGGAATGCAGCGTTGCAATCTCAGCTCACTGCAGCCTCGACCTCCCAGGCTCAAGTGATCCTCCCACCTCAGCCTCCCGAGTAGCTAGGACCACAGGTGTGTGCCACCACACCTGGCTAATTTTGCTTGTTTTTGTAGAAATGGGGTTTCACTATGTTGCCTAGGCTGGTCTCTAACTCCTGGGATTAAGCAATCCTCCTGCCTTGGCTTCTCAAAGTGCTAGGATTACAGGTGTGAGCCATCATGCCCAGTCTTCTGCAAAATTTTTAATTTTTGCATTCTACAAAAGTGGTCTGATTAAGGTCTGTCTCCCCCACTAGACTGTCAGCACTTCAAGGGGAGGAGCAGGTCTATTTTGCTTACCATTGCCTCCCAAGCCATGGGCACAGTGCCTGGAGTATAGTGCCCTCAATACATATTTGTTGAATGAATGAATGAAGTACAGGAAATAGCAAGAGTCAGGATTCACTCATTTATTCATGCCCAACACTTCATGAACATTCACCATTGTTCTTGATTGTGGGGAAACAAGGATAAATGCGCCCTCAAGGGACTCATAGTCTAGAAGCAGAGAAAAATGAGATAAAAAAGGCAATGCTGAGTGATTAGTCCTTGGAGAGAAGGGTGGTGGAGAGCTGCAGAAGCTCAGAAGTAAGCCACCTAATTGAGACTTGAGAGGCAGGGGGTGAGGGAAGGCCAAGGAAGGCTTCTCAGAGGAGGTGACACCTCTGCTAAATATTGGAGGAAGAAAAAAAATGGGTCAGAGAAATAAGAAAGAGAATGGTGTTGTGAGCATGGGAGCAGCAGGTGCAGAGGCCTTAGGAGACTGCAAGGAGCAGGGGCAGGTCGTAATCAGCAGGGAGACAAAAGACCAGGAAGCACAAAGTGGGGACTCGAACGTTCAAGCAAACTTTCTGGGGAGCAGAGGGACAAGATGAAGAGAGCACTACTAACTTAAGAGAAAATCAAATTTCAAGGCGTTGAGGGTGATCAGAGATCCAGTCCATAATCCCACAGCTTTCTCTTTGTCATGCAAGACAGGGATTTGACAGCAACTCCTCATGCCACATTGTTGCCGCCCCTGGCCTCTCTTCATCCTTTGAACCCTCCAAAGTCCCTCCTACCCTAAAACTCTCCTGTCTTCCTCTCTCGCCTTCATCCCATCTCAGTCTTTCAGTTCACACCAAGTTTCTTGTAAATACTGTCTATATTCACTCCATTTTCTCTTCTACTCTCCTCAACCCTCTGACATCTGTCTCTTCTTGGAATGATCATTAATGACACAAAACTACCATATCTAGGGCTCACTTCTCAGTCCTCTACCTAGTTGATTTTGACCTTGGAGTGATCTGACCCTATTGACCACTCCCTCCTTCTTAAAACCCTTGACACCTTGCTAGAACACCTTCCTAGTCGGAAGGTCTCTGATGGCACAGCCTGCATCTCATTTTGTGACTGGTGAAGAGCTCATTGCCCAGTGTAGTGCCTGCCCTGTAATAAGCACTTGATAACTGTTGAAAAAATGGGCCTCTTAACATCCTCAACACCTCTGTGTTCCAGCTCTATACCCATTTCTCTGATCACTCATTTCCAGCTCTACATTGAGTCCCCTTCCTTTATCTTCTCCTTAAATGCTGCTCTTCCCCAAGGTCTGTCCTTGATCTGGTCCTTATTTCATGCCACATGCTGTCTCTGGCCACCTCATCCATTGCCACCTATGGGGACTCCCTTTAAATCTAATTCTCTAGGCCCAGTTTCCTTCTTGAGCTGCAGACTTATATCCCTTCCTGCTGACTGGACAGCTGTCTCTGGGTATCTTGCAAGCACATCTAGGTCCATATGTTCATACCAAACTCATCACCTTCACCCCCAAACCTAATCCTCCACCTGCTCTCCTTCCTGGCATCACCATCTACTCAGTCGTACAATCCAAAGACCTGCCGAACATTCACCCTAAACTTCTCTCTCACCCTGAAGCCAATCAGATTCTGACCATTCTAGCTCCTTGAAAGCTCTCATATTCATTCCTCCCCCATCCCCATCCTGTTCATTCCACTATGAATGAGCTTTGCACCAGCTCTTACCTGGCCTCAGACTCTGGTCATAGACTCTGGATTACTTTCTCTGTTTCCCCTCTATCCCCCTTCCTGGTGTTCCATCATGCTGCTGAGCAAGCAAGCATCGTCTCTCTGAAATGGAAATCTGCTGAGACCATTCAGCTCCTCTTCACCTTCAGAATAAACGTGAATTCTTTAGCACGACAAAGAATGCATGATAATGTACTTCCAGCTTCTGGTAGAATCAGTTTGCCCTCCCACAGCCTGAGCTGGCATGGTCCAGGGGCCCATAGTGTAGACAAGTTATGTTTCCATTCTTCCAGGGAAGAGAGGAGGAGAGGACCGGCAGTAAGTTTTGGGTTATTTATTTATTTATTTATTTATTTATTTTCTGAGACAGGGTCAGATGGGCCCAGGCTGAAGTGCAGTGGCATGATCACGGCTCACTGCAGCCTTGACATCCCAGGCTCAAGCCATTCTCCCACTTCAGCCTCTTGAGTAGCTGGGACTACAGGCACACCTCACCGTGGCCAGCTACATTTTTTTGTACTGTTTATAGAAACAGGCTCTCATTTTGTTCCCCAGGCTGGTCTTGAACTTCTGGGCTCAAGTTATCCTCATGTGTCAGCCTTCCAAAGTGCTGGGATTACAGGCATGAGCCACCATGCCCGGCCTGAGACAGTAAGTTTTGATTCTAGAAACATTGCCCAGTGCCCTGGCATTCTGATCTTGATTCTGCATGATTGGTGAAGATGGGTCCTATCTGGATGTGCCTCCCATGGAGATTCTGGGAAAACATGAATTATTTCCTGGAGTGGAGACTAGAGTGAGGCAGGTAAGGTGCATAGGGAGTAAAATGTAAAGAGCCAGTCACTCTCTGGGGCATGTAAGCACCTCCTTCAGTTTTGCACCCTAGGCACCTCACTAGATTCACCCCCTGGTGTGCCCATGTTTACCTAAGCTATTTTATTAGCATGACCATGTAAAGAAGCCTGGATACAAATTACCAGCAGCTTATGGATTTGGAGTCTGGATGAAATTAAGTAAGCCCTTTAAAAGTTTAGGCTACATAAAAATGAAGTTTAACCTGGCTGGTGGGGTATAAGTTGGGTTGACGTAACATTCTGGAAAGAAATTTGCCCGCATATATCTGGAGCTTTCAATGTTCTTGTGCCATTTGATCCAGAACACTTCCAGGAGTCTAACCTGATTAATTATGTATGTGAACAACTCTTCTTATATACAAAGATGTAAATACAGAAGATTTGTAATAACAAAGAGGAAGCAACCAAATGTCTGTAAATAGAGGAAAACACTTAAATGGTGGCACACTGTGCATTAATTTACATATTTGCATTATTATGCAGCCAATCAAATGATAATTCTATTGACTTTTCAAATAAGTGAACATGCAGACTATATGCATGGCATAATTCCAAACTACTTAGTATTCAGTATATGCTTACCAAAAAAGACAAGAAGAAAATACACAAAAATGTTAACAAGGTTACTTCTGGGCTTGGAGATTATGGGTAATTCTTGGGTGTTTTTAAAATTTTTTTCTCTTTTTTTGGTAAATTTAAATAATAGTTATATGTGTCTTTCATAACTAAAGAAACAGAAACACTTCTGATTTTTGCATGCTGAATTGAATCTGCAACTTTATTGTATTTGTTCATTAGTTCTAACAGTTTTCTTGGTGAAGTCTTTAGGGTTTTCTATATATAAGATCATGTCATCAGCAAACAGCAACAATTTCACTTCTTTCTTTCCTATTTCTATGTCTTTTCTTTCTTTCTCTTGTCTAACTGCTTTGGCAAGGACTTCTGGTACTATGGTTGAATAGAAGTGGTGAGAGTGAGTCTTGTTACTGATCTTAGAGAATGAAATAAAATTTCTTTGTAATTTTACTTTTAAAAGCTTTCATTTCTTTTGATATACAAGAATCAACTCAAAATGGATTAAAGACTTAAGTGTAAGACCTGAAACTGTAAAACTGATAGAGGAAAATATAGGAGAAAAGTTACACAATATTGGTCTAGGCAGTGAATTTTTTGCATTTGACTCCAAAAGCTTGGGCAACAAAAGCAAATAGACAAATGAGATTACATCAAACTAAAAAGCTTCTGCACAGCAGAATAAATAACTAATGCAGTGAAGAGACAACCTGCAGATTGGAAGAAAATATTTGTAAGGCATACACATCTGATAAGGGGTTCATATCTAAAATATATAAGGAACTCAAACAACTCAATAGCAAGAAAACAAGTAACCTGATTAAAAATGGGTAAAGGACTTGAACAGACATTTTTCAAAACAAGACATACAAGTGGCCAACAGATATACGAAAAAATGCTCAACATCATTAGTCATTAGGGAAATGCAAATTTGAACCACAGTGAGATATCATCTCACACCAGTCGGAATGGCTATTATCAAAAAGATGGCCAAGCATGGTGGCTCATGCCTGTAATCCTGGCACTTTCGGAGGCCAAGGTGGGAGGATCACTTGAAGCCAGGAGCTCGAGACCAGCCTGGGCAACATAGTGAGACCCTGTCTATAGAAAAAAAAATTTTTTTAATTAGCCAGGCATGGTAGTGCACCTGTAGTCCCAGCTATTCAAGAAGCTGAGGTGGGAGGATCACTTGAAACCATTACAATCCAGTTTAGGTAACAGGGCAAGACTCTGTCTCTAAAACAAACGAACAAAAAACAAAACAAAATTAAAAAGATGAACAAGTACAAGCCTTGGCAAAGATGTGGAGAAAAGAAAACCCTTGTAACACCATTGGTGGGAATGTAAATTGGCACAGCCATTATGGAAAACTAGATGGAGGTTCCTCTAAAAACTAAAAACAGAATTACCGTATGATCCAGCAATCCCATGTCCAGGTATATATCCAAAGGACTTAAAAGCAGTTTGTTGAAGAGATACCTGCACTCTCATTTTCATTGCAGCATTATTCATAACAGTCAAGTTATAGAAACAACCTAAGTGTCCATCAATGGATGAATGGATAAAGAGAATGTGGTATACAATGGAATACTATTCAACCTTAGAAAAAGAAATTCTGTCATTTGCAACAGCACGCATAAACCTGGAGGACATTATGCTTAATGAAATAAGCCAAGCATCAAAGACAAATACCATATGATCTCACTTGTATGTGAAATCTAAAACAACAGAAATCATATTAACAGACAGCAGAATGATGGTTACCAGAGGCTGGGAGATTGAGGGTATGAGGAGATGTTGGCCAAGAAGTAGTTTCAGTTAGACAGGAGGAATAGTTTTTTGAGACATATTGCACAGCATGGTGACCACAGTTAAAAATAGTGTATTATATATTGCAAAAGTGCTGAGTAAATTTCAAATGTTCTCACCACAAAAAAACAGTAAATATTTGTGGTAATGGATACACTAATTAGACTTAATCATTCCACACTGTATGTATAGATCCTTACATCATTTTGTATGTACCCCATTAATATATACAATCATAATTTGTCACTTAAAATTTAAATGTTTTAAATAAATTATTTAAAAGAAAGTCTATTTCACTCTCTTAGACTTCTTAATCACCGATATTTGCAAATAGGTTGCCACTCTAACTCTGGCTTGGGAAAAGTTTTTGATGAAGACCAACAGAGTTTGTTGTCGTTGTTGTTGCTTTTAATCCCTATAAGCACATTTGGATCAAATAATCTCTACGGCTGCACCAATCCACAAGTTCCAGTGTTTGCCCAAGCAACTTCTGACTCTGATGGTAATAGGGCACAGTGGCCTCCCTTAGCACCCCAGGGCTCACCATGACCACTGGATATTTCAGCTCCTAGTTTTGTGATGTTGTTAAGAACAGCTTGAAACAAATGCTGTGAGCTACAGCTGGCTGTTTGGGAGCCCATGTGATGAGGGCTCCCTCCAGCCCCAGAAGGAGGACACTGAGGTGCTAGACACAGCCCTCCTCCTAACCCCAAACTCCCAAAAGCTAGATATCTTTTCATATTCACTGATCTCTCAGACTCTATTTATATTTACACTCAAAAGAAAGGTGAAGTTCAATTTGAAGCTAAGGCTAAGAAAGGACCAAGAATCAACAACGCCCTACTGTCTCCATTTCCTCATCAGTACAGAGAGCACTGGATTAGGTTGTCTCCAAGTCTCCTGTATTATTGACTGATGCCGGGCAAGCAGGTGTGCATCCCAGATAGACATTGCCAGTGCTGCCGTCAGAATGGCCCAGGTGAGGCCGAGTGCTAAGGGGCTGGTGGGGAACCTGGTTTCCTGTGTAAGCTCCCTCTGCAAGTGCTGGCAGACAGGGCACCATGCACCTTTGGTGTTGACCACAGGCAAGCACTTGCCTGCAGGAGGCTCCGTCCCTGGCCCTCCCAATTTATAGGTAGGGAACCATCTAATAATGATCCTTCTAGTCACACAGCTTGGAGAAAGCTGCTTTCTTTTAAAATATTAAAAAATGATTCACAAATCTAACAGAAATAATTAGAGCAGAATCATTCTCATGAAATACAGGTCCCATTGGTAATTTGAGAATTCACAGAGTTGTTCTAACCCTAGGACACAGACAGCAAACAATTGCCCTTGATATTTTTTTTAAATGTGCA
This sequence comes from Homo sapiens, assembly GCF_000001405.40. Classification (NCBI taxonomy): domain Eukaryota; kingdom Metazoa; phylum Chordata; class Mammalia; order Primates; family Hominidae; genus Homo; species Homo sapiens. The sequence goes on from NC_000006.12 coordinate 89,216,922, forward strand.
TATATTCTATTTTCCAGAATCTACCTTTCACCCAGGACAATTCATAAGGAATTTTAAAAATGCACTGATAAAATGATCTAATCTAGCATCATTTTAAAAGAAAACGTAATTCTAACTTTCTAAAAGGGGAGCAGCAGGAGAACAAAGGGAAGGGGAAGAAAAAGGCATCCACACAAAACACCATACGCTGGAAATGATGCTCAGTTTCTAGAAGAACACTGTAAGCTCACTTTGTGCATCCTCTTTTCCTAAATCCTCTATCCCTAAATGTCCACTCACCTGCCTTTCTTAGACATCTCGTGGACTTCTCTTCCGGGCCAGTGCATTCTGCTTTCAGTGGCCAAAACCCATCCCCACCACAAAAGAAAGATGCCAAATCTCATATTTGGGACAGCCAACATGGGTTTCCAAATTCAAACAGCTCTCTCCAGAAACAGCAAAAAGGAAAAGATTGTTCTTTTTCTCTCTTAAGACATTATTGGTCTGTTCATTATTAGAAGGATGTTTACTCATGCAAAAAAAAAATCAACCCACAGGATGCAATCTGGAGAGCAGGAGAAAGCAATTTCCACTAAACCTATAAATCCTCCTACGTCAGATGTCAGGGATTTTCTGAACTGAGGTTGAATTCCTGTGTCCCAGTGGAACAATTATTTTAGCCGGTCTAAATTAGTTCATCGTCAAATGCAGTAAAAATGTTGGTAAAAGTCTTATTTTCTGGTGCGTCGAATAAAAGGAAGTAAAAATGGACCAAAGCAATTTCCAAGAGGAGTAAGGCCAGAGGTGCGGAACTGCTTTCTATGTTCACGTTAATGAGCTCCTCCCTGGATCTATTTTAAGCTTACGGCCATTATTATTTGCTTTAGCTGAGGGCTGGATTTGGACAGCTTCCTGCCCCCACTTCCTGTGGCTGAATCCCTGAAACCCCAGGGCTCGGTACCTGCGTGGGCTGTCTATATGGCTGAGATTGGGAGGGCAACTGGGGAAGAGGTTTTTTTGTCTTTGTTTGGCGCAGAAACAAGTAAATTTCCTTGTCAGTTGCATTGTTCTTATCATGAACCTTGCTGCACTGTCCACATTTGAAAAATACCAGTAATAAATTAACTGTAGCCTCAAGTCTGTGTTATTTGTAGACAGTTTTTCTTTTGCTTTGATGCTTACTTTAAGACTCTGCTATAATCTACAGGCCGGATCTTGTGTCTTCATCAAAAGACAGTCTCAGAGCCTCGTGGAAGAGACCGCATTAGGTACTCCAAACTATTGACTCTTCAAAGCTGAGCTGACATGGTTTTGGTAACTTTCAGACTGTACCGGTAAACTGAGTCAGGATTCCCATAACTCTATAGCTGAAAAGCGGTTTCACACAACTGCTAACCCAAGATCCAATAGAATGAGAATTAATTACACAAGACTGAAAAAAAATTGATGAGAGAAATTTTTTTCGGGTTATTTGAAATGCAGTTGTTTTAAGGTTCTGTTCCCAGATCGTAAGAAGCCTTTTCTTTCTCTTCTTGTGCTATCTGTAATTCACAATAAGCTTTTAAATTCTGCTTTTATAAACCAGAATGAAGTATTCTTAAATTATATATGATTCTCACTAACACGATTCTTCTTATTTGAATTCAGAAACTCTTACCCAGTCTCTCTACATTTCTTGGCAATATAGTTGTTTGCATAGGTTTAGTAAGAATCTGTCCTCCCTTTTGCCAAAATACAACTGGAAGCATCAATTATGCAATGAAAGCCTTGCCTTGAATGCCCTATTTGAGAATAATGTTCATTTAACGAGGTGTGACAAGCCATTTTAAGGAATAAAGGTTGGCTGTACTTACGGAACCAATGCCTATAATGTCCTCTCAGGAAACCTGACGTAGGTCCAGTTTATAGTGTCCAGTCTTACAGTTAGTAAGGAAAGTCACTTCTAGGCAAGTACTTGGAGGTATTTTTCTGAAACCTCTAGAAGAAAGGAATTCACTCAAATCTATAGGTACTGCAGGTAAAATTTGGTGGAGTTTCTTGGGCTTGGTCTCCTAATCTTAGCAGGATAGAAAATAATAGACATGGCGGGGCACGGTGGCTCACGCCTGTAATCCCAGCACTTTGGGAGGCCAAGGTGGGAGGATCACCTGAGGTCAGGAGTTAGAGACCAGCCTGGCCAACATGGTGAAACCCTGTCCCTACTAAAAATACAAAAATTACCTCGGTGTGGTGGCGGGCACCTGTAATCTCAGCTACTTGGGAGGCTGAGACAGGAGAATCGCTTGAACCTGGGAGGTGGAAGTTGTAGTGAGCCGAGATCGCACCACTGCACTCCAACCTGGGCAATAAGGAATGAAACTCCGTCCCAAAAAAAGAAAAGAAAATAACAGACACTTTTAGAAGTCCAAGCTAAGATTCCTTATGATAACTTCTAGGCAGGAGCTAATTTGGAATCATTCAACACCGTATGGCTCTAGGTTTTGCAACGCAAACTTCAAAGGAGGCATCTATGATGCACTGTAGAAGTAACCAGCCAAACCTAAGGAGCCCAGCTTTTTTCTGTGATCAAGAATAATCTTTAGAATTATATATAATAACAAGGAGAAGGAAGATGGTCAGGAAAAATCGTCAAACTTTGAAATGAGCAAAATAGATTACTGGGTGTTCTTTCAATAGAATTCTAAGCCTTGTCCAGCGGGTCCTCCAGGGATTGTCTGATCCTATAGGGATGTATGACTTTGATTGTCTTTAGGCTATTTTACAATTCTGTAATAGTAGATGTTAACACGTAGCAAACTGATAGTAACGCATAGCTTTCCTGTCCATAGCTATGCAAATTATTCCTTTTGTGCTGTGGAGAGTATAAATCTCTATAAATCAAGCCCTTATTTGAACCAGTTGTAACATCTTACTGGTCCCTTAACTAAATAATGAGTTAAATAAAATCTTCAATGTCTGTTCATTTTATAGTTATGTGAGAGTCATGATTATATCCTCTTATATAAATCATCCTTTAACGTGCTTTCAATTAATAGATGTCAAAAACATTCAACATATAGAAATAAAGGCAGAATATGTGATGTCTCCCGAGGTCAATGTAAGCTAAGCATGGTTGGATACTTAAGTTGTAGTGACTTGCTGATTTAAAGACCAAATTGTCTAAAGGGAGATATTCTGGAGCTGAGTACATCAAAATGAACAGGACAATAAGGCATTAAATTGGGGAGGTAGAAAGGACATTAAATGGCTCCTAATGCCCAGATTGGAAAATACCTTTCTTTCTTGTTTAGAGGATCCTGGACTAGCTCCAGGGGCCAGGAGCCTGGGCATAACCAAAGAGAGCAAACCGGAAGGCCTCAAACACGCATTTCCTACCCTCTCTTAGCTAAGGAGAGCTGGTTCAGCAGGTCCCCAGTTAGTTTGATGGCAGGACAGGCGGTACCAGCTGCTGAGCCTTTGCAACAAGGCCACTTCCTCCATCCAGAAGTTCCTATGGCAGAACCTTGAGGGGAGGGGCCCTGTCTTAGAGCCCTTTCTGCTTTGGGCTTGAGCCAACCATGCATCCCTCTTACTGCTGTCATGAGAACTTAGAAAGTCATGGCATTTCACTACTTTGTTGCTTGTAAATGTTCTTAATCAACTTTATTTCCCACTAACACCACGTGGCTCTAATGCGGAGAGTATCTGTGCCCTCTTTATAGGACAAGGATGTAGAAGGGAGTTGTAAAGAGGCCTGAGAGAACCAGTTAGGGCCAGCATCAGAGCATATTAAGGATCCAGACTGACTTACTGAACTATAACACTTCCAGACCAAGTTTTAAAAATGCTTTTTTTTTTGAGACGGAGTTTCGTTCTTGTTGCCCAGGCTGGAGTGCAATGGCATGATCTCAGCTCACCACAACCTCTGCCTCCCAGGTTCAAGTGATTCTCCTGCCTCAGCCTCCCGAGTAGCTGGGATTACACGCATTCGCCACTACACCCAGCTAATTTTGTATTTTTAGTAGAGACGGGGTTTCTCCATGTTGGTCAAGCTGGTCTCCAACTCCCAATTTCAGGTGATCCGCCTACCTCAGCCTCCCAAAGTGCTGGGGTTACAGGCATGAGCCACCGCGCCTGGCCAAAAACACTATTTTTTGACAAAACTCTTCTTTTCCTTTATTGAGTATGCCAGCCTTCTCTCTCTTCTCACTCTCCTTTTTATTCCTCAGCCATCATGGCCTTCCCTACAGCAATGCAGGGTCTCCAGGGCAATAATTTCTTCAGCAGAAGAGGGACCAGGCAATGCTTAACTCCAGCTTATCTTCTCATGGCCATCAAAAGTCTCCCTGCCCCAAGCCCTCAGAGCCAACCCAACACCACACACAAGGCACTCACTGACTGATGGGTGAACGGCAGGCAGCACACCCCAGCTGCTCCCAAACAGGGGCTGCAGGTGCTCATCAGCTGTTTCCACGTGCTCCCTGCAGCACATTTTCTAGCCACAGTCAGCCCTCTGCATCCGTGGGTTTTACATCTGTAGATTCAACCAAGTGCAGATCAAAAATATCTGGGGATAGAAAAACAAAGAACACAAATTCAAAAAACTAATGTAGTATAACAACTACTTGCTAGTATTTACATTGTATTAGATATTAGAAGTAATCTGAGATGATTTAAAGTATACAGGAGAATGTGTGTAGGTTATATGCAAATACTACCCCATTTTATGAAGGGACTTAAGCATCCATGGATTTTGGAATCCTTGGGGTCCTGGAACCAATCCCCTTGGTACCGAGGGATGACTGTACACGTGCACCAATTTGGCTCTGAGCTCAATGCCTAAACATAATCTCCCAGCATTGGACTGGCCCTTTCCAGGTAGGGGATAAGGGACAAATAAAAAGGCAAAGGAAAGGAATTTGATGAAACAATGACCCGAAGAGCCATTTTTCAGTTCCTGATGCAGCTGCTTCTTTACTCACTGTATCGTCAAGCCTACTATTTAAGCTGCTGCTGTAATCGAGCCATGGAAAGATCAATAAAAAGAATAGCATTTCTTTGTCATGGAACAGCTTAGAGGTGAGTGGTCCAGACTGAAGGGAATCTGCTCCAGGACGAAGTGCCTTTCGTCTTGTTGCCCTTTCTCAGGGTATGGTCTTTGTGTACCTGGTTAAAGTTGGGCTGCCAGTAGGCAGAGAAGACATGAAAAGCAAGCAATTTCTGTTTAGGCAAGTGACATAGGAGCTGCACTCATCACTTCAATTCACATTTCACTGGCAAGAAACTTGGCCTGATAGTCACTCCTAACTGTAAGGAGTCCAAGAAATGTGGTCTCTCAATGAGTCATCTTATACCTGGATAAAATTATATCATGATGAAAACAAAAAATAAATTTGGGGGAACAGTCAGCAATGTGCTGAACTCTCCAATTTTTCTTCCCATCCCAAGAGTCAAGTAGCAGTGGCTTGGATCCTAAATTCGATTCCTGTAAACCCACTTTGTGGGGCTCCTTTTCCCCTTGGCCCACTGCATATCTGGAGCCAAACACTCAGATTAGTCAGAACATCCAAATAAAACAAAGAAGGGACAAAACATCAGTCAGACCGTTAATATAAGTCCTGTCGGGAAGGCTGTGGTATTTATAGTGTGCTTCCAAAGGAACCACCCCCGTTCTGCATCTGCTCGTTTAATTCAGGTCAGATTCCTTGATCTTGAGGTTTTTTAATGCCCATCTGTAATGTGCTCTTTTTGTCATTTCCCTGTCTCTCCTTCCCTGCTAAATTACCAATGCCATAAACCAGCTGGTGTTGGTGTCACTCTGAAAGCACTTTACTTATTAATTTACGATCATGACAATAGGCTTTTTGGAGACTGCCCACCATCTAAAATGAAATTTTCATGATTGATGAGAGATCTAGATGGACAGGAAGCCTCAATTAGCTTGAGTTAAATTTTTTTACAGTCTAAGTTTTGTGGTCTGAACACACCCAGCCCAGCGTTCCACAACAGCTCCAGCCACAACTGTGGTGCCAAGGATCAATAGACCGTTAAACTATGACGTTTTGATAGCAGAGGCTTAATTTTATCCACACATATTATTTTGTCATCACAAGCATCATCATGAACTTGATGTCTGACAGTGGGTAGAAATCAATGTCCTTGTCTAGATTTTTTTTTTTAATTTCCATAGGTTTTTGGGGAACAGGTGGTATTTGGTTACATGAGTAAGTTCTTTAGTGGTAATTCGTGGGATTTCGGTGCACCCATCACCCAAACAATATATACTGAACCCATTTTGTAGTCTTTTTATCCCTCACCTCCTTCCCACCCTTTCCCCGAGTCCTCTAAGTCCACTGTGAAATTCTTATGCCTTTGCATCCTCATAGCTTAGCTCCCACTTATGAGTGAGGACATACAATGTTTGGTTTTCCATTCCTGAGTTACTTCACTTAGAGTAATATTCTCCAGATCCATCCAGGTTGCTGTGAATGCCATTAATTCATTCCTTTTTATGGCTGAGTAGTATTCCATTGTATATATATGCCACGGTTTCTTTATCCACTCGTTGATTGTTGGGCATTTGGGCTGGTTTCACATTTTTGCAGCTGGTAATTGTGCTGCTATAAACATGCGTGTACAAGTGTCTTTTTCATTTAATGACTTCTTTTCCTCTGGATAGATACTCAGTAGCGGGATTGCTGGATCAAATGGTAGTTTCTACTTTTAGTTCTCTAAGGAATCTCCACACTGTTTTCCATAGTGGTTGTACTAGTTTACATTCCCATCAGCAGTGTAGAAGTGGTTCCTTTTCACTGCATCCACACCAATATCTTTTTTTTTTTTTTTAATGGCCATTCTTGCAGGAGTAAGGTGGTATTGCATTGTGGGTTTTTTTTTTTTTTGAGACGGAGGTCTTGCTCTGTCGCCAGGCTGGAGTGCAATGGCACCATCTTGGCTCACTGCAACCTCTGCCTCCTGGGTTCAAGCGATTCTCCAGCCTCAGCCTCTCGAGTAGCTGGGACTACAGGCATATGCCACCATGCCCAGCTTATTTTTGTATTTTTAATAGAGACGGGGTTTCACCATGTTGGCCAGATGATCTCGATCTCTTGACCTCATGATCTGCCTGCCTCGGCCTCCCAAAGTGCCGGGATTACAGGCATGAGCCACCACGCCTGGCCGCCAGGGGTTTTGTTTGTTTGTTTTGTTCTGTTTTGTTTTGTTTTTTGAGATGGAGTCTTACTCTGTCGCACAGGCTGGAGTGCAGTGGCATGATCTTGGCTCACTCAACCTCCACCTCCTGAGTTCAAGCGATTCTCCTACCTCAGCCTCCCAAGTAGTAGCTGGGATTACAGGTATGCATTACCACGCCCAGCTAATTTTTGTACTTTTAGTAGAGACAGGGTTTCACCATGTTGGCCAGGCTGGTCTCAAACTCTTAACCTCAGGTGATCTGCCTGCCTTGGCCTCCCAAAGAGCTGAGATTACAGGTGTGAGCCACCATGCCCAGCCTGCATTGTGGTTTTGATTTGCATTTCCCTGATCATTTGTGATGTTGAGCATTTTTTCATGTTTGTTGGCCATTTGTATGTCTTCTTTTGAGAATCATCTATTCACGTCCTTAGCCCACTTTTTTATGGAATTTTTTTCTCCTGTAATTTGTTTGAGTTTGTTGTAGATTCTGGATATTAGTCCTTTGCCTGATGTATAGATTGTGAAGATTTTCTCCCACTCTGTGGGTTGTCTGTTTACTCTGCTGAGTGTTCCTTTTGCTGTGCAGAAGCTCTTTAGTTTAAGTCCCACCTGTTTATCTTTGTTTTTGTCACATTTGCATTTGGGTTCTTGGTCATGAAGTCTTTGCCTAAGCCAATATGTAGAAGAGTTTTTCTGATGTTTTCTTCTAGAATTTTTTTTTTTCCCCAAGACAGGGTCTTGCTCTGTCACCCAGGCTGGAGTGCAGTGGCGTGATCTTGGCTTACTGCAACCTCCGCCTCCCAGGTTCAAGCGATTCTCCTGCCTCAGCCTCCCAAGTAGCTGGGATTACAGGCACCCAACACCACACCCAGCTAATTTTTGTATTTTTAGTAGAGATGGAGTTTCACCATGTCGGCCAGGCTAGTCTTGAACTCCTGACCTCGTGATCCACCCGCCTTGGCCTCCCAAAGTGCTGGGATTATAGGCGAGAGCCACCGTGCCCAGCCATCTTCTAGAATTTTTACAGTTTCAGGTCTTAGATTTAAGTCCTTGATACATTTTGAGTTGATTTTTATATAAGGTGAGTGATGAGAATCCAGTTTCATTCTCTTGCGTGTGGCTTGCCAATTATCCCAGCACCATTTGTTGAATAGGGTGTACTTTCCCCACTTTATGTTTCTGTTTGCTTTTTTTTTTTTTTTAATTATACTTTAAGTTTTGGGGTACATGTGCACATTGTGCAGGTTAGTTACATATGTATACATGTGCCATGCTGGTGCGCTGCACCCACTAACTCGTCATCTAGCATTAGGTATATCTCCCAATGCTATCCCTCCCCCCTCCCCCCACCCCACCACAGTCCCCAGAGTGTGATATTCCCCTTCCTGTGTCCCTGTGATCTCATTGTTCAATTCCCACCTATGAGTGAGAATATGCGGTGTTTGGTTTTTTGTTCTTGCGATAGTTTACTGAGAATGATGATTTCCAATTTCATCCATGTCCCTACAAAGGGCATGAACTCATCATTTTTTATGGCTGCATAGTATTCCATGGTGTATATGTGCCACATTTTCTTAATCCAGTCTATCATTGTTGGACATTTGGGTTGGTTCCAAGTCTTTGCTATTGTGAATAATGCCGCAATAAACATACGTGTGCATGTGTCTTTATAGCAGCATGATTTATAGTCATTTGGGTATATACCCAGTAATGGGATGGCTGGGTCAAATGGTATTTCTAGTTCTAGATCCCTGAGGAATCGCCACATTGACTTCCACAATGGTTGAACTAGTTTACAGTCCCACCAACAATGTAAAAGTGTTCCTATTTCTCCACATCCTCTCCAGCACCTGTTGTTTCCTGACTTTTTAATGATTGCCATTCTAACTGGTGTGAGATGGTATCTCATAGTGGTCTTGATTTGCATTTCTCTGATGGCCAGTGATGATGAGCATTTTTTCATGTGTTTTTTGGCTGCATAAATGTCTTCTTTTGAGAAGTGTCTGTTCATGTCCTTCGCCCAACTTTTGATGGGGTTGTTTGTTTTTTTCTTGTAAATTTGTTTGAGTTCATTGTAGATTCTGGATATTAGCCTTTTGTCAGATGAGTAGGTTGCGAAAATTTTCTCCCATTTTGTAGGTTGCCTGTTCACTCTGATGGTAGTTTCTTTTGCTGTGCAGAAGCTCTTTATTTTAATTAGATCCCATTGTCAATTTTGTCTTTTGTTGCCATTGCTTTTGGTGTTTTGGACATGAAGTCCTTGCCCATGCCTATGTCCTGAATGGTAATGCCTAGGTTTTCTTCTAGGGTTTTTATGGTTTTAGGTCTAACGTTTAAATCTTTAATCCATCTTGAATTGATTTTTGTATAAGGTGTAAGGAAGGGATCCAGTTTCAGCTTTCTACATATGGCTAGCCAGTTTTCCCAGCACCATTTTTTAAACAGGGAATCCTTTCCCCATTGCTTGTTTTCCTCAGGTTTGTCAAAGATCAGATAGTTGTAGGTATGCGGCGTTATTTCTGAGGGCTCTGTTCTGTTCCATGGATCTATATCTCTGTTTTGGTACCAGTACCATGCTGTTTTGGTTACTGTAGCCTTGTAGTATAGTTTGAAGTCAGGTAGTGTGATGCCTCCAGCTTTGTTCTTTTGGCTTAGGATTGACTTGGCAATGCGGGCTCTTTTTTGGTTCCATATGAACTTTAAAGTAGTTTTTTCCAATTCTGTGAAGAAAGTCATTGGTAGCTTGATGGGGATGGCATTGAATCTGTAAATTACCTTGGGCAGTATGGCCATTTTCACGATATTGATTCTTCCTACCCATGAGCATGGAATGTTCTTCCATTTGTTTGTATCCTCTTTTATTTCCTTGAGCAGTGGTTTGTAGTTCTCCTTGAAGAGGTCCTTCACATCCCTTGTAAGTTGGATTCCTAGGTATTTTATTCTCTTTGAAGCAACTGTGAATGGGAGTTCACTCATGATTTGGCTTTCTGTTTGTCTGTTGTTGGTGTATAAGAATGCTTGTGATTTTTGTACATTGATTTTGTATCCTGAGACTTTGCTGAAGTTGCTTATCAGCTTAAGGAGGTTTTGGGCTGAGACAATGGGGTTTTCTAGATATACAATCATGTCGTCTGCAAACAGGGACAATTTGACTTCCTCTTTTCCTAATTGAATACCCTTTATTTCCTTCTCCTGCCTAATTGCCCTGGCCAGAACTTCCAACACTATGTTGAATAGGAGTGGTGAGAGAGGGCATCCCTGTCTTGTGCCAGTTTTCAAAGGGAATGCTTCCAGTTTTTGCCCATTCAGTATGGTATTGGCTGTGGGTGTCATAGATAGCTCTTATTATTTTGAAATACGTCCCATCAATACCTAATTTATTGAGAGTTTTTAGCATGAAGGGTTGTTGAATTTTGTCAAAGGCTTTTTCTGCATCTATTGAGATAATCATGTGGTTTTTGTCTTTGGCTCTGTTTATATGCTGGATTACATTTATTGATTTGCGTATATTGAACCAGCCTTGCATCCCAGGGATGAAGCCCACTTGATCATGGTGGATAAGCTTTTTGATGTGCTGCTGGATTCGGTTTGCCAGTATTTTATTGAGGATTTTTGCATCAATGTTCATCAAGGATATTGGTCTAAAATTCTCTTTTTTGGTTGTGTCTCTGCCCGGCTTTGGTATCAGAATGATGCTGGCCTCATAAAATGAGTTAGGGAGGATTCCCTCTTTTTCTATTGATTGGAATAGTTTCAGAAGGAATGGTACCAGTTCCTCCTTGTACCTCTGGTAGAATTCAGCTGTGAATCCATCTGGTCCTGGACTCTTTTTGGTTGGTAAACTATTGATTATTGCCACAATTTCAGCTCTTGTTATTGGTCTATTCAGAGATTCAACTTCTTCCTGGTTTAGTCTTGGGAGAGTGTATGTGTTGAGGAATTTATCCATTTCTTCTAGATTTTCTAGTTTATTTGTGTAGAGGTGTTTGTAGTATTCTCTGATGGTAGTTTGTATTTCTGTGGGATCGGTGGTGATATCCCCTTTATCATTTTTTATTGTGTCTATTTGATTCTTCTCTCTTTTTTTCTTTATTAGTCTTGCTAGCGGTCTATCAATTTTGTTGATCCTTTCAAAAAACCAGCTCCTGGATTCATTGATTTTTTGAAGGGTTTTTTGTGTCTCTATTTCCTTCAGTTCTGCTCTGATTTTAGTTATTTCTTGCCTTCTGCTAGCTTTTGAATGTGTTTGCTCTTGCTTTTCTAGTTCTTTTAATTGTGATGTTAGGGTGTCAATTTTGGATCTTTCCTGCTTTCTCTTGTGGGCATTTAGTGCTATAAATTTCCCTCTACACACTGCTTTGAATGCGTCCCAGAGATTCTGGTATGTTGTGTCTTTGTTCTCGTTGGTTTCAAAGAACATCTTTATTTCTGCCTTCATTTCATTATGTACCCAGTAGTCATTCAGGAGCAGGTTGTTCAGTTTCCATGTAGTTGAGCGGCTTTGAGTGAGATTCTTAATCCTGAGTTCTAGTTTGATTGCACTGTGGTCTGAGAGATAGTTTGTTATAATCTCTGTTCTTTTACATTTGCTGAGGAGAGCTTTACTTCCAAGTATGTGGTCAATTTTGGAATAGGTGTGGTGTGGTGCTGAAAAAAATGTATATTCTGTTGATTTGGGGTGGAGAGTTCTGTAGATGTCTATTAGGTCCGCTTAGTGCAGAGCTGAGTTCAATTCCTGGGTATCCTTGTTGACTTTCTGTCTCAATCTGTCTAATGTTGACAGTGGGGTGTTAAAGTCTCCCATTATTAATGTGTGGGAGTCTAAGTCTCTTTGTAGGTCACTCAGGACTTGCTTTATGAATCTGGGTGCTCCTGTATTGGGTGCATATATATTTAGGATAGTTAGCTCTTCTTGTTGAATTGATCCCTTTACCATTATGTAATGGCCTTCTTTGTCTCTTTTGATCTTTGTTGGTTTAAAATCTGTTTTATCAGAGACTAGGATTGCAACCCCTGCCTTTTTTTGTTTTCCATTTGCTTGGTAGATCTTCCTCCATCCTTTTGTTTTGAGCCTATGTGTGTCTCTGCACATGAGATGGGTTTCCTGAATACAGCACACTGATGGGTCTTGACTCTTTATCCAATTTGCCAGTCTGTGTCTTTTAATTGGAGCATTTAGGCCATTTACATTTAAAGTTAATATTGTTATGTGTGAATTTGATCCTGTCATTATGATGTTAGCTGGTGATTTTGCTCGTTAGTTGACACAGTTTCTTCCTAGTCTCGATGGTCTTTACATTTTGGCATGATTTTGCAGCAGCTGGTACCGGTTGTTCCTTTCCATGTTTAGCGCTTCCTTCAGGAGCTCTTTTAGGGCAGGCCTGGTGGTGACAAAATCTCTCAGCATTTGCTTGTCTGTAAAGTATTTTATTTCTCCTTCACTTATGAAGCTTAGTTTGGCTGGATATGAAATTCTGCATTGAAAATTCTTTTCTTTAAGAATGTTGAATATTGGCCCCCACTCTCTTCTGGCTTGTAGGGTTTCTGCGGAGAGATCCGCTGTTAGTCTGATGGGCTTCCCTTTGAGGGTAACCCGACCTTTCTCTCTGGCTGCCCTTAACATTTTTTCCTTCATTTCAACTTTGGTGAATCTGACAATTATGTGTCTTGGAGTTGCTCTTCTCGAGGAGTATCTTTGTGGCATTCTCTGTATTTCCTGAATCTGAACGTTGGCCTGCCTTGCTAGATTGGGGAAGTTCTCCTGGATAATATCCTGCAGAGTGTTTTCCAACTTGGTTCCATTCTCCCCATCACTGTCAGGTACACCAATCAGACGTAGATTTGGTCTTTTCACATAGTCCCATATTTCTTGGAGGCTTTGCTCATTTCTTTTTATTCTTTTTTCTCTAAACTTCCCTTCTCGCTTCATTTCATTCATTTCATCTTCCATTGCTGATACCCTTTCTTCCAGTTGATCGCATCGGCTCCTGAGGCTTCTGCATTCCTCACGTAGTTCTCGAGCCTTGGTTTTCAGCTCCATCAGCTCCTTTAAGCACTTCTCTGTATTGGTTATTCTAGTTATACATTCTTCTAAATTTTTTTCAAAGTTTTCAACTTCTTTGCCTTTGGTTTGAATGTCCTCCCGTAGCTCAGAGTAATTTGATCATCTGAAGCCTTCTTCTCTCAGCTCGTCAAAGTCATTCTCCATCCAGCTTTGTTCTGTTGCTGGTGAGGAACTGCGTTCCTTTGGAGGAGGAGAGGCGCTCTGCGTTTTAGAGTTTCCAGTTTTTCTGTTCTGTTTTTTCCCCATCTTTGTGGTTTTATCTACTTTTGGTCTTTGATGATGGTGATGTACAGATGGGTTTTCGGTGTGGATGTCCTTTCTGTTTGTTAGTTTTCCTTCTAACAGACAGGACCCTCAGCTGCAGGTCTGTTGGAATACCCTGCCTTGTGAGGTGTCAGTGTGCCCCTGCCTGGGGGTGCCTCCCAGTTAGGCTGCTCGGGGGTCAGGGGTCAGGGACCCGCTTGAGGAGGCAGTCTGCCGGTTCTCAGATCTCCAGCTGCGTGCTGGGAGAACCACTGCTCTCTTCAAAGCTGTCAGACAGGGACATTTAAGTCTGCAGAGGTTACTGCTGTCTTTTTGTTTGTCTGTGCCCTGCCCCCAGAGGTGGAGCCTACAGTGGCAGGCAGGCCTCCTTGAGCTGTGGTGGGCTCCACCCAGTTCGAGCTTCCCAGCTGCTTTGTTTACCTAAGCAAGCCTGGGCAATGGCGGGCACCCCTCCCCCAGCCTCGCTGCCGCCTTGCAGTTTGATCTCAGAGTGCTGTGCTAGCAATCAGCGAGATTCCATGGGCGTAGGACCCTCCGAGCCAGGTGTGGGATATAGTCTCGTGGTGCGCCGTTTTTTAAGCCGGTCTGAAAAGCGCAATATTCGGGTGGGAGTGACCCGATTTTCCAGGTGCGTCCATCACCCCTTTCTTTGACTCGGAAAGGGAACTCCCTGACCCCTTGCGCTTCCCAGGTGAGGCAATGCCTCGCCCTGCTTCGGCTCGCGCACGGTGCGCGCACCCACTGGCCTGCGCCCACTGTCTGGCACTCCCTAGAGAGATGAACCCGGTACCTCAGATGGAAATGCAGAAATCACCCGTCTTCTGCGTCGCTCACGCTGGGAGCTGTAGACGGGAGCTGTTCCTATTCGGCCATCTTGGCTCCTCCCTACAAGGGAATCTTTCCTTTTGTTTGCTTTTGCAAAAATCAGTTGGCTGTAAGTATTTGGGTTTATTTCTGGGTTCTCTATTCTGTTTCATTGGTCTATGTGCCTATTTTTATACCAGTACCATGCTGTTTTGGTGACTATGGCCTTATAATATAGTTTGAAGTCAGGTAATGTGATGCCTCCAGATGTTCTTTTTGCTTGGTCTTGCTTTGCACATGTGGGCTCTTATTTGGTTCCATATGAATTTTAGGATTGGTTTTTCTAGTTCTGTGAAGAATGATGGTGATATTTTGATGGGATTTGCATTGAATTTGTAGATTGCTTTTAGCAGTATGGTCATTTTCACAATATAGATTCTACCCATCAATGAGCATGGGTTGTATTTCCGTTTGTTTGTATTGTCTATGATTTCTTTCAGTGGTGTTTTGTAGTTTTCCTTGTAGAGGTCTTTCACCTCCTTGGTTAGGTATATTCCTAAGTATTTTATTTTATTTTATTTCATTGCAGCTATTGTAAAAGGGGTTGAGTTCTTGATTTGATTCTCAGCTTGGTCGCTGCTGGTGTATAGCAGAGCTACTGATTTGTGCACATTAATTTTGTATCCTGAAACTTTGCTGAATTCATTTATCAGTTTTAGAAGCCTTTGGGGGAGTCTTTAGGGTTTTCTAGGTATACAATCATATCATCAGCAAACAGTGACAGTTTGACTTCCTCTTTACCATTTGGATACCCTTTATTTCTTTCTCTTGTCTGATCACTCTGGCTAGGACTTCCAGTACTATGATGAATAGAAGTGGTGAGAGTGGGTATCCTTGTCTTGTTCCAGTTCTCAGAGGAATGCTTTCAACTTTTCCCCCATTCAATATTATGTTAGCTATGGGTTTGTCATAGATGGCTTTTATTACATTGAGGTATGTCCCTTGCATGCTGATTTTGCTGAGGGTTTTAATCATGAAGGGATGCTAGATTTTGTCAAGTGCTTTTTCTGCATCTATTGAGATGATCATGTGATTTTGTTTTTAATTCTGTTTATGTGATGTATCACATTTATTGAGTTGCATATGTTAAACCATCCCTGGTATGATACCCACTTGTTTATGGTGGATTATCTTTTTGATATGCTGTTAGATTTGGTTAGCTAGTATTTTGTTAAGGATTTTTGCATTTATGTTCATCACGGATATTGGTGTGTAGTTTTCTTTTTTGTTATGTCCTTTCCTGGTTTTGATATTAGGGTGATACTAGCTTCATAGAATGATTTAGGGATTATTCCCTCTTTCTCTATCTTGTGGAATAGTGCCAATAGGATTGGTACCAATTCTTCTTTGAATGTCTGGTAGAATTCAGCTGTGAATCCGTCTGGACCTGGACTTTTTTTGGTTGGTATTTTTTTTTATTACCATTTCAATCCCCCTTCTTGTTATTGGTCTGTTCAGGGTTTCTAATTCTTCCTGATTTAAGCTAGGAGGCTTGTATCTTTCCAGGAATTTATACATCTCCTCTAGGTTTTCTAGTTTATGAGTGTAAAGGTGTTCATAGTAGCCTTGAATGATGTTTTGTATTTCTGTGGTATCAGTTGTAATATCTCCCATTTCATTTCTAATTGAGCTTATTTGGATCTTCTCTCTTCTTTTCTTGGTTAATCTTGCTAATGGTCTATCAATTTTATTTATCTTTTCAAAGAATCAGCTTTTTGTTTCATTTATCTTTTGTATTTTTGTTTGTTTCCATTTCATTCAGTTCTGCTCTGATCTTGGTTATTTCTTTTCTTCTGCTGGGTTTGGGTTTGGTTTGTTCTTGTTTCTCTAGTTCCTTGAGGTGTGATTAAATTGTCTATTTGTGCTCCTTCAGACTCTTTGATGTAGGCATTTAAGGCTGTGAAGTTTCCTCTTACCACCGCCTTTGCTATATCCCAGAGGTTTTAATAGGTTGTGTCACTATTATCATTCAGTTCAAAGAATTTTTAAATTTCCATTTTGATTTCCTTGTTGACCCAATGATCATTCAGAAGCAGGTTATTTAATTTCCATGTATTTGCATGGTTTTGAAGGTTCCTTTTGGAGTTGATTTCCAATATTATTCCACTGTGGTCTGAGACAGTACTTGATATAATTTCAATTTTCTTAAATTTGTTGAAAGTTGCTTTGTGGTCTATCATATAGTCTATCTTGGAAAATGTTTTATGTGCTGATGAATAGAATGTATATTATGCAGTTGTTGGGTAGAATGTTCTGTAAATATCCGTTAAGCCCATTTTGTTCTAGGATATAGTTTAAATCTATTGTTTCTTTGTTGGCTTTCTGTCTAATGACCTGTTGAGTGCTGTTGTATCCAGAATTGGTGGGTTCTTAGTCTCACTGACTTCAAGAATGAAGCTGCGGCCCCTCGCAGTGAGTGTTACAGTTCTTAAAGGCGGCGTGTCCAGAGTTTGTTCCTTCTGATGTTCAGATGTGTTCGGAGTTTCCTCCTTCTGGTGGGGTTCGTGGTCTCACTGGCTCAGGAGTGAAGCTGTGGACTTCCGCGGTGAGTGTTACAGCTCTTAAGGCGGCGCATCTGGAGTTGTTCCTCCCAGTGGGTTCGTGGTCTCACTGGCTTCAGGAGTGAAGCTGCAGACCTTCGCGGTGAGTGTTACAGCTCATAAAGGCAGTGTGGACCCAAAGAGTGAGCAGTAGCAAGATTTATTGCAAAGAGCGAAAGAACGAAGCTTCCACAGTGTGGAAGGGGACCCGAGCGGGTTGCCACTGCTGGCTCCAGCAGCCTGCTTTTATTCTCTTATCTGGCCCCACCCACATCCTGCTGATTTGTCCATTTTACAGAGAGCCAAGTGATCTGTTTTGACAGGGCACTGATTGGTGCATTTACAATCCCTGAGCTAGACACAAAGGTTCTCCACGTCCCCACTAGATTAGCTAGATACACAGTGTGGACACAAAGGTTCTCTAAGTCCCCACCAGAGTAGCTAGATACAGAGTGTCGATTGGTGCATTCACAATCCCTAAGCTAGACACAGGGTGCTGATTGGTGTGTTTACAAACCTTGAGCTAGACACAGAGTGCCAATTGGTGTATTTACAATCCCTGAGCTAGACATAAAGGTTCTCCACCTCCCCACCAGACTCAGGAGCCCAGCTGGCTTCACCCAGTGGATCCTGCACCAGGGCTGCAGGTGGAGCTGCCTGCCAGTCCTGCACCGTGTGCCCATACTCCTCAGCCCTTGGGTGGTTGATGGGACTGGGCGCCGTGGAGCAGGGGGCGGTGCTCGTTGGGGAGGCTCGGGCCACACAGGAGCCCACGGAGGGCTGGAGAGGCTCAGGCATGGCGGGCTGCAGGTCCCAAGCCCTGCCCTGTGGGAAGGCAGCTAAGGCCCAGCGAGAAATTGAGCACAGCAGCTGCTGGCCCAGGTGCTAAGCCCCTCACTGCCTGGGGCTGGTGGGGCCAGCCGGCCGCTCCGAGTGCGGGGTCCGACAAGCCCACGCCCACCCAGAACTCACGCTGGCCAGCAAGCACCATGCGCAGCCCCAGTTCCTGCCCGTGTCTCTCCCTCCACACCTCCCCGCAAGCTGAGGGAGCCTGCTCCGGCCTTGGCCAGCCCAGAAAGGGGCTCCCACAGTGCAGCGGCAGGCTGAAGGGCTCCTCAAGTGCTGCCAAAGTGGAAGCCCAGGCAGAGGAGGCGCCGAGAGCCAGCGAGGGCTGTGAGGACTGCCAGCACGCTGTCATCTCTCACTGTCAGTGGAGTATCGCAGTCCCCCACTATTATTATGTTGCTGTCTATCTCATTTCTTAGGTCTAGTAGTCATTGTTCTATAAATTTGGGAGCTCCAGTGTTAGGTGCATATATATTTAGAATTGTGATATTTTCTTGTTGGACAAGGCTGTTTATCATTATGTAATGTCCCTCTTTGTCTTTTTTAACTGCTGTTGCTTTAAAGTTTGTTTTGTCTGATACAAGAATAGCTACTGCTGCTTGCTTTTGGTGTCAATTTGCATGAAGTGTCTTTTTACACCCCTTTACCTTAAGTTTATGTGAGTCCTTATGTGTTAAGTGAGGCTCTTTTTTTTTTTTTTTGAGACGGAGTCTCACTCTGTCACCCAGGCTGGAGTGGAGTGCAGTAGCACGATCTCAGCTCACTGCAACCTCTGCCTCCCGGGTTCAAGCGATTCTCCTGCCTCAGCCTTCTGAGTAGCTGGGATTTAGAGGTGCCTGCCACCATGCCAGCTAATTTTTGTATTTTTAGTAGAGACGGGGTTTCACCATGTTGGTCAGGCTGGTCTCAAACTCCTGGCCTTGTGATCCACCTGCCTTGGCCTCCCAAAGTGCTGGGATTACAGGTGTGAGCAAGTGAGGCTCTTGAAGGCAGCAAATACTTGGTTGATGAATTTTTATCCATTCTACAATTCTGTATCTTTTAAATGGAGCCTTTAGACCATTTATATTCAGTTAGTATTGAGATGTGAGGTATTATTTTATTCATTGTGCTATTTGTTAGCTGAATACCTTGGTTTATTTATTTACGTATTTACTGTATTGCTTTATAGGTCCTGTGAGATTCATGCTTTAAAGAGGTTCTGTTTTGTTGTGTTTCCAGGATTTGTTTCAATATTTAGAGCTCCTTTTAGCAGTTCTTTTAGTGCTGGCTTGGTAGTGGTGAATTCTCTCAGCATTTGTCTGTCTGAAAAAGACTGTCTCTTTCCTTCATTTATGAAGCTTAGTTTCACTGGATACAAAATTCTTGTCTGATAATTGTTTCGTTTAAGGAGGCTGAAGATAGGGCCCCAATTCATTCTAGCTTGTAGAGTTTCTGCTGAGAAATCTGCTGTTAATCTGATAGGTTTTCCTTTATAGGTTACCTGGTGCTGCTTTTGCCTCACAGCTCTTAAGATTCTTTCTCTCATCTTGACTTTAGACAACCTGATAACTATGTGCCTCTGCGATGATCTTTCTGTGATGAATTTCCTAGGTGTTCTTTGAGCTTCTTGTATTTGGATGTCTAGATCTCTAGCAAGGCCAGGGAAGTTCTCAATTATTTCCCCAAATGTGTTCTCAAAACTTTTAGATTTCTCCTTTTCCTCAGCAATGTCAATTATTCTCAGATTTGGTCATTTAACATAATCCCAAACTTCTTGGAGGCCTTTGTTCATTTTTTAAAATTCTTTTTTCTTTGTCTTCATTGGATTGGGTTATTTCAAAAACCTTGTCTTTGAGCTCTGAAGTTCTTTCTTCTGCCTGTTCAATTCTATTGCTGAGGCTCTCCAGGGCATTTTGCATTTCTCTAAGTGTGTCCTATATTTCCTGAAGTTGTGATTTTTTTTTTATTTATGCTATCCACTTCACTGAAGATTTTTCCCTTCATATCTTGTATCATCTTTTTGATTTTCTTAAGCTGGATTTCACCTTTTCTGGTGCCTCCTAATAATCAACTTCTGAATTCTCTTTCTGGCAATTCAGGGATTTCTTCTTGGTTTGGATCCATTGCTGGTGGGCTAATGTGATTTTTTTTTTAGGGGGGTGTTAAAGAACCTTGTTTTGTCATATTACCAGAATTGCTTTTCTGGTTCTTTCTCATTTTGGTAGTCTCTGTCAGTGGGAAGATTTGAGGCTCAAGGCTGCTGTTCAGATTTTTTTGTCCCACGGGGTGCTCCTTTGATGTAGCACTCTCCCCCTTTTCCTAGGGATGTGGCTTCCTGAGAGCAGAACTGTAGTGATTGTTATTCTCTTCTGAATCTAGCCATCTAGCAGGGCTACCAGGCTCTGGGCTGGTACTGGGGTGTGTCTGCACAGAGTCCTGTGATGTGAACTGTCTTCAGGTCTCTCAGCCATGGATACCAGGACCTGCTCCATTGGAGGTGGCAGGGGAGTGAAATGGACTCTGTGAGGGTCCTTAGTTGTAGTTGTTTAATGCACTTGTTGTAGTTTTATGCTGGTTGGCCTCCTGCCAGGAGGTGGAACTTTCAAGAGAGCATTAGCTATGGCAGTATAGGAGAGGACCAGGTTAGGGGTGAGGCCCTGGAACTCCCAAGAGAATATAACCTTTGTCTTTGGCTTCCAGGGTGGGGAGGGAAGGCCCATCAGGAAGGGGTAGGGTTAGGCATGTCTGAGCTCAGACTCTTCCTAGGCAGGGCTTGCTGTGGCTGCTGTGGGAGATGGGAATGTGGTTCCCAGGTCAATGGAGTTATGTTCTCAGGAGGATTATGGCTGCCTCTGCTGTGTCATGCAGGTTGTCAGGGAAGCAGGGGAAAGCCAGCAGTTACAGGCCTCACCCAGCTCCTATGCAACCCAAAAGGCTGGTCTCACTCCCGCCATGCCCCCACTCCAACAGCACCAAGTTTGTTTCTAGGAAATGGTTGAACAGGGCTGAGAACTTGCCCGAGGGTACCAGCCTCCTGGCTGAGAAAGCAAACAGGGCTTTCATGCCTCCCCACCTGTGGGATCTGCACACCGGATTCATGCCCTCCCCCAAGTTCTGGCCAAGAAACTTCATGTTTGGTTGGAATTGTTACAAAGTTCAGCAGGAGTTTTCCTTCTCCCTATGATATTTTCCCAGTTCCTCTGGCAGCCCTCCCCAAGGACCCCTGTGAGACAAGGCAGAAACGGCTTCCCTGGGACCCAGAGAGCCCACAGGGCTTTTCCTACTGCTTCCTCTACCCTTGTATTTCGCATGGCTCCTTAAATTGTCTCAGCTTCAGGTAAAGTCAAATCCTTTTTCTGTGATCTGGACCTTCAGGTTCCCCATTGAGGTTGTGTGGTTGTGGGTGGACAATTCCCCTTTCCCATTATCACAGTATGGGCACTTGCAGTATTTGGGCTCTCTCCTAGGTCTTGCAAGAGCAATCCACTTCCTTCAAAGGGTTCGTGGATTCTCTCAGCTTTACTGGTATATTCCTGCAGTAGATCTTGGAGCAAAATTTCACAGTGCAAGTCTCCACAGGCTGCTCTGTCTGTCCAAGTGAGAGCTGCAATGTGATCCTGCGTCCTATCCACCATTTTCTGCCAGGTACCTTCCATGTCTAGATTTTTTTTTTTTTTTTGCGTGTGGCAGTCCACTTCTTCCAGCACCATTTTTTGGAAAAAAACTATCCTTTCTCCATTGAATTGCCTTTGATCCTTTATCAAAGATCAGTTGAATATATTTGTGTCTATTTCTAGGTTCTCTATTTCATTCCATTGATCTATTGTCTACTCTTTCACCAATACTACACTGTCTTAATTACTGTACTTTGTAACAAGTATTTAAGTTGAGTAGTATATGTAGTCCAATTTTGTTCTTCTTCCTTGATATTGTATTGACCATTCTATTTTTTTGTTTCTGTATAAATGTTTAGAATCTGTCAATATTCACAAAGTAACTCACTGAGACTTTGATTGGAATTGCAATGAATCTATAAAGTTGGGAAGAACTGACATCTTAAAAATATTGAGTCTTTCTATCCATGAAAATGGAATATCTCTCCATTTATTTAAACTTTTTTATTTATTTCGCTACACAAATAAGTGAATTAATAAGTACTGCCACTAAGACTTCATGTTTGGAATTATTTATGTAATGTTAAGAGCCTGAGTCATACCATGGAATTTTCCTATTTTCAATATTCTCTTCTAATGAATAATTAAAGATGTTAACTTAACATTTTTGAGCACCCACCTCCAATAGATAACTTGAATGAGTCTACTTCTCCAATTATGTTGCCACCACTCTCATCCAGCCCCCATCAACTCTCCCCTTGACCACTGCAATAGCTTCCTAAAAGCTTCAACTCCAAGTCCACCCTTTTTTATTTATTTATTTTTATTTTTTGAGGCAGGGTCCAGGCTGGAGCGCAGTGGTGTAATCACCACTCACTGCAGCCTCAATCTCCTGGGCTTAAGCGATTCTCCCACTTCGGCCTCCTGAGTAGCTGGGACTATAAGCATGCACCTTCATGCCCAGCTAATTTGTTATATTTTTTGTAGAGACAGGGTTTCACTATGTTGCCCAGGCTGGTCTTGAATTCATAGTCTCAAGCAATCCTCCTACTTTGACCTCTCAAAGTGCTAGGATTACAGACATGAGCCACCACACCTGGCCACCAAGTCCACCCTTGATCCCAGTGCCAGTTATCCACTTATTTGCTCTTATCCTCAAGCCCACCTTTCTTTGCCCTACTGTATAATACTTGAACTGACTCTATAAACCACATTTCTACTTTGCCAGTCAATACAATGCTGGGTGCTGCCAGTAGAGGGTGCAGGATGAAGTCTACAAGCCTGGAAGAGGGAGAAAAGAATCTTTTTTTCTATTTTTTTTTTTTTTTTTTTTTTAGTGGCAGGAAGGGGCACAGTGTGCAGCTATTTCCTGTGGTGTTCTTCAAAGCAGCTGAGGTCCTTATGGTTCCAGCAAGCAGCCCCCTGCAAGTTTCTTCTTCCCCGCAGTGGTGAATAGCGTGTTCCTGCAGGAGTCACGCCTTCCCATCAGAGCATTGATCACAGACCTTACAGGACCTCCTCCAGATTTCCAAGTTCCTTCCTTGTTCTTCTCTCAGCCCTACAGGTGTTCTCTGCAGTTGTTCCCTCTTCTACACCTTTTAAAAGTTATCTACCTTGTGCATAGTTAACAACTCCTTCTATCAAATGTTCTCTATTGAAGTCACTCCACTGGTTTCTGCCTCTCCACTAGATCTTGACTAGGCTCCCTATTTTATTCTCCCCAAAATACACTCTTTATTTTATTCTCCAGAGAGTAGCCAGAGTGACTTATTTTTTCATTTGGGTCCCACTGATTAAGAGAATGAAAAATAGGCTCTAAGATGCATGAATCTCCATTCCCTGCTGATACATTTCTGTGGTTTCCCAATGCACTTGGAATAAAAGCTAAACTCTATCTTAGCCTCAAGACCTCTATCCAACTTCCCAAATTTATCTGACTTTCTTGTCCTATCTCACAGTACTCCGACACTGTGCTAGATGTGATGGTTTCCTGCTGGGATGGTTGGTTTAATGTGTCAACTTGGCTAGGTCATAGTACCCAGTTATTTAATCAAACACTAACATGGATCTAGCTGTGAAAGTATTGTGTAGATGTGGTTAGCATCTACAATCAGTTGACTTTAGGTAGAAGGAGATTACCCTCAATTATGTGTGTGGGCCTTAGCCAATCAGTTCGAAAGCCTTAAACGCAACAAAACTGAGGTTTCCTGGGCGAGGAAATTCTGCCTTAAGACTACAGCAATAGCCGGGAACAGTGGCTCACGCCTGTAATCCCAGCACTTTGGGATGCCGAGGCGGGTGGATCACGAGGTCAGGAGATCGAGACCGTCCTGGCTAACACCATGAAACCCTGTCTGTACTAAAAATACAAAAAATTAGCCAGGCATGGTGGTGGGCGCCTGTAGTCCCAGCTACCCGGGAGGCTGAGGCAGGAGAATGGCGTGAACCTGGGAGGCAGAGCTTGCAGTGAGCTGAGATAGTGCCGCTGCACTCCAACCTGGGTGACAGAGTGAGACTCTGTCTCAAAAAAAAAAAAGAAAGTATTACAGCAATAGCCCAAGAGTTGTAGCCTACTGGCCTGGCCTGCAAATTTCACACTTGCCAGCTCCTAAAATCACATAAGCAATTCCTTGAAATAAATAAGCAAATAAAGTAGGATATATAGCATATATAATGTATATGATTTTATATACATATACATACAACCTACATATGATGCTATACCTGGGCACCTCAGACTAGCCCTGGGGGCCTGCCTGGAGCTCTGCTCCCCACTTTGCTGGCTTGGCTTTGCTCATTCTTTAAATCTCAACCAAAGCTCTCCCTGACTGTTCTACCTAAGTAGATTTTACATCTGTTATTTGCTGTCACTTCAATTTGTTCTTTTCCTTTGAAGCATGTCTAACTACTTTTTTATTGTTGGTCTCCCCAAGGCTTTAATAATCAATGAGACATATTTATTTTGCTCACCACTTAGAACCTTGCCTGGCTTACAGTAGGTGTTCAATAAATATTTAACGAATGAATAAATTAACCTATCAAATGCCTAAAGCTTTTATTTCCTAAAAAGGAAATGCATAAATACATTTAAATTTTTTCTGAGTTTAATTCTGAAGTATTTTCAAAATATAGGAAACAATTTCAGATGTCCATATATTCCTACATTTTAGGAAAAACGTCAACAAGGGTTGAAATAAAAAGTATTTCTGATTAGCATTGATTTCATTTTTAAAAACCCAATACCATAATTGCCCCAATTTTTCTCACCTTGAAAAGTCTATCTAAACCCAAACCATTATGTGAAGCTCATCTCCTCCATAAAATAACCTCTCCTGACCACAGTAGCTCACTGGGAGCTCTCTTTGTCCATGTACCAGTGGTATTTATTTTGTACCACATGACTTTAGGGTTTAATTATTTGCTGCCTAAAATATTTGGCTACTGTTTCACATATTCCTTGTTAGTCCTCTTTCTCAAAGGACAATCTAAATGGCATCACTGTATTTTATTCATCTTTTTATTACAGTCAGCACCCAGAATAACACTTTGTACACTATTGGATGAAAAATTACATTTCTTTTTGAGTTCTTATTTCTCACCATTTTTTGTTTTTGAAACGGAGTTTCGCTATTGTTACCCAGGCTGGAATGCAATGGGCATGATCTCGGCTCACTGCAACCTCCACCTCCCGGGTTCAAGCGATTCTCCTGCCTCAGCCTCCCAAGTAGCTGGGATTACAAGCGCCCACCACCACACTTGGCTAATTTTTTTGTATTTTTAGTAGAGATAGGGTTTCACCACATTGGCCAGGCTGGTCTTGAACTCCTGACCTCAGGTGATCCACCTCCCTTGGCCTCCCAAAGTGTTGGGATTACAGGCGTGAGCCACTGCACCCGGCCTATTTCTCATTGTTGATCAAATAATAAACATCTCCTGCTTAAAGGCCTGGCTCACAAAAACCCACAAATAATAAATGTCTTACAACTACTCAGACCAATTATCTGGTGACTCTCTGAGCAATCCATTAAATACTTGACCAAAATCCTTCTTAGGAAGTTGGGCACTTTAGTCTCCTTCCAATGAGGCAACCCCTACTTCTTACTTTTGCTAGCTCTTTCCACCAGGAGCCATAAGTGATTTTTAAAATGTAATCTCCAGTTTAAATTAGAGGTTATAAATATGAACTATCAATGAAGAGTCAGTAAGAATATATAACGTGCCTTGACTGCTGTTTCCAAATGCCCTAGTGGCTTTTGTGATCAAGAGACACAAACTCATTTTGGAAGCATAGCTGAATTTGTAATGGCCTTCAGCCATGTACTTTCTCCACCAAGGGGCATTAAAATCATGACTACCATGATTTGATGGAAAAGGGAAGGAAGGAAGGAGGGAAGGAAGGAAGGAAGGAAGGAAGGAAGGCAGGCAGGCAGGCAGGCAGGCAGGCATGCTCTTCATATTGTAAACCTTTAAATTAAAATGCATATCCTGTGGGAAAGTGCAGTCCTGTCTCCCTCTGCTGGAATCATAGTAAAAATTGTTTAAGGCAACCTTTTCTTCATTTCCAAGCCTGCCTTTGATTGAAATCCATAGGCTTCTAGGCTCAAATACAGACTCACAAGAAGTCCCCAGGCTTCTTTTTGATCAAATTCGATATGCTTGTCAGGTTTCAGGGACGTCACTAGGGGCAGATGTGGTGGTGAAAAAAGGAAATGTTGTGAGATCAATTAGGCTTAAAGCCACGGTGGCAGTAAGAAGCCCTTCATGGGGGCTGCTAGGATGGAAGAGGTGTGTGGAAATGGGGTCCCCTCAGCATGTTGTCTGAGGACTGAATACAAAATGCAAGGACTTCTTTTGTTGTGCCCCCCAGCAAATCCAACTGCCTTGGAATAATAATAGTTTGCAATTGAATGGTGCTTTGGCATTTACAAAACATTTTCACATCAGTGATTTCATTTGGCCCCAAGAACAAGCCCTTGAAGTAGGCATAGCAGGTTACTACCTCCACTTCCTTGAGGAAGCACCTGAGGCCCAGAAACATAAAGTCATTTGCCCCAGGACACATGATTAATAGATAGGAAAACCTGTGCTTTTGATCCCGGGCTTGGGCTTTTTTGTGAGCTCTGTCCTCTCCTGCCCCTTCCTGAAATGGCTGATCTGTAAAATGATTTTATTTGTGACACATTCTCCTTATTTACCATGTTGCCCAACAGGACATTGTGATGACAACTCAGATCTTTTAGTTAATTAATTCCAGATTCTTCCCTGCTAATTAGAGGAGCTGATTCATTGGAATGAAATAGAGGCTTGGGGGGATGACAAGAATAAATTCTTTGAATGAGAAGCCACATTAGAAACTGTCAACTCTTGAAGAAAAGAAAGAGTGTGATTTAATTTTGTGATAAAATACACAACACACTTAAATTGAACTCATGAGTAAAGATACAATAGGAAGAACAACATAACACAAGTTGTGTGATTTAATGTATTACTATTTAACTTTTTTCAGCATGTGATTGTCTTGACTCACAGAGTAACTTTGATTGCATATAATTTCTTAAAATAAGTTAATATAAATTTCACTGTCTTTTAATCTATTGAAAAATGAAAACAAAATAAGCTTCAGAGTGTTTTCATTCATCTTCATTTTTTTTTTTTTTTCAGATTATTTGGTTCTTTGCTTTAAGGGAAAGAGAAAACACGGGCTCTTTATGAACCAGTGGAACTAATTTTTGTGGACTTCTGCCTTGTGAGGCTTAGGGCTGGGCTTTCCCTAGGTTATGCTTTCCCTAGGGGCTTCTGAAGTCACCATGAATCTTGCTCCATAACCTGGGCCCAGGAGAACATCCAGGGCAGCTTGGATGTGACTATAAATCACAGGTTTGTGGGGATTGCAGCTGATCGTTGATGGCATGAACTTACCTTAGGCATCTTTAAGAATCATGACTATTTTAGGTGGGATAGATGTTGGGGCTCCTCTAAGTTAATCTACCTCATTTACCAACAGCGAACTCATTCAGATGGGTTATTCAGTGTTGTTTGCTTTCCCCAAGTGGCTATAAAGTTGTAGGAGCTTCTTGTTTTTTATTAGTACCATTTAGGTACAACTGGTAATTTCCTGTCCCTTTCAGTCAATGCTGGAGATGGAGCCAGCCGATCTCTAGTGATGTGGTCTTTGGGGCTGTGACCTCTGCTTCTAACTGTTCTGTAGAAAATGCTAAAGTTGGCAATGCAGGTGGTTTTCTCAGTTGGTTCTTCTTGAGTTGAATATTCAGTAGTTTCTGGAGTTGCTGAGTGAAATTTCACCTAATTTAGAATTTCCATAGCTCATGCTCTGAAACCTCAGTAATCGGGACATGCAACTTTTAGAAAACCAGAATTATTTTGCTTAAAAAATGTTTTGCTTTCTGGTCAATTTACAGGTGTTAACTAGTGGTCCCTAGTTGTTTTAAAATAGAAAAGAAGGAAATAGTGCTCTCTCCATCCCCACGTGTCCCTACCCAGTCATGCAAGGTACCTCTCCAGTCTGGTTACCATAGCCTCTCAGGCAAAAGGAGGCAAAGCCTGAGGCACCAGAGAAGTCTGTAAGGAGCAAGGCCAAACTGTCCAGGCAGTGAGGACAGAGATTGACCTTGGATATGGGAATGCTTCCTTCTTAGCAATCAAAGCCAAAGGGTATTTCCCACCTCAGTTGAACACCATGTTGCACGTCCTGGGAAAGACAGCCTCATACAGGAGCTCATGAGATCTGCTCTATCAGGTTGGCGGTTCTAGTTGTCCCATAAATACAAAGATTGGTATAGTGTGCACGAAGCATATGGCTTACCCAGCCATCTCATTACAAACCTCTAGAAGACCAAAATGGAAAATCATTAACATTTTATGCAAAGTTTCAGCATCTTCTGTTATTTCTAATGGGTAACACTCCAAAGAATTTGAAGATAGCACAATCCTCCCACAAGTAAGCAAAGGCTGTGGATGGAGAGAGTTACTATAATGTAGGGATGCTACTCAGAGGTACGACAACATCTTCTTAGAAAGACAGACAGCACAATAGTAGCAGCTCAGACTTCAGCCAGTTCTGTCTGTGTTCAAATCCCAGCTTGGCCATTTATACCTGCGTGGACTCTGGAAGGGAAACCTGTCCACGCCTCAAGTTCCTCATTGTGAAACTGGATGATAGCAATAATACTTACTTCTTAAGGAGGTAAACAAGTTAATAAATGTAAAATGCTTAGAATCATGCATTACATGGGTAAAATGTTTGCAGTGGGCTAAATGTTTGTGTCTGCCCCCAACCAAATTCTAGGCTGAAACCCAAATTCTCAATGTAATGGTATTTGGAGGCAGGACCCTTTGGGAGGTGATTAAGTCGTGAGGATGGAATCCTCACAGGTGGGATTGATGTCCTTATAAGAAGAGACATGAGAGAGATGATCTCTCTCTGCTTGCCTCCAAGTGAGGATATTGCTAACCAAGAAGAGAGCCTTCACCACACACTGAATCAGCCAGGGCCTTGATCTTGGACTCCCCAGCCTCCAGGACTATGAGAAACAAGTGTTCATTGTTTAAGCCACCCAGTTGATGGTATTGTGTTATAGCAGCCTGAACAGACTAAGATGAAGTTCTACAACAGTTGCTCAAGGGAAAACTGTGTGAATTTATCGTAGACAACATCACCACTTTGCACTTATACAGGACTTTAAGCTGACAAGTGCATTCCCATGCATTCACTCATTTGCTTCTCACAACTCTGTGAGTTAGGCAAGGTAGGAGTCAGCACCTCCATTTTACACATAAGGAAACAGAGTCCGGGAATTTTCTCCACTGTAAAATGGAGACATCAACAGCCCACCAGGAGCAACTCATCTACAAATTGTAAACATGAATTTTCAAACCAAGCCTATTTTCTTCATTTGATTGAATATTGGTAGATAACTTTTAAAAACTGCATGAACTTGTATTTTTTTGCTTCATCTTGGCAACTTCTTCCACAAATTCTTCACTTGAACTTCACAAAGGGTCTAGTTGTATATTCACCACCCCTGAGCTTCGTTCACGAGTAACTATCTTAGATGAGCATGTTTCTGTGCTAAGACATGCACAACTCACATAACACCTTCAGGATTTTATAAGATTAAACGTACGCCTGACTTAGGTATGACACCAAAAGCACAATCAACCAAAGAAACAGCAGATAAGCTGGACTTCACTGAAATTTAAAATTTTGCTGCTTCAACAGACACCATCAAGAAAGTGAAAAGACAACCAACTGACTGGGAAAAAATATTTACAAAGCGTATATCTGATAAGTATCTGATAATTATATCTAGAATACATAAAGAACCCCTACAACCCAATAATTAAAGACAACCAAACTTAAAAATGGGCAATCCGAATAGACATTTCTCCAAAGAAAATATACAAACAGCCAATAAGCTTATGAGAAGATGCTCAACATCATTAACAATCAGGGAAATGCAAATCGAAACCACAATGAGATACCACTTCATACCCATTAGAGTGGCTATAATAAAAGACAGACAGTAGTAAGTGTTGATGAAGATTCAGATAAATTGGAAGCCTCATCAATTGCTTGTAGGAATGTAAAATGGTCCACACTTTAGCAAATAGTCTGCTCCTCAAAAAGTTAAATATAGAGTTACCATATGACCCAGCAATTCCACTCTTAGATTTATTCCCAGGAGAAATGAAAAAATATGTCTACACAAAAACATGTACACAAATGTTCATGGCAGCATGATTCATAATAGCCAAAAATAAAAACAAACCAAATATCATAAATAACATGTGGTATATTCATACAATGGAATATTATTTGGCAATTAAAAAGGAATAAAGTATTGATACATGCCACAACATGAATGAACCTTGAAAACTTACACAATGTAAAATAAATCAGTCACAAAAGACCATACATTGCATGATTCCATTTATATGAAGTGTACAGAACAGGCAAATTTATAGAAACAGAAAGTAAATTAATGGTTACTTAAGGCTAGGGGAGGGGAGGAATGTGGAAATTGGGGATGAAAGGACAGGCAGTTTCTTTTTGGGGTGATGAAAATATCCTAAAATTCATTGCAGTAATGGTTACATGACTCTGTGAATATATTAAAAATCATTGAATTGTACACTTTAGATAAGCAAATTGTATGGCATGTGAATTATATGTCAATAAAATGCTTTCTTAAAAAAAATTCACTGACCTAGTTAATACCTAATAATTCTGCTCCTGGGTACGTGCTAGGAGAAATAGGAGCATATGTTTACACAAACTCTTGTACACAAATATCTGTAGAAGCTTTATTTATAAATACATTTATTATTTTAAAATCATTTTAAATAATTTATTGTAAGAAGATTTATTTCTCCAAACTGGAAACAACCCAAATGTCCATCAACAGAAGAATGGATAAAGAAATTCTGGTTATTCATACAATGGAATACTGCTCAGCAGCAAATCAAAATGAGCAACTGATACGTGCAACAACATGAATTAATCTAAAAAATGCTATGTGGAGTGAATAAAAGCCAGACATAAAAGAGTACATACCTCATGATTCCATTTATGTGAAGTTTTAGAAATGATAGAACCAATCTAATGGCGATGGATCTCAGAACAGTAGTTGTGAAGTAAGGGAAGGTGATTATAAGGATTAATCTGGAGCATGGAAGAACTTTATGAGGTGCCAACAATGTTCTATCTCTGTAGATTGTGGGCTAATGGGTACACACATTGTCAAAACGAATGGAAATATACACTTAAGATCTGTATATTTTAGTGCATGCGAATCATAACTCGATAAAAGTTGTCAGCTGTATCTGGTAATAGTTTATGAAAAGGTAAGTTTCCCAGAACACAGATATGACAGATATGACTACATATTCCCACTCTTTAGATGCCCATATTCATGTGGCATGTGTACATGACATGCAATAAATAGGGGCAGAATAGTATTGTGGAAAACGAAAGATGTCATTATTCTTGGACACTATGGCCTTAAGATAAGCAGTAACTTGAATCCCAGGTGTACAAATGGCCCAGATTACTGACTCATGTAGTCATACATTATTATTCACAGTGTTGTTTTTAAATGCTGTCTTATTTCTTGTATTATTTTATTATTAAGAAGGAACATCCAGAAAATTATACAAGCTGTTTATCTCACTCTGGATTCTTTTTTTTTTTTTTTGGAGACAGAGTCTCACTCTGTCGCCCAGGCTGGAGTGCAGTGGCATGATCTTGGCTGACCGTAACCTCCGCCTCCCATGTTCAAGCGATTCTCCGGCCTCAGCCTCCTGAGTAGCCGGGATTACAGGTGTGTGCCACCACACCCAGCTAATTTTTTGTATTTTTAGTAGGGACGGGGTTTCACCATGTTGGCCAGGCTGGTCTCAAACTCCTGACCTGAGGTGATCCACCTGCCTCCACCTCCCAAAGTGCTGGGATTCCAGGCGTGAGCCACCGCGCCCAGCCCTCATCTGTTCTTTTGGTGAAAATGTCCAGGATAAAGTGCAAACTGAGTTTTCTTGGGAAGAATTTCATATATTCTGAAATCAGACCTTCCCACAGTTTCAGTGTTCAAATTTTTGTTTTAGAAATGACAGTGGGTCAGTGGCTCACCCCTGTAATCCCAGCACTTTGGGAGGCCGAAGGTGAGGGCGGGGGTGGATCACTTGAGATCAGGAGTTCGAGACCAGCTTGGCCAATATGGCGAAACCCTGTCTCTACTAAAAATACAAAAATAAGCCAGGTGTGGTGGCTTATGCCTGTAATCCCAGTTACTCGGGAGGCTGAGGCAGGAGAATCACTTGAACCCGGGAGGCAGAGTTTGCACTGAGTGGAGATCATGCCACTGCACTCCAGCCTGGGCAACAGAGCGAGACTCCTTCTCAAAGAAAAAAAAAAATGACAGTGATAAGAGATGGAAGTAATATTTTGAGTTGTGGGTGGTTTTAAATCTTTTCATTTGGCAAAGTTAAAACTTAGCAATGCTCTTCCCCTTTTGGGAACATGGCAACACTCTTCTCCTCCTTCCTCACTTTCCTCCCCTCTCCTCATCTCTTTCTTCTACTTCATTTTTCCTCAGGGACCAGACACTGGGCTGAGTATTTTAGTTTTTGTTTTGTTTTGTTTTTTAGAGATAGAGTCTTTCTCTGTCACCCAAGCTGGAATGCAATGGTGTAATCACAGCTCGCTGCAGCCTTCAACTTTTGGGCTCAAGCAATCCCCCTGCCTCAGCCTCCCAGACAGCTGGGACTACAGGTGCATGACACTATGCCCAGCTAATTTTAAAATATTTTTTGTAGAGACAGGATCTCACTATGTTGCTTGCGCTCAAGTGATCCTCCCCCCTTAGGCTCCCAAAGTGTTGGGATTACAGGCATAAGCCACTACACCCAGCCTGGGCTGGGTAGGTACATTGGCTCACTCACTTCTCACATCCACTCTGAGAGGCCAGAATTATGTGTGTGTGTAACACACAAACACACACACATTTTTTTTTTCACGTAAAGAAACTAAAACTCAGAGTAAATAAATGGCTCATGGCCACAGAGCTAGCAAAGTGCATCCTCTGAATCTCCAGGCTCCTGCCCCCACAAAGAACATGAATGAGATACCTCAGTAGCTAACAATAAATGACACAATGTAAGTAAGCATTCAGCACAGTCCCCAGTGCCTCATGGGCAAGAAGAGTTCACTCATTTCTTCCATAAATATTTCCTGAGCATCTATCATGTGCCAAGCACTGTTGTAGACCCTAAATTACTGCAATTAAGGAAATGGACAAAAATCCTTGCTCTCAGATAGCTTACCTTCTAGGGCTTCTTATTACATCCATGGTTAAATTCTCTGGGGCAACCTCCCCTCCTGTACCCTTTCTGCTCACAGGAGGATGAGAAAGGTCTGTGGCTAGGTGCCACTCTACAGCCTCTCCAATGCCATGGTAGAGCAGACACCAGGAAAGAGTTGGAGATGTGGAGGCAGCAGCTGCCAGCTTCCTAGCGGAGGTGGAACAGCGGTGCTTTCTTAGGGAAAGGAAAAGAAGAGGCAGGTGAAGGCCGGAGGCCAGAAGAGGGCTGGCAACCAGAGGCCCAGCATCCAGGGCTGGAAGCTTCTTCCAAGCAGCTCAGGCAAATCCAAGCTCTGTGGGTGCTTGTCTGACCCTCCCACCCCTGATTTCCGTGCCTGCGGCCAGGAAGTCAGGTGCCTTCTGGAATGATCTGAAAGGACGTTGGTAGAAGAAGACTAAAACCTCCCTTGGGCCATTTTTTTTTTCCTGGAACTCCGTAGCTTTCTTATAGGAAACTGTGAAAAGTGAAAAGGGCTTGGGGACAGAAGCCCCAGTTCCAGCCCTGGCCCTGGAACTCACCCCCTTTACCTCTTCTCTCTCTGTAAATCCTTCTTCACTGGGCTCCTGGAAGAACTAAAGCACTGGGTTCCTGGAAGAGCACCTGCTCATAGTAGGCTCTGTATTCTTTGTTGGGCTGGTTGGCTGACTCCATCTCTTGTCCCCATGCACTGTGTTCCTTCTTGTTCTTCTGTCTCCCACCCATTCCTCCAGAGTAGACCTTAAAGCCCCTCCAGAGAACCCCTTGTTTCCAGGGAACACAGTTTAGAAACCATGTCCAGACAATACTCTCCCAGAGAAATTTATTTCAGACTTTAGTACCAGCCTTTATTTTTTTCAGACACAGGGTCTCACTCTTTCACTCAGGCTGGAGTGCAGTGGCACAATCACAGCTCACAGCAGCCTCAGCCTTCTGGGTCCAAGCAATCCTCCCACCCACTTCAGCCTCCTGAGTAGCTATGATTATGGGTGCACACCACCACACCCAACTGATTTTTAAACTGTTTTGTAGAGGAGTCTTGTTATGTTGCTCAGGTTGGTCTCGAACTCCAGGGCTCAAGTGATCCCCCTTAACAGCCTTTTAAAAATAGTGTCATTTAAAAAGAGAGAGAGAGTTGAGACCACAATAAAATCAGAATGGGGCTGGGCTTAGGCACTGATACTTTTTCAAAAGTTCCCCAGGTGACTCACATACAGCCAGCCTGGGAACCATTGTTCAAGTAGAATAATCACAACATAAAGGAAGTGCCTCAATGCACAAAATGCTTTGGGATCACAGATGAGATAATAATACATTCTGCCTTGGGAGGGGAATGTGAGCTCTCTTGTCAGGATGCCACAGACGGGAGGTGACACATCTGAGTTTCACTTCAAATGATGAGCAGGGGTCTCTGGGGCCTTGTTACTTAAAGCCTGGTCCGCAGACCAGCAGCACCAACATCTCCTGGGTGCTTGTTAGAAATACATAATCCAGGGTCCCCTCCCAAAACTATTGGATCAAAATCTGCATTTTATGAAGATATCCAAGTTATTCATATGCACATTAAAATTTGAGCCATGTTGGGCTAAATGGACACAGTGCAGAAGAGTATTCACCACCATTAACCTGGTCAGTTTAGATTAAACAACAGAGTACTACAGCGAAGGTTTATTTTTCAATTTAGCTTTTAAAATAAATCCGAAACCTAATGTTATCGATGGCTGGCCCAAATGTCATTTTTTAAATGCCATCTGAAGGTCAGAGGGTCAGGACTGAGTGCTTTATCCAATCTGCTAATGGGGAATGTTCTTATGCTGCAGATATGAGCAGGCTCCGGATGGCTCTGGAGGCTGGGTAGGCTGGGCCATGAGACCCTCCTAGCACAGGACTTAACTCTCCATGAGAAGAGTCCAGCACACTTGTCCTCAGACACATGTAAGGCACACAGCCTTCTTTACCGGTACCGTTTCCTAGTGATTGGTGGGAGTGGGGAGTCAGCTGCTTCCATACCGGTGCTAATCCTCTAGGCCACAGCCCTCCGTTCCTTTGCAATGGAATGAAAAAGACAAGACGTTTCAAATGGTGGTGGTCACGGCGGCGGCTGTGGATTCTCCTTGCGCACTGATTAAATGAATAGTGCTTTTAACAGAGTCGGTGATGGAAACCCATAATGCCTCTGCCCTGGCTGCCCTGAATATGTATGTGTCTCTCAAAGCCAGCTTCCAGCCTCAAGAAGCTAAACCAAGATGTCCTGGTTTAACTCCAAGTTCTCACCTGAGTGTAGAGATAACCATGTAGATGTGTTTCAGCATAACCCAGATTTTCTATCTGCTCTTTCTAACCACTTCTCTGTCCATCTAAGTGGGGAATGAATCACCTTTTTCCTGAAAATACTATGAGAAATGGATTGTTTCATGCAAGATCCACCTACGTAGATGTGTTGACTGCAGTTATGGGAGGCCCCACAGCTTAGCAGGTATGGAGTACGGGAAAGTCCTTCCTACCACAGCAGGGTTGATGTGAGAACTGAATCAGGAATCACACGTCTGGCGTTTAGCCTGGTGCTGAGCGGAGGATGCACTCTATACTTGCCATTTACCTCATATGGTCACTTTAATGGCTGTTCTCTTATCTTCTGTGACGACTGGATCTGATGATCCAGTTATAAACGCTGTTCTTGTGCCACTCCCCCAAATTCCAGTGTAATAGTTTGGGGAACCAACCATTGAGAACACAGCCCTTATTCAGGCTGGGTCTGCTACCATGTTATGTTTTAAGCCTTCAAAAATATAAGAATCTATAATAGTCTTTCCATAATAAGTAACATAATTCTCTGAACATGTTACTTCTACCTTCCTCAATCACTGTGGTTAAGACAGCCAAGGATGGCTGTCTACCTGGTGTTTGTGGCCACCGAGCCTCCTGCCTACACCTTGTCACATCTGTTCAGTCTTTACCCTTCTTGTTTTTATGGTTATTATTTGCTCCCAGCCCCACCCTCCTCCTGTTGAGAAACTCCCTCCTCCCAGCTTCTACCACAATCCTCCTCCCACCTAAATATATACTCCCGAGCTCTTGTCCACAGACCTGCTGTCTGCTGCTTCTTCCCCTTCAGTTTTGGCCATTTTCATAGCTTCATTCAGCATATCTAGGATATGGTTCCAAATCTTTATCTCCCTCTCAGGCTCACACCAACATTTGCTACTTTTTATTTGACATTTCTAGTTCCTTGTGAAACTCAAACTCCTCATCCTCCACGCATGCCAGCTCTTTCTCCTGGCTTTCCAGTCTCTATGAACATCAACACATAGACTGTGGCCCTCACACATTACTGAATTTAGCATGAACTTTCTCCACTATTTTTAATGTTATTTTCCTTCTTCACTGGTTTCCTCAAACTAAGCAGCCTTTCATTTTTCAAATTCATGGCCTCCCTTTAACAGATGTTTGCAAAAAGGTGGAACCAAATAAAAGTGTTTTTGAAGAGTTCTAGCTTTCTCAACTTAAACACATCACAGAGATCTGATCACCTTCAACATACATGGCCCAGCCCAGACCAGTTAAATTCATTCCCCAGGTTTATTCTAAGTGGAATAAACATAGAAAGACCCTTGACACTGGGTGATTGAACTAGAAAGCTGTGGGCCTAAGACCGTCAAGGCCACTTCACCCACCCACCCACAGCAGGTGGAGGAAACTTGTCTGCAGTGGGTGAGAATGAAGACAGACAGAGTGTTGGATGGAGATATGACCCTGAAGGGACATGCTGAAACCCAATTCCAGACCCTTAATTCCCTAGAGCTTCCCTGCTGCCTTCAAATCCCCTTTCATTCTATGAGCCCCTGGAGTATCCTTCCAATATATCTTCTTTTCATTTGTACCATTTTTAGTTGAATTTCTGTCACTGGCAACCAAAATGGTTAAAAACTACACCAGTTTATATTCTGATGGCAAATTAATTGATTTTCCAAAAGATTATAACTTCCCTGCTCAAAGCCCTTTTTCTCCAACTTACTTTTCCTATCTTATGTCTTGTACATTCCGTAGAGTGTCTATTCACTGACCCCTGAACATACCTGAGCTTTCCTTCTGCCACGTTATCATCCCTTCCTTCCCTTTTCTAGTACTCAAAGCTGTGTTTATTCATCACTCAATATTTATCAGAAAACACTCCTCAAATTCTGTGATCATTCCCTCCTTTGAGCCACACCCATTAGAGTGTAAGCTTCTTAATGACTGAAGAGTGTTTCCCATTCATTTCTTTACCCGTCACCACCATCCCTCACCTCAGCACAAGACCTTGAGGACAAGTGCTAAATAAATGTTGGCTCCTTGGTGTCAATGAAGTATGTCCAATCACCAGTTTTTGTATAAAACCCATTTCTTTTATTGTAACATTAACATTTTTTCACAGTTTCATATTGGTGAAATCAGGATTCATATTATAATCATTGGCATTCCAGAATTTGATTGTTAGTATTTTTTCTCAGTACATAAAATATGGGTGCATCTTACATTTCACCATGTCTTAGATTCAGTGAAGTAAAGTATCATTCATGCATTCCTGATAACAATTGTGTTTGCTTCTCTGTCTTCCTGCCTCCAGGGTGAATCATCCCATGTTCTCACTATTTCCTTAGTTCCTGTTTTCTACTCCTACCAATGTTGTCTCCACTTTACCTCTTTAAATTTCCTACTTTTCTCAAGTAGTGTCAGACTAGTATACTGTAATAAGGCAATGCTAAATACAATGGTGTCATTGTATCATGGCCCTGCATGATAAAACACTGTTTATGATTCTAAATATGTCTGCTATAGAATTAACTCCAGTTTAACATAGAAGCTAGCAAAAATAAATATTTGTTTTAATTTGTGAACAGGCAACTATGTTATATGAGCCATAATGCATGAAAACAATGCAGTCAGAAGCAGAGAAGGGTTGGAATTAAATAAGACTTACAAGCAAAGCAATATGATATATTTAATGACAATAGAATTATCATTCTTCGAGCAGCACTGTGGCCTGGGAGAGTCTCTATAGATAAAAGGTTTCTGGCCGGGTGTGGTGGCTCACGCCTGTAATCACAGCACTTTGGGAGGCTGAGGCAGGCGGATCACCTGAGGTCAGGAGTTCAAGACCAGGCTGACTAACATGGAGAAACCCCATCTCTACTAAAAAATACAAAAGTTAGCCAGGCATGGTGGCGCATGCCTGTAATCCCAGCTACTCCAGGGCTGAGGCAGGAGAATTGCTTGAACCCGGGAGGCAGAGGTTGTGGTGAGCCAAGATCAAGCCATTGCACTCCAGCCTGAGCAACAAGAGTGAAACTCTGTCTCAGAAAAGAAAAAAAGGTTTCTAAACAAGTCCAGATGCCCTGTACCACCCAATTACCCATATTTATGCATTTTTGTTCTTCATTGGTCTGTGAGACTGGGAAATCTAGTAGTCTTGGGTCCAGCAACTCCATAGTGGGGAAGCTGTCCTCATAAGCACCGGCATGGTGGGGACCTGCCTTGATCCCTAGTGTTGTGGAAAAAGCTAGTCGCTCACCTCCTCTTATCACAGCCTAGGATCCTGCCAAAATGAATGACTTGCCCACAAACCCTGTTCTCTGCAATGGCAAACCTTCCCATTCTCCCCATGCGTCCGCTCAAGCTGGTCTCTTGGCTGGTAGAGCTTCCTGGTCTTTAGGCTGCCCAGCCCAGTGCAGTAGCTACTAGCAACTGTGCTTACTAAGCCCACTTGAGTGTGGATGGTGTAACCAAGGAACTGAGTTTTCAATTTTATTTAACTTCAACTAATTTAAATAATAATAATTATTATTTTAGAGATAGGGTCTCGCTCTGTCACTCAGGCTGGACTGCAGTGGCTTGATCACAGCTCACGGCAGCCTGGAATTCCTGGGCTCAAGCAATCCTCCCGCCTCAGCCTCCTGAGTAGCTAGAACCCCAGGCACACACCACCACACCTGGCTAATATTTTTAATTTTTACTAATTTAAATTTAAATAGACATGTGGCTAGTGGCTACCATATGAGACAGCCCAGATCTAGGATGCATTCTGCTCCATTTCTTCTTCTTAAAATCCTGACCTTCAAGGGGCATCTCAGGGCTGCTTTCTCCATGAGGTCTGTCTCCCTGGTGGGACTGTTTTTCCTCCCTTGGAATTCCCATCTCACACTGAACTATTACTGAGGCACTAAACACTCTTAATCTTATATTATAGATATTTGTGTGGTATTTCCTTTACTAGTTCCTTCTCTGAGAGCTTCGACTACTCTTATTCTTAATTTGGACCCCAATGTACCTAGTGCAGAGATACTTTAAAATGTTTATTGCCTGAATATATAATAGTAACACCGCAATTAACATTAACAATAGGGAATTGACAAGAGTTGCTGTGTAGTAAAGGACTAACCTTTACTAGGAAGCAACCTCTATGCCCTTGGAATGTCCTGTGAGATAGAAGGGTCTTTGTCTACTGGGGCCTTGGGCCACACCAGATAGTCTATGCCAACAATGTGATTTATGATAGGTGCCCTGGACCTCAAGGTACCAGCTTAACCTCTGGAGGGGCAAAAGACTAAAGTCAGCCATGTGGGCAATCAGCTATAAATCCATGACCGACCCCAATAAAAAAACTGTACACCGTGGTGAGCCTGGGTAAGTTTCTCTGGCTGGCAATACTCCATGCACATTGCTACATGTCATTGCTGGGCAAAATTAGTGCTATCTGTGTAACTTCACTGGAGGAGGATAGTTGAAAGTTCTGGACCTGGCCTCTCCTGGACCCTGCCTTATATGCCTAAGAGTAAAAGCAACAGCAAACAGAATGGGTCTGTGGGGTAAGCGGGGTTGAAGGAGGGGAAAGAGCAGAAGTACATCATGCCATATGTAGAATGAGCACAACTTAGAGAAGATCTCTAAGGAAAGAGACTATTTTCTCATTTCTACCGTACCTGGCACAGAGTGGGACCTCAATATTTAATGAATGGTTGAATGGATGGATAAATGAATAATCTCCTCTAATATTGCAGAATCCTGTGGGTTGCCATACTCCCACAGGCCAAATCATTTCCTGTCTGGGATCTCAGCTCTTTTCCCTTCTAGGTAGGCACTTAATCAAGTTCAATGGGTTTACAGGGTGTTTTTTGTTCTTAATTTCCTATCTCCTATCCAGAATGCCCCTAAGCTTGTACTTCAGTTTTTCCTTTTCCCTCCACAACTGACTCCTAGGCAATCTGAGGGTCTAAGAATGTCTAGGAGGCATTTGAATCCTTGTTTATAGGAGGGGAGTTCTTGTGAATTAGTTCACACACAAGAACAGAAGGTCCCAGAGAGATGTGAAGTGTGACGCGAGACAGCATGAACATGGAGCAGCCCCACGGGGTCTGGGGTCAGGGCAGCTGGAAGGCTCCTGGGCTTCTCTGAGAGATGAGTGCTGCTCAGGGTGGTCCAGTAGCTGCTGCATTGTTTGGTGAGGGGCGTGTGGTCAACAAGTCCGTCTGTCAATGACTGGCCAGGCCCCCTCGATGTCTATGCCCTCTTCTAGGAACAGCCTTGGAGCCCCTAGGAAAACACTGACCAATAAATTAAGTTGAAAAATATGTAGGAGGCAGGGAATATCAACCTAGAGTATTTGTCAATGGCATGGGTATTCTGGAAGATACGAAAACCCGTCTGGCCCTTCAGAAGCCCCTTCTTTCTGGCAGCGTTGGCTTCACCACTCAGGCCCAGGTGGA
Source organism: Homo sapiens (assembly GCF_000001405.40). Classification (NCBI taxonomy): domain Eukaryota; kingdom Metazoa; phylum Chordata; class Mammalia; order Primates; family Hominidae; genus Homo; species Homo sapiens. The sequence continues at coordinate 89,257,843 of NC_000006.12, forward strand.
CCACTATTTTGTCTTGCCTTTCTTCTTCTGTCAGGATATGGCTTCTGGGGTACCCAGCCAGGCTGTTGGCCTCAGACTCACTGTAGCTTCCATCCAGCATCATGGTTTTTGAATGAAGCATTCCACACATGCACGGGAACTATGGGCAGCAAGCACAAAGAACATCATTAAGCCTTGTGAGGTGGGCAGAGGAGGGGGCCTGGCCCAAGAGCAAAGCCACATTGCTACTCAGAACCACAGAAAGATAGAACTAGAAAGATCTCCAGAGGTTACTTAGTCCAACGATCCTCTACCGTGGCTGCATATTAGAATCATCTGCACAGCTCTTTAAACTGGCCATGCCCGGGCTGCACTTTAGAGCAATTAATTTAAAATTCCCAGGTGATTCTACTGTGTAGCCAGAATTGAGAATCACTGATCTAGTCCAAATCCCTCAGTTGTAGAGACAAAAACTTAAGACCCAGAGAGCTATACGATTCTGAGACCACACAGCTGGTGTCAGAGCAGGACTCTAAATCCACATAGTCTGATTCCAGCTGCAGGACTCCACCTTTCTGTGCATGAATCAAAAGATGATTAGGAGCCAGGCGCAGTGGCTCATGCCTATAATCTCAGTGCTTTGGGAGGTCAAGGCAGGAGGATCGCTTGAGGCCAGTATTTCAAGACCAGCCTGGGCAACATAGTGAGACTCCTTCTCTAAAAAAAAAAAAAAAAAAATGTTTTTTTTAATTAGCCAGGCATGGTGGCATGCACCTGTAGTCCTAGCTACTCAGGAGGCTGAGGCAGGAGGATCACTTGAGCTCAAGAGGTCAAGGCTGCAGTGAGCAGTGATCATGCCACTGCATTCCAGCCTGGGTGACAGAGCAAAACCCTGTCTCTTTTTTTTAAAAAAAAAAGAAAGAAAGAAAAAGATGATGAGGTAGAGAGTGTCCTTATCTTAAAAATTACATTTGAGAGTCAAGGGTCATGGTATCTGCAATGTATTTTTAGACAGTTCAACTGCACCAACAGATACATGCTTATATGGAGAAAATGTATTATGCATTGAATGCATAATACATTTTCTCCATATAAGCATGTATCTGTTGGTGCAGTTTTTGCCACACAAAAATGGCAAAATGTTAGCAATGTTGGATCTAGGTGCTAGGTACCTGAATGTATATGACCCTATTCTTTTAATAGTTTCTGCAAGTATGAAAATGTGTATGACACTCTAAGTGGGAGGAAAGGAAATGGTTTCGCTTGACTTCTCCCCATAGTTTAGTCAGTAGAGAGTGGGCTTCCACTGGTGCCTGGATGCTTGGTGTTGACTGAGAGCAGGAGGCCCACTTGACACATCCAATTGGCGTTGATTTGAATATGTTTCTGACCTGGCTCTCAGCCCTTCAGGGCGTCTGTTTTTCCATCTAGGAAAGTGAAATAATGAAGTTTCACAACCTGCCTCTTATTGTTATGGATCTTGAAACTCTCAGATGAATATCATAAAGCTTTAGAATGCAGAAATAGATGAATGATTTTATGCAGAATTAGAATTACTTGAAGTATTCTTATCCTTGAAGAAATTGTTCGTGGTTTGGGGGCTATTTTTTTTCATCAGGCATGATTGTTTCATTATTAGTTTCTGTGTCTTTTTTCCATCAGTAACACTTCTTTTTTTTTGTTTTGTTTTTTTTGTTTTTGAGATGGAGTCTCACTCTATCCCCCAGTCTGGAGTGCAGTGGCTCGATCTCGGCTCATTGCAACTTCCGCCTCCAAGGGTCAAGCGATTCTCCTGCCTCAGCCTCCTGAGTAGCTGGGATTACAGGTGCCCACCACCATGCCCAGCTAATTTTTGTATTTTTAGTAGAGACAGGGTTTCACCATGTTAGCCAGGCTGGTCTCGAACTCCTGACCTCAAATGATCTGCCTGCCTAGGCCTCCTGAAGTGCTGGGATTACAGGCATTAGCCACTGCACCCAGCCAACAATTTTTGAATAATTATCATAGACTCATAGCTATAAGGGAATTGGGGATAAAAGGTAAGAGGTCATCTCTCTCTCTCTTTTTTTTTTTTTTTGTTTTTTTTGTTTTTTTTGTTTTTTAGACAGGGTCCTGCTTTATTATTACCCAGGTTGGAGTGCAGTGATGCCATCTCAGATCACTGCAGCCTCCACCTCCTGGGCTCAAGGGATCCTCCCACCTCAACCTCCCGAGTAGCTGGGATTACAGGCACACACCACCACACCCAGCTCATTTTTGTATTTTTTGTAAGATGGGGTTTTGCCAAGTTGCCCAGGCTGGTCTCAAATTCCTGGGTTCAAGGGATCCACCTGCCTTGGCTTCCCAAAGTGCTGGGATTAGAGGCATGCACCACCATGCCCAGCCCTATTCAACTCTTTGCATTTAGATATAATCACACCCAAACTGATAAAATTGTGTGATATTATCATTGGGGGGTTATTTATTTATTTAAGGCACAGTTCTTCTTCTCCTTGCTCTAAACTGAAAATCTTTCTGCTAAAATGAAAATAGACTCTTCTCCTAAGATTTTGAGTTCAAATCAGGAAATACCAAAAATTAGGATAAAACCCCTGTTTCCCAGATTGGCTTGCTTCTAAGAAAGAGGAAGTGGCTCTTGGCATGTCAGACAAGGTCTGGCTAATCAGCCAAAGTACTGGAGCAGCTGAGGGGAGGTAAGCCCTGGGCTCCCACGTGTTCCCGCATGCTCTCGCCTGCACTTGTCTGCCCTTCAAACCAGGGGTGGGCCTAACGGGTCCCAGGCAGCTTTTACCTTTACAGAGTGGAAATCACACTTCAGTGAGCATCAGAATCACCTGGGAACTTGCTTAAAATCTTGATTCCAGGGTGCCATCCTCAAAGATTCTGAATCAGTAGACCTAGGGTGTGGTCTAGGGAATCTATTTTTTGAGACCCTGTCTCAAACCCGGGAATCTATTTTTAACAGACTCAGGAGGTGATTCCAGGGAAGGTACTCCATGGCATCCACTTAGGAACCTCAGCTCTATTGGGAAACATTTCAATACTATGAATATTAGTTTCTCTGTGAGGCAGCAGATGGTGCCTTCTCACCTCTGTCTGCTCTCCAGCAACTATGCTTCTTGGTCTTAAATCCTACATTTGACAACAGCAGAGTACGAGCTCTCACCTCAGGATGTCTGTTCTCACACAGACAGAGGGGGAGACTTAGCGGCCTGAGGCCCTCTCCATAGATGACTTCCTTGTCTCTTTAAACAAAGTCATACAGTTGCTGGCAAAGATCCAACATGATATGGAAACAGGGCAAGTTGTGCCGGTGAACCGTTCGTTTGTGAGCCTTGTCAGATGAAGGCTTTGCTATTTTTTTCAACTGCTCTATACAGGAAAGTCTAATGATTTATAAATCAAAAGTGTTTAAATATGGTCCAAAGTCCTGTGATAATGGTCAGTGTACAAATTACTGAAGTTTAAACAAGTCAATTTTCTGAAGTAAAAAATGTTTGACTAGAGCTTTAAAAATAAGCAACCTAGTATAATATATTTGGAGATGTAAACTAAAAATAAAGTTCTAAGCCCCCAAACTGATGAACTGACCCCCCTCTTGGTCAAGGGGACCCCAGAGAAACCTTAAAAACTGAGTTCCCAGTCATGACGAGACAAGAGGCTGAACACACCTTGTTATTCCTCCTCTCTTTTGGGATTTAGACACAACTGACCAGCATTAATGCTGAAATAGAGATTGTAAGACAGAACAGATTCTTTATGGCCATAAGATACCAAATTACAAACAGTACCTAAGGCCATTCTAGGGCCAGGGTGAAGTCACACACCCCTGCGCTTAAAGAATACACTGTGTGCTAACTGCCACAAGGTTTTTCTTTTTCTCTTTCAGCTAAACAAGCACTGGCCTTGAGATAAACAACGTTAAAACAATTTGGGGCTGGTGCGGTGGTTCATGCCTGTAATCCCAGCACTTTGGGAGGCCAAGGTGGGCAGATGGCTTTGACTCCAGAAGTTTGAAACCAGTCTTGGCAACATGGCAAAATCCCATCTCTTTTAAAAATATAAAAACTAGCTGGGCGGGGTGGCGCATGCTTAAGGTCCCAGCTACTTGGGAGGCTGAAGTGGGAGGACAGCATGAGCCCAGGAGATGGAGTGCAGTTAGCAACCACTGCATTCCAGCCTGGGTGACAGAGTCAGACCCTGTCTCAAAAAAAAAAAAAAAAAATTTGCAGCTCACCAACCATCAGACACTGACTAACCAACCAACCCCTGGCCCCTGTTCCACCAGCCATAACTACAGCTTTGATTGGACAAGAGAGTGATTTTAGTAACCTTCTCTTGATAGACCATCAATCATGGACCAGTCCTGGTCAGTTTACAGAGGCTGTTCACTTGAGTGACTTTGTGTCCCTTTTGCATATAGGGTCCAATTGTAATACATTGAAATGTTAAGTCTCCGCCCCAGGGTGAACATGGGTTGTATGTTACATGCACATTTGTTCAATAGGCATGTGTCAGGACTACCTTCATAAATATTCATAAATCTTCCTATAGCCTGTTGAATATGTATATTTAGCCATATTCAGCATGAAGCCCCTACTCCAACACCTTCTCCTTCAAAGTGCCTGTTTCCAGGTCTTTACAGGAGGCTGCACTCCCCAGCCTGCAGGATGGCCACCTTGCAGACTGGAATCCTTTATAAGAAATAAAGTCTCCTTTTTCAAATTTATAAATTTCTGATTTTTTTAAAGTTAACAGAGACAATGTGGAAATACTTGATAGGTATAATGCAGGTGTTGAAAGACAATTTTTGAAAAGGCAACATATTCTCTTTTCCTAAAATTTAAAGGTCCCATTGACCAAAATGTCGTTACATGGCAAAAATAAATTATTTTAATTTTAAAAGCTCCCTTATGCTAAAAGGCTAATGGCCACTTGGTTGTTCATAAATATGAGATTTTCATGTCCCTTTATCTCCACAGCTTTTAGATGAACACCCATTTTGATTAGTGCAATGATTGGCAATGATCAGGTAGCAAGTCAGCATTATTTATTTAGTATTAGGTTGGTGCAAAAGTAATTGCAGTTTATATCATTACTTTTGCACAGACCTAACACTAAAATGAATAAGAGTCTGACTATGAATGGAAAAGACTGCCTCCCTGTGCCAAAGGCTCATGAGCATGGCTTTGTAAAATCTCCCAGTTGTATTCTGTCTCATAGTTTGCAGTTGACCCTTGAACAACACAGGTTTGAACTGTGCAGATCCACTTAGATTTTCTTCCACCTCTGCCACCCCGGAGACAGTAGGACCAAACCTTCTCTTTCGTCCTCCTCCTCAGCCTACTCAGAGTGAAGATGACCAGGATGAAGTCGTTTATGATGATCCACTTCCATTTCATGAATTGTAAAGATATTTTCTCTTCCTTATGATTTTCATAACATTTTCTGTCTAGCTTACTTTATTGTAAGAATACAGTTTATAATACATATACAAAATATGTATTAATCGACTGTTTATCTTATCAGTAAGGCTTCCAGTCAACATGAGGCCATTAGTAGTTAATTTTTGGAGGAGCCAAAAGTTATACTTGGATTTTCTACTGCACAAGGGGTCAGCCCCCCCAACCCCTGCCTTGTTCAAGGATCGACTGTAGTATAATATAGTACAGTACAGTACATTATAGATAGTATGGTATTTTTATTTTATTTTATTTTTGAAATGGGGTCTTGCTCTGTCGCCCAGGCTGGAGTACAGTGGTGCAATCTCAGCTCACTGTAACCTCTGCCTCCCGGGTTCAAGCGATTCTCTTGCCTCAGCCTCCCAAGTAGCTGGGATTACAGGCGTGCACCACCATGCTCGGCTAATTTTTGTATTTTTAGTAGAGATGGGGTTTCACCATGTTGGCCAGGCTGGTGTTGAACTCCTGACCTCAGGTGATCCGCCCACCTCGGCCTCCCAAAGTGCTGGGATTATAGGCGTGAGCCACCACGCCCGGCAGATAGTATAGTATTTCCAATTTCCTTCTGCAGCTACACATAAAAGGTTTTTTTTTAAAGAAATATATATAAGGTATTTAGCTTTAGTCCTTACTGTGGCTGAATTTTCACTGGGCACTGATAAATAAAGGCACTTTTTGTTCTAGAACTCTCCCTTCTCTGGTCATAAGACAGGGAGGCACTGTCCCTAGACATGTTCAGTAATGATAGTGAGAGTTTGTTTGTCTAGATCCTGATACATGTGAAAGATCAAAACAACTTTCACATACATTATCTCATGTGACTCTTACAGTAGAGGTGAGGGTTCTGTAATCTCCCTTTTACAGATGAGAAAACTGAGGCTCAGCATAGGTGTCAAAGTTGAGTCTGAGACCCAAGTCTTCCAGTTCCTAGTCTTTGTCTAAAGACCTTCTGCTTTCTGGAATCCTTTGGGGTAGAAGCCAGAACCTATTCTAAAACAAGATCCTCCTCGTTTTGCACAAACATCTCCTTTTTCTACATGCAACCCCTGCCTCTGCCCCCTGGCCCAGAAGACCTTCATTTTCACCCAGCAGCATGGACTTAGACAAGGGCCGAAGAAGCCCTCTCACCTTCTCCCGCAGCTTCCGTTCCTTGCGCTCCTGCACGGTGGTCAGGTAGTTGACAGCCGCATACTCCAGCACCGAGAGGAACACGAACACAAAGCTGACCCAGAGGTAGATGTCCACGGCCTTGACGTAGGAGACGCGCGGCATGGAGGCATTCACGCCCGTGATGATGGTGGTCATGGTCAGCACCGTCGTGATACCTGCAACACCCGGCCTTAGTTGGGCTGCTGACAGCGGTCTAGAACTGCCCTCATATCTCACTAAGTCACGATTTTACACTCTCTATCTCTTAAACCACATGAGAAAGTCCCAGGTGTGTTTCCACCTCGGAGAGGGGCAAGGATCTGCCCTACTAGCAGCCAGGCCTATTCTCCTCAGAGCCAACCTGCTTGCTTGTCCCATTTTCCTTCAAGCACCTGAAAGACTGGGTTTCTGTGATGTGGCTGACAAAGAGAGGACCTATTCTCATGTGGAATTAAAGACAGCGACTAAAGGACACCTCTGAAGGAACGTTCTCAAACTTCTCATCTTTAGATGAGAGAGAATGTGCCTATTCCTTGAAGTTTGAGAACGTGCCTTCAGAGGTGTGCTTTAGTCGCTGTGGAAGACTGTGGAAATTCCCAGAGGCCCATCATGCGGGATTCTTCTTCACTCTGTCTTGCTGCTTAAACCCTCACCTTTCTCAAAGCCCAACCTAATGTTGTCTAAATTTACAATGACATGTTGTAAACTTTCACTCTGGAATTCAGGGTCTGTAAAAGGCTAAAACACAGCTCGAGGGAACGTGGTCCTCCTTTTCCCACAAATCTCATATTCTGTGCCCTACCTCCAAGCCCTCAGTCTGTCTAAACACGGCCAGCAAATGAAGTTTTTGTATTTACAGAAGGAATTGTTGGCATTTGCAGAATCATCTTGTTTATCTAAATACTGAGCTCTGATATTGCCAGTTGTCGAAGTCTGTACCCCAAATCTTTCTGAAGTGATACAATCACAGTTGATGTTGTTTTAGCTCCCTGTGGCTCTCATAATGTGGAGGAAACTGAGGCCAGCATCTAGATGGTAAAGGCAAGAAACATGAAGTTGCTCCTTCTGACTCTAACAGCTCATCAGTTAAGAAGTCTAAGTAATGATTTTTACTTTTTGTAAACATAGTGATAAGTTGAAAAAAATAACCACCCTACCACACCTTATGAAATGCTTTTACCCAGTGAAACTCTGGCAGGCACAGCTCTGCGGTCGATCCAGAAGGACACCCAGGACAGCATGACCATCAGAGTGGCAGGGAAATATGTTTGGAGCAAGAAGAAGAAGATGTGGCGACGCAACGTGAAGTTAATGTACAGACGGTTGTACCAGCCTAGGGGATGCAGGAAGAAGCCAATGAGGTTCCATCTGAGAGGTGAAAGCAAACTGTGTCCCTGGGAACCCGTCTTTCACTGACTTGGCTCTCCTCAGCAACAGAAAGTTGAAATTAATGACCAGTTGGCTTAATATAATACCTTTCTTTTCCAAAATCTAAGCCCTTTCTCCTATATATAAATATCTTGCCAATATCTAGTACATTTACTATCTCAGTTGGTATTACCTAACTTTTCTTCACAGTATTTTGGGAAACGGCAGAACTAAACAGAAGGGAAGTTTTAGTCGTTTGGGTTTTTGTTTGTTTGTTTTTGAGACAGGGTCTTGCTCTGTAGCCCAGGCTGGAGTACAGTGGCACACTCACAGCTCACTGCAGCCTCAGCCTCCCAAGCTCAAGCGATCCTCCCACCTCAGCTTTCTGAGTAGCTGGAACTACAGGTGTGTGCCACCATGCCCAGCTAAATTTTTTTTCTTATTATTATTTTGTAGAGACAGGGGTTTCACCATGTTGCCTAGGCTATAGTTGTTTGTTCTGTATTTGTAATTTGCAAATTACAACCATATTTCTTGAGTGACTTGCTGCTCAAAAGCATAAGAGGTTGGAATAGTTCTATTTTGTTGAGGCCAGTGCCACTGGGGCAGGAGCTGGGAGAGCTAGGCTCTGGTCACTGTCACCTTTATTGTGAAATTGTCACCTTTATTGTGAGACCCTAATCCTTTATCATGCAAACTCCACATCTGTCACAAAAAGAAATAGGCTGTTCACATGATTCTAAAGTCTGACATTTGGGACATGAGGTAATGAGACATTTAGAGGCTTTTCCAAAGCCTTAGCTAGAGTCAGTTGAGCTTGGTTCAACCCAGGCCTCCAATGCCCAGGCGAGTGTACAGTTCACTGGCACTAAGTATATTATTCACAATATGGTACAACCATCACCACTATTCATTGCCAGAACTTGTTCATCATCCCACACAGAAACTCTGCACCCATTACACAATAACTCTCCATTCCCCCTCCCATGAGTTCCTGGGAACCTTTATTCTATTTCTCTCTCTTTATTTTTTTGAATAGAGACAGGGTCTCGCTCTATTGCCCAGGCTGGAGTGCAATGGCACAATCATAGCTCACTGCAGCCTCAAACTCCTGTGCTCAAGCAATCCTCCCTCCTCAGCCTCCTGAGTAGTTAGGACCAGGGGCATGTGTCACCATGCCTGGCTAATTTCTTTTCTTCTTTTTTTTTTTTTTTTTTGAGACGGAGTATCACTCTGTCCCCCAGGCTGGAGTGCAGTGGCGCAATCTCAGCTCACTGCAACCTTTGCCTCCTGGGTTCAAGCAATTCTCCTGTCTCAGCCTCCCGAGTAGCTGGGATTACAGGTGCATACCACCATGCTTGGCTAATTTTTATATTTTTAGTAGAGATGGGGTTTTGCCATGTTGGCCAGGCTGGTCTCGAACTCCTGGTAGGTAGAAGCCAGAACCTATTCTAGGCTACATTATTTTAATAATCAAAATTTAGGCTGAGCATGATGGCTCACGCCTGTAGTCCCAGCACTTTGGGAGGCCGAGGTAGGAGGATTGCTTAAGTCCAGGAGTTCGAGACCAGCTTGGGCAACATAGTAAGACCTCATCTCTACAAAAAAATTTTAAAAATTAGCTGGACATGGTGGCAGCGCCTGTAGTCCCAGCTACTCAGGAGGCTGACGTGGGAGGATCACCTGAGCCTGGGAGGTTGAGGCTGCAGTGAACCATGATTTCGCCACTACACTCCAGCTTGGGAGACAGAGTGAGACCTTGTCTCAAAACAAAAAACAAAACACACACAAAACATATTTTCCTGGGGTTAAGGCTGAAGAAGAATTCAAATGTGCTTTCTTGCACATTTGAATCAGATTGTGGCAAAAGATAGCTACCAGTGCTGCTGTAGAAGGCCAGCCTGGAAGTTGTGTGAAATTTCTGAATCAGAAACTGAGACAAGGAGATCTTCTCATCTGTTTTTAGGGATTCATCCCCATTCTTCCAGTACAGCATTAGATCTTCATCTGTATAGGCATCTTTGGGAAGAGGAAAACAAGTTAATTTGACTCCTTCGCTTCTGATGCAGGGTGAAGTAACAGGGAAATCCTATGCCAGTCCAGAAGTAAATAGGTCTTAACGCTGGCGGGCAGTGCTCAGTCTCATGATTACTAAAATGGCACAAAGATCAGAGAGGAAAGAAAGTGAAGGAATTAGGAATGCTGATACTTACAGCTCTCCAGCTCCAAAGAACAGGTCTGGGAGTCCAGGGGAAAGTGGCTGAAGTCCATGTTGCACATGGCAGTGACCGTAATCCTAGACAACCCAGAGTCACATATTGGCTTGTGCGGTGAATTATTGGCTCCTACATCTGCCCAGAGCAAGAAGGCACAGCACACAACTGAGTAGCTGCCTCCTCACATCTGCTGCAGAAGTTTGGAAACAGTTATCTGAGTTATAGAACCTTAACTTCTAGAGTTTTGTCTTCTGTAGTAGAGTATTAGTGCTCTGCCAGATCCCCATTACTGGGCTGGTGCTCCCCTTCCCCAGCCACTGGTGGTGCTGGCTGCTAATGGCTCTCTCCTGTGCCTCTCTCTGGGCTTTGCCCTCAGCCAGCAGGGCCACCTCCTCCAGAGATGCCTGGGAGGCCCCCTCATCAACTTCCACCAAAGGCCAGAAGTGTCTAGTATCAGCAATGCATTCTGGTGAACTGTACAAGCAGACCAGGGGGATGTGGGACAATGAGCTTCATCAGTGACAAGTAAGAAAAAAGCATTTTTTTAAGATGTGGAACATGACTTCTTATGTGACTCCCCGTACTCCAGAAGCCAATCTGCAATAGCACTCAAAACACAGTAGCTATTTTTTTGGGGGACGGGGGGGGGCTTTTTTTTTAATCTATTTTTTTAAAAGCTTTTTTTTTAATCTTTATTATCAATCAACTAGAATCACATGCTCTCAGGGAACAGAAGGTACAGTATGTGGAAGGTCATTGTCTCATTCAGGCCAAAGTAGTCTTCTCACCCAAGCTTAAGACCCCCAGTGATGGGGAAGTTGTCCCCTGCTGGGGTGGCCATGTCATGTTTAGATAGTTCTGACTAGCATCAGAAGGCTCCTCCCATCCACGAACCCACAGACCCAACCGCAGTGACAGTCTTCAGGGCCAAAGGGCCTGACCACACATACCAGAAAGGCACTGGACAGAGGAACAATGGCCCCCAGACAGCTACCTCATGCTGTACAGCACGTGTCCATCTGGGAACACCCTCAGCATGATGTTGTCAGTGGTGGTGTCATGAGTGAACGATCTTTTGGAGTGAACAAAGAAGACATCAGGGACCCAGATCTTCTTCACCAGCCGGCCATCGAAGGTCATGCTCTTGTTGCTGGCGCTGGAGAAAGCTAGCCTCTCATCCTTCCAGTAATGCCGCAGGTACAGGGTCATAGTGAAGTCCTGTGGGAGCCGGGGTGAGACCAGACAAAAATGGCTTAGAAGGTTTTCTTCCTTACAATCAACCCACCATTCACTACTGTGGTGAACATCTCAGGCTCAGCATCCAGATTCAGAGGTAACAGTTCTGCAGCCCTGTGGCAGGATGGCACTGTGCAGTTGGAAAGAGAATAGCTCATTTTTATGCATCATGCGCTTGGAGCCCAGGAGACTGAGCAACCAGCCCCTCAGGCTTTGCAAATGAAAACTGCAGCTGTGATGCTCGCAGCCTGGCCTGGTGGCCAGTGGGGAAGGATTTCTCCAAAGCTCTGCTCTCTCTCACTTAGACCTCTGCACACATGGTTCCTTACCCATTGGCTAACCATTCCATTTCAGCTTAGTGGCCACTTCCAGAAACCTGGATTGTCGAATGTCTCTCTTAGGAGGATTCTTGCCGTTAGGCTTATAAGATCCTTGAAGGAAAAATTGTGTCTTGCCCACCATTGCATCCCCATTCATCACAGAATTTAGTGCCTGGCAAAGCACAGAGTAGATGCTCAATAGATATTTGCTGGTTGAAAGATCGGGGAGATAAATGGATGAGGGGATGGGCAGCTGCATACCTACTATAATTTCTGCCTGAAATCTTACCTTGTTCAAAAGTGTCTCCTTGCCTGCATGGTTGATTCCTTAAGAGTTTGGTCCTTCCCCATAGCCAAAGCTGACACAGGTGCAAATGGAAAAATAACTGCCCAAAAGATCCTCTTCTGGGTGGAGGAAGGCTGGAAAGAGTTCGTGGTTGTGGTGGGCCCAGAGGGAGCCCCAGGAAGAGAGGAAAGAATGAGTGAGCACTGGGATAGTGCATGCATGAGAGTCTGTCCCTAGACTGATCCTGGCTCCCAGTGCATCAGCAGCTGCCAGGAACTCCCCCTCCACACACACGGAGAGCAGCCAATACCTGAGTAGGAAGAGACCAGCCAAATGCCCCTTCTGGCTATTTCCCTTCTCGGTCACAAAGCTGAAGAGCAGGCTCTGAGGGCCATTGCCCAGGGGAAGTGCAGATTCACAAACACCAGCTGTGTATGGCTACCTTGGATGTTACCTACCTACTGCTGGAGTCCACCTGCCTTCCCACAGGTTGGTGGTTGCTCTGTGAGAGGCAGGTCATTCTAGATACCTCTCCCTGTGATCCTGAGCCACACAGGACAAAGTCTTCACACTCAGCACAGACATCTGGGTTGATTCAGTCTAGGGCAGCCAGGCTGTTCTAGACACAGCTGGTTCTGGAACTGGGCTCAGCTGTTGGATATCCAAAGGGGCTGGCAATGTAAAATCTAGCATCTTGGAAACTGTCATACCTGCACCTTTCACACCTGGGCCCCATATTTTACCAGGTGCTGGAGCTATGGGGGGTGTACAACCTCAGTATCAATCATATCAGCTCTGCCATGCTGGGTCCGTTAGGAGCAAGGGGCGTTCCCACTCTTCAAGGGCAGATGACAGCATTGCAAGTGGGATGCAGTGCTGGCAAGTGGAGCCTCCCCGACTTTTATTTATTCCACACATTTTCAGGGCCCCTGGGGGACCACACTGGACTAGACTTGGAGATATTGGGGTAAAGAAAAACATGAGTCCCTGCATTCATGGAGCTTATAGTCAAGCATGGAAGACAACCAATATATAAGAAAACTCCCCAAATAAATATCTAGCACAATTATAAATGATGATGTAGGCTATGAAGAAAAAACAGAAATTCTTTAGATCAGGAGGTCAGGGAAGCCTCTTTGAAGAAGTCTCATTTTAGCTAAGTCCTGAAGGATAAGAAGGAGATAGCTATGGGGAGGGCCAGAGCTGAAGCATGCTCAAGATCCCTGAGGCAGAAGAAAGAGGAAGTTTGCAAACTGAAAGAGAGGCATACAGAAGAAGGAAGAGAGGAGGCTGGGGCCCTGGGGTGGGGGGCACACCTCTCCACTGTGAGCCTTGCAGGACACCCAGGCCTGTGGTGGTAGAATTGGGGTAGACATGGAGTGGGGGACACTGCCACAAAGTGAGTAGGGGGACTGCACTTGCAGCAGGAACTGAACATCAGAAAGCTGCAAAATTTCAGCCTGAAACTGTCCACCTCCAGTACCCCACCAGGTGTGGTTCGCCTGATCACTTGCATTATTTGTGGAGTGTGTTGAAAATGCAAAGTATCACTCCCAGAGATTCTGAATCAGGAAGTGTGAAATGGGGCCCAGAAACCCACATTTAACCAACTCCTTAGGTTATTTTTACCCACGCAGCGAGAATGCCCGCTTTAGATTTTACTGCTCCAGGGCCGACTTCCAAGCGCCCATTTTATCACCTCCAGCTCCCGCTCTGCCCACACAGGCACAGCCTGCACCACCGAGGCCCACTACACTACAGGCTCTCACGCTGTGTCACTGGAGGCCGCTGCATACCATGTCCACCTCGGAGATGCTGTCCAGGCTCTCCACCTGTACGTCCACGCCCACCGGGATGGCAGGGCCTGCAGAAGAGCAGAGACAGCTGGTTAAGGCACCTTCCTCTCTACCTTTGGGCTGGGAACAGCCCCAGTTGGCTTCCCCCGGGGAGCCAGGACTGGAGCAGAGTAGGGCAGAGGTTTAGAATTCTATGAGGGTTTCTTGCTGGTTCCTGACCTGTTGGGTGTCTGAGCTCTCTCCACAACGTCAGGGACTGTGCCTGCCTTATGTGCCATCCCTGGGCCAGGCTGAATGTGTAATCCATGCTTATTGGATGAATCAATGAGCTGATCACCACTTTTTACATCCCAGGGCTGTCTCTGTAGGGTAGAGGTAATAATGTGGCTGTAGTGCCTGACTGGAGACCCTGGTCATTGGGCCTCCTGTGACATCTGAAAAAGAGAATGAGGCCTAAAAGCATCCAGCTCTGGGCTGGGCACCTGCATGCCCTGGTCTGAATTCATTCAGTCATTCAGGCTATACCTACAGAGACCCTGACATATAGCTGGGGTCCAGCCCTCTAGAGGCCTTCAACCCAGGGTGAGACAAGATCTTCTCTGTGCGATGTCACATCACAGCAAAGGACAATGAAACCTTGTCAGGCCATGTCAGATTAGAAGTATGAGAAAACCCAGCACGGAAACTAGCACTGAACTTCATCTGGCCTACGGCAAGATTTCTAAAACTGAGTTTGTCTGTGGGGTCCTGTCCTTTTCCTTGAGCTGGGTGATGGTTACGTAGATAAGTTCACTTTAGGAGAATGTAGTGAGTGGTACACTTACAATGGGTGCACTTTTCTGGGTGTATGTTATGCTTTAGTAAAATGTTTTTTGGATTTTAATTTTTTTTAAACTTAGAAAGGGAAAAACCAGCAACCTGCATCTATCAGGCGTGTTAATGAATGCCATTACACTGCAAGTCAGGTGCAGCTGGGCTGGGCCTCAGCGGGAGAGGGCATTGTCCAGAGGCCAGCCTAGCTGCACGTGGGTCCTCTGAGCCCTGACCAGGGAACACAGGATCAGGACGTTGTGACCCACTGTGGTCTGAGCGGGGAGAACCTTGGGGGGACTTGGTGAGTCTGAGTCCTGAGGAATGAGCAGAACTGGAAGGGCTGAGACTTTGGCCATGGGCGGGGAAGGAGGACCAGAGATTCCCACACTGCGTACGTAGGAACTAGAAAGCCCAGTCCTCAGCTCCCGCCCAAATGCAGGGTAGAGGTCCTCTTGGAAGTAGTCCCGGGTGGGAGATGGCCTCGCTGACTCCCCCACGGCTCCCCATAGGCTTGCAAACACTTGAAATCCCACCGTTAAAGATTTCCTGTTTTGGCTGAGCCTGATAGAATGGAAGTATTTTATTCATTACTGGTGAGGTTGGGTGACTATTTTCTGTGTTCTTAAACGTGAAAGAAAATAAGTACAATGCTTTAATTTTTCCCTCTCAGATAAATCAGGGTATAAGTTGAACGTTCTATTTTTCTGTGTTCCTCAGATGATAGCTAAGATCAGGGCCCATGAGAAATCTTTGCTCTGACAGTCGTCCGTATTCTCTTCTTTTGAGACAGAGTCTCGCTCTGTTGCCCAGGCTGGAGTACAGTGGCACAATCTTGGCTCACTGCAACCTCTGCCTCCCAGGTTTAAGCAATTCTCCTGCTTCAGCCTCCTGAGTGGCTGGAATTACAGGCGCCTGCCACCACACCTGGCTAATTTTTTGTATTTTTAGTAGAGGCCAGGGTTTCACCATGTTGGTCAGGCTGGTCTCAAACTCCTGACCAAAAGTGATCCGCCCGCCTCGGCCTCCCAAAGTGCTGGGATTAGAGGCATGAGCCACCGCACCGGCCTGCATTCTCTTTTTATTCCAGGCTCCAGAAGTGCTTTGAGGGTGCCAGAAATGGGATGGTCCCTGTGGGAGGAGGCCCCTCCTCAGGGCTTACCAATTAACCTATCTTTCTCCCCTGAGGGCCTTGCAACCTGAAGGAGGGTGTGTGGGCAGCCTGGCCAGAGCTGTCTCCTAGTACCTAGATCCCGCTCCCTGCTAGAGGCTCCCAACACCATTCATTCCCTCATCCTGGGGACCCTTCATTAGTCTGAGGTGTTAAAATGGCCCAGAGTGGCACTTTAAATTCTGGGGTAGCACAGCCTCCTGTGGAAGATGTACTGTACTCTCCCTGTTCCCCATCTCTCCTGTGCCTACTTTCTCTAAAGTGCCAGGTGACCTGCTGGATACAGCAGTCCCAAGAGCCGCAGGGAAGAAACAATACAGCGATGGCCCTCTTGGATTCATGTTCTAGTGGCCTGGTTTTCAGATAACATGCACAGTGTTTGACCAGGAGCTAGTTTTGGCTCAGGCATTTTCCAGATAAAATGTCAGCTGGCTTGGTGTTAGTTACTGTGTCTGTCTGTTCTCAGGGCCTGGCTTGCTCTTCAGAGCTCCAGTGCCCTTTTAAGGAGAAATTTGATAAAAACTGCAAGGGAGGCATCAGTGCTCTGGAGGTATTGCCCATGCGGAGTGCAGGTCAAGGCCTCAGATGCCCCAGGTTGTTGGAGGAAAACAATCTTTCTATTCAGGAGGTCCCAAAGCCACATTCAGGGAAACTCGCACCTCAAGTTTCAACAGAGACCAAAGGCCCTGCCCTCCTTGGTCTGAGCGCTGCCTTTGACCTGCCCCACTGCCTGGCTCTCAAGATCTCCACTTTGTGGCCCTTCCCAACCTAGATTTGGGAGAAATTCTTGCAAATTACTGGTCTTTCTTCTTCTTCCATGAACAATTTTATGTTTTGAGTGGGGCTAAGTCCTAACAAGTCCTATTTAGAAGGAAAGTAGTCTCATTAAACTAATGAGGCTTGGCCCCTTAACACTGCTGTAGGGTTTTCTGCTTTAAGAGAGGGGCTGGGCTGGGTGAAGTGGCTCACATCAGTAATCCCAACACTTTGGGAAGCCAAGGTGGGTGGATCATCTGAACCTAGGAGTTCAAGACCAGCCTCAATAACACGGCGAAACCCTGTCTCTACAGAAAATACAAAAATTAGTTGGGCATGGTGGCATGCACCTGTAGTCCCAGCTGCTCAGGAGACTGAGGTGGAGAATTGCTTGAGCCAGGGAGGTCCAGGCTTCAGTAAGCTGTGAGCGTGCGCCACTGCACTCCAGCATGGGCAATAGAGTGAGACCCTGTCTGTAAATAAATAATTTTTAAAAAAATAATGAGGGATCTGGTAACGCAAAGAGACTTCTCTTTGGGATTTCTCTTCTCTGGTGAGATTTCAGGCAGTGTAGCCAGTTAGGTGACAAATTCAAGGCAGCATAAGGGAAATACATGCTTAGCCAAGGGCTCTTCTTGGTTCCTAACTTTCCGCTTTAATTTTTCTTCTCATGGTCCTGGAAAGCACACTTTAGGGATTTATCACATCCAGCAAAACACTGAAAAAGATAATAAATCATGTCCAAATCAGGTTCACTCCAGGAATGCAAAACTGGTTTTAACACTAGAAAATCAATCAAGGAATTCCAGTAATAGCAAGCTAAGTAATTCACACTAACATTTCTATTGAAAATTTAAAAATTGGACAAAAATAGAAAAATTTACTTTTTTTTCTGTTTTTAAGACAAAGTCTCGCTCTGTCACCCAGGCTGGAGTGCAGTGGCATGATCTCGGCTCACTGCAACCTCTACCTCCCGGGTTCAAGCGATTCTCATGCCTCAGCCTCCCAAGTAGCTGGGATTACAGGTGTGCACCACCACACCTGGCTAATTCTTGTAGTTTTAGTAGAGATGGAGTTTCACCATCTTGGCCAGGCTGGTCTGAAACTCCTGGCCTCAAGTGATCCGCCCGCCTCAGCCTCCCAAAGTGCTGAGATTACAGGTGTGAACCAATGTGCCAGAAGAAAAACTTACTTTTGGAGGCATCAAAGTTAACAAAACAGGCCAGGATTGGGGGTCTAGGTGAAGCAGAGTCCCAAGGGGATGGCCCGGTATTTGGATCTACTTCTCTTAGGGGCATTTGCCAATTCAGGAGGGGAATTGAGAGGCAGAGAGATGCTTTTGATGACTTCAAGGGGCTGTGGGACAGGATTAGGGCCCAAGTGCTCATTTAGTGGAGCTTCGTACTTCATATATTGTACATCCCAAAGACTGCATTCTAGAAATGAAGGTGGACCAGAGTAGATAAACCTTTGTAGGGTTCGCAGCTTAAATTATGTCAGTCACCGAACACGGATTAAAGCTCTCCGGAGTGGTAGTCCCCTCAAGCAACCTCGGGTGTTAATGCCACCAGGCACCTGGCAGAAATAAACATAAATCCCCTCTGGAGGAAGATAACATCATCCTTGGTCTCTAATTTTTTCTATTAAAATATTATAAATATAAATTATAATATAAAATATAAATATAAATTATAAATCATTATTTATATTATATACATTATAAATCATTATTTATATTATATACATTATAAATTATTATTTATATTATTATATAAATAAGTTCATAAGCAAAAATAAGCAGGCACATCAGAAAATAAGGCATACACAATAACCAGCAGGAAAATAAAGAATATAAACAGATCCATAGGGGTCTTTGGATACTGAAATAAGATAGACTTTAAAATATCGAAGTTTACTATGTGCAAATAGATTTTTAAACATTAAGATTGAGAGTTTCTGCATAAAACTGGAAAACTATAAAACTTAGAATCAATATAAATTTCCACATTAACAGACTACAAAAGAAAATTCTTTACCTCAATAATTGCAGAAAAGCGTTTGTTAAAATCAGTACCTATTTATGATTTTTTAAAAAATGAATAGAAGGGAATTTTCTCAATGTGATGAAGGAGAGCTACCAAAAAATCTACATCAAATACCATCTTTAATAGTAAACCGTTGTAAGATTTCCTTGGAAATTGTAAATAAGACAAGAATGCCATTGATGCCACTACCATTGTCCTAAAGGTTTTAGCCAGTGCAATAGGAAAAGAAAAAAAAAGTTATGACCGTTGGAAAGTTATGACATTATTTGCATGTTGTATGATTGAGTACATAAAATTTAAAAATCGTAGATAAACTATTAGACTGATAAAAGAGTTTAACAATATTGTTAAATATAGAGTCAGTATATAAAAATCAATTACATTTCTCTATACCAGCAGAGTTTTAAAAAATGATTTTTTTAAAGTATCATTTATGAAATCATCAAAAGTACCTAGAAATAAGTACATAGAAATAGGTCTATGAAACTATCTGAAGTCCTCCATGTAGAAAACTATGAAACATTATTGAGAGAAATTAAAGCAGACCTAAATAAATGGAGAAATATATCATGTTCATGTATTGGAATATTCACTATTTGACATGATTAGGCTTTCTGTCCCCACCTAAATCTCATCTTTAATTGTAATCCTCATTATCCCCATCATCCCCACTTGTCAGACCAGGTGGAGGTAACTGAATCATGGGGGGTGGTTTTCCCCATGCTGTTCTCGTGATAGTAAGTGAGTTCTCTCAAGATCTGATGGTTTTATAAGGGGCTCTTCCCCACTTTGCTCAGCACTTCTCCGTCCTGCTGCCTTGTGAAGAAGGTGCCTTGCTTCTCCTTCACCTTCTGCCCTGACTGTAAGTTTCCTGAGGCTTCCCAAGCCGTGCTGAACTGTGAGTCAATTAAACCTCTTTCCTTTATAAATTACCCAGTCTCAGGCAGTTATTTATAGCAGCATGAGAATAACTATGTAATACAAATAACTGACAAAGAGCTAGTATACAGAATATATAAATAACTCCTAAGAGTTCCATTAAGAACAAGTCAAATAACCCAATACAAAAACAAGCAAGAGATTTGAATAGGCATTTCACAAAAGAGGAAATTAACAATAAACATATTTGTGTGATGGGTACACTAGAAGCCCAATGCCCACCATTACACATGTATTTAACAAAAACACACATGTACCTGAATCTAAAATCTAAAAAAAAAAGAAAAGAAAATAATTACTACTACCACAACAACAAAAATGATAAACATCTGGAAAGGTGCTCAACCTCATTAATAGCTCCATTAAAACCACAATAAGATATTCTTACTATATACTAACAAAAGTGGCTCAAATGAATGGGTGACTATCCCAGGTGTTGGCAAGGATATGGGGCAACAGGAACTCTCATACCTTGCCAGTGGTGGGCGGGGGTGGGGGGGGGTGGGGGCTGCAAATTGGTACCACTACCTTTCAATGCATTACCTAGCAAAATGGAAGCTATGTACACCCCATGACCCAGGGACTCTACTTCGAGAAATGTATGTGAATGTGCACCAGAAGACATACACAAAAATATTCACAAAGCATTCTTTGTTATAGCTAAAAGCTGGAAATCTCCCAAATGTCTGTCTCTAGTATAGGATACATTGTGGTGTATTCATACAATGGAATTTCATAGTTACATGCAATAACATAAGAGATTTTCATCTTATGGATGAATATGTACGGTATGCTTTCATTTATATACAATTCCAAAACATACAAAGCTAAATTATGGGGTTGAAGATTATGTATGTTGGAGATGAAAGAATAAAAAGTGAAGGAAGTAATGGCCAAAAGGTACCTGACTGGAATGGCATATGGATAGGTGATGGGTTTCTGGGGAATAGAAATATTATTTTTCTTGATCTGAATGATGGTTCACCTGGGTGTTTATTTTAAGCTATTTCACTGTACACTTGTTTAGCGTCCTTTTCTCAATGTGTGTTATAGCTCAAAGTTTTAAAAATAGTAAAGAAAAATAACACCTATTAATATTTGAGAAACCAGTATTTGGAAACAGTGACTTAAAAGCTTGTCTGAGAAGGTGAGGCTGAGGGGCTTGAGTCTCACATCTAGGCAAACCGACTAGGGTCTCAACTTAAACTCTACCTTTCTTCTAGGGGGCTTTTCCTGAGCCCCTGGGTAAGGTTGTGGGGTCCCCACAGTGTCCCATTCTTTTCCTAGTGTAACACTCACCTGCTTCCTTCATCAACTTTCAGGGAGAGCAACTGTCTTTCTGCTTTGTCAGCCTCCAAAATCTGCACTCAAGAAAACACCAGAACCCCCAACTCCCACTCACCCACACTAGTGTGGGGCGGGGAGGTTGGCATATCAATAGAGACCAAGATCTAAGGTCAAATGGCACAAAGTTCCACTGAGGTGTGGGAGGAAGAGGAGGACGGGAGGTGTTGATGGCTTTGTGGTCCCACAGGTGGGTCATTCACCAACCTGGACTCAGGAAGCGGGCCCCTGAATTTCCTACTCCTGGCTTCCCCAGCCAGCTCTCCAGTGGTTGAGGGGCCTCTGTTTGCTGTGGCTCACAGTATGGGCCAGTACCAAGAATGACCAATACCAAGAAGTGGATGATAAGCCCGAGAAACCGCCATGCCCTGTGCATGGGCTGCAAGACGAAGCCAGCTCCCGAGCAGGGTGGAGCCGTCTCTCTGTCCCTCAGATCCCCGGCCTGGCCCTGCATCCCCTCTCTGGTCCTTCATGCCACCCACAGCTGCTCCTGACAGTTTGCTTGTGTTTGTGCTCTGTTATCCACCATCATCCTCGTGTTGAGATTGTCTGTGTGAGGCAGGCAGCGGGGAGCCCTGTGTCCATGGAGTCCCTGAAGACCGGTGAAGGGATTCTGTGAACACCCTGAAACTGCATATAAAAAAAGTGTGCATGCGTGTGTGTGTGTGTGCATGCATGCGGGTGTGTGCTCACTCTGGTGTGTGTGTGACAGAGACAGAGAGAGGCAGATATTTTTAATTACTATTCTGGGAAACAGACTTTCAAAGGACTGTGATTCAAAAAACTTTTTTTTGGTTTATTTTTAGAGATAGGGTCTTGTTCTGTCACCCAGGTAGGAGTGCAGTGGCAAGATCATAGCTCACTATAACCTGGAACTCCTGGCCTTAAGGGATCCTCCCTCCTCAGGCTCCCAAAACACTGGGATTACAGGTGTGAGCCACTATGCCAGCTACAAAAAAAGTTAAAAAAAAAAAAAACCCCACTGATACACTGCCTGTATCTGAATTTTGTCACTATCATTTCTTAGTAGTGTGACTTTGTACATACATAATTTCTCTTTCCCTCAGTTTCCTCATCTCTAAAATAGGTATAATAATTGTACCAACTTCATATGCTTATCAGGCTATCATTAGGATTAAATGTGCTCATCCATGTAAAGCCCATGGAAAGGTTTGACATATAAGATGTTCTCCATAAATAGTTACACTGTCTGGCTGTGGTGGCTCACGCCTGTAATCCCAGCACTTTGGGAGGCTGAGGCAGGTGGGGCACCTGAAGCCAAGAGTTAGAGACTAGCCTGGCCAACATGGCAAAATCCCATCTCTACTAAAAATACAAGAATTAGCCAGGTGTGGGGGCTCATGCCTGTAATCTCAGCTACTTGGAGGCTGAGGTAGGAGAATCGCTTGAACCCGGGAAGTGGAGGTTGCAGTGAGCCAAGATCGTGCCACTATATTCCAGCCTGAATGACAGAGACTTAGTCTAAAAACAAATATATATATATATATATATATATATATATATATATATATATACATACATATACATATACACATACACACACATAGTTACATCAACATTGTCATTATTATTATGGCCTAACTCACTTACCTAGAGGACAGAGCCTGAGGCTCTTACTCCCATACTTCCCTCAGCACTCACAGAGCAGACAGTCTGGTCTGAAGGGGGCTGAATACACACTGGAGGAAGGAATGACTCTGCCAACCTCTTAGCACTGGTGTCTATGTCACTGAGGGTCACACTCTGCAAATCTGATTTCCTGAGGGGATCACAGGCACCCAAGATGGGTTGCCTGCCATGCCAGCTTACTGCCCGCTGCCCCTAGACTCCACAGGCCCTAACAAGGGTCCTGAACTGTCTCCTGGCCCTGGGCTCCAACGCTGCTGTCATGGGTGAATGCGGTTTTGCTCAGCTCCAGCAGAGTGGGCGGAAATAGAGCATTCCAACCTGTGCCATGGAATAAAAGGTGGAAGCCAGCAGCAGAAAAATCTGTGAGCCACACTTGAAGAAAAGTTGGTCATTGTCAGCAATGTGTGCTCCCAGTTATTATGGAGATTTTTAAAAAACTATTTCTGAAGTTCTGGATTATCAGTCAAGGAGAACTTGCCACATTACACTGAAACAAGAACACAGCAAGGATTTTCCCAAGGAAATGCTGTGCTCAGTGAATTCTTCAGGCTCTCTCACAAGGCTTCGCCTTAGGATGAAATTTTGTCAAACTTGTGAAATGAATTGAAGCAAAAATAAGTAATAACGATTTTTCACTGTTTCTCTGAATTTGATATTTTAAGGGTCACGATATTTAAAGAAATAGATCCACATCAGAGATGAATTTGAATAAGACCTTCCATGTGTCAGTGCTTCCTAGGGTCCCTGTGCCTGCACTGACTGAGTGGTTCATACCTGTCCTGACTGTGTCCACCAGACCAAGCCCTGAGCAGACTGCAATTCGCAATATGGAGATGCATAGGCCGCAGTTCCTTCCTCCAGGAGCTTAAAATCCGTGGAGAGGAGCAACTGACTCTGTTTCAGGACACATCACAGAAGTGAAAAAGAAGCATTCATAATATGATCCAGAGGAAGGATCAGTGAAGTCCAACGAAAGGCATTGGAGAACATTTCACACAAGAGACAGCTTTTGCTGAATTTAGGCCACAGGCACTGGAGAAAGCATCACCAACGGGCTGCATTTGGGTTGGACTTTGAAGCACTAGTTACTTCTAACAGGTAGCGGGAGGAAGAAGGGCACTTCAGGTTGTGTGATGAGCATAAGTGTAGTGTGGCAAGTAGATCATTCCCCCACACTTCTCAGATGTGCACGTTTTTTTTTAAAGGCAGTTTCTTTGATCCATCTCACAAGCCCTTATGTCTGTTAAGATGTCTGTTAAGTGTGGAAAAGTTGTAATGAACAGCAGCTCCGTGTAGTCCAGGTTTTAAAGTGTTTCAGATTTCCTCCCACCGTAGATGACCTGTGGCACAGAGGCAAAAGGGGGCCCTTGAATCCTTGCTTGCTGGCTGGTCTCTGCCACTAAGCGCTTCTCTGGACTGGTGTCTGCTGAGGTCCAAAGGATCTCATCTGTCTTTTGGCAAATCCATGGTCCTCTGGCCTCCAGCAGGGAAATCCTCTCACGCTAGGGCCTCTGGGTCCAGACCGGAGCCTATGTTGGTCTGCTGTCCATCTCAGCACCCGCGTCTGCTTACTGCACACTGAGCACTCATGGACTTCAGAAGGCTGTCATGCCCCTCTCTGACCTGGTGGGGGCAGTCACTCAGCTTCAACTCATCCGTCCAGCCACCTCCCTCCATCACGACTGCATCACTACTCCTTCCTCATACTCAATGTAGCAGCAAACGCTTGCATACGTGCACACACATTCGCACATATATACACACTCTCTCACACACACATGCAACCTCCCATGCTAGGCCCAGCCAGCGAGCCACCAGCCCCCCTCCTCCACCACACCCACAGAGATCTTGGGCTCCCTCACATACTGATCTTGCTCTCCAGAAGGAAGCAAGGACACGTGCATTTGACCTCTATGTCTACCCATCTGTCTTCTTCCCCTACAGCTCCCCAGGGGTTGGGCTTGCCATGTCCTCTTCCTGTTCATTAGGAATTCCTCTTCAGGTATCCAGGCATTCCATCTCACAATTCTGCCTTGATGGCAGAAGTGGTGTTTTATCTTCACAGTGAAAAAACCCAATGGACTAAGTTGACATGGCTCTTGCTATGAGAGCCCAGGGTGATTTGGACTAGAGGTTTCTGATGATGAAGACACATTGCTTCAATATCCACCATTATCTTTGTCACCATGAAATGACATGAAGATGCGACTGTTTGTGGAGTCGGAAGCAAAATATATAGGAGTAGCATAGGGCATGGAAAAGTTTGTTGTTTGGGAGAAAGTGTGGCAAGGTAAACTGGGATGGGATCCTGGAAAGGCCTTCTATCCAACAGCAGCCCAAGCCCACCACCAGGCCCACAGAGGCAGCCCGAAGTGGGGCTTCCCACAAGGTCAACCTGCCCAGCTCAACAGGCTTCAGACCGAAGTGGAGAGTGGCAGCTGTCTGCTCACCAGTCTCCCCCTTCCAGATCCTCACTTCCCCAGCCCCTCCCAGAGTCCTCCCATTCCCACGATACTGTGCAGCTCCGTGTTCTTGACTTCGGGCAGACACGTGGAACTGGTGACTACGGTGCCGACTCCATCCTGTGTGCTGCACACGTGGTCACACTCACTAGCTGAGGACTGACTCCTCAAAGCCCAGAGACTTTCATGATTCAGCTTTCTAAGGCTCACTTATCTGATAGGTATAAAGTTCTTTCTCAGTGTTTTCATTTTTATTTCTCTAATTACCAATGAGTCTGATCATTTCTATGTTTCTGGTCCAGGATTTCGTCTTCTGTGAATTGCCCGTTTCTGTTCTTTGCACATTTTTCTATTGGATTTTAATTTTTTTTTTTGCTTGTTGTAAGGAGAGTTTGCCAAGGATTCTTGTCATCAATAGGTGTTCTTTATCAAGAGTTTTTTCCATATCTATTTAGAGAATCCTATGATTTTCAAAATTAGAGATGTACAAAATTTTAAAAATGACATATATACATATGACTTGTGATAGCAAAATAGTGGAAACAATTTAAATATCCTTCAATAAGACAGTTGGCAAATAAAGTATGATAGATCCATACAGTGGAATAATAAACCATTAAAAATATGAAGAAGTTGTATATGAGCTGATAGATTCCCAAGATATAGTGCTAAGTAAAAAAAACCAATGTACAGAAGAGTATGTATAGTACAATAACAACGAGAGTATATATAGCCATACAAGAGTATGTATAGCACAATCGTCTAGAAAGTGGGGTGGGGAGGATATATATGCATATTTCATATGCATAAAATAGCTTTGGAAGGACATGAAAAAGATTTTTATAGGCATCTAGAAAAACAGAAGGGATAATTCCCCTGGCTCTGCATGAGCCAAGTACATCCAGGAGGGACAGCGTTTGGAACCAAGAGCTCCCTGTGAATAGCACAGGCTCAGGGAGAAGTGTACGGGGTGGGCACGTTCACGATCACACTATATTAGAGTCTATTGAAGGGCATGGATTATTGATCTTGTAAAAATTAAAAACTTTCGGAAAACAGTCTTCAACTATTTGAAGGATAGTCATGTGGAAGAGAGACTTCTTCTGAGTAGCACCATAATTACAGCTCTTAAGGTGGTATACGTAGGAGCCTCAGAGAGACAGATTGGCCCTCAAAATGATGCAAACTCTCCGATGGTCCCACCACTCCAAAGATGGTTGGGGTTGTTTCAAGAGAGAGGGTCACATGCTGTATGATTTCATTTACATGCAGTTCAAGAGTAAGCAAAACTAGTCCATGGAGACAGAGGTCAGAAAAATGGTTACCCTTGGGAAGTACCAAGGGTACCTTGGGAGGGGGTGTGAGGGAGCCTTCTGGGAGCTGGAAAGTTCTGTATCTCGATCTGCATAGTGTTTTCAAGGGTAACTGTTTACATATGTAAAAATTCAAGCTATACACTTAAGACTTGTGCACCTTACATATATATGTCGGTAGTAGGCAGAATAATGCCCCAGAGATTTATACATCCTCACCTCCAGAACCTGGGGATGTGTGTGGTTGGATGGCAAAGGAGAACTAAGAACATGTGCAGATAATTAAGGTAGCGAATCAGCTGACCTTACAATGGGGAGAGTAGCCTGAAGTACCCAGGTGGGCCCAATGTAATCACAAGAATCCTTAAATGTGGAAGAGAGAGGCAGAAGAGAAGGTCAGAGTGATGCCATGTTTAAGCAACTTAGCCCGCTGTTGGCTGGCTTTGACCACAAAGAAAGGGAGCCAGGAGCCACAGAATGTGGACGGCCTCTAGAACCCAGGAAGTGCAAGAGAATGGATGCTGCCTAGAACCTCCAGAAAGGAACATGGCCCTGCTGACGCCTTGCTTCTAACCCAGCGAGACCCATTCCGGACTTCTGAACCACAGAACTGTAAGATAATACATCTGTGTTGTGTTGTCTCCGCATTTGTGATAATTTGTTATAAAACTTAGAGGAAAGTAATACAATGTTTTACCTCTCAAAAATTTTTTAGTAGAGTGTCTGAGGTGGACTAGGGAGTGTGCTAGAACAGGGCCGGAACAGTTTACCCCTGCATAAACTATAAAGAATATGTTGATGGACTACCTCAGCGTAACATTCAAAATTCCCTGTCCACAGCCGACTCCCCAGGCACACAGCCCCGTATCCCTCTCCTCTGTGAAAACGAGTTTGCCTGTGGGCAGCCTTGCCCTTTTCCACTGACTCTAAGCTTAATTGTGTGGGGAAACATTTCAGACATTCTTCATCCCTGAGGAAGGAGGTGCCTTCTGCCCTGCCTCTGTGAGGTTGGAAAACATCCAGTCCCCAGCAGCACCTGGGCTTCTCCCCATGGGATAGCCAAGGAGTGGCCAGACTGGGCCCAGCTACCCTGGCATTGCTGGCGCAAGGGAATTGTTGTTACTGGGGGTTATATGGCTTGACTTTGCATTTGCTGCATGTTCCTTTCCTCAAGGGCTTCTTGCAAAGTTTGAGTTAATTTGAACTGTTGGCAATGACTCTTTTTCCCTTGGTGGGGGTAATCGAACGTTTCAGTTTAGAAATAGGCCTGATTTTTCTCATGGTGAGGGCCGGCTCCTAAACAGGTGATGAGCACCACGTGTGAGCATGCGATTGCGGGTGGGGAGTGGGTGAGGCTGCACTCGATCTGTGGCTCCTCCCTCCAGAGCAGCATCACCATCACCCGGGCACTTAGAGATGCAAATTCTTCGGCCGCTCCTCCCCAGGCCTGATGAATCAGACACTGTAGGGATGTGTTCAGGGGTCTGGGTTTAAGGTAGCCTGGTGGGTGATGCTGATCCACACTCAAGTTGAGAACCCCTGGATTACCGACCTTGAAGGAGACATTCAGGAGTGAGACTACAACTTGCCATGTCCTGGTGGCCGCTTCCTTTTTGCTGTCAGACTTCCACCATCCCATCTGGACCAGCTATGGGTATCTCCCACTGGCGCGCCCCCTCCTTCCCCAATGTCCTTGCTGAGTGGCAAGACTTTTCCTAGGCCTCGGCCTCTTTGACCTCTCTCCATGGGGTGCCCTGCTTGAAACTCCCTCCCTCTGGGGTCTCTGTGACACAGCTCTCGCCCGACTCCTCCTCTCCCTCCCAAGGGCCTTGGGCCCTTTCTCTTCTCTGCAGATACTCAGCTCCCCGCCCGCACCCCCAACAACAAACAAACTCTCACCCTAAAGCCAATGACAGTCTTCCTCCTGGGCCTATCTCTGACCCGAATCCTATGGCCTAAATGTTTTTCAATGCCTACAAGAGATCTCCAGGGAATATCTGGCCAATTTCTTAAATTTGACCTGTCTAAATATTGTATGATCACAGTTAGACGTGGAATCTAAAATAGTCAAATTCACAGAAGCAGAGAGTAGAATAGTGGTTGCCAGGGACTGGAGGATGAAGAAAATGAGGAAATACTGATTAAAGTGTACAAGTTTCAGTTACGCAAGGTGAGTACGTTCTGGTGATCGAATGTACAGCAATGTGACTATAACTAACAACACTGTATTGAGTAGTTGGGATTTGCTAAGAGGGTAGACCTTAAGCATTCTCATCACAAAAGAAAATGGTAACTATGTGAGGTGATACATTTATAAGCTTGTTTGTGGTGATTTTATAATACATATGCATATCAAGGCATCAAGTTGTATACCTTAAATATATACAATTTTTACTTGTTAATTATACCTCAAAGCAGAAAACAAAATGAAAAAAAAAAACTATGACAGACCTGTCTAATGGGACCCAGCCCTGCCCCACTGCCCAGCGGCCCAGTCCTTCAGGAGCATGGTGACCTCGATGGTCACCTCCACACAGATGGGGTCCTTAAGTACCAGGCAAAGGAATGAGACTGCCACGAGGGTGGGTGGCTGCAGAGGAGGGGCTGTGTGGGACACAGGGCAGGGAGGGAAGTTTAATTTTAATGGAAGGAGCAAGTAGGAGCGTGTCATGGTGTCAGGTTGCGGCTTGTGTTCCAGAGGGAAGCTGGGGAAGGGTCAGAGGTGTCCCCTCCTTCAAGGGTAGAAGCCCCTGGGAAGAAGCCCGAGGGAGCCCCAGAAGACCAGCTTCTCTCCAGCTCCTGTACCCCATCCCATTTCTCCTAAAATGTAGCAATGAAGCACTAACCTCACCCAGTGTGGGGAAGACGAGAGGCAGAGCCAGGGAGTCCAAGAAGCAGCTCAAAAAGGAGGCTGCTGCCCCAAAGTGAGCCAGTGCCCTTGCTCTGAGTCGGCTCCGTGAGCCTTGGTGGGACCAGAGGCGCGGCAACCGGGGCCCTGCTGACCAGGATCCTGTGACTTGTAGTCCAGGGGTCAAACCTCCTCTAGGGAAGAGGCCACAGAATAAAGCACCAGGAGAGCCAAGGGGGCACGAGGGTCTCTGCTCACAATCTGGGCACCCCAAATGCAGCACACTTGGGTGCTAAAGTAGCCAGCAAGGTGAAAGTTGTGTGACAGAACGACCCTAGAAAGTTCTTCAGAAGGCATCACATTGGAGACAGTCCAGCTGGGGAAGCAACCAGGCAGAAACCTAAGAAGCAGTACAAGTCTTTGCCCTGAGAGAGACCCTCAGAGCCAGGAGCTGTGTCGAGAAGGCACAGGCCCACTGGCTCCTCAGGAACAGGGCCCGTGTCTTTGTCATGTCTGCGTCTGGAGCCTTTGCAGTGCTGCATGCACCCCCACCTCCATCGCCGCCTCGCACACACTGGCTGCGCTGGCCAGGCTGCGCTAAATGCTTCCAGAGGGACATCTGAGTCCATCCTCACAACGGCTGGCTAAGGTGGGTGCTGATATCACCCCCATTCCACAGGTGAGGACTTGAGGATTAGAAGGTGACTGAGTCCCCAGCTAGAGGGAGGCACAGCCATGAGCTGATCCCCAGTGGTCTACCTCCAGAGCCCTGTGCTTAGTCACTGCCCTGTGTTATGCAGAACATTCTTAATAAATAAAAATATTGTTTACTGAGCACTTCCTATATGCCATGTACTGTGCTAGAGACATCACACAGATTACTCACTTAATTCTTAGAACTCCCCTCTGAACAGGTGCTATAATTATCCCCACTTTATGAGGCAATTAAGGAACAGAGAGGCTCAAGAACATGCCTGAGGCCACACAGTGAGAGACAGAGCTGAGGTTTGGACTTCCCAAGGTAGTATTGCCTCAGAGTGGTGGTTTTCAAACATCTCTGCAAATTTTTTAACACTTCTCCTAGCAAGAGATGAGGTTTAGTTCCCCTCCCCTTGAACCTAGGTGAGACTTGGTAATCAATTCAATGAACAGAATTCAACAGGAATGATGATGGCTGCAAACTTCCATCTGCTGGTTTCTCTTCAGTTGCCATGGAGATCACAGAGAAACCAGAGAGGGGAGGACCAATGGGGAAAAGCATCTGGGGTGGGGTGGGGGCAAAGACAAAAAAAAGGAGGGCTAGAGGGGATCAGAGAGAGGGGAGCCAGAGAGTGGAAAAGGAGGAAAGGAGGAAACCAGTGAGAGAGAGCAAGGGGGATGATGCCAGGATGCCTGAGGAGCCCCAGCTTTGGGGTCTTCAGCCCAGGCACCAGACACAAGCATGAAAACACCTTCGAGTGTTTTCACAAGCATGAAAACACCCATCAGCTGCCACCATCTGACTACAACTGCATGAGAGCCCCAGTGAGAACTGCACAGCTGAGCCCGGTCAATCCAATTTGTGAGCAAATACATAAATGCCTGTTATTTTAAGTCACTGTCTTAGGGTGGCTTATTATGCAGGAGTAGATAACCAGAAACCCAGTGTCCATGTTTTATTTTGATTTTGATTTTTAGAGACAGCATCTTACTCTGTTGCCCAGGCTGGAATACAGATAGCTCACTCCAAGTCTTGAACTCCTGGGCTCAAGTGATCCTCCCACTTCAACCTCCCAAGTGGCTAGGACTACAGGTGTGCACCACCAAGCTCAGCTAATTTTAAAAAATTATTTTTTTATAAAGACCAGGTCTCACTGTGTTGCCCAGGCTGGTTTCAAATTCCGGCCTCAAGAGATCCGCCTCAGTCTCCCAAATTGTTGGGATTGTAGGCGTAAGACACCGTGCCCAGCTAATGTTTTTAATCACTACACTGTGAACAAACCAATTAATCAATAAGTGACTGAAAGAATGAATCAATGATGTCAAAGGAAAAAAAGGTCATATACTGAGTTCAAAACAGCCGAGAGATGCTTCATGTAAGAGGAAAGAGATTAAGCTGGGCTCTAGGCATGGTGAGTCCGTCAGAAGGAGCAAGACCATGCAGAGGGGTGCTGTGAACAAATGCTCGCAGGCAGAAAGAAGCACAGATGTGCAGGGCCAGAGAGCATGCTAGGAGAGAAGAGGCCTTGCCTGGGAGGAGAGAGGAAGTAAGCAGAGGAGGCAGTGGGCCAGGCTGCAGAGAGGTATCGAGATCCAGCTGCATTGCATCCTGTAGAACAAGGGAAGCCTTGAAGCTTCAGAGGGAGCAGTGCTGAGGAAGGGGTGTTTGGAAAGTGAACCTGCCTAAGAGATATGGGAGAGCCAGAGGTGATGCTGGAAGATTAAGGCCATGGTGTTGGGGGATGGCAATATTCTCAACTTTATCAATATCACTTCCTAAAGAGAGAATTTAACTTGAATTTGAATTCTGATTTAAATTAAATACTAAGGATAAGATTTTTTCAGAGAGGGCGCAGCTAGGATTCCTTCACCCTCCAAGATCATGTGGAGAACATGGGTGTAAGGGATGGGGGGCACGCCAGAGCAGGGGAATAAGGGACAGATCTGAATTACAGTCTGATGGATGGATTGATATAACTTGATTGATCTGGAAGGGGAAGGGGAAGGGTGAGGAGGAGGGCAAAATCAACAAGGTCTTTGTCTTAGTTCATTTTGTGTTGCTATAACAGAATACCTGAGGCTGGGTAATTTATAAAGAAAAGAAGTACATTTAGCTCATGATTCTGGTGGCCAGAAAGTCCAAGAGCATGGCACTCACATCTGTTTGGCTTCTGGTGAGGGCCTCGTGCCACGTCACAACATAGCAGAGAAGCAGAAGGGGAAGTGGGTGTGTGCAGGGACCAAGGCACAACCTTGCTTTATAACAACCTACTCTTATGGGACTCTTTGATTCCTGAGAGAACTGATCCAGTCTCTTGAGAGTGAGAACTCACTCACTACCAAGAGAACAAACAGTGCCAAGTAGCGCTCCATGACCCAAACACCTCCCATTAGGCCCATCAGCATTTTAGAGACCCTGTCTCTAAAAACAAACTGTAAAATGATATATATCCCTATCCTGCTGTTTTGACAAATACACCTTCCTATCAGCCCAGAATGGCTCAGTCCAGCTTCAGAACTTGCAGACTCCAGGGAGTAGCAGGCTGATGTGTGCCAGCACAGGCAGACTGGGCCCAGCACATGAGCTGCCTTTCTTCTTTTCCTGCCACAGCAGGTCCCTGCACAGGGAAGAGCCTCTGTGCATGCATGTGGTCACCCTGCCCACATATTTAAGCCATTCACTCCCCTTGAAACAGCCACCCTCAGCCACCTCTCAGGACCAGGGGCAGGCACAGGCAATGCAGCAGTGCCCTCAGGGGCTCGCCTGGAAAAGAGGCATGCACAGGCCCTGGAGGCAGGCTCAGGGCTGTGTAGACAGTGATTCTGGGGCCCAGTGCCCAAGTGTGGCCGGGAAGGGCAGGAGAAGCAGGAGGGCAATCTCCCCTGAGCCTCACAGACTCGACACTCTGAGCCGGGTGTGGGGCCCGAGCAGGGCCCCTCTTGCCTGGGTCTGAGGTGGCCACTGACAACAGGTCCTTGCCCTCCACCTCCTGCTTGGTTCTGCCAATGAAAGTGCCAGTCGGTATCAGAAGGCAGGAGGTATCGGAAGGGAGGAGGAGGATGAGGGGAATGGCTTCTCCTGCATCGCTCTTGGCCCAGCTACGGGCTGCATCCTTCTTTTGAAGGCCACAGCTCCCATCGGGCGGCTTTTTCCAAGAGCTACAGCTCTTTTCCAGGCTCAGGTAACTGCTTCCTCCTCTCACACTCAGGCCTGGCCTGGCAATGGCTCCACATTCTTTGCAGCCTCTGGGGCTTTGCCACAGCTGCTACTTTCCCTTGACCCTGCCCATGCCTCCGTAAACGCACTTTCACTAGGCTCTCTTCAATGACCCCTTGGAGCATGCCAGCTGCTTCCTGTTACTATATCCTTTCCTCATTGCTTTTTCTCAGTGCTCTATCTCAGTGAATGGCCTCACCCAGGTCACACACTCAGGAGGTGCCCTAGGTTCCTCTGATTCTGTGGGATACCAAGACCTGGCTCTCTTCCCTCTGTAGCATCTCTCAGGTCCCTCCATTTCTTTCTGTGGTCTTCAGCCCCTCATCAGCTGTGGCCTGGAGCATCCCTGAAGGGCCCAGCCCGTGCCCTGCATCCAACCTCAGCCCGTCTAGCCTCCTCCACACAGGCCCACAGTGAGCTTCCTAAAGCCCAAGACGCATCCTGTTGCTCCTTAGCTTAGGCTGTGCTGCCAAGAGTCTGAACTCAGCAAAGCCCTCCCAGAGCGGCGCTGCCCATTGCTCCAGCCTTCTTTTGGTATGCCCCAGCTCTGCACTCCCTCCTGTCTACACACGCACACACTAGATATAATCCAGCCACGTGGACCTGCTCCTGCTCCCTGACACTTCGCTGCTTCCTGCTCCGGGGTATACCCTTCTTCTTGCCTTTTCCTCACCGCTGGTGCTCACACACTGGGTATCCTTCCAGATTCACTGCAGGTGTCACTGCCTGGATGCAGGCTTCTGCAATCTCCTCTCGGGGCAGAACTGAGCATTCCCTCCTTTCTCTTACTCCATCAGTAGAGACACCCTACATCACTTCTGTCATACTTGATTACACTTAATCATTTATCTGTTTCCCCCCAATAGACCATCAGCTTCTTGAGAACAATATTTCATTTCATGCAAAGTAATTTAATGTGAAAAGAGTTCCAATAGTATGAGCTTCCCAGGCAAGGGCGGCTCTTCCCCAGGGCAGCCCTTCCCTTGTGCCCCTGATCAGACCCAGCTGTGCACCCCAACAGCTCTCCAGCCTTTTCTTCCCAGTGGCCCTCACAATTTGGTATCTCCACATGAGGATTTCATTAAACTGCCCTTCCAACTAGAGCATAAACTCCAAGGACTATGTCTGTCTTGCTGCCTACTGGGTCGCTAGGGCCAAGGACTGCCCAACACATAGCAGCAGCTCAAAAAATACATATGTGTCTTATGAAAAAAATCATTTTGGTTGGAGAACCTGACCTACTTTGTTGTCTCCATTTTTTCCCGGCCATTCTGACAAACTCCTTGGATATATTTCAAAAAATTCCATGATGATACTATATCCCTCCAGTATCTCCCATCTATGCAGTTTGAGTTAAAAACCAGCATTGTGCTGGTGGAAGTGTAAAATGGTGCAGCCGCTGTGGAAAACAGCATGGTGGTTTCTCAAAAAAAAATTTTATATATATATATATATATATATATATATATATCAGATATATATCGTATCTCTGATATATATATCAGATATATCGTATCTCTGATATATATATCAGATATATATCGTATCTCTGATATATATATCAGATATATATCGTATCTCTGATATATATATCAGATATATATCGTATCTCTGATATATATATCAGATATATATCGTATCTCTGATATATATATCAGATATATATCGTATCTCTGATATATATATCAGATATATATCGTATCTCTGATATATATATCAGATATATATCGTATCTCTGATATATATATCAGATATATATCGTATCTCTGATATATATCAGATATATATCGTATCTCTGATATATATCAGATATATATCGTATATATCATATATAATCGTATATATCGTATATACGATATATCGTATATATCGTATATACGATATATCGTATATATCGTATATACGATATATCGTATATATCGTATATACGATATATCGTATATATCATATATTATATATCTATATATCATATATAGAGAGAAATGAGCTATATATATATATATGCTCATCTATTACTATATGATCTAGCAATCCCACTTCTGGGTATATTTCCAAAAGAATCAAAAGTAGGGCCTTGAACAGATATTTGCACATCCATATTCATAGCAGCACTATTCACAATAGCCAAAAAGAAGAAACAACACAAATGTCAATCAACAGATGAATGGATACACAAAATGTGGTATACATATCCAGTGGAATATTCAGCCTTTAAAAAAAGGAAATTCTATCACATACTACAACATGTACCTTGAAGACATTATGCTAGATGGAATATGCCAGTCATAAAAGCCACTCAAAAGTAGTATAATTCCTATATGATGTTGTTAGAATAGTCAATTATGGAGACAGAAAGTTGAATGGTGGTTGCCAGGGGCTGAAGGGGTGACAGAGAAATAGGGAATTCTTGTTTAATGAATATAGAGTTTCTGTTTGGAGAGATGAAAAAAGTTCTGGAGATGGATGGTGGCGATAGTTGTGTAACAATGTGAATATACTTAATGCCACTGAACTGTACACTCAAAAATGGTCAAAAGGGTCAATTTTATATTATATATTTCTCCACAATTTTTAAAATGAAATTTAAAAGAAAATCAGGGCTGGGCACAGTGGTTCATGTTCATGCCTAGCACTTTGGGAGGCTAAGGCGGGCAGATCACTTGAACCCAGAAGTTCGAGACCAGCCTGGCAACGTGGCGAAAACCTGTCTCTACACAAAATATAAGAAATTAGCCAGGCACGTTGGTGCACGCCTATAGCCCCAGCTACTCAGGAGGCTGAAGTGGAAGGATCACCTGAGCCCGGACAGTTGAGGCTGCAGTAAGCTCTGATCCTGCCACTGCATTCCAGACTGCGCAACAGAGCGAGACCATGTCTCAGATAAATAAAAGAAATAAAAGAAAATCAGCATTGCAGCATTTCTCCCAACAAAAGGAGGAGAAACCCTGTGCCCCTGGAGGTTCTAACCAGGGCATACTACCTAATCAAACAGCTGGTTGCTTAGACAAGGTATTTTTGTTTCAACTGATCCATGGGATTATTAGGAAGCTGACAGATTTTTAATCTTTTCTCTTTCTAGACTAAAAAGGTCACCCAACGGGTATCTAGTCCTAAGCTGATTCCTCTCTCTCTCCACTACTTTTAATTTTTAAAAAATATTTTGTTTAAAAAATTGGTGCTTGGGTCCCACCCCCAGAGATTCTGATTTAATTAGTCTGGGGTATAGTCTGAGCACGATAATTTTTCGTTGTTTTTGAGCCAGAGTCTCACTCGTCGCCCAGGCTGGAGTGCAGTGGCGCAATCTCGGCTCACTGCAACCTCTGCCTCCTGAGTTCAAGCAATTATCATGCCTCAGCCACCCAAGTAGCTGGGACTACAGGCGTGTGTCACCACACCAGGCTAAATTTTTGTATGTTTAATAGAGATGGGTTTTCACCATGTTGACCAGGTTGGTCTCAAACTCCTAGCCTCAAGTAATCCACCCACCTTGACCTCCCAAAGAGCTGGGATTACAGGCATGAGCCACCACACCCAGCCTCTATCAACTACTTTTAAACACCATTCCACAGGAAGTCCCTCTTGGAGAAATAAGATGGGAATGAGGACATAGTCCACAACAATATTGAGGATATTGAGGGACATCTTTGCTCAAATGACCTGCTTAGTATGGTGGGCGCTACTGGAAGGGGGTGTTAGGCTGAGCCGGCACTTTGGGTGGGTTGGGCCCAGGCTCTACTTTTTTTTTTTTATACTTTAAGTTCTAGGGTACATGTGTACAACGTGCAGGTTTGTTACATATGTATACATGTGCCATGTTGGTGTGCTGCACCCATTAGCTCGTCATTTACATTAGGTATATCTCCTAATGCTATCCCTCCCCCCTCCCCCCACCCCACAACAGGCCCTGGTGTGTGATGTTCCCCTACCTGTGTCCAAGTGTTCTCATTGTTCAATTCCCACCTATGAGTGAGAACATGTGGTGTTTGGTTTTTTGTCCTTGCGATAGTTTGCTGAGAATGATGGTTTCCAGCTTCATCCATGTCCCTAAAAAGGACATGAACTCATCCTTTTTTATGGCTGCATTGTATTCCATGGTGTATATGTGCCACATTTTCTTAATCCAGTCTATCATTGATGGACATTTGGGTTGGTTCCAAGTCTTTGCTATTGTGAATAGCGCTGCAGTAAACATACATGTGCATGTGTCTTTATAGCAGCATGATTTATAATTCTTTGGGTATATACCCAGTAATGGGATGGCTGGGTCAAATGGTATTTCTAGTTCTAGATCCTTGAGGAATCGCCACACTATCTTCCACAATGGTTGAACTAGTCTACAGTCCCACCAACAGTGTAAAAGTGTTCCTATTTCTCCACATCCTCTCCAGCACCTGTTGTTTCCTGACTTTTTAATGATGGCCATTCTAACTGGTGTGAGATGGTCTCTCATTGTGGTTTTGATTTGCATTTCTCTGATGGCCAGTGATGATGAGCATTTTTTCATGTGTCTGTTGGCTGCATTAATGTCTTTTGAGAAGTATCTGTTCTTATCCTTTGCCCACTTTTTGATGGGATTTTTTTTTAATTTGTTTGAGTTCATTGTAGATTCTGGATATTAGCCCTGTGTCAGATGAGTAGATTGCAAAACTTTTCTTCCATTCTGTAGGTTGCCTGTTCACTCTGATGGTAGTTTCTTTCGCTGTGCAGAAGCTCTTTAGTTTAATTAGATCCCATTTGTCAATTTTGGCTTTTGTTGCCATTGCTTTTGGTGTTTTAGACATGAAGTCCTTGCCCATGCCTATGTCCTGAATGGTATTGCCTAGGTTTTCTTCTAGGGTTTTTATGGTTTTAGGTCTAACATTTAAGTCTTTAATCCATCTTGAATTAATTTTTGTATAAGGTGTAAGGAAGGGATCCAGTTTCAGCTTTCTACATATGGCTAGCCAGTTTTCCCAGCACCATTTATTAAATAGGGAATCGTTTCCCCATTTCTTGTTTTTGTCAGGTTTGTCAAAGATCAGATGGTTGTAGATGTGTGGTATTATTTCTGTGGGTTCTGTTCCATTGGTCTATGTCTCTGTTTTGGTACCAGTACCATGCTGTTTTGGTTACTTTGGGGGCCCAGGCTCTACTTCTAACTAGAAGCCTGTCAGGGGCTGCTTCCAGGGAATGAGACACCTTCTATATCACCTGCACAGAGTCACCTTTGTGCTGTCTGTGCAGCCTCCTTTCTCACAGAGACCTGCCCATGAGGTGCTGAGTGAAATGGGGACACCCAGGAGCACCTGCAGGGAAGGTTTCTTGGCTCTAAGCCATCTTCAAATGCTCCCATAGGGTTCAGGTTATAAAGATCATTGACAGCACAAGCAGTGGGAATCCCCGTCCTGCGATCATCCCATCTTGCCTGGCTGGCCAGAACTCTGGGTGTCTTATTTATGGACTCATGGAGGCAGGGAGCCCTGGTACCTCACTATGTGCTCTCCTCCCCCCGTTTCATCCAAGTGACATCTGGGCATCCAGGAAAGCCCTGCAGGAGATTACAGGTGCCCAGAGGACCAACTGCCATGGGGAGGAGGCTTGGAAGGAAGGAGGAGTGGCCCCCACCTATACTGTGGTGGCTGAGATCTTGACTTCTATGGAAGGTGATGCCTCTTTCCTTAGCAGCTTCCCCAAAGTCAGAGCCCTCCCCAGGGTCAGAAGCTTACCCAGGCAGGGGCAGGGAGCAGTCCTGACCCTCTACGCTCTGGAGGGCCCCACAGAAGGGCCCAGCAGATGCAGTGGTCACACCACAAGGAGTCCACTTTCCTCCTGGAACTGGCTTGAGGAAGGAGCAGCGTGATGGGGACTGTGGCGTGTTGCAGCATTCTGCTCAGAGTCAGGGTTTCTGGGAACATGGCAGGATTTCATCTGCCGTTCCAAGAGCTAGCTCCTGGTGGGAGCATTTTCATAAGGCTTTCGCTTTTGCAGCTGATGTCACAAAAGAAACCTAAGTTCTGCCTCTGGCTGTTCGGTGGCCATCACCTAACTCCTTGGACCCCAGGCTCTTCTTCTACATACTGAAGGTACTGACCAGGTGATGGCCCAGGCTCCTGATAGCATCACTAGCCTTGGGTAAAAAGGTACAACACATTGTTCGGAATAGCACCCACACTCGGTGCACACCCACAAAAGACCACACTGAGGCACGGCCACGTTATGACTTTTGAGGACCCTGGGCACTTTTGCTTCATGGGCCTCTTCCTCTATAAAAAAATATCAAAAAGCATATTTTATGATTGTGTTGGTTTAATGATGAACATATTAATAGTATATATTAAAACAACTTCTGCTTAAAAGTTTGTTTTTCTTATTTTAAGATAAAGCAAAAACATTTTGTTGTGGGCCCCAGGCAGTGTGCCTATGCCGCCTAATGAATATGTCAGCTCTGCGCCAAGACATGCAAGTAGGAGACAAGAAAGGGACCCAGCTAGGAGGGGGGTCCAACCTCAGCTGACCTGGGACATTTACTTCACCTCTCTGTGCCTCAGTTTCCTCATCTGGGGACAATAATAGTATCTACTTTGTAGA
The DNA here is from genome assembly GCF_000001405.40 of Homo sapiens. Lineage (NCBI taxonomy): Eukaryota > Metazoa > Chordata > Mammalia > Primates > Hominidae > Homo > Homo sapiens. Next base: position 89,297,476 of record NC_000006.12, read on the forward strand.
ACTGATGAGAGGATTAAAATAAGATTACATATATATATGTACCTTGATTAGAATGGTGCCTGGCATAAAAAAAAATCCCTATGAAAGTGGTAGTTGTGGCTGGGCACAGTGGCACACGCCTGTAATCCCAGCACTTTGGGAGGCTGAGGTGGGTGGATCACTTGAGGTCAGGAGTTCAAGACCAGCCTGGCCAACATGGTGAAACCCTGTCTCTACTAAAAATACAAAAGAATTAGGCATGGTGGTGCATGCCTGCAATCCCAGCTATTCAGGAGGCTGAGGGAGGAGAATCGCTTGAACCTGAGAGGCAGAGGTTGCAGTGAGCTGAGATTGCGCCTCTGCACTCCAGCCTAGGTGACAAAGTGAAACTCCGTCTCGAAAAAAAAAGTGGTAGTTGTCATGCATGTTATTGTTGGTTATTGTGTTTCCTAGCCACTGTACGCCTCTATGCTCTTAACTGTTGCTGTGCAAGAAAAGTGGAGCTTCTTGCTTTTGGGGACGCCTTGCTTAGACTTCCTGGAGCAGATGTAGCTATTTTAAAGCTGCTTATTAGTATAACTTTATTTTCGTAAAATTCCTTGGCAGGCTTGCCCATGACGAATCCCCGAGGAAACCCAAGAGCTACCAGAAATATGGTGGCCTCTTCTTGACCTTCCGTGGGCGTCAATCAGGTTGCGGTTGGAAGGGAGATGAGTCACAGGCCTGTAATCTGCCACCTGCTTTTCTCCTTCTGCTTAGCAGGTGTCAGAGCTCAGGGAATTTAGTGGGAGGCTTTGAGGCCTTTTAAAATGCATAGGCTTCTGGGATAAATTAATTTCTTAATCCCTTAACAGTCACACAAGAGGAAGGTCTGGCAGCTGGGTTTTTCAGAGGGGACAGGAACAAATGTCTGTCAGGGGTTTTACATACATTATCTTGTTTAATCTGGACAACAACCCCATATGTGGGGATTACTCTCCCCATTTTATAAACAAACAAATGGAGGCTCAAAGGATTGGTGACCTGCCTGGAGGTCACAGCTACTCCTTTTTACTGCCCCAGAATGATAGGACCTACTAGAGGATCAAGGGCAGAGAAAAAGGAAAAAGGGAAGCCAGCCCGCCTGGGTCTGTCTTGGCCAAGGTTCATCAACTGAAATTCTTGGTGCCTCAGTTTCCCCAAGAGGAGAGGAAAGTTGGCCCAGGGATCTCATACATTCTGCTATTCTTACCCCACTCTCTGCCTAGTCAGAGCAGATGACTGATTCCTTTCCCAGCTGCTATGGCCTGAATGTTTATGTCCCTGACAAATGTGTATGTTGCAATCCTAACCCGCAATGGGATGGTACTAGGAAGTGGGCCTTTGGAAGGTGATGAGATCCTGAGGGTGGAGCCCTCACCAGTGGGATTAGTGCTCTTAGAAAAGAGGCCCTAGAGAGCTGCCTTGCCCCACCCACTATGTGAGGTTACAGTGAGAAGGCACCGTCTATGAACAGAAAGTGGGCCCTCAGCACACATGGAAACTGTTGGCACCTTGATCTTACTTCCGGCCCCTGGAAACATGAGAAATACGTTTCCATTGTCTATAAACTGCCCAATCTATGGTGTTTTGTGTGAAAGCCAGAACTGACTAAGACACTGTCCACCTTCTCCATAGCATTTCTCTAGTTCCTGGGAAGGACACCCACTGGCCATGCCTCCCCTCCCTGACCCCAAGACTAACAGAGCACCTTTGGGGGCAGGTGTGCAAGAAATCTTTGTAATGAGTTAAGCTCTTGTTGCTGCACTGGAAAACAGGTGACTCCATCAAAACAGCAAACTCCCAGGTAGTCATGGCAACAAAGTTGCAATGCCTTGTTCAGAATTCCACTCACACCCAGACACACACACATGCCAAAATAGTGCAGAGGGAGGGCCACACTAGGACTTTTGAGGATCCTGGGCACCTCTGCCTTCATGGGCCTCTTCCTCTATAAAAATGACAGAGGAGCTATTTTGTGTCCTGATTCTCCTTGCCTGCTCTTATATTTGTAGGACAAAAAAGTTGGCAGCTGCAGGGCCTGTCTCCTTTGTGAATGTAAATGGCTTAGTCACTGGTGGGCCCTCTTTAGTCAACGGCCCTCTCCACTACTTCCTGCTCTTTTCTCCTTGGGAAAATTAGGGACTCAGGAAATGGAGTCAGATTTATGTGAGTGGGAAAATTGCACCATCTGAGGAAGCGCTGTGCCAGAGGGAGCCAGAGAGGGCAGCACATCACATCCCTGGGGCCAACCTCCCACCTGGCATCAAGGAAGAACAGTCCTACCTCCGAAGGCGGGTCTCATGCTGAAGTCGTGCTCGTCCACTCTGAGAAGCTGCTGAGGCTTTCCCTTCCGGATCTTGGTCACATCAAGGTTCTTCTTATATAAGTGACTGTGAAGACAAGCAAGAAACTATTTTCCATCGGCTCTTCAATGCATTGAGTGAGATGATTTGGGCTATTACTCCCTGCAAGATCTACCTGTTAGGTACCTTTTCTCCATTCTACTTCTTGGCCCAGGGGAGAAGGAGGGCTGAAGGACCCTCCACACACACGCCAGATCCTCACAGGTAGACTGACCTGAGGACCAGGTTCTTCTGGAGCCTTCTGAAAGTGGATGCCCTCCTGGGCAGGACAACATTCTACCTTGGTAAAGGCTATAATTGGATGAAAATGGTTGGATTGGCTGCTAGCTAGACTAATAAAGAAGAAAAGGGAGAAGATCAAAATAAACACAATTAGAAATGAGAAAGGGGGCTAGGTGCAGTGGCTCACACCTGTAATCCCAGCACTTTGGGAAGCTGAGGTGGGCAGATTGCTTGAGGTCATGAGTTTGAGACCAGCCTAGCCAACATGGTGAAACCCCATTTCTACTAAAAATACAAAAATTAGCTGGGCATGGTGGCACACACCTGTAGTCCCAGCTACTCAGGAGGCTAGGGCACAAGAATCACTTGAACCAAGGAGACGCAGGTTGCAGTGAGTGGAGATTGCGCCACCCGGGTGATAGAGTGAGACTCTGTCGCAAAAAAAAACAAAAAGAAATGACAAAGGGGATGTTACCACTGACCCCACAGAAATACAAATAACCATCAGAGACTACCATGAACAACTCTGTGTACACAAACTAGAAAACCTAGAAGAGATGGATAAATTCCTGGACACATACACACCCCAAACCAAATAGTGAACCAGGAAGAAATTGATTCCTTGAATAGACCAATAATGAGCTCCGAAGTTGAAGTTGAATCAATAATAAATAGCGTACCAACCAAAAAAAAAAAAAAAAAAAAAGGCCCAGGACCTGATATATTCACAGCCAAATTCTACCAGATGTACAAAGAACTGGTACCATTCCTACTAAAACTATTCCAAAAAATTGAGGAGGCGGGACTCCTCCCCAGTTCATTCTATGAGGCCAGCATCATCCTGATACCAAAACCTGGCAGAAACACACACACACACAAAAGAAAGCTTTAGGCCAATATCCTTGATGAACATTGAGGCAAACAATCCTCAACAAAATATTTGCAAACCAAATCCAGCAGCCCACCAAAAAGTGAATCCACCACAATCAAGTAGGCTTCAATCCCAGGATGCAAGTTTGGTTTAACATACGCAAATCAATAAATGTGATTCATCACATAAAACTAAAGACAAAAGCCACATTATTATCTCAATGGATGCACAAGAGGCTTTCGATAAAATTCAACACTCCTTATTAAAAACTCTTAATAAACTAGGTATTAAAGAAACACACTTCAATACATATGTGACAAACCCATAGCCAACGTCATACTAAATGGGCAAATGCTGGAAACATTCCCCTTGAAAACCAGCACAAGACAAGGGTGCCCTCTCTCACCACTCCTATTCAACATAGTATTGTAAGTCCTGGCCAGGGCAATCAAGAAAGAACAAAATGAAGGGCATCCAAATAGGAAGAGAGGAAGTCAAACTATTCTTGTTTGCAGATGATGTGATTCTGTATCTAGAAAACCCCATAGTTTTGGCCCAAAAGCTCCTTCAGGTGATAAACAACTTCAGCAAAGTTTTGGGATACAAGATCAATGTAAAAAATCACTGGCATTCCTATATGCCAACAATGGTCAAGCCTAGAGCCAAATCAGGAATGAAATCCCATTCATGATTGCCACAAAAAGAATAAAATGCCTAGGAATACAGCTAACCAGGGAGGTGAAAGATCTCTACAATGAGAATTGCAAAAACACCACTCAAAGAAATCAGAGATGTCAGCAGCCAGCCCAGCCCGCCTGCCCGTCCGCAGCCGCCTGCCAGACACGCCCAGTATGAGGGAGATCCTGCACATTCAGGCCGGCCAGTGCGGCAACTAGATCGGGGCCAAGTTCTGGGAAGTCATCAGTGATGAGCATGGCATAGACCCCAGCGGCAACTACGTGGGGAACTCGGACTTGGAGCTGGAGCAGATCAGCATCTACTACAACGAGGCCTCTTCTCATAAGTATGTGCCTCGGGCCATTCGTCGACCTGGAGCCCGGGACCATGGACAGTGTCGGCTCGGGGCCTTTTGGACATTTTTTCAGGCCTGACAATTTAATCTTTGGTCAGAGTGGGGCCGGCAATAACTGGGCCAGGGGTCACTACACGGAGGGTGCGGAGCTGGTGGATTCCCTCCTGGATGTGCGGAAGAAGTGTGAGAACTGCGACGGTCTGTAGGGTTTCCAGCTGACCCTCTCGCTGGGCGGGGGCACAAGCTCGGGTATGGGCACGCTGCTCATCAGCAAGATGCATGAGGAGTATCCCAACTGCATCATGAACACCTTCAGCGTAGTGCCCTCGCCCAAGGTGTCACTGTGGTGGAGCCCTACAACCCCATGCTGTCCATCCACCAGCTGGTGGAGAATACAGATGAGACCTACTGCATCAACAAGGAGGCGCTCTAGGACATCTGCGTCAGCACCCTCAGGCTGGCCACGCCCACCTACGGGGACCTCAGCCACCTGACATTGGCCACCATGAGCAGGATCACTACCTCCTTGTGCTTCCCGGGCCAGCTCAATGCGGACCTGCACAAGCTGGTGGTGAACATGGGTGCCCTTCCCCTGCCTGCACTTCTTCATGCCAGGCATGAAGCCCGGGCAGCCAGCATTACCGGGCCCTGACCGTGCCCGAGCTCACCCCTCAGATGTTTGATGCCAAGAACATGATGGCTGCCCGCGACCGGCACCACGGCTGCTACCTGGCAGTGGCCACCGTGTTCCGGGGCTGCCTGTCCATGAAGGAGGTGGACGAGCAGATGCTGTCCATCCAGAGCAAGAACAGCAGCTACTTCGTGGAGTGGATCCCCAACAACATGAAGGTGGACGTGTGTGACATCCCACCCCCCAGCCTCAAGATGTCTTCCACCCTCATCAGCAACAGCACGGGCATCCAGGAGCTGTTCAAGCATCTCAGAGCAGTTCACGGACATGTTCCAGCACAAGGCCTTCCTACACTGGTACATGGGCAAGGGCATGGACGAGATGGAGATCACCGAGGCCAAGAGCAACATGAATGACCTGGTGTCCGAGTACCAGCAGTACCAGGACTCCATGGCCCAGGAGGAGGGTGAGATGTTCGCAGATGAGGAGGAGGAATTGGAGGCCCAGGGCCCCAAGTGAAGCTGCTTGCAGCTGGAGTGAGGGGCAGGTGGCGCCGGTGCCAAGGCCAGCAGTGTCTGACCTCCAGAGCCATCTTGCTGTCGACACTGTCCCCAGCTTTCCCCCACCAGCTTGTCACTCACGCTAGGGCTCCCTTGCCACCCTCCTGCAGTGTTTACACCCGTCCTCCCCACCTAGGCCACGTGTGTGCTGCTCCTGTCTCTGTCTTATTGCAGCTCCAGGCCTGACATTTTATGGATTTGTTTTTTACTGGTTTGTGTTTATATTTTCAGGGATACTTAATAAATCTATTGCTGTCAGATAAAAAAAAAAAGAAATCAGAGATGACACAAAGAAATGAAAATACATTTCATGCTCATGGATAGGAAGACTCAATATCATTAAAATGGTCATACTGCCTAAAACAATTTATAGATTCAATGCTATTTCTATCAAACTACCAGAGATATTCTTCACAGAACTAGGAAAAACTATTTTAAAATTCATCTGGAATCAAAAAAAGACCCCAAATAGCCAAAGCAATCTTAAGGAGGAAAAAAAAAAAAAAAAAAAAAACCCAAAGCTGGAGACATCACATTACCTGACTTCCAACTATACTACAAGGCTATGGTAACCAAAACAGCATGGTACTGGTACAAAAACAGGCACATAGACCAAAGGAACAGAATAGAGAGCCCAGAAATAAGGCTACACACCCACAGCCATCTGATCTTATGCAAAGCCAACAAAAGCAATAAGGCAAGGACTCTTCATTCAATACATGGTGTTATGAGAACCGGCTAGCCATATGCAGAAGATTGAAATTGGACCCGTTTTTTACACCATATACAAATATCAACTCAAGATGGATTAAATACTGAAGTATAAAACTCAAAACTATAAAAACCCTGGAAGACACCCTAGGCAATACCATTCCAGACACAGGAAGTGGGAAAGATTTCATGATGGAGACACCAAAAGCAATTACAGCAAAACCAAAAATTGAGAAATGGGATCTTATTAAACTTAAGAGCTTCTGCACAAAAAAAGTATCAACATAGTAAATAGACACCCTACAGAATGGGAGAAAATATTTGCAAGCTATGCATCTGACAAAGATCTAATATCCAGCATCTATAAGGAACTTAAATTTACAAGAAAAAAACAAACCCCATTAAAAAGTAGGCAAAAAGTGGGCACAGTGGCTTATGCCTGTAATTCCAGCACTTTGAGAGGCTGAGGCAGGAGGATCACTTTGAGAAGATGAGGCAGGCGGATCACTTGATGTCAGGAGTTCAAGACCAGCCTGGCCAACATGATGAAACCCCGTCTCTACTAAACAAAAGTTAGCTGGGTGTGGTGGCGTGCACCTGTAATCCCAGCTATTTGGGACACTGAGGCACGAGAATCACTTGAACCTGGGAGGCAGAGGTTGCAGTGAGCTGAGATCGTGCCACTACACTCCAGCCTGGGTGAGAGAGTGAGACTCCATCTCAAAAAAAAGAAAAAAAAAAAAAGAAAAAAAGTGGGCAAAGGACATGAACAGATGCTTTTCAAAAGAAGACATACACTCAGCCAAAAAACATATGAAAAACAGTTCAATAACACTGATCATTAGAGAAATGCAAATCAAAACCACAATGAGATACCGTCTCACACCAGTCAGAATCACTATTATTACAAAGTCAAAAAATAACAGATTCTGGTGAGGTTGCAGAGAAAAGAGAACGTTTATACACTGTTGATGGGAATATAAATTAGTTCAACCATTGTGGCAAGCAGTGTTGTGATTCCTCAAAAAGCTAAAAACAGAACTACCATTCTACCCAGCAATCTCATTACTGGGTATATAGCTAAAGGAATGTAAATTGTTTTCCCATAAAGACACATGCATGTTCATTGCAACACTATTCACAATAGCAGAGAGATGGAATCAACCTAAATGCTCATCAGTGACAGATTGAATAAAGACAACGTGGTATGGCCACACATGGTGGCTCACAGCTGTAATCCCAGCACTTTGGGAGGCCAAGGCAGGTGGATCACAGGCCAGGAATTCAAGACCAGGCTGGCCAACATGGCAAAACCCTGTCTCTACTAAAACTACAGAAATGAGCTGGGCATAGTGGTGTATGTCTGTAATCCCAGCTACACAGGAGGCTGAGGCATGAGAATCACTTGAACCCGAGAGGTGGAGGTTGCAGTGTGCTGAAATTGTGCCATTGCTCTCCAGAAAAAAAGAAAAAGAAAATGTAATACACATATACCATGAAATACTCTGCAGCCATAAAAAAGAATTTGATCAGCTGGGGGTGGTGGCTCACACCTGTAATCCCAGCACTTGGGAGGCCAAGGCAGGCAGATCACTTGAGCCCAGGAGTTCAAGGCTAGCCTGAGCAACATGGTGCCACATCCAGCTACTTGGGAGGCTGAGGTGGGAAAATCACTTGAGCCCAGGAGGGAGGTCAGGGCTGCAGTGAGCCATGATCATGACACTGCTCTCCAGCCTAGGTGACAAAGACCCTGTCTCACACACACACACACACAAAAAGCATGAGATTATGTCCTTTAGCTGGAACATGGATGGAACTGGAAGGAGGAACAGAAAATCAAATACCACATGTATTCTTACTTCTGAGTGGGAGCTAAGTGATGAGAACACATGGACACAAAGAGGGGAACAAAAGACACTGGGGCCTACTTGAGTGTGGAGGGTGGGAGGAGGGAAAGGATCAGAAAAAATAACTGTCGAGTACGGGGCTTCGTACCTGGGTGTCAAAATCATCTGTACAACAAACCCCTGTGACACAAGTTTACCTCTATACCGAGTCTGCATGTATACCCCTGAACCTAAAATAGAAGTCTTAAAAATAAATAAGAATCTCACCCAGGATAAGTAAATAAATATAAATAAATAAATAAATGTGTGATGAGAAAAAAAGAAAAAGAAAATGATTGTGTTGAGTACTGGAAGATCATGATTTTTTTTTTTTAATTTCTTGGCCGAGTGCAGTGGCTCACATCTGTATTCCTATCACTTTGGAAGGCCCAGGTAGGAGAATGGTTTGAGCCCAGGAGTTTGAGACCAGCCTGGGCAACATAGCAAGACCCCGTCCCTTTAAAAAAAAAATGTAATAACCAAGTGTGATGGCATATGCCTCTGGTCCCAGCAAATTGAGAGGCTGAGACAGAAGGATCACTTGAGCCTGGGAGGTTGAGGTTGCAGTGAGCATTCTAGCCTGAGTAACAGAGTGAGACCCTGTGTTTAAAAAAAAAAAAAATTCTCGTGATGTTATAAGAATGGTTTTGTGATAAATATACTTCTAAGACAAATATAGTCAAAACTTTTAAATGCTGGTTTTATCTTTGCCAAATATGATGCTCCTTACTTCAGTCCAGGTCTGCAGAACCTACCCTGGGACAAAGCCTTCCTCCTTAGAAAGACAATTCACAGCCAGTGGAGGACAGAGTTGCTCTGACCATCCACCTAGGTGGTGCACCCAGAGCTGGAGCCCAGGACACAGCCCTGGTCAGTCCTTCCTCTAAACCAGGTGACGGCAAAGGAGTGATTCTCTCTTCTTTCTTTCACGCTCACTCTTTCCAGATCATTTTCTTCACCACAACTGCACACTAAAGCAGTCAGATCCAAAATGTTCTAAGGCAATTGTCTGCTGACAGTTATTACTAAACAAAAAAAAAGAGAGAGAAAAGGAAAGAAGGAAAGAGAAAAAAAGAAAAAAGATGGAAAGAAGGAAAAAGGAAAAAGGAGGAAGAGAAGGAACCTTCACACAGCCAGGCTAATCCACAGTACGTTACCTGTTCCTCTTATAGGCTTTTGGTTTGTGCCTGGCACTGAAGTTACTTTGTGTACATGTCTCACTTAGCCTTCTAAGAGCGTTAGGCTAGGGTTTATCTCTGTCCATTGCACTTAGCACAATGCCCGGCATGTAGCAGGCATTCAATAAAAGGTAGCAACATGACCACACAAACAACTTCTAGGAGAAATTTAAACCAATTCCATTCTAGTACATTTGGTCAACATCATCTGTAACCCAGATGCTTCTCAGCCTTAACCACACTTTAGAATCATCTCAAGTGGCTTTTAAAAACCCTGATGCCCAGGCTGTACCCCAGAACAACCAAATTCACCTCTCTGGGGTGAATTCCCTAGCTATTCCCATGCAATCAAGGCTAAGAATCACAGTCATTCCAAACTTAGCATTTTTAGATCTTGGAATACCTTAATGATAATAAACTCTATGTGGCTTTGTGTTATGTTGGCTAGACCTATGATTCTCAAACTTAGCTACAGATTATAATCACCTGGGGAGATATTAAAACCAATGATGCCTAAATCCCACCCCTAGAGATTTGAATTTGACTGGTTGGGATGGAGGTCTCAGCACTGGAAATTTATTAAAGCTCCTGGATGATTCCAAGGTAGAGCAACATTTGAGAACCGCTAGGATAAGCCTTAATCTAATGCCTTTGGCAATGTCCTGAGAGCTGCCCAGGGCACCTGTTGGTGCTGACAACTTAGTAGTAGCAAGTGAGAAACTGCTAACTCACCTGCTGAAGAAACCAGAGCCCTCAGGGCCTGTGACTGTTGTGTGCAGCATATTGAAGGTTTTTAGAAATCAATGGAGATTTGGTTTTGAGTGTTTGTTGTTTATTTACATATACCTCTATTTTCCTCCCTGTTCTTGTCAAACTTCATTCACTTTTTTTTTTTTTTTTTTTTTGAGATGGAGTCTTGCTCTGTCGCCAGACTGGAGTTCAATGGTGAGATCTTGGCTCACTGCAACCTCTGCCTCCTGGGTTCAAGTGATTCTCCTCCCTCAGCCTCCCGAGTAGCTGGAATTACAGGCACCCGCCACCACACCCAGCTAATTTTTGTATTTTTAGTAGAGACGGGACCACCATGTTGGTCAGGCTGGTCTCGAACTCCTGCCCTCAGGTGATCTACCTGCCTTGGCCTCCCAAAGTGCTGGGGTTACAGGCATGAGCCACCGCGCTCGGCCTTCATTCACTTTTGAGGGCAACAGGTGTGTTTCCTGTTTAAACTCTGTAAGAGGAAAGTGATGGTTTCCTCTCTGGAGGTTCTGATCTTGGAGGCATCCTCTTATGAAATCCTTAAGTTTCATTCCTCACCGGCTCTGCCCAGATGGCATAATTCAATGGGAGGCCTAAAGCTGCACTGATCAATAAAGTGGCCACTAGACACATATGGCTATTTCAATTAATGAAAGCTAAATAAATGACTGTTCGGTTTTTCCATTATACTAGCCACACATATGTGTTCGATAGCCCCATGCAGCTCGTTGCTACTGTACTGAACAGTGCAGCTATATAATCTTTCCATTACCTCAGTGGAGTGTGATAATAAAAAAAAATTAAATAAATAAATAACATTTCCATAATCACCAAAAGTTTTATTGTTTGGTGCTAATATAAAAGTTAGCCTGCCCACCCCAGATTCCCCTATAAGCCAGGGCTTTCCGATTTACACCCCTACTTCTAACACTGCCTGGCCCAGCTTCTCACTGCCCCAGACCTCCCAGTCATTTCCCCACCCGCTTGAGGGCTCAGGAACAACCTGCTTCTCTTTCTCTCCATTTAGTTCCTCCCATCAACCTTGAGGATGTCAACATCCACACAGACAGTTGTCCCACACCCTGGTCACACAGTTCCCCAATTCCTAGACTCAAATTGATTTGTGCAACATATTTTTATAGAGCATCTACGTTTCTATAGAGCCCCTACTCTGTGCAGACACTGCCCGAGCCATGGGGAGGGCATATATTCACGGTCCTCACAGGGCTTCCAACCTAGTCGGGGAGGTGGACGATAAACCAGTGGACAGATAAATCACGTGACAAAGTAGGGTAAGGAATAGAGAGCTATGGGTTGGAATAGAGGGCTGTTTAGATGAGGTGACTGGTGATTCTTCTGAGTCCTGGAGGGAGGGAGGGAGTCATGAGAGGACCTGAAGGAAGTAATTCTGAGAAAACAGCAGAGCAAATGTCCTGAGGAGAGCCTGACTTGCATGAGGACAGCCTCCCATTTGGCAGCCATCTCACTCAGCCACTCTCACATCTGCTTTCCAAACTCACCCACCCTCTTGTCCTTCCACCCTGCTGCTGCCTTCCACATTGTCCTGCCCTATTTGCACATCCTCCAGACGTGTAGGTGGTGAGGTAACTGAGGCTCAGCAGAAGTGCCTAATGCCCCTTCTTACAGAGTCCTTTGAACCCTGCCCTCATGCCCCCTCCCCACAGCTTCCTCAGCTTCTCCCCCTTTCATGGCTCATTCCCACCAGTATTCAAACTGGATTCTAGGCTCTCCCACCTGGAATTACAACTAAGCAGAAAACCCATCTAAACTCCACATCTTCCTCTAGCTCTCAATTCATGCAAAATGCATTGAAAGTGATGGCAATATAGGTGTGTTGGTTATATTATTTAAACATTTCCTTTTTTAAAAAAATGTTTAAGACTTTTTTTAGAGTAATTTTAGGTTTGCAGCATAATTGAGCAGAAGGTACAGAGTTTCTATATGCCCTCTGCCCCTAAACATGCATGGCCTCCCCACTATCAGCATCCCCCCTGGGTTGGTGCATTTGTTACAATTGATAATCCTGCATTGACACAGCATTAGCATTAGCACCCATGCTTCTTCTTCTTCTTATTATTATTATTTTTAGAGACAGGGTCTTGCTCTGTTACCCAGGCTGGAGTGCAGTTGTGCAATTGTAGCTCACTGCAGCCTCAAACTCCTGGGCTCAAGTGATCCTCCCACCTCAGCCTCCTGAGCAGCTGGGGTTAACAGGCACATGCCACCGTGCCTGGCTAATCTTTTTTTTTTTTTTTTTGTAGAGACAGGGTCTCACTATGTTACTCTTGGCCTCAAGAGATCTTCTTGCTGCAGCCTCCCAAACTGCTGGGATTACAGGCATGAGACACCATCCTCAGCCTAGTGTTGATATTCTCTGGGTTTGGACAAATGTATAATGATGTATATCCACCATTATGGTATCATATAGAATAGTTTCATTGCCCTAAAAATCCTCACTGTTCCACCTAAAAAAAAATTTATTTCCCCCCCAGTAAATAATTAACTCTTCCAAATAGCCATCTTCCACAGGCTGCTGGCACCGCCTCACTCCAAGCCCTCTTGCCTACTTATGCCCAACCCCTGGTCCTACAGGTGCTCTTGCTGAGGTCTGGCTTCTCCACAGCTGCAGACAGGAAGGTCCCTGCTTCTGCCAGAAACTGTGTCTTTCAGAACAAAGTACTCTGGTTTTCCTCCTACCTCTCTGACAGGCGCTTCTCCACTGCAGCATCCCCCTATTCTTCACCCCATCCCTTAAATGTCAGTGTCCCCAGGACCTTGTCCCAGCCATCTTCTCTCTCTACCCTCTCTTTGGCAGACTCACCTAAGTTGATGGCTTAAATTGTCATCAACATGCTGATGTTCTTAAATCCCTACCCTCTACTCTCAACCTTTATATCTGATTCCTAACTCAGCATCCCTAATTGAGTATCCTATAGGCATCTGAACTCAATGCATGCATAGTTTGGTTTGGGCCGCACTCAGTTTGAAGTGGCGTAGGTTGAAGAATGAGTGAGCATTAGATGAGAAGCGGGAGGGGGTGGGGGGTGTGGTGGGAATGAATGAAGAGAATGAAGCTGCAGGGACAAGCAGAGGCCAGGCCAGGCAGAGCCTTGAGAGTCATGTTAAGAATTCTGTCTTTATCCAAAGGTAATGGGAAGACAACGAAGAGTGTTAGGCAGATGGAAGAGGAAGCTATGATAAGATTCGCTTTTAGACAAGCCTATTATAGCTTCACAGGTCAAAGAGGAAAGTCCAATTTAACTTCCTCCCCTGTGGCTGAAATACGGGACTGTCCAGTCCCCTTAAGCCATGTGTAGTCATGGTCGGGTGCTGCCAAGGAGCTTTCACACACACACACTGATCTCTTCCTCAAGCCTTGCCTCCAGGAGTCAAGTGGGGCCAGGCCTGGGTCTCTGGGCAGTGACCGTGTGAGGTGCCACGTGCAGACGCCCATGAAAGACGCCTCCGGAAGGCAGATGAAGAGCTCAGCCCGAGGGCTTAGCAGATCATAGACATTAAACCGTAAGTGCAGCCGGCTCACTGCCCCTCTGACTCACAGGGAGTAAATCCCTCCTGGTCAGCACAGTTTTACATCCATTTAGGAAAAGGCTTAGGAGAGCGGAAGTCCCAGAATGCCACCCACCCCAACAAGAGAGAGATTTAAATCCCACTGCCATTGAGGGCCCAGAGTTTTTTTAAGAGATCAAGCCACTAAGATCCTGAGCCTTGGGCTATTTGTATGAGCCATATGCTCTCCATTCATCCTTTCACAGGAGATGGCCCACACAGTCTCGGCCCTCAGACCCTAGACTCCTTCCTGAGCCCCCACCCACCCATGGCAGGGCAGCCAGGACCTTCATGGAACCTCAAACCCGGCCTTTGGGTGAGGGGTGAGGGAAGAAGAAAAATGGATCCACTATGCCTTTGGAAGCAGGGCTGATGTCACCGTGTTGTGGTTTTTTGGCAATAACAGCAACCAGGATAATCAGGTGTTCGTGGGTGCCCCTCCTCCCTGTGCAGGCCCTGAACTGCAGGACGTTAGGCAGACCTCACCCCATCTTCACATCATCCCCATGGGGAAGGGCTCACCACCCCCCTTTTCAGCTGGAGAAACGGAGGTTCAGAGAGAGCAGGAAACATGGCCACATACGCTAGATGGCGGCAGAACCAAGGTCTGAACCTGATTTTCCTGAATTCCCAACTCCTTTTCCTTTGCCAAGACCCTCAGCAGTGGATGAGGGTCACTGTGTGGCTGGAAAGCAAAGCTGCTCCTGCCTCCAGCGGAACAGAACCACAGTGCAGACCCAGGAAGGATGGCCGAGGTAGGGGTAGTGAGGAGGCAGCAGATGGGGAAGGAAGCTACAGAGGGGGCTCCACGTTGAGACCTGCAGGGGCCTGACAGTACTGTCCAGGGCACAGCCCAGAGTCAGCTCTCAAGGGAGAAGTGCCTCCCTTGGCAAGAAAGAAGGGCAATCGTGTGGTCAGGAGGCCAACTTTGGCAGCAGGCCAGGAGGAGTAGGAATAAAGTTGGAAGGCTGAGAGCTGGGAGAACAGAACAAAACCAATAACAGCCAAGAGGAAACAGACTCACTCTGCAGCCATTTAGTACACAGAGACACAAAGCAGCAGAAAATAGGGGCTGGTCTTTGTAAAAGCAGCTGCTGGGCGGAATCATTGTTCTGTGTGCATGCCTTGGCTGGGGTGAGGCAGGGAAGGCTTCCAGGTTCAAAGAAGTCTTCACAGTGTGCATGTGTGAGGGTGACCATGTGCATAGTGTGTGCCCGTGAAGTCACATATGTGGCATGCGGTATGTGTGTGAGTGTGACCGTGTGTGTGAACAGGACTTCTAAGAAAAGGAGCAATCCTAAAGAGAGAAAGCACTCTAAGACTGTAATCAGAAGGGGTCTGGTCATTTTCTTATTTGTTCGTATAGCTTGACACCTGCGTGTCAATAATGAAAGTAATTTGGAAAAATAAATTGTCAGAGGCTTGGCTGAAATGTTCACAAGGAGGCGTCACCCTGTTGACTGTCTGACTGTGTGTGCATTCTCATGGATGCAGAAAGGCCCAGAACCACATTCCCTGTCCTTTTCCCCCAGCCTCAGTTTAATAAATATTTTACTTCCTTGAAATGTATGTGTTCATCTTTTCCCACTTTAACACCTCATGGGCTGGATTTCAACAAAGTCTCCTCCCCACTAAGAGTCAGAGCCCAGCTGTGCCCAGGCTCATGCGCGGGTTTGGGAATGAGACTGTGGACTTCTGAGGAAAAGTGAGACGGAGGTGCCGCCAAGCCCAGGCTGCTGAGTGGGGTCCCTGGGCACCCCAAGGGACTTGTGCTGAACCCCAGTTCTTACAGAATAGACAGTTTTGAACAGATTTTCCTCCAGTCTAAGTAAATCAGGAACCTACATTCTAGTGTTGGGAAGCCACTAGCAGGCCGTGTGACTTACTCATGCCCCTGAGCCATTTCAGCATCTGTCAAATGAGTTGACTTGGACAGTTTCCCAGTGTGTGCTCCATGGAGTAGGAATCCCACAAGACAGTCCAAAAAACTGTGGATTTTTTAGTTGTTTCTGAGAAGCCCTGCATAATTTATCCCTCTCTTCAAGATTCTCACAGTGCCTATTTGCATAACAAAGGTTCTAAAAGTTCTGCTGTAGAGACATCTGTTGAAAATGGTCTAAACCAGGGTTTTCCACGTTTTGGTGGCCCTGGAACCCCATTTCACTCAACAGCCATTCACGTTTCCCAAAATTAGAGTTCAGGGGACTTGCTGGGCCGATGACATCTGAGGCTCCTTCCAGTTTAACAGCCTATGGTTCTGGCAACCCAACCCGCATGGGTTGTTCAGAGCAGGGCCTCTGAGGGTTTTGATCTGTTTGCCTTCCGCTGAGTAGGACTAGGCTCCAGAGAGAGTAATTATAGGCTGGGTGTGGTGGCTTCTGCCTGTAATCCTAGCACTTTGGGAGGCCAAGGTGGGTGGATCACTTGAGGTCAGAAGTTTGAGACCAGCCTGGCCAACATGGTGAAACCCTGTCTCTACTAAAAATACAAAAATTAGCCAGGCATGCTGGTGCACGCCTGTAATCCCAGCTACTCGGGAGGCTGAGGCAGGAGAATCGCTTGAACCCGGGAGGTGGAGGTTGCAGTGAGCCAAGATTGCGCCACTGCACTCCAGCCTGGGTGACAGAGAGTCCATCTCAAAAAACAAACAAACAAATAAACAAAAGAGAGTAATAACCTCTCCCAGAGCAGCAGTTGCCACTGGGATACTGGAAGTAGAGGCTGTAACTCTTATTTATATTCAGGGTTTTTTTTTTTTTTTTCTAAAAATAAGAAATCAATTAAACTTTAACATACATATTTATAACAGCACATGTATGTGATTTGTAAGTAAATATGCATGTATTAGAGGTACAGTTTCAAAAACTTGTCATTGACAGCAGCGCATGTTCAAAAATGTTTGGGGACTGACCTAGAAAATGTGCCTCAAGATATTAATTTATATTCAAAACCACTAGTTTATCTGATGCTTAGTAGAATGGAAAATAAATGTGTAACATGCCACACATGGTGTTTATATCTTAGCTGCTTGTTCTTTTCTTATCTCCATGTCTAACAGTCCTTATGTCTACTTCAGGCCTGGAGTATGATGCTTCGTATGTCAATTCAAAATAAACTTCCTAAGGAACTTAGATTTGTAATGTAATGATTTTGAATGCAGATCCTGGGCTATTATTTCTTGGGAATGTCTCCATTACATCATGAAATTGCATTCACTGTTGTTCACACATATATTTCTGATAATTAAGCAAATTTCTGAACACCTCTTCTAAGATTCAAAACAGTAAAATGAAACCCAATATCATTATAAAGTTATTCTCTGGCAAATAATTTAAGGAAGACAACTCCCGTATGCATTTTTTTCTTAATAGTTCAGGCTAGGTTCCTATATACAGTTCTCCCCAAAATACTTGAGTGTAATTATTTAGCAGGTCATCGGTTGTAACCCTGAGAAACAAAGCAGCACAATGTGATTTGTACAGAGAATGATTTTACCCACTACGTCTCCAACTATTTATATCTGCCTCAAATCAAAATGCTTTGGCTGAACGCAGGCATCCGAAGGAAGGCTCATCCCAGTCTAGTTCTGCTCTCAATGCTTGTGACACATAGAGTATGTGTGCCCAGGGAGAGGCTGCGTTCAGTGAAGTAGCTGGGTTCTCATTCTCATAGGGCGATATCTCAATAGGACCTTAGCCCCCTGGGGAGCCATCCCACTGTGCCACTGCTGCTGCTACTATGCAGGGTAACCTCCCTCCTTTCCCACCTATGACTTTACCTTGGCTTGGGCATTTCCACCTGCCCTGTCCATCGCTTCCTCTTGGGTTTTCTGCTCTCCACGAGAACCATCAAGCAAAACAAGAACAAAATGAGTCTTGTAAAATAAGGCATTTTGTGGACATCTGTGAGGCAAAAAGCTGCTTTCCAGTAGCCTGTGGCAGAGCAAATCCCCCCTGGCTTGACCATTGATCCATCTGCTGCCTCCTGACGGGCTGCTCTGAGGGGCTGTGAGGGCAAGGCTGGCCAGGCTAGTTGTCCCGATTTACTATTTGATACTGACGCCCCACTCACCCCCTCCACTCCGGGCCATGACACAAACACCAGGCTTTGCCCTCCCTGCTGATTAGTGATTGGCCATTAGTCGAGAAGTTTGTCCTCATGAAATTCTGCTTCCACTGAATCCTAGAATAGCTTTGGCTAAAGCTGTTATATAAAAAATTAAATCTCTTGAACATGCCAGCTTTGTGCTGAGATTATTGGTCCATCTTCTGGCTGCATAAAACCAGTCTGTCCCATCCACCAGGGGGTCAGCTCGGATTCCAAGTAGATTTGCAGAGAGGACTTGGTGGACATTTAGATGGGTACATAAATGTGTTCAGGAAATGCTGAGTAAACATGAATGACCTGTTTCCTTAGGGTTGATTTATTTATGGAGCTAAGAGAATATGCTTTGCCTATGAGCAAGGATACTTCCTTTCTCACAAATATAGATCAACTTTTTCCAGTGAAAACATCAAAGCATAAAATACATTTTTAGTTTCAAGGATGACATTAATCATAGAATTCATGATTATGTAAGCTTTTCTTCCTACCATAAGCATTAAATTAACTTTGGCCTTTAACCCTAAAATGTATAAAATCAATCATAAATTAGGCTTTATTCCTATCCTGGGATATGGAATTAAGCACATTAGAATTGTAGAGATACATGTGGTTATGTCTAACCTACTGAACAAAATAGAATATGTTTAAAAACTACTCATTGCTTGCTATGTCCTGGCAATGGAAAATTTCATGGTAGAAACATAGGGAGATGAGGACAGAGATCAGGAGGTGGGATAGCCGTAAGTGAAACAGAATTGGGATTTTACTATGTATAAATGACAGAATCAAAAGAAGCTCTTTGATTCCCTTAAGCAAAGTGAGATGGCATGATCTACTTTATTTTTGAAATAATTCCTAATTGGGATCAGTCGAATCAGGGAACTTATGATGACAAAAGAGAATAAGGTCCTGCTCTGAGGGAAGCGAAGAAGGAAGAAGAGAAAGGAAGACAGAAGAGTGAGATACTCAAGTTAGTTCTGCGGTAGCATACATTTGGTGCCTGTGCAGATAGAGTAGAAGGTGAGAGACAGAAAAGTCAACAATAATATCAAGAATTCTACGGTGGCTCACACTTGTAATCCCAGCACTTTGGCAGAGGCAGGTGGATTACCTGAGGTCAGAAGTTCAAGACCAGCCTGGCCAACGTGGTGAAACCCCATTTCTACTAAAAATACAAAAATTAGCCAGGTGTGGTGGTACGTGCCTGTTAATCCCAGCTATTCAGGAGGCTGAGGCAGGAGAATCACTTGAACCTGGGAGGCAGAGGCTGCAGTGAGCCAAGATCACACCACTGCACTCCAGCCTGGGCGACAGAGCATGACTCCGTCTCCAAAAAAAAAAAAAAAAAAAAAAAAGCTAGAGCATGAGCCTGGAGTTCAGGAGAAAGTCTAGTTCTATTTCTAGACTATAGAAATAGATCTGGAGCTGTAGAGACCAAGTGAAAGTTTTCCCTTTGCCCCATGGAGGATCACCAAAAAATCAACTGACAAAAGGAAGATTAATAGGGGAAAAGGCATACAGATTTATTAACATGCATGGAGGAAAATCACATCATGATTACCCAATTACCCAGCATGGTACAGACATTTATATACCCTTTTTCATAAGGAAGAGATGGGGGATGTAGGCAATTCTTTTGAGGGACAGTAAATCATTAGGGAGGATGAATGGACCCAGGAGGAAAGTGAGGGGTGGAACTACACAGGAACTAAAGTTGTCTTATACAGATAAAGTCCAACAGGTAATCTCTTAAAGCTGCCCTCAGAAGACTAGATGAAAAGTCTATCTGGGTGCAGTGAGAACTCCCAGTCTCTTCTCTTCTCAGATGGTTGATTTTTCCTGGTTATTTTGTGAGATCCCTAGGTAGGGGGTCTTAAGTGCATTTAAACTTTCTTAGATAGGGAAATTCCAGAGAGTCCCTCCCAGTTCTTTGTGCAAGAAGAGCAGAGAGCCTGACCAATCAGTAGGTTAACAAAGAAATTCAGACAGAAATTTAAAAACTTTTTGAAATGAAAAAAAGTACAGCATACCAAAGCCTGTGGCATATAACAAAAGCAGTGCTAAGAGAGAAATTTACAGTATTCAATGCCCATATCAAAAAAGTAGAAAGATCACAAACTAACAAACTCCTATGGCACCTCAAGGAACGAGAAAAGCAGAAGAAACCAAACCCTGAGTTAGCAGAATAAAAGGAATAACAAAGATCAGAGCAGAACTAAATGAAATAGAGACCAATAAAACGATACAAAGGATCAATAAAAAAAAAAGTTGTTTTTTTGAAAAGATAAAGAAAATTGACAAACCACTAGCTAGACTAACCAAGAAAAGAAGAGAGAAGCTCCAAATAAACACAATCAGAAATGAAAAGGGAGACATTACAAATGATACCACAGAAATACAAAAGATCATCAGAGTCTGTTATGAACAGCTTTATGCTCACAAACTAGAAAACCTAGAGGAAATGAATACATTTCTGGAAACACATAATCTCCTGAGATTGAACCAGGAAGAAATAGACCTCCTGAACAGACCAATAACAAGTAGCAAGATTGAATCAGTAATAAAAAAAATCTCCCAAAAACTAAAATAGTCCAGGACCAGATGGATTTACAGACAAATTCTACCAAACATACAAAGAACTAAAACCAATCCTCCTGAAACTATTCCAAAAAATCAAGGAGGAGGGAATTCTCCCTAACTCATTCTATGGGACCAGTATCACCCTGATACCAAAACCAGACAAGGACACAACAACAACAAAAAAAACTACAGACCAATATTCCCAATGAATATAGATGCAAAAAATCCTCAACAAAATACCACAAATTGAAAACAACAGCACATCAAAAAGTTTATACACCATGATGAGGTACGATTTATCCCAAGGATACAAGGATGGTTCAACATACACAAGTCAATAAACATGATACATCACATAAACAGAATTAAGGAAAACTATGTGGTCATCTCAATAGATGCAGAGAAAGTGTTCGATAAAATTCAGCTTCCCTTCATCATAAAAATTCTCAACAAACTAGGCATAGAAGGAAGATATCTCAACATAATAAAGCTCATATATGACAAACCCACAGCCAACATCATACTTAATGGGGGAAAGTTGAAAACATTCTAAGAAGTGGAAGAAGACAAGGATGCCCACTTTCACCACTCTTATTTAATATAGTACTGGAAGTCCTCACCAGACCAATCAGGCAAGAGAAAGAAATAAAAAACTTCTAAATTGGAAAAGAGAAAGTCAAATTATCCGTGTTTGCTGATGATATGATCTTGTTTCTAGAAAACCCTAAAAACTCCACAAAATCCAACCATGGAGGATGATGAAAAATTAAAAAAGACTCCATAAAAGCCCTCTTAGATTTGATAAATGAATTTTGTAAAGTTTCACAATACAAAATTAATGTACAGAAATCAGTAGTGTTCCCACACACCAGTAAAGATCTAGCCAAGGACCAAATTAAGAAGGCAATCTCTTTTACAATAGCTACAAAAATAAAATAAAATACCTAGGAATATATTTAACCAAGGAGGTGAAAGATCTCTTTAAGAACTACAAAACACTTATGAAAGAAATCCTAGATGACACAAACAAAAATGAAAAAACATCCCATGCTCAAGGATTGGCAGGATCAATATCATTGAAATGGCCATACTGCCCAAAGCAATCTACAGATTCAATGCATTCCCTATCAAATTATCAAAATCATTTTTCACAGAATTAGAAAAAAAAAATTCTAAAATTCACATAGAATCCAAAAGAGCCTGAATAGCCAAACCAATCCTAAGCAAAAAGAACAAAGCTAGAGGTTTTACCTGACTTCAATTATGCTACAAGGCTGTAGTAACCAAAGCAGCATAATACTGATATAAAAATCAACACATAGATCAATGGAACAGAATATACAATCCAGAAATAAAGCCACATACCTACGGCCTGGGCAAATAATTTATGACCAAGTCCTCAAAAGCCAGTGCAACAAAACCAAAAATAGACAAACGGGGCCTAACTAAACTCAAAAGCTTCCTGCACAGCAAAAGAAACAATCAACAGAGTACACAGACAACCCATAGAGTAAGAAAAAATATTTGCAAACTATGCATCAAAGGGCTAATATCCAGAATCTACAAAGAACTCAACAACAACAACAACAAAAACAAGTAACTCCATTAAAAAGTGGGCAAAGGACAAGAACATTTTTCAAATGAAGACACACAAGCAGCAACAAGCATATAAAATAAAATGCTCAACATCACTAACCATCATAGAAATGCAAATTAAAACCACAATGAGGTACCATTTTGCACTAGTCAGAATGGCTATTATTATAAAGTCTAAAAACAAAAGATGTTCACGAGAATGCAGAGAAAAGGGAATACTTATACACTGTTGGTGGGAATGTGAATTTGTACAACCTCTATGGAAAACAGAATGGATAGTTCTCAAAGAACTAAAAATAGAACAACTATTCAATTCAGCAGTTCCACTACTAGGTATATACCCAAAAGATATCAAAAAATACTGCACTCATATGTAACAGAGCAGGAGCTTCACCATCTTGGACAAACACCACCATTTTAAATTTCCCTTGATTAAAAAACAAAACAAAACTGCCTAAATCCAGCCCCAAAACATCAGCCTAATGGCTAACGTCAGAATAACCAGAAACATTCCAACCCCTAAGATAAACCCGCTCCAACCAGAAACATGCCAACCCGGAGATAGCTTCCTCTCTAACCAGAGACATTTCAACCCCACAGTAACCTTTTCCTCACATAGAAACACTCTGAACCTACAATAAGCTCCCCTCTTCCTAAACCCTTAAATATCCTTAGTCTGTAAGAGAGAACACTCCTGACCAAAAATCGGCCAGAAGCCCCTCTCAGGTTTATTCTCCAAAATAAACCTGTCTTTGACTGTTGAGCCACTTTTCATGTTTCTTTCCTTTTTCTTTAACTCTTACAATACGTTTATCACTGCACTATTTACGATAGCAAAGACATGAGACTGATGTGCTGCCTCCTGCACTAAGGAGGCAACTTCCATACCAAAGATACAGAATCAACCTAAGTGTCCATCAACAAAGGATTGGATAGAAAAAAATAAGGTATCTATTTATGCCATGGGATGCTACTTAGACATGAAAAAGAATGAAATAACATCTTTTGCAGCAACATGGATAGAACTGGAGGCCATGATCCTAAGTGAAATAACTTAGAAACAGAAAGTTAAATACTGCATGTTATATAAGTGGGAGCTAAACAATGGGTATACATGGACATACCGAGTAGAATAATAGATACTGGAGACTTCAAAATGTGGAAGGGTGGAAGCGGGGGTGAGGGTTGAAAAATTACCTATTGAGGCCAGGCATGGTGGCTCACGCCTGTAATCCCAGCACTTGGGGAGGCCGAGGTGGGTGAATCACCTGAGGTCAGGAGTTCGAGACCAGCCTGGCCAACATGGTGAAATGCCATCTCTATAATAAATACAAATATAAATACAAAAAATTAGCTAGGCATGGTAGCATGTGCCTGTAGTCCCAGCTACTTGGGAAGCTGAGGCAGGAGAATCCCTTGAGCCCGGGAGGCGGAGGTTGCAGTGAGCTGATATTGCGCCATTGCACTCCAGCCTGGGCGACTAGAGAAAGACTCTGTCTCAAAAACAAACAAAAAACAGAAAAATTATCTATTGGATACAATGTTCACTATTTGGGTGATGGTTACACTGAAGGCCCAGATGTCACCACTAAGCAATATATATGCATGTAAGAAATCTGCACGTGTACCCTCTAAATATATACAAAGATAAAAGTGTTTTTAAAAAGAGGAGCAGACAGGGATATGGGAGAAAGGTCAGAGAGAGACCTTGCTTTTGAGACTTATTTCTGAGGCCTTTCAATTTTCAAAGCACGCAACATGCTGAATCATTTTCTGCCCCCAACAGAGGCATTAGCGTATGGCATGTCAACTTAAAATCATGAGACCCATACGTTTGGAAAGGAGAAATTTATTTCTTATAGAGAATTGTAACCTGCAGGCTGGGAAACAAAGCCTCAGGCTGAGACAGAAAGCAGGCACTTCTAGGGAGGGAGCATGTTATGGGAGTTTTATACTTGAGGATTGGCTAGGCATGCATATTTGTCAGGATATGAGGGCTATGAATATTTATGAGAGGAGATCACAGGTGATAAGCAAACATGTATGTCACATACGTCCCATTTTCATGTTAGGGTGGAGACAATGTTAAAATGCAGCAAAATTAGTCTCTATACCTCAAAAGGTGAAACGGAAGACACAGAAGTACCTTGTGTGCAGCCTTCATGGACAGAACTGCAGAACCACTCTGCGGTCAGTGGTCACTTATCAGGAAGGAATGCCTTGTCAGTTGTCGTGTGGAAACTGCAGGAGGGGAGGGAAGTTCCCCTGCAGCATTAAGCAATTGGCTAAAGTCAGCAAAGGAGTGTCTTGTGTTCTTTGTCTTTCTAAGTTTGGTTTCTGTTTAACTCTTAGGAAAGTCTGGCGAGTGTTAGTGAGGAAGGGGGTTCAGTGAGGCATGACTGACCTTCCCATGGCTGGGAGACATAGTTTTTAAAGTTTTTCTGGGGTCACCTTGGCCAAGAGGGGTTCATTCAGTCAGGCACTTAGGATTTTTCTTTTATTTTTATTTCAATAGCTTTGGGGGTACAAGTGGTTTTTTGTTACATGGATGAATTCTATAGTGGTAGATTCTGAGATTTTGGTGCACCTGTCACCCGAGTAGTTTTTTATCCCTAGCCCCCTTCCCAACCTTCCCTTTCAAGGTCTCTTCTAAGTCCATTATATCACCCTGTATGCCTTTAGGTACTCACAGTTTAGCTCCCACTTATAAATGAGAACATACAGTTTTATACACCAACAACAAGCAAGCTGAAAATCAAATCAAGAACTCAATCCCTTTTACAACAGCTGCAAAAATGAAAATAAAATAAAATAAAATAAAATAAAATACCTAGGAATATACTTAACCAAGGTGGTGAAAGATCTCCACAAGGAGAACTACAAAACACTGCTGAAAGAAATCATAGATGACACAAATGGAACACAAAACCCATGCTCATGGATTGGAAGAATCAATATTGTGAAAATGACCAGACTGCCCAAAGCAATCTACAGATTCAATACAATTCTCATCAAAATACCAACATCATTTTTTGCAGAATTAGAAAAAGCTATCCTCAAATTCATATGGAATCAAAAAAGAGCCCAAATAGCCAAAGCAATCCTAAGCAAAAGAAACAAATCTGGAGGCATCACATTGCCGGACTTCAAGTTATACTACAAGGCTATAGTTACCAAAAAGCATGGTACTGGCATAAAATTAGGCATGTAGACTAACAAAACAAAATAGAGAACATAGAAATAAAGTCACATACATACAGCCAACTGGTCTTTGACAAAGCAAACAAAAACATAAATTGGGGAATGGACACCCTATTTAATAGATGGTGCTGGGAAAACTGGCAAGTGACATGTAGAAGAATGAAACTGGATCCTCATCTCTCACCTTATACAAAAATCAACTCAAGATGGATCAAAGACTTAAATCTAAGACCTGTAACCATAAAAATTCTAGAAGATAACATGAGAAAAACTCTTACAGACATTGGCCTAGACAAAGAATTCATGACTAAGACCTGAAAATGATTTTATTTTTATTTTGCAGGTGGTAGTTTAGCTATAGGAAAGGATGAAATCTTCAGGGACATATTAAGAGGTCAAAGTTCAAGCACAGAATCTTGGAGAATCTTCACTCTTAAAGGATGGATGGAGCAGCCAGAACAAAAGCATAGAAATGTCAACCTAAAATAATGAAAAGTCTCAGGATCCAGTTAGAGTTCATTCAAGTGCAAAGTATGAGGGTGGCCATCAGGGAAGCAGAGCTACACCCAAGAATGGTGATCAGTTGCACCAAGTGTGGGAAAAAATGAGGATTGTTTATACAAATCAAAACAAAACAAAACAAAATGGTGGTGTTGAACAGAATTACGTTTCCTCTACAAAGGCTCATGTGTAAGATTTGATTGGCTGCTATTGATTACACTCTAAGAGGGTTGCTTAACATTCTGTTGCATAGAGGTAACAATCACAAGAGTCTCCATTTCCAATGTCATTTAGCCTAGGTTTGAATGAAGAATGAGGTGTCTGGTTAGCGTATAACATTTCAACACAAAGGTCAGGAAGTAATGGTCATGTACCAGAGAGGAAAAACAGCCATGTGCTGTGAGTCAGTTTCCAGGGCTTAACTTTTCCCCGTGGCTTAATAAATCTAGGAGGTTCCAAAATTTTATTTTCTTCTTACAGAAGAACTAGAAAAGAAGTTGACTATGAAAACCAAAGAAGGAGCTTCAAGGAGGAGGGTAGTCAACATGCAGTGCTGTGAAGAAGTCAAGCAAGGCAAAGGCAGAAAATAGGTTACTGGATCTGGCAACAGCACATCATTCCTGACTTCCGTAAATGCAGTTTCACTTGTGAAATGCAGCAGGAAGCCAAATGACAATGGGTTAAATAGGTACTTGAGGCTGGGAGTAATTCATTACAGGGACTAATTCAGTGGTTCCCAAATCTGACCACGCCTCAGAATCATCAAGGGAATTTGTTTAAAAGTCCTTCTCCTCCTGAAGCCTTAGTAGTGGGAGGCATGAGGCCTATTAAAGTTCTTTTCCATAGATTTTGTTCAAAGGATCTTTCTTTTCCTTACTTCCATTTGGAATAAGCTTATAAAGGACTGGCTTGAACCCTAGGATTGTGCCTGGATGTGTAATCACCCAACAAGTTCCCCTTGCGCACTGTCCAGGCAAAGCCAATTCATCAAGACAGGGGAATTGGAATAAAGAGTTCAATTCATGCAGAGCTGGTTGTATGGAAGACTGGAGTTTTATTATTACTCAAATCAGACTCCTGGAAAACTCAGCGATCGTGGCTTTTCAAGATAATTTGGTGGATAGAGGGCTTGTTTTGGAAAAGGGCTGTTACTGTCTTTGTTTCAAAGTTAAACTATAAACTAAGTTCCTCCCAAAGTTAGTTTAACCTACGCTCAGGAATGAACAAGGGCAGCTGGGAGGTCAGAAGCAAGATAAGAGTCAGGTCAGATCTCTTTTACTGTCATAATTTTCTCAGTTATAATTTTTGTAAAGGCAGCTTAAGGTGGTGGTTTTCAATAAATATTTGTTTTGTTGCATGTAGACAACTTTAGGTCCTACCAATTTTTTACTTTAAAGCCCTTTTATCAATAGTTCAATTATTGTAATTACAGTCAGGAGAAAACCATTGTAGGATGGTATAATTATTTTTTTAATCACAACTTTATTGAAATATCATTCACATACCATAAACTCACCCCTTTAATGTGTGGCTTTTGGAATATTCCGTTATGCAGCTCCCCTAAAAGAAGACTCATACCCATTAGAAGTCATTCCCCTTTCCCATTCCCTTCAGCCCCTGGCAACCAACACTAGTTTCTGTCTCTATGAATTTGTCAATTCTAGACATTTTATGTAATTAGAATGATATAATATGCAGCCTTTTGTGTCTGATTTCATTCACTCAGCGTAATGTTTCCAGGGTTCATCAATGAAGCATATATCATCACTTCATTCTTTTTTATGGCCATAATATTCCATTTTCCATAGACATACAATATGTCCATAGACATACAATTCCATTTCCATATACATACAATATGTTGTATGTATAGATACAACATATTGCTTATCCATCAGCTGGGCATTTGAGTTTCTGCTTTGGGGCTATTAAAAATAATGCTGCTATGAATATTTGTGTACAAGGTTGTGTGTAAATGTTTTCATTCCTTTTGGATATTATATGTGGCAGTGAAATTGCTGGGTCATATGGTAACTTTATATTTAACCTTTTGAGGAACTGCCAAATTGTTTTTCAAAGTGGCTGCACCATTTTACCTTCCCACCAGCAATGTATGCGAGTTCCAATATCTCCACATCCTCACGAACACTTGTTATCTGGCTTTTTTGTTCTGACCATCCTTGTGAGTGTAAACTGGAATCACTGTGGTTTTAATGTGCATTTCCCTAATGACTAAGGATGTTGAGCTTCTTTTCAGGTGCTTATTGGGCATTTGGATATCTTCTTTGTAGAAATCTCTATTCAAATTATTTGCCATTTTAAAATCAGGTTATTTCCTTTTTATTACTGAATTGTAATTATTTAGATATTTCAGATACAAGTCCCTTATTAGATATGTGATCTGCAAATATTTTCTCCCATTGTGTTGTCTTTTCACTTTCTTAGTGGTGTTGTTTGATACACAAGAGTTTTTTATTTAAAGAAATATAATTTTCTTTTTTTTTTGGTTGCTTGTGTTTTTCTTTTTTTTTTTTTAAGAGGTACGATCTTGCTCTGTGGCCCAGGCTGGAGTGCAGTGGTGCTATCACAGCTCGCTGTAACCTCAAACTCCTGGGTTCAAGCAATTCTCCCACCTCCACCTCCTGCATAGCTAGGGCTACAGGCTAATTTTTTTTAAATTTTTTGTAGACACAGGGTCTTGCTATGTTGCCCAGGCTGGTTTCAAACTCCCAGCCTCAAGTGATCCTCCACCTCCCAAAATGCTGAGATTATAGGCCTGAGCCACCATGCCAGACCTGCTTGTGCTTTTGATATCATATTTAAGAAACCACTGCATATCCCATTGTCACGTTTACTAAGTTTCCAAGAATTTTATAGTTTTAACTCTTACATTTAGGCCTTTGATCCATTTTGAGTTAATTTTCTTATATGGTGTATGAGGTAGTGGATGGTATAACTTTATTTACTCATTTTTCTCAGGGCAGGGTATAGCCCCAGTGGATCGAGGTCAGAGCTGTGGGAAGGCCCCAAAGGCATTTGCTGAGGTCTGATTATGCCAGACACCTAGGTGGGACTCTAGTCATGCACAGCCTTGTGCTTTATGTTAAGGGTTTCACCCTATCTAAGAGCAACAGGAGAGAAGAGATCAGGTCTGTATATTGAAAACTCTGGCTGCAATGTAAGGAATGGGGTGAGACTAGAGACCTGTTAGGAGGTTACTGCACCAATTTGGAGGAGTTAATAGCTAAATAGGATATAGTGCCTAGTTAGGGAAGTGGAAAGATGAGAGAGAAATATTCTAGGAGGTAGAATGGATGAGAGACAAGACTGGATGATGTAAAGAATACAACCTTTGGTCAAAAACAAGGTATGAGTAAAGTCACTGGTTTTATTGAGCAGCTCAAACTAGTTCTGAAGGCAACTGTTCAGAAGGCGTTCCCAACAGCTTTTGAGCAATGCACAGCCTCCCATAAAACCTTAAAAAGTACATCTGTTAATGTGCACATTAGTCTTTGTTAGTCACGTTCACTAAATGCATTAACCTTACATATACTTCCAATTAAAAAAACACATAGGCTTTTCAGTATTTTGGCCTAGATTTTTGTTCAAATGAGTCCAAATGTGTGAGTGAGGTTTACCTGTTTTCTGATTCTGATCTATAAAAATGGGTGGTCTCAAAAGACCAGAAAGTTTATTCATAGCCAAAAATGACAAAAAGAGTTCTTATTCTCCCAAAATAGGAAATTTTGTATTCCTATAGTCAAAACAATAAACAATTTTTGAAATTAAAAAAGTTGAGAATCTTGAAATTCATTTTTTTCAGTAGAATAAAACAATAAGCAGCATGAAAACGTAAAGTGCTACATAAAAGCCCCACATTACATAAATTTTGAAAAGTTTATTGGCTTAAACAGTTACAGGTGAAACAGATTACGTATTTTTTTTTCAAGCATGCTATTTTAATTACCTTGATATCTCATCATGTGCTATGTTGGTCAAATAAAATGTCATGAGTTATCTAGATCTGAGGATTAAAGAGGAGTCCTCAGCCTTTACTTGCCAGAATATACATCCAGTTTTAGCTGTATGCTGGAATTAAGGAGTTAAAGTAGGGCTTTAAAGATAATAGTTTTCTGAAGAGGCCTTTCAGTGGGGCTTGGACAAAAAGGGCCCCAAAGACCAATTTTGCTCATTAACCTCACACTGGGGATCAGATTGACAACTTAAGGATTTTTAGGGAGCATATGTGAGATCAAAGGGAAGAAGAAAATGGTGCCCCTTTCAGATGGTGCTTCAGGTGCTAAAAAATATCCCAACACAAACAAGCAGGTGGCTAGCTGACAGGTGGGGGAAGAGATGCAAGTCAGATAGCAAAGGATCTGCACAGTGCAAAATCTTCTTGGCTTTTTATTTAACTTAGCAGTGAATGCAGCAGGATTGGCTTAAAGTATAGGTACACCCCATGGAAACATGCAATAAGATCACATCGATCCAGAGGCTGGCTCAAGTTTGACTGAGGGGAAACGGAGGGAAGGCTGTTCCTAGCACACAATCTCAGCAGAGGTTGAGGTGGTGGGGATTTCTTTCTTCTCATATGACGCTACCGTCGGTGACTTCTTACTAGGAGACCACTGAGCACTGAATCAAGGTTTCTAATATGTTTCAAATCAAGATTTTAGAGTGTATTTTCTTATGGCAATAGAGTTATAAAATGGTAACCTATGATTTTCCTCATATAATGAGATCTTCATAAAGTCCTTGAGCTTTTTAGACTTTAACAAATTCAGCTACAGATATAAAAAATAATCTGTAAACACCTTTAAAATGCGAATTTATTAAAGTTTAAGACAATTCTGTATTATATAATAGTGTACAATATGTTCTTATTTTAGATGTAGAAATAAAGGAAAACTGGCTCTCAGATGAAAACAGAAATTGTGTCTGACAGTTAATAGAACGAATGTCCCATAAACAGGAGTAAAAATTAAATTTTCCTTTAAGACGATTTTACAATTATTTCTCTTGTCCATAATTTCACTTAGTTAAAACCACATAAGGACTTTATGAATACCCTCCCCTATACTATTCAAGATATACATATGGGCTAACTTTCGTGGACCGATCTAGAACCTAAATACCACTTCCAACATTGTTTGACTTGTAAAAAAATTAACTTACAAATAACACTTTTGGAGCATAACCTATTTGAAAGCTTGGAACCACCTGTATTTAAAAATTAAATCTTCATTAACAACACCCTCAAGAGTGCCCTCAGTGCTGCGAACTGAACATGCTGAAGGCAATGTTTTTCTGTGATTATATGGTTTCACCAGCCATTATGATGATAATATTATCTACTAGAGTCTGTGGCGCTAGCTAGCACTAAGTTATATATTGATTTTTCCACTGAAAATTCTTTCTTGGGCTCTGACTAGGTGGACAATTCTAAGTAAAGGTTTTTCTAACTTCTATCACTGTTACTTGGGCCCTGAGGTTTTCTATTAAAATAGGACATGAAATATTTCAATATTATGCATATTCCTGGAATAATTAAAATTTATACTGATTATAAAGCTAGGCATATAATACATCCCAAAAGACATACATTTCAAAGCAGACCAAACATTCAAATCTTCAGATCCCCCCATTTAACTTCTGGAAGAAAACCAAGCGATCTCCTGGCTTGGGCCCTTTCTTCCTTAAAAATCTATGGAAGACTGTTTTCTTTCTTTTTAAATTTGTGTGATTATGGCAGCAGAGGGCAGGGGGTGGTGATAACAGCATATCAAAGTGGTTACAAAGTACTCCCTCTTCAAGTAGCATCCAGTGACAAAGATGTGATCTCATTTCCTCATAAATGTTTGACTGAAATAAAATTATTTTCACTGAAGAATGTTTAGGACACAAATAAAGTCACAGAATGAGCAATTCCAGTACATCTCCTATGAATGACATTTTAAGGAAGCTACTTGAGGAGTTTTGCTTTCCCTTTTCAACTCTTCTATCCCTATACATTCTACATACGTAGAAACAGAGTACTCAATAAGTGGTATTGAGTAACTAGTAATACTCATTGGAACTTAAAACATCATCTTTTATCCAAAAATTTCAAAGGGCAATATAGGAAAGTATTACA
Source organism: Homo sapiens (assembly GCF_000001405.40). Lineage (NCBI taxonomy): Eukaryota > Metazoa > Chordata > Mammalia > Primates > Hominidae > Homo > Homo sapiens. Next base: position 89,329,393 of record NC_000006.12, read on the forward strand.
AATTTACATAAAAAGAAGATGAAACATGAGAAAAAACAAGTTATTTCCCTGCAAAGCAGATCAAATAGTGAGACAAGGAACTTTGACTTCTAGTCCCTTTAAGCAGGACGTAACTGCTAGACACAGTCTGAATGTCTAGATATATTTATACTAAACTTACAAGGATCAAAAAAAGGAATGAAGGGTAAATACAAAATAATCTTTTTGTAAACAATTCTTAGATTATACCCAATGCAGAATGTTTAATGAAGCAGTTGAGTCACAGCTCATAAGTCACAAAACCATATTATAACTCAAAGTCAAATATGTATTCGTTTGCCAGATATATTCGTCGGAATATAAGAGCTGCCAATGCCAAAGTCAGGATGACAATCAGTACAGCTGACCCACCATGATCAGTGTGGTTGTCTCTTGGCTGGTGGCCCTGGATTACATCTGGTGAAGTAGACAACCTTCTCTGACTCTGCTGCTGGGCCCGGCGCTGTCGAGGGCTCATGGAGGTATTCTTAGCTACAGGTTGGGTAGGTTGATGAAAGGATGCTGCTGAGGAATTCTGGAGTCCGTACTAGGAAATTTTAAGAAACTTTGTTTGAAACTGGCAAAGAAGATTTGTAAATACACTTGTTATCTATTCAAGAATACACAATCTCAGAGGACAACATATGACTAAGGGCAACACTACCAAGAATGATTGTTACTAATAATACATCCCTTGAGGGGCATCTAAATTTAGGTTCAAAAAAAAGTCATAAGTTAGGACAGCTTTTTGGCCTTTTAATAGTTTTATTAATATATTTAGAAAAACAATCCCTTAAAACATTGGTCTAGATGATATTTTAACACATACGCTTAATGAAAATATGTATATACATATAATGTTTTAATTAGGTTCCTATGTTTCAGATGCCTTTTGTCTCTATTTTTTTAATCATTATTTTTTTAGAGATGGGATCTTGTTACATTGCCCAGGCTGGTCTTGAACTCCTGGGATCAAGCGATCCTCCTGCCTTGGCCTCCCAAAGTGCTGGGATTATAGGCATGAACCAACGTGCCCAGCCTCAGATGCCTTTTGGATGGTATATCACTAACTAAAAATTAAGTGCCTTGATATTATAAAATTCTAAATTTTTTCCTATTTAAAACAATCATACAGCACTTTGGGAGGTTGAGGCAGGAGGACTGCTTGAGCCCAGGCATCTGAGACCAGTCTGGCCAACATAGTGAGACACTATCTCTACAGAAAAATTTTAAAACTTAGCCAGGTGTGGTCATGCCCACCTGTGGTCCTAGCTACTTGGGAGGTTAAGGCAAGAGGATCACTTGAGCTCAGGAGGTTGAGGCTTCGGTGAGCTATGATCACATGCCTGCACTCCAACCTGAGCAACAGAGTGAGACTCTCCCTTAAAAAGATAAAAAATCACATTCTTAGTTAAGTCCCTAGTGATATATATATAAATTTTTCTAGAATAACCAGCATGTGTGAGGGAGTTTTGCTTTTTATTATAAAATGAAATGGCTTATTCAGAACCTCGATCCCTACCCTGGGAAAAGGAGAAAATCTGACAGACTGCAAGAACAAAACTGCCTTCAGTGTTTTTCCCATTTCTACATTTCCCATTGCTTTTTGATGCTAAAATATCTGCATTAAAAAGCAACAGATGGCCTGATGTTATCTGAGGTATTTAGAGTTGTGGCAATCTCTTGCCTCTCCTTCAGGCTAACAACAACAAAAAAATCATAGCTTATCTGGGATTTGATGTATAACATCTCAATTAATTTATATTATACTTAATGTAAAATAACCACCCTTAGCCAAACCAGGTTTCAGTTACTTTCATAGTGGTCAAATTATATAATCATACTCTGAGATAGTTTATATGTAAATATAATTAAAAACTTAACTTGCAATTTTAGACAATTTATTGCTTGTTGGTATTTTCACTAAAAATAGTCTCAATTAATGACCTGTATCTATGAATAAGAATTCTAAGTTTTATGTACTAAATCAAAACAAGAAATACTACTATAATAACATCATTATTTGTACACTCTAATTTACTTAAACTTCTTGATTTATTTAATTGTATTCTTAGCATTTTTTAAAGTACCAATCCTAAGATTCATTCATTCAATCAACAAACAAACATTGGCAATCTACTATATAGAAGGCACTAAGCCAGGCACTGGGGATACAGTGGAGAAGCGGAAAGAGACCCCTGACCCTCACAGAACTTACATTCTGGGAAGAGAGATAGACAATAAATAATTACAAAGTAAATTACAACTGGAATAAGTATAACTGGAATATGTAACAAGGGGACTTAACATAGATTGAAAATACACAAAAGATTTAAATACATCACAAACATTAGGAGGCTGTCCTAAAAGGTGAAAAAAGATTACCACCTTCCTTTTTGTAATAGAATGCTTCTATTAGAAAAAAAACTATGAAATAAAAAGTAATTAGAAAGCTTTTTCAATATCTTGAACTAAAACATATTGACCTTAAAATTAATTCATTGTTTTCCCCTGCAATTCATAAAATTACATTGGGATCACACAAAAATGATTTAAACTCATCGCTACACACTTTTTTCTTGGACCTCCATCTTCAGTCCCCCTAGACTACCACCCTGTTCTTCTTCAACCAACTTTTCTCTGCCCAGCTCACTCTCTGAATAGGAGAGACTCACTCAAGACTATTCACTCCCACTTTACGTACGTTATTGCTGGGTAAAGGGCAAATCTATATTTGCCCAACTTCTATTTCAATTTTCCCTCACCCTTTAAAGTCTTCAATAAACTGGAGAAACAACAACAAAAAAAATGTGACTACTTAACCAAACAATCTGTTACCAAAAAGACTTCCAAAGACAGTTAATCTTTTATATATAGGAAGGAAAATCATTTTTTTCCCATAATCCTTATTTTTTGGCACCAATCCAGTCATATTTTTTAAATCACTCTCTCTGATCACCTAGGCCAAACAATTTCTTAGACAACAGGTCAGGGCACCACTAACAACACTCATAGCATTCATTCTTTTATTCAACAATTATTTATTGGACACTTAGTATATACGAGGTAGCATTGTCCAACAGAATTTTGTGATGATAGTAATGTTTATGTCTACACTGTCCAATATGGTACCCATTAGCCACATGTGGCTATGGAGCACTTGAAATGTGGTGTGACTGAGGAACTGAATTTTAAATTCTACTTGATTTTGATTAAATTTAAATGTAGACACCTGCATGTGGCTGGTGGCTACTGTGTTGGACAGAGCAAGTCTAAGTAAATTTTTGGCTCTACGACTTTATTAAGTCAGTACCTTAATGCAGCTGAACAATCCTGCCAAAAATAGTGTCTATTTAGAAAGTGGCTAACATATGGATATTTTGTTTTATTCAGTCTAACACTATATTAAAATTAACTTTTCAGAGAATCACAGAATTCTGGAGGGACAAGACAAAAATTATTTAATCCAGCCCCATTTAACAAAAAAAGAAAACTGAGGCCAGAAAGCATGAACAACTTGCTCAACATAATAATTCATTAGCGGGACTGATGAGTTAGAATCCAGTTGTTAAGAGAACCAAATTTTTCAGATATTTGATCCAGGATCTTCTCCTCCTATTGCAAACAGTGATAATGATAGAGACATACATATATATTAAAAGATAAGAGCCATACCGATGTACTGGCCGTAGCACCCTGGAATGTTGTAGGTATATCATCTTGTAAATCAGTTAGTGAAAAAGAGTGGTTTAAGTCTGACTCAGAGATAGTCTTTCCAGATGAATTGACTTCTGCCTATAAACAAGATAGACCCAAGAGCAGTGTGACAACAGGAAACAACAGGAAACATACACAATCTACAACCTGCTAAATCCTCTCTGTTGGATTTATTTTAATTGCTAGTTTAATATCTATTATCAGGCAGTTAATCACTGAGCACTCTTGTGTCCAACACTGTACTAGGTATCATAGGAAGAAGCATACACAACACCTGTTCTCAAGAAGCCGTTACTTGATGAGGGACAAAACTAACACCCATGGTTCACAATCCACAATGCTAAAAAGCTCTCAAAACTCAAGGTTTTTTTGGTAATTTTTAGGCAAAGCCTGATATGAGCTGATGTGAACCTATGAATAGTCTTTATCCCACATTAGTGTAAACATTAATCCCACATTAATGTAATATTCCCAGATTTGCTGAAGAAATCCTAATGGATTTGATTATGAGGTGCTGCCCCAGATCGCACGGCAGGTTAGTTAATATATGGTATATGTAAGATCTTTTCTTAAGTCTGAAAAATTCTCATGTACAAAACACATTTGGTCCTGAGATTTTTCAGAAGCAATTTTAAGTGTAATAGGAATCCTCAGAAGGAAGAAAGTAAACATGTTCTGAGCAACTCCTCCTCCAGGCACTACAATAAAAGAGAAGGGAACTGGACCTGGAAAGACAGACAGTCCATAGAGAAGTGGAGAGGGAAGAGGAAGAGAGCATGCTGCTTAATGCAGGTTGACATTTCTGTTTGTGAAGCTAATTAAATTCCAGAAGGATTAAATACTTAATACTTTACGTCTGTATGTATGTATGTATTTATTTATTTATATTTTTTTGAGATGGAGTCTCACTCTGTCACCCAGGCTGGAGTGCAGAGGCACAATCTTGGCTCACTGCAACCTCCACCTTCCAGGTTCAAGCGATTCTCCTGACTCAGCCTCCCAAGTAGCTGGGATTACAGGCACACACCACCATGCCGAGCTAATTTTTTGTATTTTTAGTAGAGACAGGGTTTCACCGTGTTAGCCTGGATGGTCTCAATCTCCTGACCTCGTGATCTGCCTGTCTCGGCCTCCCAAAGTGCTGGGATTACAGGCGTGAGCCACTGCGCCCAGCTAATACCTTCAATAATTAAATATTTAATACTCAAAGTATTAAAATATTATATAATCCTATGTTCGGGTAAAACATATACAGAAAAAAGGGATATATAGGAGGGATGCCAAAATATTAACAGTAGCTATTTCTTGGCGGTGAGATTATGAATGTCATTTTCTTTTTCTTTTTTCTTTTTTTTTTTTTTGAGATGGAGTTTCGCTCTTGTTGCCCAGGCTGGAGTGCAATGGCGCGATCTCGGCTCACCGCAACCTCTGCCTCCCAGGTTCAAGCAATTCTCCTGCCTCAGCCTCCCGAGTAGCTGGGATTACAGGCATGTACCACCATGCTTGGCTAATTTTGTATTTTTAGTAGAGACGGGGTTTCTCCATGTTGAGGCTGGTCTCGAACTCCTGACTTCAGGTGATCCGCCCGCCTTGGCCTCCCAAAGTGCTGGGATTACAGGCGTGAGCCACCGCGCCCGGCCATCATTTTCTTCTTGTTGCTTATCTATATATTCTGTAATAATAGCTAGAATTTATTAAGCACCAGGGACAGTTCTGAATGCAACACATGTATTACATATATTAATTCAATCCTCACAGCAATCCTATGATTTAGGTACCATTATTATTTATAGATAATAAAAAGGCACAAAGTGGTTAATTAATATGTCTGACATCATACTACTAATAAGCAACAGAGCTGGGATTTGAACCCTGGCATTGTATACCAGAGTTCAAGTTTCACTCCCTCACTATTCTATAAAGCTTTCATGAATGTAGTTAGGAATTTTGTAATAAGAAAAACATTCCATGCCAGTATTAAAACATTTCATGTACCCTATACATATATACACCTACTATGTAACCACAGAAATTAAAAATATAAAAATATGAAAAAAGAAAAACATTGGCAAATGTCATATTGTAATAGAACTGCATCGCTTTCCTTTCTATGCAGAATCCAGCAGTAAACAAAAGGGTTGCAAGATTAGCATTTATTTAAGAATTTATAGTACCTTAAAGCTTATTTGCCTAGCCAGTTCTTTGGCTTCTTGGTCAGCTTGGCTTGAATCGCTTCCAGATTTTAAAGGCAACAGGACATCCTTCATGGCAGAGCCACATCCTTCACAACAGAAATCTTGTGATCTAGTAGAAAAAGATTTTTTAAATGAAAATAAATAGTTAAATGTTTAATTCCCTCTCACTGAGACACTCAAATGCTCGATCATTAAACTTAAAAGAAAGGAACACTGGAAAATTCCACATCACATTTATCCACATGCTATGAATTAGAAAATTAATGTAATGATTATAGTCCTGAGACAAGTAAATGTTAGGCTGGCTTTAAAAAAATCCAGGGCTCAGATGCTATTTTTTCCAATAAACTATCTAAAGAAAAATAAGTTTTACATCTATACAATGAGAAAATTGTCTATTATACTGTCCTTGAGATCACATATAACAAACCTATTTTAAGGCTGTGAAAAAAGTCCTTTAACAAGATCAAATTATCTGTTAGCAGAAATATATATAAAGCAGTAAAGAAACTAATTAAACATAGAATTTACAGATATTTCTAGGGAAAAAAAAACCCCTCACAAATAGCAGTATAACTTGAAAGACTTGGGAGAACTTGCAGAAAATCCAAAGACTTAATTTATTGCTGATTATACATTAGGTAGAGACTCAGGATATGTCTGTTAACTAGATTATTTTCTAAAATATATTTGTTTTTCCATTTTTCCCTTTGTATTCCAGATATAGTCAAAACTTCCTTGAAGTTTACAAGAGTCCTCTGAGGATATGAATGACTGAAAGTAAACATGCATCATATATAAAACATATATTGTTACACTGTTAAACTTCCTTCTAAAAAATTGTTTTTCATAGTACTTCTAGTTCTATTAAAAAACCTTAGGTCTTGAAGAACATGCTATTTAAAATTATGAAATATCATATAAACAAAATATATGTAAAAGTAGCAATAATTTAGTTTTTCTGTTTGTTTGTTTGTTTGTTTGAGACAGGGTCTCCTCGTTCTATCACCCAGGCTGGAATGCAGTGGTGCAATCATGGCTTGCTGCAGCCTCAACCTCCCAGACCCCAGTGATCTTCCCACTTCAGCCTCCCAAGTAGCTAGGACCACAGGTGTGTGCCACCACACCCCGCTAATTTTTATTTTATTTTATTTTTTTTTTTTATTTCATTTTATTATTATTTTTTTTTTTGTAGAGACAGTGTCTCCCTGTGTTATCCAGATTGGTCCAGAACTCCTAGGCTCAAGCGATCCTCCTGCCTCAGCTTCCCAAAGTCCTGGGATTACAAGCATGAGCCACTGTGCCCAGCCTAATTTAGTATTTATTGATGAGTATTTCTTGTTTTACCAGAAGTGGCACTGTTGACCACACACCTTTGAGAATTGGTTATATACAAATTATTTGCTTCAAAATGTATTCACTTTTAACTGAGTCAGATGAACCTTAAGGGGAGTGTTTATTTTGAATGTATTAGTTTATCCACAATGGTAGCATGCTACCACGGTTGAATGCAAAAATCTTTGTTTTTTTTTTTTGAGACAAGGTCTCAACTCTGTCCCACAGGCTTGAGTGCAGTGGCACAATCATGGCTCACTGCAGTCTCAACCTCCCCAGGTCAAGCAATCCTTCCACCTCAGTCTCTAAGTAGCTGAGACTACAGGCACGTGCCACCACGCCCAGCTAATTTTTGTATTTTTTTGTAGAGCTGCAGTTTCGCCATTTTACCCAGGCTGGTCTCGAACTCCTGAACTCAAGCAATCCACCTGTCTTGGCCTGCCAAAGAGCTGGGATTACAAGTGTGAGCCACCATGCCCGGCCCAAAATCATTTTTTAAAAGGTTTCTATTATAGACTGAGAATCTAGAATATACAGTGAGAAGCCTAGAAGAACAAGAACTCCAGTTCTTTTTTTTTTTTTTTTACCTCGCACATGAAATCAACTGGATAAAGGCATCAAGATAAAAAAACCAACGTAGTAAATCGAATGAAAACAAATACTATGTATTCAAAGTACATAGTGTAATCTATGAAGAGCTGTATAAATAAAGTACATACCCATAGTTTGGAAATAAGGTTTAAAAAGAAAAGTTGCTTATAAGACCAAGAAGTCTACCAAATCTTCCAGATGCTAAAATCTAACTGATTTAGCAAATATCTGTAGAGGGCCTACTCTGGGGTGTGCTAGGGTAAAATATGATATAATTTAATTAACATAATATGTCTGAAGGGTGGTAGGCAGCAGACTCCAGAGCAGAAAAATTATCAACATCAAAAATTAGGTATCAGCACTACTCAAAGAGGGGCTACTCTGAATGGAAGGACTGATCTTGGTCATATAGACAAAAGTGCACCTGCACCTGAAAAAAACAGAGAAGGCATCACTTCTCTGTTTGTGATTGCCACTGGGCAATCACAACTTGATAAAATCTCTTTTGCTTTATTCCAGATCATTTATTAAGCACTTGCTATGAGCTAGATGCAAAGATGGATAAAGTGGATTACCTCTTGGCCCTCAAGAGGTTTGTAATCTTGTGGAAAGCTACAAATAATTGCTCTGGTTCTTTTCCATCTATAATGCCATAGTGGAAACAAATGACTGGTATTGTTTTCCAGGAGAATATATCTCCCACTGAATTTTTTAAAAATAGTGAAATAGTATCAACTACTTTTTAAGACTAGATAGCATTAAATAAATTACTTAGATTCTGGTCACTCCAAGGAAATTATTACAACTGAATTCCTAAAAGAGCAAAACTGAGATAAGATCCTGTAGCTACAGTCACTCAGAAAATAAGTCACATAGTAAGAGGTAGGCCCTACCTCCTAATAGCCATTACCCTGAATACTATTCAGACCTCAAGAAGAATGAAATGCAAAACTTACTTTTTGGCAAGTGCTCTTCTTTCCTCAGGAGTGTAATCTAGAGAACCTATGGCTCCCTCTCCTTTTGTTGGCATAAACCCAATGATGGCTAATAATGCTGTCCTTACTGAAATAAAAAAGTAAATATCAATCTAAATTGCTTTGTAAAAGCAACTGGGTTTATTCTGGAAAAAGAAAAAATCAGAGTATTATACTTCATAACTATGAATTGACTGAAGTTATGAGATTTATATTCACTATAAATTAACACTTACTACTCCACGAAGGCTGCCAAGTTTCAGGATGATGGCCTGAGATGCTCAAACAGATTTTCTTGCCCACTTCAAATCGACCATTAGCCTGAGGAATAAACAATGCATTTAGAAAATTAAATACATGTGCTTAATGTTTATACTTTCTGTAAAAATATACTATTTATATATAATAATTTTAGAGATTATCTTAAAAAGTTTGTTTTTTTTTTTTTTTTTTTTTTTTTTGAGATGGAGTCTCGCTCTGTCACCCAGGCTGGAGTGCAGTGGTGTGATATCAGCTCACTGCAAGATCCACCTCCCGGGTTCACGCCATTCTCCTGCCTCAGCCTCCCAAGTAGCTGGAACTACAGGCGCCTGCCACCAGGCCTGGCTAATGTTTTGTATTTTTAGTAGAGACGGGGTTTCACCGTGTTAGCCAGGATGGTCTCGATATCCTGACCTTGTGATCTGCCCACCTTGGCCTCCCAAAGTGCTGGGATTACAGGCATGAGCCACCGCGCCCGGCCAAAAAGATTTTTTTTTAAATGTAACCTCTCATGGGACACAGATTTTTTGTCCTTATAGACTCCAAAAATACTTGTTGGATGCTGAATAATAAAAGCTGTTTTTAGAAGGTGTTTTACAGCACCTTTTGAAACTGAGTTGCACAAGTGAAATCTAAATAATTAACATGTAAAGTTTTACTGGCCAGCGAAGTGGCTCACGCCTGTAATCCTAGCACTCTGGGAGACTGAGGCAGGAGGATCACTTGAGGCCAGGAGTTCAAGGCCAGCTTGAGCAACTTAGTGAGACACTGTCACCAAAAAAAGAAAAGAAAGAAAATTAGCCAGGAGTGGTGGCATGTGCCTCTAGTCCTACCTACTTGGGAGGCTAAGACAGGAAGATTACTTGAGCCCAGGAGTTCAAGGCCACAGTGAACTATGACTGCATTGCTGCATGCCAGCCTGGGTGACAGTGTGAGACCCTGTCCCCAAGAAAAGAAAAAAAAAGAGGAGAGGAGGGGAGGAGAGGGGGGGAGGGGGGAGGAGAGGGGATGGGGGAGGAGAGAGGGGAGGGGAGGGGGGAAGGGAGGGAAGTGGGGAGGGGAGGGGGGAAGGGATGGGGAGGGAAGAGGGGTGGGGAGGGGAAGGGGGAAGGAGAGGGGGGAAGGAGAGGGGAGGGGGAAGGGGAGGAGGGAAGGAGTGGGGGAGGGGAGGGGAGGGGAGAGGATTTACTAATGTCCTACCCTGTGCCTAGTATGGAGCTAGGCTCAGTTAAGAATCTAAAAGAGGCCAGGCATGGTGACTCATGTCTGTAATCCCAGCACTTGGGAGGCTAAGGTAGGAAGGTCACTTGAGGCCAGGAGTTTGAGACCAGCCTGGGCAACAAAGTGAAACCCTGTCTCTACAAAAAATAAAAATAAAAAAAATTTAGCCAAGCGTGGTATGTGTGACTATAGTCTCAGCTACTCAGGAGGCTGACGTGGGAGGATCATTTGAGTGTGGGACATCAAGGCTGCAGTGAGCTGTGATCATGCTATTGGACTCCAGCCTGGGTGACAGAGTGAGACCCTATCTCAAGTTAAAAAAAAAAAAAGAATCTAAAAGAGAAGACATTCAAGAGGCCAGGACGAAACCTAAGGACTCAGTATCACCTAACTAGATGTTAGTGAGGAAAGACATGGGGAGAAAGGCTCTGAGAGAGGTGTGATTTTCAGAGGAGTGATGAATGAAAGGATAAATAAATACTTATTGAATGAAAGTTGGAGAAGACTTTTCAAAAAAGAAGTGAACCAGAAAGAGTGTAATGTTGAAAATCAGGGCTGATTCTCAGCCAGTGTGGTTAGTATGACCATACCATTGGCTAACTATTGAAATATACCTGTATTTGTTGGTAAAGAGCTGCTGCTAACTACTGTCCTCCACCACCACCAGTCTCCCCATGCACCAGCCCCTCCCTCCCCGAAGACCACTTAGCTCTCCCCATGATCTAGCAACTAAATAAAATGACTCCTGACACAGTAGAGTGTCTCCAGGACCCTGCTCCAACTCTACTGCCAGCATTAGCAGTTCTCTATATCAGCTAATACTTATTAAGCAGCTTCTATATGTCAGGTACTTTATGGTGTGATTACAATTACCAAACACAACATTCATTTTGACTGATGAGAAAACAATTTTAAAGACATTGTGTAACCCACCCATAGTGTAATGGAAAGAGCACCAGTCAGAATCTAGGCCTATTGGCTCTTAAACAAATGTTCTCTCTGTTATACAAAATAGAGGTAAAAGCAGCATTAATTTGGTATTTATTTATTTATTTATTTATTTATTTATGTTTTTTTTTTTTGAGATGGAGTCTCGCTCTGTCGCCCAGGCTGGACTGCGGACTGCAGTGGCGCAATCTCGGCTCACTGCAAGCTCCGCTTCCCGGGTTCACGCCATTCTCCTGCCTCAGCCTCCCGAGTAGCTGGGACTACAGGCGCCCGCCACCGCGCCCGGCTAATTTTTTGTATTTTTAGTAGAGACGGGGTTTCACCTTGTTAGCCAGGATGGTCTCGATCTCCTGACCTCATGATCCACCCGCCTCGGCCTCCCAAAGTGCTGGGATTACAGGCGTGAGCCACCGCGCCCGGCCTAATTTGGTATTTATTGATGAATACCTGTTGTTTCACCATTTGCTACTCCGTGTGGGTAAGATGTTTAACTGAGAACAGGATGAAGGCTGAGGAGAAGCAGTGAGATTTCTCAAACTGGTCTCTGAGATTGGTGTAGTTTCATGTTTCAACAGGGCACTATGTGTGGAAGGTGGACTGCAGCAGGCCAAACTACGGAAAGGATGCCTTGGAGGTTACCAAAGAGAAAAATAGGCACAGCTTAAAGTGATAACAGATACAGGGAATGGTTTTTGTGTTTGTTTTTGCTTTTTTCAAGGTTAGGGGATAATTAAACATAGTTAAAGGAAATGAGAGAAGAAAAGCTTAACAATTAAAGAGGAATTAGATCAATAGTTTTCCTTGGCCAGGTATGATGGTGACACCTGTCATCCTAGCACTTTGGGAGGCTGAGATGGGAGGACTGCCTGAGGCCAGTAGTTCAAGACCAATGAGACCATGTCTCTACCAAAAAACTTTTTAATTAGCTGGGTGCAGTGGCATGTGCCTATAGTCCCAGCTACTCAGGAGGCTGAGGTGGGAGGATAGCTTGAGCCCAGGAGTTTGAGGCTACAGTGAGCTATGATCGTGCTACTGCGCTCCAGCCTGGGCAACAGAGAAAGACCGTGTCTCTTAAAAAAAAAAAAAAGTTTTCCTTCACATGAAGAAAAGATGTGTAAATTTGGAGAGAAAGAGAGAAAATCTGAGATATAAACAGTAATAATAATGCTAACACTTATTGAGTATTCTGTGTCAGGCTCTATTCTAAGAGCTATACAATAAGATCTTGATACTTTTCATCCCACATAAACTCAATGAGGTAGGTATCATTATTCTCATTGTAAAGATGAGAAAACTGAGGAAGAGAGTGTAAGAAAGGTGGGAAGTTAAAGGAGACAATATGATTACAAGGTACAATAACATTAGCTACCCTTTAGTGAGTACTTATGAAGTGCCAGATGTGTATGCCCAGCACTTGGCATATATTAATTCATTGAATCCTAACAACCATGATATGACATTTATGCATTCAGTTGTATCATTTTTACTTCTCAGATGCATCAGCTTCCTAGGAATTATTTTGGAGGAAAAAAATTGTAGTCCCAGGGCCTGGACCCCAAAAGCAAAATTATACTGTTCTATTATTTCTTAATGAAAATGATTTGCTTACTATATTTTGCAGCTACCAGGAAGAGTGAAGCCACAAGCACTCTAAAAATCCAAAATTCTTACCGTTAGGAGAATAATGCTTGGTGGTTTCATGGGATACTCTGGTGGCAGTACTATCCGCCCGTGATAAACTCCTCCATCAAAATCGGAGTCTGGGGGCCCTCTAACCGTGAAGTGCCATTCAAAAAGGTTATCCTGAACAAAAACAATAATCCACAAGGAATTAATAATATTGAAAAGTTTGATCATTTTATCTGAATATTAGAAATATTACCAAGCAAGAAAAATTAAATGCTTTATATTATTGCTAGTATAGTTTCTAATGCATGAGATGTCTCGAGACTATAAGTGATAAATTAAATTTATAAGTAAAAGCTATTTAATCTAGCTTTCATGTTCCATTGAGCTAAAATATTTTATAATAAACACATTAAAAATTTCTGAGTGTTGTTATATATTCATAAGTAACTTACAGGTTTAAATTGGAAATTAATCCTTGAAAGAATAGCAAATTATGATAATTATATAATCAAAAAATTACTATGTTTGGGTTATTTTAACAAATCTTTAAAAATTATCCCTTATAGATGCCTAAGAGCTTATTTATAAAATGGTAATACTAATGTATTTAATGTCATCTTACAGTTACCATGTACTTTTCAGTTTACAAAATACTTGCACTTAAGTTATGATATTTTTATTCCCACTGTTACCATGAAAACCTGCCTGGGTATATTTAAATACCCTCCTTTTACAAATGAGAAGACTGAGAGAGGCCGAGATGTTTATACAAAAAGCCTTGAGTAGCTACGGAGACCCATCAAAAGGCTTCCAAACTGTAAAGTATCTGGGGTTCTTTCCACCTCCCCTCCCTCAGACTCAAGATCTAACCTCGGCCGGGTGCAGTGGCTCACGCCTGTAATCCCAGCACTTTGGGAGGCCAAGGCGGGTGGATCACGAGGTCAGGAGTTTGAGACCAGCCTGACCAACATGGTGAAACCCTGTCTCTACTAAAAATACAAAAATTAGCCGGGCGTGGTGGTGGGGGCCTGTAATCCCAGCTATTCAGGAGGCTGAGGCAGGAGAATTGCTTGAACCTGGGAGGTAGAGGTTGCAGTGAGCCGAGATCACATCACTGCACTCCAGCCTGGGCAACACAGTGAGACTCCGCCTCAAAAAAAAAAAAAAAAAAAAAAAGATCTAACCTCAACTTAGCATCTGAGACCCATTTTATAAAGACCACAAAATCCGTTTCTTCTAAAGTGATTTGGAATGGCTAATGAAATATTCATGAAATATGGTGAATAAAACGTCAAACTACATCACACACATCTGTAATGACTCAAAGCAATGAAAAGCAATTTTAAAAAATTTGTTTTAAATATTAAAATCCATATGAAGAACATGGAGATAGAAACTAACCTCTAAAGGCTGCGCATGGTAATGATCTGTTGGATCTTTCAATTCTGCCGCTTCTTTCATTAAACGTTTAACAGCTAAAATAAAATTCATAAAATAGAGATATTTAAAATATACTTTTCTGAATGATTAGCACAGTCTTACGAGCCTAATGAAAAAATGTGTAGAGAACTAGTGCAAATGAGCATATGGCAAAGGTTTAATTATAAGATTATGGGAATAAATAGAGGGGGAGAGGAAGGAAACAGTTGCTAGGCATTAACACTTTAAAAGAGTTATATATTAAATATATAGTGAAGACACTATTTTTATTTAATAAGTACTTATATATACTTCCTATATGGTGGTATTTATTGAAGTGCTTTTACAGACATTAATAACTCATTTAACCCTTAATACAACATTACTAGATAGGTATTATTTTTATCCCCATTTTCCAGATGAAGAAGCCGAGACACGGAGAGATTATATAGTCACACAGCTAGTAAATGACAGAGATGGGATTCCAACACAGGCAATTTGGCTCTACCTGTTAAAATGTCTTTATTAACAAAAAATGTATTCTCTGGATCTCATGCTCGGTGAACAGGAAACACCTCTATATCCTCCAACTCTTGGGACTTTCCATCCACTATCTTGCATTAAATGAATGGACTGTCCCCTGAATTCACTGACTCTCCAAAGCCCCGATGAAATTCCTTCTTGAAATGATCCTTCAGCTTCACTAAAACCTCCAGTCCACTGACCCCACAACTTTCTTCACCCCTCCTATACTTATATTCATTTTCCTCTTTATCCACACCCTTGGCTCTTAGGAGTCCCTCTTGTACACTCCCTTAATAAAATCCAACTGTGCCTGACCCAACCCAACCATCTTATTTGCTGTCTATACCCAAACAGCTGAGCATCACTGAAAGGAGGAAAAAAAGTCAGAGAGGATGGTGCAGTAATGCCATTACAAGTCATTACCAACAACCTCTACTGGGATACAATGCCACCTAATGTCCCCACATTTCTCTAGTAGGCCTTCCAGCCTACTCTTTCCACCTAGCACTCCAAGATTATTTCCCACCTAGTCTAATTTCTCCTCTCTTTCAGTTAATGGCACCCAGCTTTTTATCTCCCTGATGAATGACTGCTAGCAGGAGCTGCTCAGATGCCTATCACAATCTACAATCCTATCTGTATCTGCACCCTCTGTCTTCTATTGGCTCTCAAAATTCAATCCTTTGATATGCACTCTGGATCCCAACCCCTCTCATTTCAAGCTTTTGGTGCTAAAACATGTCAGGATACTGCAGTGGGATGGCTGAGTTAGGGAAAAGGCTTCTCAAAACTGGGTTTGCAACCACTGATGTAGCTCAAAAGAGAGGTATGCACCAGATGCTGGGAGGACAGGCTGGGCATCTAACTTTAGAGCAAATGGAAGAGAAAAGGAGTCAGGTACTGAATGTGAAAGAAATAACAGTAGAAACTCCCCAGGTAGATATGAATAGGAAGAGGTAATAATAAAAGTAAAATGTGTAGAGGCACAGGTTGGAATGTTATGGGGAGAGAGATTAACTGAGAAGGAACCCCTACATGTATATAACCACAATGGTTTGGTATGTATCAAGACTTTTGCATAAAATTGCATTTGAGGCCAGGCGTGGTGGCTCATGCCTGTAATCCTAGCACTTTGGGAGACCGAGGCGAGTGGATCACCTGAGGTCAAGAGTTCGAGACTAGCCTGGCCAACATGGTGAAACCCTGTCTCTACTAAAAATACAAAAATTAGCCAGGCATGGTGGCGGACGCCTGTAATCCCAGCTACTCGGGAGGCTGAGGCAGGAGAATCGCTTGCACCCAGGAGGTGGAGGTTGCAGTGAGCTGAGGTCGTGCCATTGCACTCCAGCCTGGGCTTCAGAGAGAGACTATCTCAATAAAACAAACAAACAAACAAACAAAACCAGGCACGGTGGCTTAGGCCTGTAATCCCAGCACTTTGGGAGGCCGAGGCAGGTGGATCACCTGAGGTCAGGAGTTTGAAACCAGCCTGACCAGCATAGTGAAACCCCATCTCTACTAAAAATACAAAATTAGCCTGGTGTGATGGCACATGCCTATAATCCCAGCTACTAGGGAGGCTGAGGCAGGAGAATCGCTTAAACCCAGGAAGTGGAGGCTGCAGTGAGCTGAGATCGTGCTGTTGCACTCCAGCCTGGGCAACAAGAGCGAAACTACGTCTAAAAAAAAAAAAAAAAGCCCTCCAGGCCGGAGGGCAGTGGTACGAACACAGCTCACTCACTGAAGCCTCAACCTCCCAAGCTCATGCAGTCCTCCCACCTTGGCCTCCCCAATAGCTGAGACCACAGGCATGCACCACCATGCCTGGCTAATTTTTAAATTTTTTGTAGAGCTGGGGTCCCCCTGTCTTGCCCAGGCTGGTCTCGGGCAATCCTCCTACCTCAGCCTTCCAAAGTGCTGAGATTACAGGCGGGAATCAGCATGCCTGGCCAAAAAAAAGTTGTTACTATCCTACTTCACAATTATTAATATTCTTTTCCATTTCTTACTCTGAACTAAGCCCCTATATGCAGAGACTTTGTTCACTGGATCATCAACTATTTCTTGAGTTCCTACTAGGTACTAGATGCTACAGCTTCATGCGTAAACAAAATATGGCTTTGGTCACTAAAGACTGACGGCTGGGAGGTGCAGTCAATACAAAACAGAATGATAAATGCTATATTAGAAATATGTACATACTGAGACACCCTCTCCCTCCAAGTCTAGAGACTGGGCTTTGGTCAATTCCCTGAACACACTTTACCTCCCCTCCACTCTCAGCCTTTCTATACAGCTTTCCTCAGGGCCCAGGCTGCTCCGGCCCCATCCTCCGCCTCACCGTCTAGTCTGGCTACCCTAGACCTTTAAGTAACTTCTCAGGAATGTCTCTATGACACCTTCCCTGGTTGCCCCCTGCCCCCCACCCCCTACAGTGCTTGGAGATTTCAATCTGGGCAGATCAAAATCTCTGAGGCGTCCTAGGGAGGGGTAGAGACTAGGAATGCTCTCTGAATTACTCTGGTTAGGTTTAGAAACCACTGCCCTAGAGACCAGGTTGAGTCTCCTTGCTCTATGCCATCATAACACTGTATTTTTCCTCTTATGAAGTTCATCTCACTTGTAATTACTTGTTTAATATCTGTTTTTCCTGCTAAGCAATAGTAATGACAGTGTAGCTGTAGCAGTACAGTCTCCTCAGGGCTTAGCACATGGTAAGTACTCAAATATTAGTTGAATTAAATTTTACTATCTTCTCTCAACATAGCTCTCAGAATCCGATTAAAGGCAATGGTTTTTAAACTTACTTAATAAAACAATTAAACTTATTTAATAAAACAAAATCCTTCATTCAAAGAAAGCTTAATGAGAACCCCAACAGGTGAAACAAAAACCACAGAGCCGCTTTGGTTGCAGAGGCCAGTGGAAGGGCCTGCGGACTATCTACTCCCTGTCCTTCCATTTCACTCCTGAAGGGACCCATAGAACAAAGATGGAAAACCCTGCTTTAAAGCCACATAAACATATCATTCCTTTAAGTTAATATTATTAGATAGAAATGCAATTATGGAAGCTGTTATGAAGTTAATTAGTTTGGAGATGCCAAAAAGATTGTTTTTCCTTCATTCCTCGTCAACTGGCTGAACTCAATAATGATTAAGCTGAAGTCAGATTTTATGTCATTCTATACCCTTATCGCATTTTCTCTGCCTCTTCCCTACTCAGTTCAGTTCAACAGGAGAGAAGAAAATAAACACTCAAAACTTGTACCTGGATATTATGAGAGATGTATAAAGGGTCAGAATTGTTATAAGAATGTATCTGTACCAATCCTGTAAAGGAACAATCATTGGTTCAACAGCTAAATAGCTAATTAGTTCATAAGTCACTCAGGCACATACCATGTAAGAGCTAAGGTCATGTAGCCAAAAGGTGAGATTAGTCTCTTGTTTCCATAAGCTATTTTTTTTGCAAAAATAACATATATTATGAATGCTTCAGTGAAAAGAAACAGGGACTCGATTTAGAGCTGCATTAAAATTCTGACTCTGACATTTTGTAGCTCTAAGTCCTTGAACAAGTCACTTGATCTGATGTTTACATCTGTCAAATAAGAGTCAATAATTTCTCCACAAAATTCTCCTTTCCTTTTCACCCCTCCTTCCTGCCCAGTCCCTGAGTCATTAAGGTTGAAAATGGACTGGTATATAAGGCCTTCTCAATGATTCTTCCTAACTCAAAACCATGCCTCAGCAGATTTCGCTGGCCTTATGATATGGCTCCCTGGCTCCTGAGGAGAAATACCACTGTTAGGAAACAGTCATGGTTCACAGTGCTGCCTGGCAACCGGGCTACAGCATAGTCTGCCCCTCCTGATACTCCATCTCTTGCTTCTACATGGCTAGAGAGGAAACTTTTATTCCAGCTCCTCTCCTATCTCTTGGAAAGGTTTTTCCATGGAATCCTTTCACTGTGGTGAGATAAGATGTGCCAGGAAAGGAAGGGGTGGCACCTGGATGCCTGCTCTTGTTCTTCTTTCTTATAGAGGCCACATGGACACTCTGGAGCCATGCTCTAGGTGCTGTGGGCCTAGGCATTAGCATTCTTCACACACCTTGGCTAGCTCACTAGCCTCACATTGGGGTTTGTATACAGCTAAAAATAAAGGGATCTTCTACAGGCCACTGCTTCCCATATATGGATTCCTCTTCAAAAGCAATTATCTTGATATTATCAATTCCCAAAGCATGAGTGAAATGCAGGAGACAGGTATATTAAGGAAGGCATGCTCCCTAACTGCCTCTTCCTGCTCCCATAATGAAGGTACTTAAGCAAATGCCTACAGAGTGATGTTTCTGCCCAGGAGGACCCTGCAAATGTATCAGTTCAACAAACATTTAAAGAATGTCTGAGTGTTGGAGATAAAACAATGACCAAGACCTGCTTCTTGTCTTCCGTAACAGTCAGTAGAGAAAGACATGAAAATAATTACAACCAAGTGGTAATATTGACCAAGTATATATGTACAAGTATATATAGGAACTACTTTAGTCTGCCTAGGGGAGCTAGACAAGGCTGAACCTTAAAGCTTGAAGAACTATAGGAATTTCAGATGGATTTAAAGGAAGGCATTCTAAGCAGAGGTTCCAACAGGAACCAAAGCACCTAAGTGAGAAAAGCTACTCCAGCTAGAGAGTCATTCAGGCAAAATGGATAGGTAAAAACGCAGGCCTGGTGCAGTGGCTCTCACCTGTAATCTCACCACTTTGGGAAGCCAAGGTGGAGGGAACACTTGAGCTCAGGCGTTTGAGACCAGCCTGGGCAACATGGTGAAACCCTCGTCTCTACAAAAAATACACAAATTAGCTGGGTGTGGTGGCACACACCTGTGGTCCCTGCTACTCGGGAGGCAGAGGTGGAAGAATCACTTCAGCCCAGGAGGTTGAGGCTGTAGTGAGCTGTGATGGCACCACTGCACTCCAGGCTGGGAGACCCTGCCTCAAAAAAAAAGAAAATGAGGAAGAGCATAAGAGTGGTGGACAGTGAGGCTGGTGAGGAAGGGCAGGGTCAATCATGAGCAGCCCTGTAGGCCAAGCTAAGCAGTTTACTTTGAACTTTATTGACAGCTATCAGAAAGCTACTGAAAATTTTTCAATTTGGGGGTAATCAGTTTTTGTTTTGATTGATCTGGTGACAACAGTGACTGATTAGATATATGTGTTTCTGTGTGTGTATTGAGTTGTGTGTTTCAGGGCAGGGATGGAGCAAGGAAGCGACCAAGAAATAAAAAATGACTCCCATAGGTGCCTGAGTGCTGTCTATCCCTGAGATATGAAATACTAGGGTAAACTGCAAGTTTAGGGGAGGAGAAGAAAACTGATGAGTTTTGTCTTTATACTTACAGAGATTTTTTTCACTCTATGGGAAATGAAGATGTTGAGTCACCATAAGTTCTGTGTATCTATAGCTTACGAGAAGGGCCTGAGTTGGACATGAAACCTTGAGTGGATTAGTGGGAAGGTGCAGTTGACACCAATGGCATGGATAGGTAACTCTTAGACTTCTGGTGGAGGCAGTGGGTACTTTTGCACCAGTCTCTTATACTCCCACCACCTGCTGCACATGTCAATGGCCCCCTGATGAAGAAGCTGCCAAAGGAGGTGCTTTATACACATTTCTTCACTTTGTACTATAAGACCCTACTTCCTTGGCCAGAGCAGACCCAAACACGGGTCAAGTAGCTTGATCCATAGACAACTATTGACAGATTATAGACAAGTAGCATGATCCATAGACAACTACTGCTACTACAGTAGCAGATCCATAGACAACTACTGACAACTACCACAGACAACTACTGTGAGGTGATCCTACACAACAGCTCTATCCATAATCACAAGTCCATTCCAAAAAAAAACCATAAAGCAAAAAGTTTCCCCACCTATGAAATGAAAAAATTTACTATATCCACATGCTAGTACACTGGCCCTTAACCAGCTATCTGTATTGTCTTCACTTAATCTTTCCACTCATACATCAAAGACAATCCCACATCAGATAAAGAGTAAAAGATTATATCCCTCACATTGTGTGGTTGTTTTTTGTTTGTCTGGTATGTTGGTATTTTACGTGTGTGTGTGTGTGCACCCTGCCATACACAGGAAATTGGAGTTTTCAGTTGCTCCCCTTCACACAGGCATTACTCTAAAAATACCACAGGACTGAGAATAAAGCAAAGGAAGGAAGTATTTTCACAATGCCTCCCAGCATTTTCAGTAAGTCCCATATCTTACCTAATTCAACTTCTCCATGAACTCCAAATAATTCACACACTAACAAAAATAGATTTTTAAGAAGCATTGTGTTTTTTTTTTTAGAGCAGCAACACTATCTTTGAGGAAATGAAACCAGAAAAAGGAAGCAATTTATGACACAGCTAGAAGCATGTCAACCAAAGCTCAACCAGCTGACAATAGTTCACATACTTTGGAAATATACAAAATTCTGGAGATTTTTAAAAGCTTATCATCATAGTATTAAGTCTAACCTATCGAAATTGAGCGATGTTTTCTGACAACAATCTCTTGGGTTCCACCAGTTCTCCATTCTAAACTGCACTACTACTCACATGTGCATTATCCTCTGGACCTTTCACTAAGCACCTCTGCTGTCCTAAGGAACCGTGTGACCAGGGAGCCACCATACATTTTTACCCAAACAGCTCCAGTTAAATATACCACAATGTAAATAATTCAATCATTTTACCATCTAGCTTAAAAATTAAGCTTTTCTTTCCCTCTTTCTCTTTGGTCTTTTCTTCCTCCCTCCCCACCCCGGGATTCTCTTTTTTTTTTTTTTTTTTTTTTTTTTTTTTGAGATGGAGTCTCGCTCTGTCGCCCACACTGGAGTGCAGTGGCGCGATCTCGGCTCACTGCAACCTCCTCCCCGGGTCAAGCCATCCTCCTGCCTCAGCCTCCCGAGTGGCTGGAACTACAGGAGTGCGCCACCACCATGCCCGGCTGATTTTTGTGTTTTTAGTAGAGACGGGGTTTCACCATGTTGGCCAGGCTGCTCTCCACCTCCTGGGCTCAAGCCTCCCAAAGTGCTGGGATTACAAGCGTGTGCCACCGTGCCAGGTCTTCATCAGATTTTTTTAAGGAGTCAGTGGCTCCTAAAATATTATGACCAGTTCTACACACTTGGTCACCTAAGGACATTTCTTAGCCTGACAGCACTCAGGCTAACAAAGCTCCCTCCAATCAATATCCTCAGGCTTTTCTGGGGTTTTTGCATATTCTGAAACCTTACAAAAAACCCAAAGATTCACAGTGTCAACTCTTTCCACAAGGATGCTAGTCTTGCTAATTCCTACTGAGAAACAGCTTTTTTTGGAAGGAAATTTTAAGCAACAGCAAAAGTTGGTGAAATCATCACTAATATCCTAGAGTTTATCATGCAGAGTTAACTGTGGAGTTTCTTCCCCCTGACAAAATGTATCAAGGTACAGATAGAAAAAATACCATTTAGAGGATCCAATGATTCATTTCAAGCCTGTTTTATTAAGCTGAGAAAGCTAGTTGCTTATCTTTATAATGCACCAGAAAGTAATTAGAGGCTAGGATTGCTGGGACTGCTTGTGTAAATATAAAGCAGGATCATTAAATGCAGGAAAGGAATCGCTACGACTGAATACAGATACATTTCATATTAGCCAGTCTGGCAAAAATCAAGGTTAGCTCTCAAGAACAGGGCTCAACGAGGTGTTTTTTTGTTGTTGTTTTGTTTTGCTTTAGCTCTATAGTTAACTGGTTTAGTTACAGAACATTTCCTTTATGTCTGTAATTGTATTCGCCCAAGTGCTGCAAATAGGATATTTAAACGACCAACTCCTCAAATGTGAGTAAATCAGCCGGCAGTAAATAGAAGTAAATAGAAGTCCGGTGGCAGCGACAGGGAGGGAATAGCGACCAGGTACAGCGAGGGGGTTGATGACTATCGCCCACCGACATCACCTTTACACCTGTTCTCAGGGATGAGTTTCTGACCCAGCTCTACGGGACCAGGCGAAGATGAGAAAAGGGAGAGGCTGGGTGCTGCGGGGCGCGCTGGCCGGCCGGGGGATTGGCAGCGGACGTCCACCCGGCCACCTCGCCCTGCGGCCTGTACTTCCCGGGCAGGCGGCGGTCTCGCGTAGAGCGCGAAACCAGGAGCTGAGCCGCGAGTGGCGCCAGACGCGAGGGGACCGAGGCGGCGACCACCCCGGGGTCCAGGGTCACTCCGCCCTCCTCGCCCAGGGGCCCCAGCCCTGCTCACCCGGACTCTTCAGGTTGTAGCGGGTCTCCATGGTGGGTCGCTGGCTTGGCTCCGGCCTCCCGGGCCGCTGCCACCTCCTCTCCACGCGGCCGCTGCCCGGGTCTCAGCGCGGCTCGGGCGGACGGGGCCTGGCCGAGGAGCCTCGGCAAATGCCGCCCAGTCCAGCCTGGACTGCGGGCGGGGTGGCAAGGCTGAGTGCGGGCGAGGCGCTCGCTTCGCGATGGCGCCGCCTCCTCCACTGCGCCCCCGCCTCCCTGAGTGCCTGGCAGGCACCGGCGCCGGCCGGGGCGGCGCTGAACCGGGCGCCCGGGCTGGAGGTCAGCCTCCTCGGGTAGTCGCAGGCCCAGCCCTGCCGCGGCCGCCCGGCTTGCGTCACCCGCCCTCGTCCGGGATTTGTGAAGTTGCCCTGACGTGGCAGTAGCTTCGTGGCGGTCGGTCACTACCCAGCCGCCGCCCGCCCGGCGAAGCCGGCTTGGGGAGGTGCAGGAGCGAGCGGCGTCCTCGTCCTCTCGTCCCGGCCCTGCCCGCTGTAGGCGAGGTCCGGGACCCCCGGGCCCTCGAGAGCTCGGAGGGGGCGCCGGGCTCCGGCTGCAAAGCTGTCCGCAGCCGGCTGCCCGCGCGCGGTCCCGCAGGGTCTGGGAAAGGCTTTGTTTTTAGATTCAGTTGCTGTTGCGAGGGGCGGGGGTTAAGTGAGGAGGGGGAAAGCCAGTGACAAGGAAATGGAATAGGATTTTTTTTATTTTTTATTTTGTGTGTGTGTGTGACGGTGTCACCGCTCTGTCGCCCAGGCTGGGATGCAGTGGCGCGATCTTGGCTCACTGCAGCCTCTACCTCCCGGGCCCAAGCGATCCTCCCACCTCAGCCTCCAGCGTGGCTGGGACCACAGGTGTGTGCCACCATGCCCGGTTAATTTTTTGTATTTTTGTTAGAGACACGGTTTCACCGTGTTGGCCAGGCTCGTCTCGAACTCCTGGACTCAAGCGATCCGCCCGCCTCGGCCTTCCAAAGTGCTGGGGTTACAGGCGTGAGCCACGGCTCTGGCCAGAGTTGGATATTCATAACAATTTTTTTCTCGGGTAGTGTGTTAGGTGCACGACATGTTTTAGGCATTGCAGGAGTTTTGTTTTTTTTGGTTTGTTTAGATGTAAAAGCTGTCAAAAAAAGGAATTACATTTAATGTGAGGGAAAGCATACAAATATGAAAGGTTAAACTTCAAAGGACACACTTACTGCTTCATTGTCCAATGTGTGGGATCGAGAGAGGACTGAGTTCAAAAGACTTAAGGAGTAGGGACCTTACTAAAGGAAAGGAGGGAGGGATTGGGAAGGTGGGGAGGATAGAAAGGGTTAATCAGGTTGGGCAAGTTTTATTCTGTTATATAAAGACATAAACTCTTAAATTTGATTTGTTTTCTATTGTTAAAGTTAATCTAAATCTGTGAGTTTCTTGATGAAATTGGGAGTAAAAAAGTGAAGGATATCTAAAATTAGATGGTATATTTTAAATCATTCCCTGATGTTGTTTTCTGTATAGTAAACTGATAATCTGACTGACTGAGATATGCAAACAAAACCAAACTCCAATGCTGCTTCATTCATTCATTGTGTTGAATCTTCAGATTAACTGACACTTGACACCCTCTCCTGCCACAGCTCTACAAAAGCCCCTAATTTGTGCAGTAGGCCCTACCACAGCAAGGCCTGCAAAGCAGGTGCTGTATATAATGCGTTCCTATTTGATAGCTGAGTACTAGAAGCCTTTTGCTATTCAGCCTCCAAGGTCCATCAATCTCTGGGTGCAGTTGTCCTCTGGGGCTCTCCTTTAGCCACCACCACCTCCACTGCTCCCTGGGGCTCTTCTCCCATAGGACTGGTTCAGTAGGAATAACAATCTCTCCTTCCTTGGTTAACAACAATAACAACAATTTATTGTGGACATGTGCCCATAACAATTTAATTATGGGCACATATCAAAGCTTAATTACAATCATGCTCCAAGATCAAAGCCAATTCCAAAATTTCTCTCAGCAGAGACATTTACAGAGAAAAGAGAAGTGGCTGGCAGGTGTGGTGGCTCATGCCTGTAATCCCAGCACTTTGGGAGGCCAAGGCGGGCAGGTCACCTGAGGTCAGGAGTTGGAGACCAGCCTGGCCAACATGGCAAAAACCTGTCTCTACTAAAAATACAAAAATTAGCTGGGTGTGGTGGTGCATGCCTGTAATCCCAGCTTCTCGGGAGGCTGAGGTAGGAGAATCACTTGAACCCAGAAGGCGGAGGTTGCAGTGAGCCGAGATCAACCTGGGAGACAGAATGAGACTCCATCTCAAAAAAAAAAAAAAAAAAAAAAGGCCAAGGTGGGCAGATCACTTGAGCTCAGGAATTCGAGATCAGCCTGAGCAACATGGTGACACCCATCTCTACTAAAAATATACACACACTCAAAAATTAGCCGGGCATACGTACCTGTGGTCCCAGCTACTCTGGAGGCTGAGAAGGGAGGATCAGTTGAGCTCTGGGGGATGGAAGAGGAGGAGCAGGCTGCAGTGAGTCATGATGGTGCCACTGCACTCCAGCCTGGGTGATAGAGCGAGACCCTGTCTCAAAAAGACAGATACAAAGAGAAGAGTAATTTTATTTAAAGGTTACTAAATTCTTGACTGACAGCTGGGTGGGAAGGGAGCTCATTTCCTTGGAAAATTTCTTATCCAAAAATTGCTTATTTTTTTAAACTAGAACACTTATTTCTTTCAAGAAAAATTTACAAATTATATCAGGTAAAGTTTTAATCCAAGATCAAATTTGGGGTAATTTTTTCTTTACTTTTGATGATCCTAAGGAAAACTCCTTTTTTTTTTCATTTTAAGATTTTTTTTTTTAATCCTTAAAGCCGACTTCGTAACTAATAAAAATGACAAAAGATGAGGTTTAAAATGTTTCAGAATCTTAGAAAACATCTTAGAACCACAATCCTTGACCTGTGTAATTCATCTTTTCCTTAGTTAGGAACCAGAAGTCCTTTGAAGTGCAGGCCCTTTCTCCACCGCCATTTGCATCCTTGTGCAAGGTCTGGACTATAGTTTTTTAGCATCTACTGTTTATCAGGCACTTGACATAACATCAACTCATTTATTCTTCATAACAGCCTTGGAAGTGGCACTGATTATTTATACCCATTTTACAGATGAAGATAATTTAGGTCTCAGAGAAATCAAGTGTCTACTTCTCAGTTTTTTCAACTACAGATTATTATCTTTCTGGCATATGATTTTTTATGTTAATGAGAGGAAATTTTTCTAGATTTTCATCTATTTCTTGATTTGGTTTGAATACTTTGAAATATATTTTATAAAGGTTCTTAAAGCTTCAATGACTTATTCAAAAAAAACTTCAGTGACTTATCTAGAAAATGAAAGAACCCTGATTCAAGTCCAGGTCTTCTGACTCTGAAACTTGGGTTTTTTTGCTACACTAAAAAGAATCAGGCTGTTTTGTGACATTTGAGTTTTCCACTATTTGAAAAAAGTATATGCTTCTTACAACCTCCGAGCTATTCTTGGTTCACACATTTTACTTATTCTTTAGCACTAGAAACTTTTTTTTAAATGATTTTCTTCTTGATCATAAAAGTAATACAGTGGTTCAATATGTGGAATATGAACAAAATCCAAATCTCCCATAATCCTCCTGCTTAGAAAAGGACATGATACAGATTTTGGTATATTTACCTTGAGGTTTTGTTTATAAGGCATAGATATTTTAAGAACTGATATCCCATTATACCACATATACTTTTCTATACTTAAAATATCTGCCATTAGCTAACTGGATTACTTGTTTTGCCAGTTGCATTGTTATTATCACTTAAACTGATAGTGTGAATCAGCTTATTTTACATCAATGTCTTCCTAGAGTAAAATTTAAAAAAAAAAAAACCTCAGAAAGCCATATATAAATTTTATTGCATCGCTTCTCAGTCTTTTGGCTAAGATCAAGTGTAGACTTTATTGTAAACATTTTGTTAATTACCTTGAATACTTTATAATTTTTTTTTTTTCAGAAAAAAAAAAAAACCACCTGCTATAGTTTTTTCTCTTGTTTTACCCCCAGGATTTCCCCTTGGGATTGGTTAATAAGAAACATGGAACATTTTCCCATGGGGATGTAGCTGGTATTAATGTAATGGAGATGTTAGTTGTGTTATTACCAGGGACACAAGTTTAAACTCTGGTTACCTGAACAAAAATGTCAGGCAGGAAGGAGCTCTCAGTTTTTGGGTGCCTCACCTTAGTGCAATTGCAGGTCTAATAGTTATGCTTTTGCTTACCATCTGGCAGCCAGCTGAAAGATCTAGGAGAGAAAATGCTTCTGTTTTTTTTTTTTTCTTCTCAGTTTCTCCTATGTTCAAGATAGGTCTTGCTTGTTCATTCTATTTTAACACTTTTCTAATATATTTCAGGAGAAAATATTATGGAGGGATATCAAGCAAATATATTTGAAATACAGTAGAGTGCTTAGAATACTAGTTTAGTAGGTTCCTTCACCAGACGACTTGTGTACCATTTCTCATTTTAAAAGGTTTCCCTATAAGTAAGCAAAGAAGTGTTTTCTAAATAAAATAGTAAAGAGTTGTTTGCAACATTATTAAAGTAATTTTTAGTGTAGCTTTCTTAATTTGTCTTTTCTTTGAGACCCAATTTGCTACCATAGCTTTGAATTATCTATCTCTCTCAAAATTACAACTTTTGGTGTTAGGGATGAGGAAAAGGAAGGCTGCTTAGCATTGTGCTTTTGCTTTATTTGCATAGACTGCATCTTGTTTTTCTCAAAATTGAAAGGTGCTTTAAAAATTAGTAACAAAATTACAATATTTACTCCTTAGTTCTGATGAACTAATGAGTTTGAGTTATTTCATTTTCTAAGTTTAGCTCTAAAGGAAACACCTGCAACTAAAACTGTCGTTTCTGGGGGAGAAAATGGTGTGCACTTGGCGGTGTGCTGGCAGACAGCTGCCAACTGTTTCGAAAGTGTGTTCTCCTTCCCCCCTTCTGAGTCCTCTCCTAATAGCTATTCAAAGTGCTGTCCTGTCTCTACCTTTCTTCTTGTGTCACATATCCTGTCACCCCAATTTGTCATTCCCTGGACCCCTTTTAGCCACTTGCTGATTGATGAAACTTGGTTACCAACAAACTAACCTGAACAGCTTAGAAGTCTGCTCTTCCCTGGGAGTAGTTTCAGTTTCAAAAGTCAAGAATTGTCTGAGTTCAATACTTCTAAACAAATTTGTATTTTATTCACGATTATAGCATCTACAAACTTCCAAAAAATATTGTCATAGATATGAAAAACATTCTTCAGTCTCCAGACAATGCACAGCATATACATGATTTATGAAATTCTTACAGTAATTCTGCAGCCATGGGGCATTTCGACAATATTATTGTCTTCAGAACAATCAGTACTACACTGCTTCCCATTAAAACCCAAGTTACAATTATAGGCAAACTTTGAATGATAACCACATCGTCAACTTCTCAAAAGTAGTCCTGTACTTTTTTCAGCACTAACCAACCAGAAGGTATAGGTATGCCACAATTTGCCTTCTAGCATCTTGTGAGAAAATACTGGAGCCAGTTTAACTTCTTTGGGGAATTCAAGTTGGGTCTAGGTACAGATGCTGGCTGGGCGCGATGGCTCATACCTGTAATCCTAAAACTTTGGGAGGTGGAGGTGGAGGGGAGGATCGCTTGAGGCCAGAAATTCAAGACCAGCCTGGCTAACATGGTGAGACCCTGTCTCTATGCAAAAAAAGGGGGTGGGTACAGATGCTATTAAATAGTAATATATACCATATATGCAGAATGGAAAGCAAAATTTTTCCAAAAATATCATTCCTCAGAAAAGAGAGTCACCTTGTGTTTTTGTCTTTGTCCTTTTTGAACAAAATACTCTTCAGGAAGACAATATGTCGTGAAAGGGTCACAAGTAATGGCAATTTTCTGTCTTATAAAGGTCACCTAGCAAAATCAGGGGAAAAAAGGCAAAGACATATTGATTAATTATTCCTGAGGGTATGACTTTGGATAACAAGTATTGGAGATCATTAAGTAGGCTTTTAAATAATTATTGAACAGAGAAATACAAGAAGTACTTATTTATGGTGATTATGAATATGTAGGAAAAAAACCCTGATGTTTAACAAGTGGTTCTCGAGATGTAGTAAAATCTCCACTGACAGCATTCTACTCAATGTAAGGCATGCTCTACCTTAGATAACTAGGAGGGAACTGTTAGAGGACTCACAATGTTGTTTCAGTGATGATAGAGACCCAGTTGTAAACGATGCATGTGAAGTATTTGAATAAAATTGTTTGAGGAAAAACCAATTTTTCTAAATTAGTACCATTTGCATAATTTGTGCTATTAGATGTAAATGAGTATTTAAATACTGAATCAATAAATGGTTTAAATAGACTTAAAATTATTTACATTCACAAAAGTCTACATTTGAAATATAGGTTAAATAATATAAACTCTTAAAGCTGCATAATCAAGTTGGAAAAAATGCTAACACTTGGGGTGTTGATGTGTATGTAGGTATGGAGGATGCAAGAAAGCTCCCCTAGGTGATTGCAACCCTAATCCCCTACCATTTCCCCTCCCTATCCCTTTAAACAACTACAGAGAAAACAGTGTCTCACAAATTATAAGAATTGTTTAGGGTCCTTATTTAAAAATACAGATTTCTGTATTTCTCCCTGGAGATTCTGATTCAAGAAGACCGGGATGGGGCTGGGAATCTGCATCCTTAAGCACTCTAGATGATTCATAAAATCAGGTAACTTTGGAAAATATGGGCCTAGAGCATTAAATGAAACAGTACTATGTGTATTGGTGGCACCGTTTCTTGCACCTTATAAAGCTAAGTGAATTCCTTCCTCTCCTACGGAGATGGAAAGATACATAGGACTGTCTCCCGCAGTCACCCCCTTTACTGCACTGCTTCCCAGGGAAAAGAAACAAAAGCCTAATTACCAAGGCCACCTTATAAGCAGTCTGGGAGAAGGCCAGAATTAGTTCCAAGTTATTGGCTATCTAGGTGAGGAAAGTTGAGTACTATGGGGCTTAGCTCTCTGCAAAGCCAGAGGGGAGAAAACTGAGTAGCAGCCCTCTTAGGGACTTAGGCAATAATGAAAGCAGAAGGCAAACAAAAGCAGCTTGTAGGAATGGAATTCTCCACGTGGTGATGAGGGTTAGCATGGGACTGAGGTTTAAATTGCTCTATCATAGTTGGCCTTTCATGAGAGGGGGATTGGTTTCATGACTCTCAATTTTGGAAGAATAGAATAACCCTGCTGGCCCCAGGAGCTTATTAGGAAAGATTGAGGAAGCAAGATGGTCAAGGTCTCAGGCAGCTGGACACCAGTTAATGCCCCCACCCTCCTGAGTGTAGTCACTGGATCAGCTCCCTTTCAAAATAGCACAAAAGGGCAAACTCATGGATTCTTTTTTTTTTTTTTTTTTTTTTTGAGACGGAGTCTCGCTCTGTTGCCCAGGCTGGCGCCCAGTGGCGCGATCTCGGCTCACTGCAACCTCTGCTTCCCGGGTTCAAGCGAATCTCCTGCCTCAACCTCCTGAGTAGCTGGGATTATAGGTGCGTGCCACCACTCCTGGCTAATTTTTGTATTTTTAGTAGAGACGGGGTTTCACCATGTTGGTCAGGCTGGTCTTGAACTCCTGACTTTGTGATCCACCCGCCTCGGCCTCCCAAAGTGCTAGGATTACAGGCATGAACCACCACACCCAGCCAAACTCATGGATTCTTGATAACGGATAAGACCAATGTCATCTGAATTAACAAAGGACCCCTTAGGAGTCAGACATGAGCTCATGAGTCACTAAACTCCATGTAACGCTATCATATTATAGTCAAGGATAGAGTCTGTAATAAAAATGATCCTCTCAGGCCTACAACCCCATCAACCCTTCACCCGTAATACAACCCAGCATACAAAAATACCCAAGGATGGCAGTGAAAAGAAAAACCACTTTAGTAAACACTAGAAGGCCATGATCAAATGAAAGAAAAATTCAGGAACTTACTCAGAATTTCCCATTTGTTAAGATCTCTTAATTAACAGAGAAGGAAAAGATTTTAGGTTGGAAAGAAAATCCTTAGATATTTCTGATGTGGCCAATGGGTTCATTCTAACACTACTTTACAAACCACAGGTTGTGACTCATTAGTGGATTGTGAGATCTTTTTAAAAAAAGCAAATGAAAGAGAAAATACCAGAATGCATTGCATGTAGAGAGGATATAACTTGGTAAGTTTTTTTTAGTAACATTTGTATGAGTGTGTGATAGTTTGCAATGTGAACTGTATTTATTGTGGCTCACAATAACAAGTTTAAAATTGATTTCATAAAGGTGAACTACAGTTCTGTCCCAGGGCAATTTTATCTAGCGTTCAAACATGGCTTCAGGCATGAGTTCACATGGACGTTCTACTTTTTAAAGATGGTTTAGTTTTTCAAGATTGAATATGAGAACCACACTTCATCTCAGCTTTAACTGCTAAATCATTTATTGAAACCATAAATGTAATATTCTACAAAGAAAAGACTATTGACTTGTAAATATTTGTTGCACTGTTCTAACAATATTGTTTTGGATTTTTTTTTAAATCCTGGAATTAAGTTGTTTCTTGGAATAATATGATACTTCAAATTGGTATCTTAAAATCATGAACGAGACTACTAGAGCTTATATTTTCACTTTCCCAGGACTATTGCAAAATACTGATGATACAACTGAAATAAGATCACTGCCTGAACTTAACTGTAATTTATGATAAAAGTAGGTCTTTTGAGGACCTCTAGGACAAGTATGACACATTTTAAAATCACCCAGCCTTTCAAAATTCTGAATGATGTGAAAGAGTTTTGCATTTACCATCAGATTTTTCTCACATATTCTACTGTTCCTGATGACATGTTAAGAGAATATAAACATTCTTAGGCGACACTCTTATAAATAGTTCCCTGGTACGAACAGATTGAAAAGGGTAGAAAAGTAAAATAAACTTTTGTTTGTTTGTTTGTTGAGATGGAGTCTCGCACTGTCGCCTGGGCTGGAGTGCAATGGTGCGATATTGGCTCACTGCAACCTCTGCCTCCTGGGCTCACACGATTCTCCCGCCTCACCCTCCTGAGTAGCTGGGATTACAGGCGCACACCACCACACTGGGCTAATTTTGTGTATTTTTAGTAGAGACAGGGTTTCACTATGTTGGCCAGGATGGTCTTGAACTCCTGACCTCATGGTCCGCCCACCTCAGCCTCCCAAAGTGCTGGGATTACAGATGTGAGCCACCGCGCCCGGCCAAATAAACTTTTTATTAAATCCAATTCTGGAAGTGATATTGATGTCATACATGTATTAAGCTGGAAAAGTATGAATATTAAAATAACATTTAAAACTTCCTACTTTTAAGATAATTCACCTCTTAATTACAAGGAAAAGCACTACATGTCAATAAACATTTCGAATTTACAGCCTACTTCTTCTATTTAGTCTTACATTAAATTAATAGTAAATATAGCTATTGATCTATTGGTTGAACAACTCAATTTCTTGGATGCTAGTTATTATCCATGGTCTCTGCTGCGCACAGTGGTAAAGTCCTACACAACTGCAGTTCTAAAAACTGACATCTATAAGGACCTATCAAAAATTAGTTTATTTTTCATTATTTTTAGATATTAAAATCCTTTCATCTCCAGTATCTGCCTTTTAGCCATTTCTCTAGCACAGAGTCTGGAATATAATTGGAACCCTATAAATATCTGTTGGATAAAAGAACATTGTTAATTTCCCTCAGAAAGTCACACCATCATAGGAGATTTAGCAATCATTATTGACAAAAGAATCAAAACTCATGGCTCCTTTTATTTACCCCACACTCTTTTGGTCATGCTTGTCCTCAACACATTGAGGGAGAATAAACCAAGTCCGGAGATGCAGCAAGGCCAGGGAGCAGGGTCTTGTGAACTCTGCTAAGGAGTTTGGGCTGATATCTAGGAGTCATGGAGAGCTTCAGACCTGGAGGGTGTTAAGCAAGGAAGCTTAAGAAGGTCAGGAAGCAAGGAAGGTCAGAATTGTGGTGGTTGAGAGAGGCCACTCGGGGTCTGTATGAAGGATGGATGGATGGATGGATGGATGGATGGATGGATGGATGGATGGATGGATGGATGAATGGGGTAGAGAGACACTGGTTAAATAGCTACTGAAAGGTCCGATGCAGTTGCTCATGTCTATAATCCAAGCACTTTGGGAGCCCAAGATGGGAGGATCACTTGAGCCCAGGAGTTTGAGACCAGCCTGGGCAACATAGCGACATTCCATCTCTACAAAAAAACAAACAAAAATTAGCCAGGTGTGGTGGTGCACACCTGTAGTCCTAGCTACTTGGGAGGCTGAAGCAGGAGAATCACTTGGGCCTAGGAGTTTGAGGTTATGGTATGCTGGGATCATGCCACTGCACTCCAGCATGGGCAACATAATGAGACTGTCTCTCAAAAAAAAAAAAAAAATACTGAAATCCAAGTAAAAAGGAGATGGTGGTCTAAACCAAGATAATGGCAGAGGAGATGGAGAGAACAGATTCAATAGACCTTTGTAAGGCTGAGCTGAAAGAACCGAGTGACTGACTGCAGGTGAACAGGAGGGGAGGGAAGAGTCAAGAATGAGGCCCAAGTGTCTGGCAGAAGCACAGGGAGGAAAGTCACACCATCATAGGTGATTTAGCAAGAAGGAAGCCAATTTTAGACATATTAGATTTGAGGCTTTTCACCTATAGAAGATTCTAGCAAAAGCATGCTAGTTGCAATTTAAGATATAGATCTGAAGGTCAAAAAAGAATTAGGATGGAAATATACCTTTTTGGATTTTATTCCAGATCAGTATTTTATTTTTTTTACATATATTGAAATCTCAAGGTAAAAAGTTGAATACAGTTAAGACCAAAGGCTTATTCTTAGATTTCTGAGCTTGAAATATACTATTGCCTATTAGAAAACCAAATGGCTATAAAAGGTATTTATATTTTCTTTAGATATTTAGACACTTAATACCATCTTCAGCATTAGAGTTATTTAATGGGTTAGGAATAAAAATGCATGATCTTTGACTTTCTTCTCTGGGTGAAGTACATTTAGAAGACTGCTCCTATTGGTTCTATAAATATGCCAGGGGAGCTCATGTAAGAATAGGTACTTCTCAATATGCCAGCATTCATGCCCATGTAGTAATTAGTAGTTTAGGTGGATAAACTCCAATGTATCTGGTGGGCTCTGACACACTCTCCTGAATACCGCCCTCCTTTTGCATCCTCAAATGGCATGGCACACCCCATAGTCTTAGTCCACCAGACAAATCCTCTAAGTGCCCCTCTTCATATTTGTGAAAGGAAGGTATTTTTTTTAAAACATTTGGTGAAGCTGCTTATAGTTGTAGTTGGGAAAGTGGGCTTACTAGCTATATGATCTTGAGCAAGTTATTATTTCATCTTTTTGACCTTGGTTGCCTCATCTGAAAAATAGAAATGGTAACAGTACTTACCTCTTGGATTTATGAATTTTAGTTATGCAAAAGTACTTCAGAGCAGTGCCTGCGGCATATTGTGTGTACTCAATCAGTATCTGTTATTACTAAATACTTCTGTTGAAGACAAAATTTTCTTTCTCTTAAGCTCAACATCACTACTGATGGAAAATCTTGGAAATAATTATTTCAGATCAGGTTTTCCAACCAGGAACAGGATTTCATATTTGAGATATAACATCTAATGCTAGCCCCTCTCTGAGAACTCCTAGGGGATCTGAAAAAGGTCATTGTAGGATGGAATCTTACTAAGCAAAGTTAAGAATGATAAGGTAAACTGTTAGGAAAAGGATTTCCATATGACTAGGGGATTAGGGCCACAGCAGCAAGAGTTAATATCTGAAGTTTACTGAAGTAACAGTTCTACAGCCCTAACTGGCATGTACCCATCAAAAATGTGGAGATGTAAGAGAGTTTAAAAATAAAAGCATAAATTAAATTTAAGTAGTGAGATTTATCATCATTTCCATAAAATGAGAGCTGGTTAATCAGGACAAATAAATTTTACCAAATGGATGTAACAGGGCCAATGAAACAGTGACATACATGTATGGTAAGCAACCTCAGAAACAGGAAAGGCTGTACTTCCTTTTCACCAAAGAGACAATTCTGCTCCCAGAAAGCTTAGCTATGAATACACTTGAAATGAGAGCTTTACCAAAGCATGAACCTAGGACACATGCTTTTAAATTGGCAGTTAACATTCTTGAAAGCAATGGCTTAACAATGGTTATTAAGTGATGTACTGCTTAAAGTAAAACATGGACTATACCTGATTACAAATTACATCCAGTCTGTACAAGTTGAATACATACCATACTTTAATAACCAAGACAATTCAGCTGTTTTTCCAGAGTATATTTCAAACAGAGTTGGCATATAACCCGTATGTAACAATATTGCTGTGATTTTAGTCATATTTAAGGGTCCAAAATATGTTCACAAAAGAACAGTTTGTGAATGTCAACCAGTTTTTGCTTTATATTCCTTCAAAAACATTCCACCCTGGTCATTCACACTAATCTACATCACTGAAAATAACCAAAATAATTCACAGTCTCACCTCTATGTAAAAATTCTAATTGACTCAACAGGGAAAGGACTGCCCTGCTCCTTTTGAGGAAGGAAACCTGCAAGGCAAGTTCTCAATCCCTAAAACCAAGCAAAAATGTTCCAGTGCAGTTGCTGTAGCCATGTATTTAGGATTTGTATTTATAGAATTAAATTTGAGAATGAAACATGGCCATACACATCGCAATAAGCTGCCTCTCATATCAAAAATACAATGCAAAATGACTTGAAGACATTTCCAATAACACAGATTTGAAAAACTGAACGCTTAGACATAACTCCTGCATCTTTCTTTAATTAAGAAGTCATTGCCACACTTACAAAGTTAGAGGCAGTAATCTATATTAGCGTGTGATTAATCAAAGAGTACACTTACTACCATGAACTTGGGCCCTATGTCATAGAATTATTTTTGCCTTTCCCCCAAAGAATCATTTGCTCTTGAAGTAATAGGCTTTTTAAGGCACATTTTAACAAAAACCCATCATATACCCAGCTTAAACATGGAAGCTCCAACCTGGTTATAGTAATAAATATACCTAAGTAATGTGTGATTTACCAAATAGGCTAGTGTCTCTAGCTTGAGGATAAAGTCATATTAGAAAACTGATTCTTCATTTGCTTATTCAAAGTGAAACAACATGTAAAAAATATTAGAGAATTAGATTTATAACAATAACCCCTAAGTGTCAGGTCTGTTGGCAAAGGTCCAACAGGATATAGCTCTGGAAATCAGGGAGCCCTGGGCTCCTAACCATCCAGGTTTCGGAGTAGGAATCATGAGGAAAGGAGTTAGGGCACCTTAATTATTTTTAGAAATCTCCTTTCAAAATGCACAGAACCTTGGGAGGCTCAAACCTTAAACACCAACCAGATATCATCTTAAATTCAGTTACCAGCTTCAAAGAAACAGGACTTGGGGAGAGGAAGGAGAGAGGTTGGAAAGAAGCCACAGAGAGAAGTGGGAAAGTTTAGGCTGGGCACAGTAGCTCAGGCCTGTAATCTCAGCATTTGAGGAGGCCAAGGCAGGAGGATTGCTTGGGGCCAGGAGTTTGAGACCATCTTGGGCAACACAGTGAGATCCTGTCTCTACAAAAACAAAATTTAAGAATTAGCCGGGCGTGGTTGTGCACACCTGTAGTTCTAGCTACTAGGGAGGCTGAGGTGGAAGGATCCCTTGAGCCCAAGAGGTAACAGTGAGCTATGATTGTACCAATGTATTCCAGCACAAGCAACAGAATGAGGCCCCCCTCTAAAAAAAAAAAAAAAAAAAGTTTCAAGTATAAGTTGCTTTAGGGACTTTATATATTTTGCTAGGACCAACTTTGATGTTCTTAGGAGGCTCTGCTTTAAAAAAAAAAAAATCTCATTTTCTAATGCCCCACAAGCATGCCTTAGGGTGCTAACCCTTGAGATGCACGTAAAATTATCTACTTGGAATGATTTGGCATAGGGGTAGATTTAGGACTCTTAATTTCCTGTTAGTCTAAAGTAAACATAAGTGAAATAATTTCACAGAAACAATTACACAGCTAATTGTAATGTCTCTCCAGCCATCCTTTTCCCACTGACCTTTAGGGGTCTTCAGGATGACTCTTCAGCCTTGCAGAGCATGCTGGTGGCAGGCTGAGCTTGGCTTAATCATAAGGTGGGAACAAGTGGAGTACATGAGGCATGTTATCACCAGTGAGAAGGAGATGTGGAGGTGACAAAAGTGACTAACAGGATTGAGCTCCATGGTGGGGTTCTGCGATTTGTTCTATTCACTATGGTCATGGAGCAATAAAGAACTGGTCCTGAATAAGCATTTTAAATGCAGCACACCAGACCATCGCACAGGGCCAAAAGTCCAGAATTGTATCTATGTTTTTTAGTCTGCAGTTGCCAATCACATACTTTTGGAACAACTTTAGGCCTCTGATGTTACTTTAGCCCTGGGTGGTAGGTACAGAAAAGCCTCCAGAAACCCTACAATTCAGTGACATTCTTACTTCTCTCCAGTGTTCGGCACCATTTTGGAAATCTGGTCCCAAAGTTTCAAAAGAATACTAATGCAACAAAAAGAAATAACCTCTCTGTATAAAGTGATTATAGAGATGTGTGTTGAGGTAAACAGCTTCATAAAAACCGTTGAGCAGGGAAGCACAGCCACTGCTATAGAAATTTTTAGGTAAGTCTGGTGCTAGCATTATTCTACAAAACTGTTTACACCCATTATAAATAGGGGACAGTTCTTATTGCTCCTGGAGCTTGTAGCTCCAATCTGTTCCAGCTCCACTGAAAAATGATTTTTCTCAACAATTGGTAGCAAAGATTTCCAAATTTACAAAAAGTCATTACCAATGCATCACTTTTTGATTAATTTCTGATTGCCATATAGATATGGACTACAGTATGCATGTCCTTGACACCAAGTACAGAAAAAAAGCTTAGAAAAGTCGTTTTATCAAAGTTCAGTTCAATGAGAAACATGAAAAAGTGCAAAATATGTACAATTCCTGGCAGTTCTCACACGGGATTTTTTTGACTACAGACCATAAAAGTTTACATTTGTGTAATGAAATGACAATGGATTTCACATCACTGTTAATATACAAGTTTTTGCTTCAAAGTGCTTACTTTATTTATAAAAGAGAAGATCAAGAGGGTTGCAGGAATTTTTTTTTTTTAACAACAAATCAATGGTATGTGTCCCAATCTCCTTCTTCCTCTTCCTTTAGTGCAACATGGCGCAGCAGCCTCATGGATAAGGTCTGATTTCAAAAGACATTCCTGAAACCTCACCTACAGCAGCACTCTAGGGGTCCCATTAGGGGTGGCTCTCTTTTTCTTCTGCAGCCGATTCTGAACCTTTCGAGATTTTACTACTTTCATTCTCACCTCAAAAACTTCATGAATGGCCTTCCGGAAGCAATGAAAATTATAGTCAATTAGCCCTGGAGAAGAGAACAAAAATATTTATAAATGTCACGTAGAAATAATCTCCATCTTTTCATGGGACCCATGGCCAGGACAAGCCAGTAGGGGGCAGTAGAGGATGGTCTTAGCGTAAGGACCAGAGATTTCCCTGGGATGTCTGCAGCTGGCCTTCAGAAATTGCTATAAATCTTTAGGAATTATAGGCAAAGTCTTGTGAAGGAAGATTTTTCCTGATGCAAGGTTGCAGAGCATAGACCATATTTTCAAAGGTTCCTATGACCCAAAAGATTTAAAGAACGACTGAACTGAACTTTTTTTTTAACCTTTCAGAATTAAAGATTTCTTACAATTAAGAGAAATCTGTAATGAAAAATGTTTCTCCCCAAAGGGCATTATTAGACTGAGTAGAGGCAGATCCTGACTTGGGATCCCAAAGCTGTGTATCAATCAATAAATATTTACTGAGTATCTATTATATTTAAACCATTCTCATAAGCCCGAGGGAAAGCGAAGCCCCTAATTTTAGAGTGTTAACAGTCATCTCGCCAACTCCAGCAGAAATTCAACAACCAATGACACTCAGCTTTTCAGTATTAAGTATTTTAAGTGGAGAAATAGTAGGAGGGAATCTTCTTGTGTTTTCAGAAATGTATCAGTGACACAAAAAATAGAATAAAAGATAATCCAAAGTCTTGATGAGTGCATTTTTCATCATTACTAGTAATTTGTAAAAGTCCTGAGAGCAACATTATGTTTAC
The DNA here is from genome assembly GCF_000001405.40 of Homo sapiens. NCBI lineage: Eukaryota > Metazoa > Chordata > Mammalia > Primates > Hominidae > Homo > Homo sapiens. The sequence goes on from NC_000006.12 coordinate 89,368,949, forward strand.
ACCAATTAGGATAAGGTGGTCAGTTCTATTTACTATCTTTGAATTTATTAAAATAACTAGCCCAACAATTATTTCTATCTATCAGTGGATGCTTCTAGAGCCGCGTCCAAAGGAAGAATTAGGATTCCGGCCAAGGATTAAATTCTTCAAACTAGTTATACAACTAACTGCAAGGGGAGGGCGGGGAGGGCACCGTCTCGGTTTCCAGGAGCAGGAAAACCTCTGAGTAGTGCCCTCTGCTGCTTCTGCAGAGAGAGTGAACCACTAGTGCAGTAAAACCAGGAGTCAATTTCCTCAAGGAAAGACCAATGTCACAAGCAAGGGGAAAAGTAATAAAAACAAAGGAGCAAAGGAACGATTTTTAAATGGCAATTTGAATATGAGATGTGAGAGCCTCAAGATTCTCTGCTTTTATGTGCAACAAACTGTCTTAAAAAGCTTAGCTAAAAGAACTTGGCTCAATGAGAAGGGTACAATGAAATACTCAACTTGGGAAATTTCAGACATATCCTGTTCTTATTTCTGAGGCAGGGTCTCACTCTGTCACCCAGGTGGGAGTGCAAGGCTCAATCACAGCTCATTGCAGTCTCAACCTCCTGGGCTCAAGCAATCCTCCCACCTCATTTTTGAATTTTTCCTAGAGATGAGGTCTCACTATGTTGCCCAGGATGGTCTTGAACCTCTAGGCTCAAGCAATCCTTCCACTTTGGCCTCCCAAAGTGCTGGGATCATAGGCATGAACCACTGGCACCCGCCCCTATTGTTCTTGACAAACCTTAACTTACATATCTTTGCACATTTCAAAATGTAACAGTAATCTTGCTGTGTTTGGAATTTTAAGTAAAAGTTCACAACTGAGGCTTTTTAAAGACAGTAAATATCCATAAACAGTGTTTGCTATTTCAACCCTCATGAAAAGTTTTTGAAAATACATGAACAGAGACATAAACAAAATAAACACTCTCTTCACCCCACCTACAGTTCATAAGGCCCCACATCCTTCTCTGGTTCAGGAGTTCTCAACCCTAGCTGCACAATAAAAACACCCAGGCACCAGGCACACCAGGAGGCCAGGCACAGCACAGCACTTCGGGAGGCTGAGCAGGGAGGATCACTTGAGGCCAGCAACCTTTAGCCCTGACTGCCATAAAGTGGTGGTGTGATGTTGAGAGAAAGTCATTTATATTTTCTAGGCCTGAGTAAAATCATCTGTGACATGAGAGGGTGAAACAAGGTGTATTCCTGTCTATCTTTAAAATTCCGTGATCTATTATATAATCTGTTCTTGTTTCTAGCAAGATGAAAATAAGGAGTAAAAGATGAACACCATTTAATTTACAGTTCTGAGGCCAAAGGACACAAAAGGCAATTTGGTCAGTCATGGTACACACAGGAAAAATACAGGACATCACTAAGCAGCAAGAAAATGTAAATTCACATAATATACCAGTTTTCAGTTAACAACTTTTAAAAATACTAATACCCAATATTGATAAGAACACAGCAAAATAAGTATTCATATTCTCTTCGCAGCATAAAACCAGAAAATCTTTCTGAAGAACATTTTGGTAATATGCATTAGAAGCCCCCAAAATGGGCCTACCCTTTTGATCTAAGTAATTCCACTTTAAATTTTTCCTTAGGAAACAACCAAAGATGCACATAAATATTTAGTGCAAAAGAGGTCATAATGATATTATTTATAACATTAAAATCTAGAAACAACATAGATGTCTGAAAATAGAAGAATCTAATACAATCATTAAAATGATGTGGTTAAAAAAAGACGGTGAATTGGAAACATGTCTGTAATAATTTAAGTGAAGGTTATAAAGTAGAATTCATCATACAATCTATCATAGTCCTTTTAGAAAATGCATATGCAAGAAAGGACTGGAAAAGTATACAGGAAATGTTAAGAGTAGTTATCTGAATGAGAAACATCGATAATTATTGTTTTTTTGCTAAATATTATTTCTAAATTTTCTAAAAGAATCTATTACTTTTCTGATAAAAATAAACAATGTAAATTAAGTTTTCATGGCCAATGAATTAGGAAAATTTCATGATATACGTAAGTGAAATATATGTAATATAAAATATAAATATTTTCATATTTGTATTAAATATAAAACTATATTAGAATATAAAACTATATTAGACAATATGGCCCCAGTTTTGTTGGAAGGAAGGAAAAAAAGGAATGAAGGAAGGGAGAAAAGGAGCGAGGGTAGGAGGGAGAGGAAATAAGAGAGAAGGGCCAGACGTGGTGGCTCACTCCTTTAATCCCAGCACTTTGGGATGTCGAGGTGGGAGGATCACTTGAGCCGAGGAGTTTGAGACCAGCCTAGGAAACATGGTGAGACCCCAATCTCTACCAAAAACAAAAAAAAATTCCAGGTTGTTGACATGTGTCTGTGGTCCTAGCTACATGGGAGGATGAGGTGGGAGGATCACTTGGGCCCGGGTGGTCAAAGCTGCAGAAAGCCATGACTGTGCCACTGCACTCCAGCCTAAGTAACAGAGCGAGATCCTGTCTCAAAAAAGAGAGAGAAAGGGAGAAAGAAAATCCCAGAAATTTAACATGGGTTTAGCTCTAGATGGTGAAATACCTGGTTTTATTCTACATACTTTCCTAAATTTTCAAAGCATTTTTAATTTAATGGGCTTATATTGCTTATAATATAGAAGAAAAAGGCTATTTCAGGATATGTTACTATAACATATTCAGGATATGTAACTATTTGTTGGAGATTTTCTTTTACCCAACAAATTAGTAAACCATACCCTATTACTAACAAAAGTCCCTAGCCATATCAGTAAGCTAGGGACTTCTGTTAGTAACTTTTGTTTAGATATTATAGAAGGGGGAAATTAGTTTAATTGCTTTTGTTTCAAAATAAAACTGAATTTGATCCTAAAAAAAATTTGGTGGAGTTAAATATATTCATGGTCTTCCCTTTCCGGAATCATGATGCCATCCCTGTGTTCTGAAGATTTAAGAAGTATTTTGAGGCTGAACAGAAGTCAAACCACCTGTTGTCCCCTCCTTTACATGGGAAGAACAAAAGATCACACGGTTACCTAAGACCTTCTAGAGGTGTGGAGCAAAGTGGAGACCTCCACCCTCAGTATAGGCTGGGAGTCTGCTCCCTGGTAAGAGACTTCATTCACAGCCTGGCAACAGTGCCCCAACTAGCTTCCCCCTAGCAGAGATGCCAAGGCCCCTGGGAGGATCATGGGGTTCCACTTCCACCTCGCTGCAATCGCAGATGCACCACTAGAGGGCAGGCCAGTTCACTGGCCCAGAAGCTGACACTGGGGGCAGGAGCCCGCCCCGCTCTGAACTCCAAGCCAAGAGGGCCTGTGACTGGCATCTGGAAGTTTCGAGGGCTATGCTGTTGTCCACCCACATTCAACAAACAATACATGCAGTAGCAGTCTGATGCTTCTTTTAATGCTTCTTTTAAATCACACCAAAAAGTTACCTTTTCTTTCAAAGCTTTCCTCTCTGACAAAGCAAACGAGAGCCAGGAACTTTGTCACCTCTTTTAAATAAAGCACGGTTGTATTATTAAGCTTTATGATGGCTGTGGATTCCTTGTCATAGGGGGTTCCTGCTCCATCTTCTTTGAGACTAAATGGGGACAGAAACCAAAACATGTGACCATTGAGAAAGAACTAGAAACTGTAAGCCAGTGACAAGAGACCGGCTTTAAGCCACAAAAAGTGATAATCATAAGTTGTTTACACTTGCAGTGCCTTTCAGCAAAAGAGCTCAGAAACACACAGGCACAAAAACATACACAGTCCTCAACAGTCATTTCCTACTGACAATGAGTGGCTGTCTGCAGCAGCTGGGACACTCTCCAGGCACCTGAAGAAGCCAGTTGAAGGATGAGGTTAGCTCTCCCCACCTCCGTGGCCAAGGGCTTCTTGTTTTCTCACCTAGAATAGCCAGGCTGTCAAAAGCGTGGTCTGATGAAAGACTAAGAAAGGCTGAAGATATGTTCCAAATTCAAGGAGTCTAAAGAGACCTGAAAGCCAAGTGCTAGACTGGATCCTGAATTGGGAAAAACTGCTATAAAAGATAGAATTGGGACCACTGGTAAAATCTGAATATCGTCTATATATTAGATAATAATGTAGCCATGCTAAATTTGCTGAACTGTGAACTGGTTCAATTTACTCTCAAATGGTTCACTGAAAAGAAATAGATACACAATATGTATTAGAAAAAGAGAGATGCAGCAAATATGGCAAATTGGTAAAAACTGATGAATCCCAGTGAAGAGTTATACAGGAGTTCATTTTACTACCCTTGTATATTTTCTGTAGGTTTTAACTTTTTTTCAAAATAAAGAGTTAAATAAGATATATAGGTCTATTTGGCCAGGCGCAGTGGCTCACGCCTGTAATCCTAGCACTTGGGAGACAGGTAGATCACGAGGTCATGAGTTCAAGACCAGCCTGGCCAATATGGGTGAAACCCCATCTCTACTAAAAATACAAAAATTAGACAGGCACCACGTGGTGGCGCACACCTGTAGTCCCAGCTACTCGGGAGGCTGAGGCAGAAGAATCCCTTGAACCCAGGAGGCAGACGTTGCCGTGAGCCGAGATTGTGCCACTGTACTCTAGCCTGGGTGACAGAGCAGGACTCCGTCTCAAAAAAAAAAAAAAAAAAAGATATATAGGTCTATTTAAGAAAAGGTGTGGTGTGCAGACACAAGTGACTTGGGTTTGAATCTCATTTCTTTTATTTGCTAGCTATGTGAGCTTGGACAAGTCGAATAACTTCTTTGAGCCTCAATTTCCTCATATGTACACTAACAGTAATTATTTCAAAGTTTTCTAATGAAGATTAAATGAAATAATGCATATGTAGCACTAAGCATAATGCTGAGAACATAAAATACACACTTATTATCATGGCTTTAATGACTGAAACTGGACCCTCTGAAGATACCTGTGTAATAAAAGTGTTATGAATCCTTTCCTCACAGGCAAAGGACACTTCCCTAAACCTTTTCCCCCTTACCTAAAACTGTACATAAATTTTCTGATTTATTTTTACTCCCCAAATTTATGAATAACTGACCAGAAATTTGACTTAATTGGAATTGTGTTAAACCTTACCACATTCACTGAGAACTAGCATTTATTAAAGCTTACTATGTGATATTAACCATTCTTAGTTCTTAAAATGCATTATCCTCTGTCTGCTATAAGAATCCTCTAAGTTTCTAAGGAAACTGAGGCTAGGGGAAAATAAGATAACTTGGTCAAAGCTGACGATAGGGGTAAAGTCAGGACCTCAAACCTAGATATGGCTAATTTCAAAGTTAATGCTTTAATCCTGTAAATACACAAGGGGGTACAGTATCAAGCCAGATTTAATGAAAAGCCTGAATTGCACAAGAGTATTTTTAGGAAATGTAGGTTTTTAGTTTTGAGAGTATTTTAAGCTGCCATATACATGGCCACTTAAAAGTAAATTGTGAGGGTGGGCACGGTGGCTCAGGCCTATAATCCCAGCACTTTGGGAGGCCGAGGTGGATCGCCTGAGGTTGGGAGTTCGAGAACAGCCTGACCAACATGGAGAAACTCCGTCTCTACTAAAAATACAAAATTAGCTAGGCGTGGTAGTGCATGCCTGTAATCCCAGCTACTCGGGAGGCTGAGGGAGGAGAATCACTTGAACCCGGGAGGCGGGGGTTGCAGTGAGCCGAGATCATGCCATTGCACTCCAGCCTGGGCAACAAGAGCGAAACTCCATCTCAAAAAAAAAAAAAGTAAATTGTGGAAGTTCGTATTTTTTGTTTTTTTTAAAGGATTCAACTCACTATAACCTACCAAAACATTAAAGAAAAACCTTTTAAGTGCTGGACATCAAATGTTAAAGATGCTTTAACAGAATTCATTAACTTCCATTGCACTGTTTTAACTACTATATTTTAAGGCTCAATCTCTCTTGCTTATAAGTAATGTTCTGAGAACAAGAAACTGAAACATTTAACATGTTTTACCCAATGAAGAAAATAGCATTTAAAATTTCCAAGTAAATATAATACTATATAGATATTAAACACTGTTTATTAACAGCATTTAATAATACAGGAAAATTATCAGGTGGTAATGTTAAATGAAAAAAGCAGGATGAAAAATTTCACATACAAATGTGATCTCATTATCCTAAAAATTACACATGGAAATAAGAACAAACTATATAAAATGTAAACACTGACTGTCTCTAGGTGGTGAGATTATGGGCTACTTTAATTTTATTCTTTAGACTTTTATGTATTTTCTGCAATAAGCATGTATTACTTTCACAATCAGAAAAAGGTAAACATTAAACAAATTAGAAAAACAGACTCCACCAAAAATTACAAGTAGAAATTGATGAGGTTTGCAACTGCAAAAACTGTTTTACTACTCAAGTTTTTCATCTATAAGCAATGAAAACACATGAAGATAGAACATATTTTAAAGTGTGTGCATGTGTGTGTGCATATATGTGCGTGTGCATGTGTGTGCATGAGTGAGCACAGAGCTGCCAGCTGGGGCACAGCCTCAGCTGAGAGATTCCTGAGGCACCAGGTCACCTGATTCTAGGGCCTGCTGGTCTCCACTGGGCAGGTGGGGAGGGGCAGCAAGGCCTCCAGTTACAAGGGCACCTGCTTCCTCATTGCCTAAGAGGGCCCCAGGCTCTGCACACAACCCTGCCTCCTGCTGGTTAACAGGACTGGCTTGTTGCTGCTCCAGCAAACAATCTGAGGAAACCCCAGAGCCCACAAACCATCTGTGACCCAGACTGGTTCTTACTGAATCCTGTGGGTTCTCAGAACACTGTACTCCACCACAGAAAAACCAATCTGACGGCAAAGCCAGGCCACCTCCTCCTAACCCCTCCCTCCCCATGTTTGTTTTAGCTGGGTAAAAGTAACTCTGATTAACATCATTTACATGAACAACTTACCACTTACAGCTAATGACCATATGGCACAATAATGATCATGCACATTGTTAAGCATGTGCCAGATTAATTGTGTTGTTCATTGTACTTGATTACCATGGCAATCTGCACTGTAATCAGGGTGCGTTCATCTTCCATGACTATTTCAAGGTCATCCATTTAAACGGTTTAAAAATAATAGAATGCTTCAGGGCAGTAATCTTGGGCAATAAGGTTTATTTCTAAAGCCAGATGTCAGCGTTTAATTATAACAGTAATAATAAATTATGGCAGCTACATTTATCCAGAGTCTACCAGGTAAAGGCACGTTATGAGCCTAATGATATTTCATCCTCAATACAATCTTGTAAGTATCACTTTCCATGTGTGTGTGGTGTGTGTGTGTGTGTGTGTGTGTGTGTGTGTGTGTGTCTAACAGTTAACAGAGAGAATCCGAGCTGAGTGGGCAAAGGATTTTTAAGCAATGGAAGAGAAAAATGGAGACTAGACTCTCACAAAAGCTGAAAGGCAGAGCGTCAAGCTGTGTAAGGCAGGTCACAGGCAGTGAGTAAAGAGGAAGATGAGCAAAAGCTTTACCTCATCGATTAGATGAGGATGTCAGATACAATACAGATAGCAACACCTTAACATCTTAATAAGATGAACAACTAGTTCACACCTAGTCAGTCTGTACACCACCTGTTCAGCACATTTATAATTATGTAGAATTGTTTCTACATCGGGTAACATAATCAGTTTCCCCCACTCCTTGTTTATTTTATATTAAGTGTATAGGAAGCTCTGTTTTCTAAGAACGGTATGTTAACAGATTTTTTTCAGCAGAGGATCAGGAATCAGATCTGAGTTGAAACTCCAGTTCCAATCCTTACTGATAGTGTGAGCAAGAGTAAGAAATGTAACCACTCTGAACCTCAGTTTTTTCATCTGTAAAGTGAATACACTACAGTTGACCTTAAACAACACAGATTTGAACTGCCTAGGTCCACTTATACATGGATTTTCTTCCGCTTCTGCCACTCCTAAGACAGCAAAATCAACCCCTTCTCTTCCTCCTCCTCAGCCTACTCAATGTGAAGACAATGAGGGTAAAGACCTTTATGATGACCCACTTCCATTTAATAAATAGTAAATATATTCTTTCTTATAATTTCTTCTCTGTAGCTCACTTTATTGTTAAGAATACAGTGCGTAATACATAACATACAAAATGTGTGTTAATCAATCATTCATGTTATTGGTAAGGCTTCCAGTCAACAGTAGACTATTAGTATTAATAGTTAAGTTTGTCAGGGGGGAAATATATGTGGCTTTTTGACTGTTCAAAGGGTTGGTACCCCAACCCCTGTGTTGTTCAAGGGTCAAATGTAATTCCTGCCACATCGAATAGTTGAGAATTAAATGATAACCTGGGCACAGTGGCTCATGCCTATAATCCCAGCTACTCGAGAGGCTGAGGTGAGAGGATCATTTGAGCCCAGGAGTGATCTATCCTGGACAACACAGGGACACCCTATTGCTAAAAAATTGAAATAAATAATAGGAAGCATGCAATGAGATTAGCATAATGCGTGGCATTTGCTCAATAACTGTTATTATTGCATGCTAACTGGTATATTTATTTATAGATTTCAGTCATTTAAGACAAAAATGTTAAAGTTAAGTAAGTAAATGTAAATGCAAAATGCCTGAAAGGTTATGAAGGAAGGATGGCTTGATTGTGGCCTTTAAGAATGTTGTACTTACCCATAAATACAAGAGATGTCAATAACCACATCTATCATATCACAGCAGAGCTCATAGGTTTGCATATCCACCGGAGTACTATCAGTTGCAATATAAATTTTACTGACCACATCAAATAGAAATGCCTTTTCAATTCCAGAATTCTGAAATTTAAAAAAAAAAGTTGCCTTAAAGCAACAGTCAACTTCAGACCATGTCATGACTACACAAAATTGAATGCCATTCTTAATGTAAAATACAAAATGAGCAAAACTCGCTACTAAAAATTTAAATTGTATCATTTTATTACAATTTAAACTTCACTGTCATAAACTTCTCTATACTGGACTTGCATAAGAAATAAAAAGTAGAGGCCGGGCATGGTGGCTCACGCCTGTAATCCCAGCACTTTGGGAGGCCAAGGCGGGCAGATCACCTGAGGCCAGGAGTTCGAAACCAGCCTGACCAACCGGGAGAAACCTGTCTCTACTAAAAATACAAAATTAGCCAGGCGTGGTGGTGCATGCCTGTAATCCCAGCTACTCGGGAGGCTGAGGAAGGAGAACTGCTTGAACCCAGGAGGCGGAGGTAGCGGTGAGCCGAGATGGCGCCATTGCACTCCAGCCTGGGCAACAAGAGCAAAACTCCGTCTCAAAAAAAAAAAAAGAATTCGAATGACCACAAATTATTTATTTTAGGTAACCAAATTGAGCAATATTTCCTAACTCGTAGAGATACATACCTGCAATTAGGAAAAGGCCAAGTAAAAATACTTTTACTGACTGTAAATTTTAAAATAAGCTTAGAAACACTAAACAAACACACTCAAAATTGTGTAGTGACAGAGTAAACGTGAGTATAACCAATAGGTCTGCCTCAATTCAACTCAGCAGCGCCTACCTGGAGCTGGTGATGTGTAGGGTTCATTCAGCACATCACTCATAGCATGTTAAACTTATAAAAAGCTATTCAACAGTTTGCGTCTTATCAATAAAGCCAAGTTTTATGTTCCCTACCTCTGGTGGGGCTCTATTAATATTGAATGATTGCCTACAGGCTTGAATAAACCCTCCAATTATACCAGTGAAGTGCAGGAATGCATCTGAGTAGTTATATTTTATTTTTAGAGACAAGTTCTCGCTCTGATGCCCAGGCTGGAGTGCAGTGGCACAATCATGGCTCACTTTAGCCTCAAACTCCTGGGCTCAAGTAAGTACTCCTTCCACCACAGCCTCCCAAGTAGCTGGGACTACAGGCATGTGCTACCACACCTGGCTAGTTTTTACATTTTTTTTGTATAGACAGGATCTCACTATGTTACCTAAACTGGTCCCAACCTCCTGGCCTCAAGCCATCGTAACGCCTCAACCTCCCAAAGTGGGGCGTGAGCCATCAAGCTGGGCTGGGAGTTAAATTTTAAAGGATCTAAAAGAACACGTAGGAGTAATCTTTAAAAGTAATACTTAAATGACCTTGAAATGCTATAGAAGCAATCGGAAATAAGATCTTTTTCACTCTTGCAATGTTATTTTCAAATTCTACAAGTGACTCAAACAGGAATATTATTTACTTACTGAGATAAAGATGTTCAGCAAATTCTCCAGAGTTGGGAGTTGTGGAATCAGTTTCTGAACAACTTTGCTAAAAGCTTCAAATATTGAATGATCATATATGCTTGTCAGATAAAAGCTGAAAGAGGAAACGGTATTTCATCATGTTTTCCCTTTGAATGAGGAACAGGCTGCTTAGGCTATGTCAAAACACCGGTAATCTGCCTTCTGTATGTATAGTCCTAACACATACAGTCCAGCCCCCTTCAGAATTTACAGTGACCTCGGTAAAAAACAAGCCATTCCTCCCCACCTCCCAAAAAGCCCGAGCTGTGCCTATTCTCATCTGCTGTGCCTATTCTCATCTGCCAACTGGCAAGCTTACAACCGCAGCAATCTGTGTCCATCCCAGCTTCCTGACATTCTGCAAGACAATCCATGCCAGATCATCTTTACACAAGCCTCTTAGGTTGTCCAATTAGTAACTTATATTCTTGATATTGAAGCAACTATTTTTTTTCCATTTCCCAATTTACAAAATGATGCATGTACTACCTCACAAAAAATGATGGAAACATTGTTTTCCTTTGTGAGGATTCCTATTTGGATTGTTTTCAGACTACTCCTTTACTTATAATTACAGATAATATCTTTATCAAGAACTGTAAACTTTAGCATCAACTAACTACTAAAATTATATTCATAGGTTTTCTATAATGTGTTTCTCATGTGAGGGGAGAACCTTAGCTTTGACCATTTGTTAAAAAACAAAAAAACATCGCTTTCACTAAAGATTAGCATTAGCACATGCAAAGCTCATTTTCCCCTAATCCTATCCATCTACAGCATGAAACAGGGTAAAAAGAAGGTAAATTACTGCCCATGCCAAGCCAATCATGGTGACTCCGAACCCCAAACTTGCTTTCTTCCATCCTTTATTGGGATCCTTAAGGGGTTTCTGTTCTCACCTGAGGTGAATTTTTTCTAATCCAGCATCTGCAAGGTCATCGTTTGCCCTCTGGTGAATATCTCTTTGGGTTTCAATTTTGTGGTCATCTGACAGACCATCCACTTTATGAATAAACACCTCGAAGTTGATGTCAGTATTCACTTTGTAGGCCCTGGTCACCGTGAGGTGGAGCCTGGCCAGGGCTTCCATGTAATCATCCTAGGACCAAAGGCAACGCCTGTGAGAGAAGGCCGCTTTGCTTCCTGAGCCTCCCACACACACTCTTCACCTGGAAACCATGTGGCTGCAACCCCCCGAAATACGTTGCAAAGGTTCCCCTCAACAAGCTGGCTTCTTATAATTCCAGTGTGAAAATTTAAGTTCTGTTAACAAAGAGAGGAAGAAGAAAGGCTAAAAAAATGCAGCTGATTTAGGCAGTTATGACTGAGGTTGATGACAGTCATAAAGATCAGAGTTGGCTGGGCGTGGTGGCTCAAGCCTGTAATCCCAGAACTTTGGGAGGCCCAGGCAGGTGGATCATGAGGTCAGGAGATTGAGACCATCCTGGCTAACACGGTGAAACCCCTTCTCTACTAAAAATACAAAAAATTAGCCAGGCGTGGTGGCATGCGCCTGTAGTCCCAGCTACTCGGGAGGCTGAGGCAGGAGAATTGCTTGAACCCAGGAGGCAGAGATTGCAGTGAGCTGAGATCACACCACTGTACTCCAGCCTGGATGACAGAGTAAGACTCGGTCACAAAAAGAAAAAAAAAAAAAAAGATCAGAGTTGCGGTTTCAGGAAGAGAAACGGACCCTACTCCACATAAGACCTTCCCCAGAATACTGTTCCTCCTAACTTTTCCAGTCTCTTGTGAACTGTGATGAACAATTAGAGATGGAGGCATGATACAGGCCACTGGGCGGGTGGGGAAGGAGCTGAGGAGCAATTTTAAGAACCACTGGTTCAGTGCAGAAGTCAGCAGACCACCGTCTGCAGGCCCTGTGCCTGTTTCTTAAAAGTAAGTTGTATTGGAACATGCTCATTTGCTTTCATATTGTCTAAGGCTGCTTTTGTGCTACAATGGCAGAGTTGAGTAAGTTTCCTCTAGAGAAACTCCTCAGAGACAGTACAGTCTACAAAGCTTAAGATGTTTGCCATCTGCCCCTTTACAGAAAAAGTCCCCTGGTCTAGAGGAATTGCCCCAAACAATACTAACTTTTTTCTTCTTCCCATGCCTATATAATGAACACCTGTGTATTTATCTCTATTTAGGAAATAAAACACCTACACAAAAGCCCTCTGTGTTTCTCCTCATCCTCCCAACCCATGCTATCCCTCTACCCCCTCATCCTCTAGAGACAACCACTATCCCAAGTTTAGTATTTATTCTCACTCATGTATACATTAATACAGACATATATATCCCCAAACATCACATATAATTCATTTACATTGTTTAAAAATGGAAAGAAATATTAAGTTGTGTGTATATTATAGTTTGCCTTTTTCATTCAACACTATGTCAGTGAGATTCACCTATGCTGAATGTTATCTGTAGTACATAACTACAGTGCATTAGTTCCTTTTAATGGCTCTATAAAACTTCCTTTTATGGATGATCTATAATTTATATTTGCCTGCTGATGGACATTATTCCCATGTATATGTGATTACAATGATATATGTACAGTCTCATGTACATGTGGCTTACTCTGAAGGGTGACTTGTCAGGTCATAGGTAGGAGTGCCTTGACTGTACCTGGAAGTCTGTAAACAGCATCTGATGCTTCAGACCCTCACCAACAATTGGTGGTGTCAGATCTCTTATTGCCAATTTGAAGGGTGTGAACAGGTCTTGTTTTTATGGCAAAAAAAAAAAAAGGAAAGAGACCTGTAGGACAGAATCTAAATGCCTTCCCCCTCTGCCCCGCCACTTGTGCCTCCAAACCTGGAAAAAACAGAAAGCCAATATAATTGGGGGTGTTTTCTGGCATTCTTCTATGCTCCAAACATCAGTAAAAATGTATCCCTAGTCTCTAGGCAAATCAAATATTAATTATACAAATAGGAAACTATGAAGAGGGAAAAACCGCAAATGGAGTCCTTCCCATCCTTCACACTCTACAGAGTTGTTTAGAATAAAGGACAAAAGCCAGGAGCAGTGGCTTGTGCCTGTAATCCCACCTACTGGAGAGGACTGCTTGAGTTCAAGACCGGCCTGAACAACACAGTGAGACCCCTATCTCTAGAAATATATATATATATATATATATGTAATTAACCAGACTTGGTGGTGCACACCTGTAGTCCCAGCTACTCGGAGGCTGAGGCAGGAGAATTCCTTGAACTCAGGAATTTGAGGTTACAATGAGCTATGATCTTGCCACTGCACTCCAACCTAGGTAACAGAGTGAGAGCCTGCCTGTAAAAATTAAATAAAATGAGGCCGGGCGCGGTGGCTCACGCCTGTAATCCCAGCCCTTTGGGAGGCCAAGGCGGGCAGATCACGAGGTCAGGAGTTCGAGACCAGCCTGACCAACATGGTGAAACCCCGTCTCTACTAAAAAAATACAAAAATTAGCTGGGCAGGGTGGCGCATGCCTGTAATCCCAGCTACTCAGGAGGCTGAGGCAGGAGAATTGCTTAAACCTGGGAGGCGGAGGTTGCAGTGAGCCAAGATCGTGCCACTGCACTCCAGCCTGGGCAACAGAGCAAGACTCCATCTCAAAAAAAATAAAAAAAAAAATTAAATTAAATGAAAGGCAAATGTCGGATTCTGGGTCAGCAGATTAAGCATTAAAAACTAAAGGTATTACTGTATGGTTCCACATAGATGAAATTCTAGAAAAGGCAAACTAAAGTGACAGCACTGCAGTGGTTGCCTGGGGCTGAGTGTTTCAGGGGATCACCTGAGAAAGGGCACAAGGGAACCTTTGGGGTGGTGGAAATATTCTATATCTTGAAGGAGGGGTGGTTACATGGTGTACACATTGGTCAAACCTGTTGAACTGTACACTTAAAATGAATGCATTTTATTGCATGTAAATTACACCTCAAGAAAAGTGTTATTGCTGTCTTTAACTGAGGAGGGGAGTTAAGGGAACATGTCTGTGAGCAAAACTACCCAATGTCAAGAGAGCATCACATCTCCAAAGATTGGAAATTGCTACTCTAACCTCCCTGCCAAGCATATAAAATGGTCTGATTACCAACTAACTGAAAAAGCAGCATGCAGCTACAAGGACTAAAAAAAAGAAAATACTTGGTTGGTTAGAACAGAGGGATTGCAGGTGATTTTTCCCATCGTTTATTACTTTCTTTGACAAATAAAAATTAAGGTAAAATACACTGCATAGTTTCTACTCTGAAATTAGATCTGGGGATTATGGGCAGGTCACAAGCACCAGCACAGGTCAAGAAGAAACTCTCTTTTGGATCCATAGCACATGTGCAATGGCTTCAGGAGATATGGTGCATTCTGTAGGCTGGGGAGCGGGGCTGGGGTGTCACCACAGATCATGGGAACCACTCTTGCTTTCATTCTTTTTTATTTTATGACATTCTGTGAGGACACATTTACTCCTGGGGGATATATTTATCCGGCAATCCTGTGACTGTAAGGAATTCATGAACAAAAAATAAAAATATGAGGAGTGAGAACAAAATAGTATTGCTTAGAAATAAAGGAAAGGGGCCAGGCGTAGTGGCTCATGACTGTAATCTCAGCACTTTGGGAGGCCGAGGCGGGTGGATCACGAGGTCAAGAGATCGAGACCATCCTGGCCAACATTGTGAAATCCTGTCTCTACTAAAAATATAAAACTTAGCTGGGTGTGGTGGCTACTCAGGAGGCTGAGGGAGGAGAATCACTTGAACCCAGTTGGCGGGGATTGCAGTGAGCCAAGATCGCACCACTGCACTCCAGCCTGGTGACAGAGTGAGACTCCATCTAAAAAAAAAAAAAAAGAAAGAAAGGAAAGGACACTCAAGTGCTGTGGAGACACTTCCCTAAAGTTTTGATTTTCCTGTCAGTGCTTCTAATCACATCCCATAAAGGTTCCTGCAAACATGATTTTTACATTCTGCTTCCAACAGAAAAGTATATTAGGTTTTGAAACTGCTTATTTAATTATTCCTTATTTTAAATAAATTACAGCATTCAACAATGCTTTTCCTACTGTTTATTTTTATGTGTGGTTTTTTTCTCTTTTCGAGATAAGGTCTTGCTCTGTCACCCAGGTTAGAGTGCAATGGCACAATCATAGCTTACTGCAGCCTCAAACTCCTGGGCCTAAGTGGTCCTCCAGCCTTGGCCTCCCAAAGTGTTTGGATTATAGACATGAGCCACTGTGCCCAGCCTTCTCTTTTTAAAAAGTATAACTTTAGGCCAGGCGTGGTGGCTCACGCCTGTAATCCCAGCACTTTGGGAGGCTGAGATGGATGGATCATGAGGTCAAGAGATCGAGACCATCCTGGCTAACATGGTGAAACCCCATCTCTACTAAAAATCAAAAAATTAGCCGGGTGTGGTGGCGGGCGCCTGCAGTCCCAGCTACTCGGGAGGCTGAGGCAGGAAAATGGCGTGAACCCAGGAGGTGGACTTGCAGTGAGCCAAGATGGCGCCACTGGACTCCAGCTTAGGCGACAGAGCAAGACTCCGTCTCAAAAAAAAAAAAAAAAAAAGTATACCTTTAAAAAATGAACTTCTCAAACATTCCTATATCTTTCTCTGCCCCACAAAAAACACCCAAGAGAAGAGCCAAGGATAGTAGCATGCATCTGTAGTCCCAGCTACCTGGGAGGTTGAAACAGTAGGATCACTTGAGCCCAGGACTTTGAGGCTGTAGCGGGTTATAATCACACTTGTGAATAGCCACTGCACTCCAGCCTGGGCAACATAGTGAGACCTCGTCTGAGGAAGAAAAAAAACTTCAAGAAACAAAATTAAAATAAAAAACACATTTACCAACCTAAATTGAAGGTCTGCCTTCAATTTAAAAATAGGCAGATGTACCTATTTTCGCCACATTATAACCATATTAGAAACACCTAAAAATAGATTACACTGTAAATTTGAATTCCCATAAATGCAAATTGCTATGTAAGCACAACGTGGTATTTAAGTAAGTACTTACTAATCCATTGTCTTGAAATGATGAGTCATCTGGTTGGAAATCTACTCACCCATGGGTAGGACTACTACAGCTACCCAGTTCAACAACTACAGAAACAGCTGCTGCGTGACTTAGGGAGAAAAATGGAGCTTAGAAGAGAGAGATGAGCATGACATCCCTGGAGCCTCCCCTTCCCTACAGCAGTGTGCACACACCCCATCCACTCCCCTTGAGCACTAAGCTCCCTAATTTATGGTGCTGGCAGACCTGAGACAGTAAAGCAGGGGATACTGCCAAGACCACAGATGGGCCAGAAAACAGGTCAGTACAAGTGGGACAGTCAGGAAAGCAGCTGCTGACAGCAGGCCCTGGACGTGGTGCAGGTAACACGTGTTTCTGGGTAGGCCCATGGGAAGAGAGTAAACTGCTGATCACAGATCAGGCATTGGATTTGAAGTCTCCCTCCTCCACACCCCTACCAAAAAGGAAAGGAAGAACCCTTCTAACCATTGGCCATGCTCCCACAGCCATACACGTACACAAATGCAGCCACTTGGAACTGAGAGGCTTAGTTGAAAATTTTGTTATTATTATTAAACAGGCACCTAGATCCTGAATGAACTTACGATCCTCTCAGGCATGGGGAGTCTACTCAGAGGATGGTTCTCGAGCATGGGCTCAGAATGATATTATCGGGAATAGTCTTTGTAACACTTCAGCCCTAACAGCTCTGGTGCTCCTAGAAGGGCCAGGTGTGCTTAGCGGGGCGATGCACACCCGCAGCTGGCCAACCTGTCTCACTGTGGGTCCACAGTTCCAGGGAAAGGGCACAACCTGAACCTCAGAGTTGGTTCAGCGCATGCTGAGAAGGGCTGATGCCATTTATTTCCCCCCAGCTGCAAAAGGGAGCCCTTGGGGAGCCTTCAGGCTGGGCCATATGTCATGGGCATTTTCTAAGAGCCCCAGACATGGATAGTTTGGAAAGCACCAATGCCCCTATCCTGCTGCACATCCCCTTCCTAAAATGTATCTGCCTGACACACTTGTGGTCCTACTGTCTCCCTTTGCCTCCCCTTTACACCAACTACAGCAGAAAAGCCTCAGGATGTAAAAAACCCAGGGTGCCAAGGAGCCAATGTGGAATGCTAGAAAAGAACCTGATACAGGGAATGACTCGCGACTGGGAATGGGGCTCTTCAAAGCATAGGAAACAGGTTCCCAATTCTTTGCGTCCAACAAAGTGAAAGGAGAACCTACTCTGGAAGCCTGTTGTTAAACTACTAAAAATAATTTTTCATGATAGAAAACTTGGTAATTTAGGGGATATAACTTGGAAGGAATCTGAATAGCAGTATGAATGCTAGAATAAAACTCACCTCATATCCACCTACTTACTTATGTGAATAAAGTTTCTCAGTGCTTATAACTATATAAACAGAAAACAAAAATGGAACTGATGCCAAATATTGTCTTATTCAAGCATGGATATATGAAGTGGAAAAAATATCAAATATCCATCTTCTAAAGAGGGATATTTATCTCAAATTTTACTTTTTATATGTAATAATCATCTATAAAATACATAATTATATTATCTTAAGCAATAATTATAATAATTTATTTCAGAAGAAAAATTTTCACACCTAGAACTTTATCTTCATAGGAAATAATAAACAGTTTAAAATGTAAATTTATACACATGTTTTTGTTGCAGAGAACCTGTGATCTTTTGTAGATGTTGACTAGCGGTACCATAGTGGGGATGACATATTTGGCCTAAATGGGCCCCTCCATCAGTGAGGTTTCCTAGGTCTATGATTTGCTGAAGTGTCAATTGTTCCCTAATGCTCAATGGGTTGATTGTTGGTCACGGCTGGAGCCTTTTAACTTTGGCAAAGTCTGAGAGCCCTGACCAAGAAACACTTGTTTGGTAGAAAGGCCTATTCCAGAGTTTAAAAACCAAACCAAAAACATGGGGTGGGGTGGAGGGGACCGGCCAGGCCATCATACCCCTGAGACTCTGAGCTTTACCTGTGAGTCAATGACAAATATCAGTGCTCCTGTTCCCCGGAAGATCATCTCATAGTCAAATGTAGGGTCAAAAAAGTCAATCTGTCCTGGGAAGTCCCAAATCTGAAAATTGACAAAGGAGCTGTTGGAAACATCTTCCCGGCATATCTTATTAGTGCTCTCCAAGAACAGAGTTTCGTTGGGAGACATTTTGTGAAAGACAACTTTCTGAATAGACGACTTGCCGCTTCTCCTCAGGCCCATGAGCAGGATTCTCGGCTTCACTTCAGTGCTGAAGGGGTCACTGAAGTCCAGAACTGGAGAAACCACAAAATGAGAATGAAGGTGAGATGCTTTCACAGAGGTTAATTAGAGGAGTTTCACTTCCACCTCAAATGTGATTTATGATTCACAGATGATGCCACTCTTCCAAAGAGTGCTAACTACAGTCCCTCCACTTAAACCCCAAGTCTTGCTGACTTCACAACCTTAACACTTAACCGCTGGTCTATACTTCCCACCAGGCAAAGGGGACAGCTTTTGCTAAGTGCAAAACACTCAACAATAGAGTCTCGCCACTTCTTACACCATCCCGGAGGCCAGACACCAATATAATGCCACATCACAAGCAGGGACTCAGGAGCGTGAAGAGAGATTTATTTCCTGGAGCAGACTGTGGAAAGAATCCAGGTCTGAGCATTCAGGAGCCATATTGTTCTCTGAGAAGCCATCACTAAAGAGATGCTTGTTGACGTGAGTTATGCCTCTCTTAGTCACCCTCCTCTGGCTAGTACTCTCCCAAGCCACGAAGGCCTGGAAAATGGGCCTTGGACTAGATGTCGCAGGTTTGGATTGTGTTACACAGCAGATGCAAAGTTTGTGAAAGGCAGACATCTCTCAGGCCCACCCTGGCTCAGGGCCCCCATCCAGTAAGGTAGCTACTAGCCAAATACAGCTATTTAAATTAAAATCGATTAAAATTAGAAATTCAAATCCTCCTCCTATGATGTTTCTAGAGAAGCCAAATTCATAGACACAGAATGTTTTCAGGGGTTGGGGGAAAAGACGAATGGGGAGTTCTATGTTTAATGGGTATGTAGTTTCAGCTGGGGGAATATGAGAACATTCTGGAGATGGATGGTGGTGAGGGGCGCATAACAGTCACATTGTTATGTGGCCCTCACCGCCAAAAATGGCTAAAACTGTAAATGTTATGATGTTATATATATTTTATCACAATAAAAATTTGGGGGTTCCTCAGTTTCATCGTGGCAAGTACTCAATAGCCACATCCAGCAAGTGGCTAACGTATTGGACAGCACAGACACAGAACAGCAGTCCCCAACCTTTTTGGCACCTGGGACCAGTTTTGTGGAAAACAATTTTTCCAGGGACCAGTGGGATGGTGGGGTGGTTTCAGGATGATTCAAGCTGGTTACATTTATTAGGCAGTTTATTTCTATTATTATTGCATTGTCCTATATAATGAAATAATTCTCAAGTCACCATAATGTAGAATCAATGGGAGCCCTGAGCTTGTTTTCCTGCAACTAGACAGTCCCATGTGGGGTTGATGGGAGACAATGACAGATCATCAGGCACTGGATTCTCATAAGGAGCGTGCAACCTAAATCCCTCACATGTGCAGTTCACAACAGGGTTTGCACTCCTATGAGAATCTAATGCCACTGCTGATCTGACAGGAGGCAGAGCTCAGGCAGTAATGCGAGCAATGGGGAGTGGCTGTAAATACAGACGAAACTTCGCTTGCTCCCCCACTGCTCACCTTCTGCCATGCAGCGCAGTTCCTAACAGGCCACAGACTGGTACAGGTCTGTGGCCCGGGGTTTGGGGATCCCTGACATAGAACATTCTTATCCTCACAGAAAGTTCTAGAGGCCAGCACTACACCAGTTCCTGGTAACAAAAATTCAATCTTAAAATCCTTTGCTAAGGGTCCTAGAGGGATTAGGCATTACTGGATAAAAGTAGGAGTTGGTGGGCCGGGCGCATGGCTCACACCTGTAATCCCAGCACTTTGGGAGGCCGAGACGGGCGGATCACGAGGTCAGCAGATCAAGACCACCCTGGCTAACACGGTGAAACTCCATCTCTACTAAAAATACAAAAAAATTAGCCAGGCGTGGTGGCGGGCACCTGTAGTCCCAGCTACTCAGGAGGCTGAGGCAGGAGAATGGCATGAACCTGGGAGGCGGAGCTTGCAGTGGGCCGAGATCATGCCACTGCACTCCAGCCTGAGCAACAGTGTGAGACTCCGTCTCAAAAAAAAAAAAAAAAAAAAAGAAGTTGGTGTAACAGCTCAAAACCCTGTAGGGCTCTCTCTTTCCTTCGTTCTTGAAACATATAGTATTAATTCCACAATGTTCTTTAGTCCTAGAAAACCGCTTAATTGGTAAGCAGCCTTCCTAATTGACCAAGAGCGTGTATATTTCACAGGAGTAAAGGAAGTATAGACCGTGGTTCAGTGTTAAGGCTGTGAAGTCAGCAAGACTTGGGGTTTAAACTATCAGACCTTGAAAAAGATACTTAGCTTTTGAGACTCAATTTCAAAATCTACAAAATGGACTTGATAATGAAAATAAACATCTCATAGGGCTGTTACAATAAATGAGATCAAGGACCTAAAACAATTATTAAAACTAAGACATTCAGCAAATGGTGCTGGGCCAACTGGATATCCACATGCAAAAGAATGAAGTTAGACCCTTATGTCATACCATATACAAAAATTAACTCAAATGGATCAAACATCTAAGTTGAAGAGCTAAAACTATAAAACTCTTAAATCAAAATGTTTTATTTAAGAAGGCAACATAGGTGTAAATCTTGGCAACCTTGCATTAGGCAATGGTTTCTTAGCTATCACAGCAAAAGCACAAGCAACAGAAAAAAAAACAGATAAACTGGACTTCATCAAAAATTTTAAAAGTAAAAAGACAACATACAGAATGGGAGAAAACATTTGCAAATCATACATGTGATAAGAGTCTAGTATCCCGAATATATAAAGAATGCTTATAATTCAACAATAAATGACAACCCAATAAAAAATGAGCAAAGGATGCGAATAGACATTTCTCCAAAGAGACACTAAAGGCCAATACACATATGAAAAGGTGCTCCATGTCATTAGCCATCAGAGAAGTACAAGTAAAAACCACATTGAGATCCCACTTCACACCTACTAGGATGGCTATAATCAAAATGACAGATAATAACATGTGTTAGTGAAGATGTAGAGAAACTGGAACCTTCATATGCCACTGGTGGGAATACAAAATGTTGCACTTTGAAAAACAGTTTGGCAGTTCCTCAAACATAGGCTGGGCATGGTGGCTCACACCTGTAATCTCAGCACTTTGAGAGGTCAAGGCAGGCAGATCACTTGAGGTCAGGAGTTTGAGACCAGCCTGGCCAACATGGTGAAACCCCATCTCTACTAAAAATACAAAAATTAGCCAGACATGGTGGCAGGCACCTGTAATCCCAGCTACTTGGGAGGCTGAGGCAAGAGAATCACTTGAACCTGGGAGGCAGCAGTTGCAGTGAACTGAGATGGCGCCCCTGCACTCCAGCCTGGGCAACAGAGTGACACTCTGTCTTAAAAAAAGATTAAACATACAGTCACCATATGACCTAGTAATTCCACTCCTCCAAATATACCAAAAAAAATTGAAATCATATATCCAGGCAAAAACTTCTACACGAATGTTCACAGCAGCATTATTCACAATAGCCCAAAAGTAGAAACTGCCCAACACCCATCAACTCATGAATGGATGAAAAGAATGCGGTACAATGGAATACAGGCTAGGAATGGTGGCTCATGTCTATAATCCCAGTACTTTGGGAGGCTGAGGCAGGAGGGTTGCTTGAGGCCAGGAGTTCAAGATCAGCCTGGGCAACATAGTAAGACCCCATCTCTACAAAAACTTTAAAAATTAGCTGAGTATGGCAGCATGCATCTGTAATTCCAGCTACTCAGGAGACCAAGGTGGAAGGATCCCTTGAGCCCAGTGGCTCGAGGCTGCAGTGAGCCACAATCATGCCACTGCACTACAGTTTGGGTGACAGAGTGAGACCCTGTCTCAAAAAAAAAAAAAATACAATGGAATATTATTCAGCCATAAAAAAGGAATAAAGTACCAATTCATGCTACAATATGGATGAACACTGAAAATAATAATGCTAAGTGAAAGAACAGACACAAAATGTTATCTATTGTATGATTCTATTTACATGAAATGTTCAGAATGGACAGATCCATAGAGACAAAAAGTAGTTAGTGGTTGCCAGTGGCTAGAGAGAAGGGAAAATAGAGAGCGACTGTTAACTGGTATGTAGTTTCTTTGGAGTGATAAAAATGTTCTGGAATTTGCCAGGCATGGTGGCTCACACCTGTAATCATAGCACTTTGGGAGGCCAAGGCAGGTGGACTGCTTGAGCTCAGGAGTTTGAGACCAGCCTGGGCAACATGTCAAAACCCCATCTCTACAAAAAAAAATGCTAAAAATTAGCCAGGTGTGGTGGCACGCACCTGTAGTCCCAGCTACTCTAAGAGCTGAGGCAGAAGGATCCCTTGAGCCCAGGAGGTTGAGGCTGCAGTGAGCTGAGGTCATACCACTGCACTCTAGCCTGGGTGACAAAGTGAGACCCTATCTCAAAAAAAAAAAAAAAAAAAATCCCTGGAATTAAACAGTGGTGATAATTGCACACCTTTGTGAATATACTAAAATCCATTGAGCTCTGTACTTTAAAAGAGCAAATACTATGGTATATAAAGTATATCTCAATTTTTTTAAAAGGTTTCATGAGTAAATACACAAAAATAAAAAACCCAGTATGAAACTCAAAGAAGGATCAAGAAAAGGAACCAACGTCTTAAGAAAAGAAAAGGAGCTGGGCACAGTGGCTCATGCCTATAATGCCAGCACTTTGGAAGGCTGAGGTGGGAGGATCACCTGAGGCCAGGAGTTTGAGACCAGTCTGGGCAGCATAGAGAGACCTTTGTCTCTACAAAAAAAAATTCTTTTTAATTGGCTGGGCATGGTGGCATGCAGCTGTCATCCCAGCCATTTGGGAGGCTAAAGTGGGAGGATCCCTTAAGCCCAGGAGTTCAAGGCTGCCGTGAGCTTTGATTGCACTACTGCACTCCAGCCTGGACAACAGTGCAAAACCCTGTCTCGAAAAAAAAAAAAAAGAATATAAAATATAGAGATGTATATACATTAAATTATTTTCCTAAATTTCTTATTTCCTTCTTAACTATACCTCATCATGTCTTTTTCTCTGGTCTAACCTAATCCAATACAGACTGAAAAGTAACGTTTTATTTCCCTATTGTAACCAACAATTTTCCCCCAAAACTCTACAATTGTCTAAAACACTTGTTAATACTTGATAATATCTTAGTAAATTTCATTTACTATATATAATACTTTGATGTTTGAATTTGCAATAGGTGTAGGCAAACATACATATTTCAGATAAGACAATGACTGAATAAAGAAAAATTAAGCAGGTACAGATGTGCATAGATATTACTCCACTATAAGCAACTCCTCAGCCCCACCTTATCCACCCATACTTTTCCAGTTCAACTGAATCCAGTTCAACACATTGCTGATGACATACAGTATAGGCAGTAATGTGGAAGCAAATGGCCCAAAATCTAACCAGCTTTCTTCTTCATCAGTGATTACATGCTACCCAGTCACAGTACTGCCATTACAAGTCAATCTTAGCAAGAGCAGGGCATGAACTGAAAATGAAACAGGACTTCAAGTTTAAAAATATCAGACAGATAACATGTTCATCTTCCCTTCCCATGCTAACTCCCTAAAAATAATAGAAATGTTGTGCATAATAAACAAATAGGTGCACAATGAAACATGGATAGTTAAGTTTGAAACAAAAAGGAGAACTCAAAATTGACAACCAGGAAATCCTTAAGAAACACAAAGATGAGATTGAAGAGGGAATCTGCAGTCCTTGACTATGAATGGCAGAGTTCTGCTGTAGAGTGTAGAACTGGTGGAATCCCACAACAGGAAGGAATATGAAGACAAGCAACAGAGTCATTATTTGGAGAATAACAGTGAAAACAGCCAAGCAGATAAACTCTGTGCACCATGGCCCACTCACCCAAACTTACCCTACACACACTAGGATATCTTCTAGGTGAAAGCAGTAAATGGAGGAGGTTGGGCATGAGAAGGAAGGCAGTGCCCCCAGTGCTAGTGATGCCCAGAAGGACAAGGAAGCATCCCCACTACTGCCCTCAAAGTCCTCTCACCTCTCCTAACTCTCACTACAATGTGTGGAGAAGAGCACTATCAGAGGTGGATACAGTACCATCTTCCCTCCAACATTTCCTTGAACATCAAATATTCGAGTAATGCCAAGATTATGGAAGACAACATAGACTCAACAAATGTAAGAATGTACACCTGAAGAAGCAGAGTTAATAACAGAATCACAGCAAACTGTCAAGCTAAATATACTTCAGAGACTCAGAGATGTAAGAAAATATGGCATTCATGAAACAAGAACAGACAGTTTCAGAGGAAGAGCAGTTATGAAAAAGGGGTATATAGATCTTGGCAATAAAAATGTATGAATGTATGGATTAAAAAGCAGAATAAACACAGATGAAGATGGAAATAGTGGACTGGCTAGTCAAAGTCTCTCAAGATGCAGTACAAAAGAATAGAGCACTGGAAAGTATGAAATCAAAGTTAAAGTGGCATCAGGAATAAGATTCAGAAGAACCATTATTTTACTAAAGAAGTTCCAAAAGGAGAGAATGCAGAATATGGGGAGGAAGCAACATTTAACTAAATAATAGAGAAGCCTTTCCTAAATTAACAAAAGATAAAACTCAAAATGAACAGACTCACAAAATAAAATGGAGAAACTTAAAAACAAGCCCACACCTAAAAAAAAAAATCATAGTGTAACTTCAAAATATCAAGGATATCTATAGGAACAAAAAGAGAAGTGAAAAAAAATTTTTTAAATCAAGGATAACAATAAAATCCTTAGAGGGGGAAACAATTACCTATGAAAGAACTAGAAAGGCATCAGATGCTTATCAACAACACAGATATGAGAAGACAACAGAACAGATCTTAAAAAGACAAAAGGAAAAAAAATCTGTGAACTCATTAATATACCAATCATATTATTTTTCAAATCTGAGAGTGAAATAAAGATATTTTCAGATATTCAAGGACTTAGGAAGTTTATTTCCCACTTAATCCCTTTGAAATAATTACTCAAGGATGTAACTCCTGAAAGAAAAATACACCCAAAATGAGTACAATGTAATCAGCAATGGAAAACAATGAATGGTAAAAGAGAGGTAAGTCAAAGAATGCTACGGTTGCTGCTAGAAAAGCATAGTTAAGTATTTTTTTTAATTTAAGGATAACCATTTCAAATATAAATGAAAATATAAATATGTACAAAAATGCATTTTAAAACGGTCCAGAAGGATACACAGCAAATGGCAAAGTGTAGGTAGAAGGAGAATTTAGGAGGATCATGAAAAGGAATTTGGTTTTAATTTTAAAAATGAAATATATTCACATACATATATAATTAAAATTGGCTTTGAAAAGGAAAGAAAAACAATTTTTAATGTCTAGGGAGTCATGAGGGACACTGAAATGGGAAGGTGGCCAGGCCTGGTGGTGCACACCTGTAATCTCAGCACTTTGGGAGGTTGAGGTGGGAGGATCACTTGAGCCCAAGAGTTTGAGACCAGCCTGGTCAACATAAAGAGACCTCATCTCTACAAAAAAAATTTAAAAATTAGCCGGACCTGGTGGTAAGCACCTGTAGTCACAGCTACTTGGAAGGCTGAGGTGGGAGGATCCCTTGAGCTCAAGAGATTGAGGCTGCAGTGAGCCATGATTGTGCCACTGCACTCCAGCCTGGGCAACAGAGTTAAGAACCTGTCTCAAAAAGAAAGAAACAACAATTTGTTGGACATGCCTGTGGTCCCAGCTACTTGGGAGGCTGAGGCAGAAGGACTGCTTGAGCCCAGGGGTTTGAGAACAGCCTGGGTAATAGCAAGACCCCAACTCTAAAACAAAGAAAGAAGGGAAAAGAAATAACAACTTAAATCGATAGAACTATAATCTGTCAATGAAAATAAGTAAATAAGATAAAACAAAATTTACAAAGTAAAAAGAGACAACTGACATGCTGTTTTATGTTTAATTCCAAAGATGCACAAGTTCACTGAAAACCTTTGATATTCCCTTTCACTTTATTTGCCAAACACAAATGTTTCAAAATATTAAATACTCCTTAAATTGTGATTTCAACTCCACATTTTCTCTTTCAGTTGTGCTCTTAGGGTTTCTGTTTTATGCATACAATAAATATGTGGGTTAATGGGCCCAAAGTAGTTGCTTGGTAAATGTTGGTTAGACAAAAAATATGTAAAACATGGTTCCCATCTCAGAGAAACTTAGAAATCCAGTCCAAACTGTGAGTGTTGGTGTAAAGACAGACAAATAGACAAACAGATCACTGGAACAGACAGGGAAATAAACCCACACTTACATAGACAAATGATTTTTCACCAAGAGGTAAAGCCACCTCCAAGAAGAAAGGACAGTCATTTTCACCAAATGACTGATGGACCAACTGGACATCCATATGCCAAAAAAAAAAAAAATTCAACTCACATCAACTCAAAATTGGTCTTGGTCTAACTGTAAGATCTAAAACTATGAAACTTCTAGGGTAAAATATTTATGACTTTGCGTTAGGCAAAAATTTCTTAGATATGACACCCTCCCCCAAAAATTGGTAAACTGGATTTTATTAAAATAAAACTTCAATACCCATGAAAACTAAAATAACAATAATAAAATTTAGAAAGAAAAGCACAACAAATACAAAAATGAAGAATTTGTTGGGACTTAAAAGACAGCAGCAACTCTCAAAAAAAATAATAAAGTAAAAGAAAAACATCAAATGACATTGTTAAGTAATAAAGACAAGACACAGACTAGAAGAAAGTATCTGCAAATAATGTATCTGGGAAGGGACTTGTATGCAGAATATATGAAGAACTCTCAAAACTTATTAATAAGAAATGACTCAATTTTATTTTATTTATTTATTTATTTATTTACTGAGAGTCTTGCTCTGTTGCCCAGGCTGGAGTGCAGTGGCGCAATCAGAGCTCACTGCAACCTCCACCTCTCAGGCTCAAGTGATCCTCCTGGACTCAGCCTCCAGAGGAGCTGGGACTACAGGCGCGCCCCATCATGCTGAGCTAATTTTTTGTAGAGATGGGGTTTCGCCATGTTGCCCAGGCTGGTCTTGAACTCCTGGGCTCAAGCAATCCACCCACCTCAGCCTCCCAAAGTGCTGGGATTACAGGCATGAGCTGCTGCACCCAACCAATGACCCAATTTTTTTTTTTTTTTTTTTTTTTTTTTTTGAGACAGAGTCTTGCTCTGTCACACAGGCTGGAGTGTTCAGTGGCATGATCTTGGCTCACTGCAACCTCCACCTCCTGGGTTCAAGTGATTCTCCTGCCTCAGCCTCCTGAGTGGATGGGATTACAGGTGTGCACCACCATGTTCGGCTAATTTTGTATTTTTAGTAGAGATGGGGTTTCACCATGTCGGCCAGGCTGGTCTCGAACTCCTGACTTCAAGTGATCCACCCACCTCGGCCTCCCGAATTGCTGGGATTACAGGCATGAGCCACCACACCCGGCTGACCCAATTTTAAAAGTGAAACAAGCAAAAGATTTGAAGAGACAACTTGCCCAAGAAGATTTATGGAAGGTAAAAAAGCACAGGAAAAGATACTCAATACATCATTAATCATTATAAAATGTAAATCAAAACTATAATGAGATACTATTACATACCCACTAAGACAGCTAAAATTAGGAAGAATCAGAGTAACAAGTGTTGGCAAGGATGTGGAGGTACTAGAACTCTCATACACTGCTGGTAGAAATGTAAAATGATACTATTTTGGAAAACAGTTTGGTGGTTTCTTAAGAAGTTGAACATACACACCTGTCATACTATCCCTTCCATTCCACTGCTGAGTTTTTACCTAAGAGAAATGAAAGTTTTTGTCCATATAATAACGTGTACATAAAGGATCATAACAACTTTATTTGTAATAGTCAAAAACTGTAAACACCTGTAGTCCAGCTACTCGGGAGGCTGAGGCAGGAGAATGGCGTGAACCCGGGAGGCGGAGCTTGCAGTGAGCCGAGATCGCGCCACTGCACTCCAGCCTGGGCAACAGAGCGAGACTCCGTCTCAAAAAAAAAACAAAAAAAAACAAAAAAAACCTGTAAACAACCCAAAAGTCCACTAGCAGTTGACTAGATACACAAATTGTGATGCATCTCAGCAATAAAAAAATAAACTATTGATACACATAACCTGGATGAATCTCTAATTATGCCTAATGAAAGAAGCCATTACTCCTTTTTCATAAAATTTTTTTAAAAAATGTAAACTAATCTAATCTACAGTGGCAAATAGCGTATCAGTGGTTACCTAAGAAATGAAAGAGGCAGGGCTGGGCACAGTGGCTCATACCTGTAATCCCAGCACTGTGGGAGGCCAAGGTGGGTGGATCACCTGAGGTCAGGAGTTCAAGACTAGCCTGGCCAACATGGCGAAACCCTGTCTCTACTAAATATACAAAAATTAGCTTGGCATGGTGGTGGGCACCTGTAATTGCAGCTACTTGGGAGGCTGAGGCAAGAGAATCACTTGAACCCAGGAGGTGGAAGTTAGTGAGCCAAGATTGCGTCACTGCGCTCCAGCCTGAGTGACAAGAGCAAAACTCCATCTCAAAAAAAAAAAGAAAAAAAGAAATGGAAGAGGCAGTAGGCAGTAAGGAAAGGTCAGAGGGAGGAAGAAGTATGGGAAAACGTTTGGAAGTGATGGATATGTTCTTTATCTTGACTGTGCTGATGGTTTCACAGGTGCATATATATGTGAAAACGTATCAAATATGTGTTATGTCAATTAATTGTTGTAATTGACAGTTACAGCTGTCATAAAAAAATGTAACCTTAAAGATAAGAACGGAAACCCTAACAGTTATAGTTGCTCTGCTATCACATCCCAAACAGCAAGTGTTTAAACAATGCAAAGTGGAGGGAAATGCTTGTGGGCCAGGGGAGAGACCCAGTGGATCACACAGATTATGAATGCAGATTTAAAGTACTGCAGAATTTGGATGGGGTTGAGAGAAGGAGCAGGCAGGAGCTCCTCCAGAAGAGGGAAGTCCAAATGTAAGCAAAGGCACAATGCCTTACATGGAACAGGAAAATATGCATGCAATGAGAACTCATGGCTATCATGTATGAAGGTGCCTACAATGTGCCAGGCACTACTTTAGGCACTCTACATGCTTCATCCCATTCATGCTCCTTCAAGAATAGATATTATTATCCCCATTTCACAGGTGAAGAAATTCTGGTTTTGGTGGAGTGCTCACCTACAGCCTTCACCACCTAGAGCCTTCACTACCAATCAGAGCCTTTACCACCAATCAGCTGTCTGTCACATTAAATACTATACTCTAATTTGCATATCTCATGATTTAAAGTTTACAGGCTTAGAAAGGTCAAGTAACATTCAAACGGAGGGCTGGCCCACTCATGGTCTATGCATTCTATTTCTGCTGTGCAACACTGCCCCCAATTAATGCAAGCAAAACTCCTCGTTAAATTATGTACAAGTGCAAAAATATTCATGTGTTTATAAATGCCTTTCTTCCCAATTTATACTGCTAGATATGGGCGTAGATTTTAATGTTTCTCCAGCAGGGTCTGTAAGTCTCTATGTGGTATGATCATCCACGCTGATGACCTGTAGAAGTTGAATCTCCTCCTCCTGGGAGGGTGGCGAGGTGACAGACACCACTGTGAAGGGGGGAGGGAGTATGTATGCATGTTTACATACACAGAAATGCTGGGAACTAAATACACATACAGCTGCAACAACACATACAGCTGAAGTATTTCCTTTTCCCTGCCTGCCAAATTCAATCATGGGCCACCAACCATTAAACAGCTGAGAAAGGGTGGCCTGGATCAGCAAGAACACCATCAACTTTGCAGGGACTCCCTAGTTCCGAATAGATGCATTTTATTACATTCAGCTAGGGTGTATGGAAATACGCTGTGCAGGCTGGGTACAATGGCTCATGCCTATAATCCCAGCACTTTGAGAGGCCAAGGAGGGCAAATTGCTTGAGCCCAGGAGTTCAAGATCAGCCTGGGCAACATGGCAAAACCCTCTCTCTACTAAAAATATATATTTTTTTTAATTAGCAAGTTGTAGTGGCTCGTGCCTATAGTCCCAGCTACTCAGGAGGCTGAGATAGGAGGATCACCTGAGCCCAGAAGTTAAGGCTGCAGTGAGCTGTGATTATGCCACTGCACTTTGTACCACCATGCCCAGCTATTTTTTTTTTTTTTTTTGTAGAGACGAGGTCTCCCTATGTTGCCCAGGCTGGTCTGAAACTCCTACGCTCAAGTGATCCTCCCACTTCAGCCTCCCAAAGTGCTGGGATTACAGGCATGACCCACCATTCCCGGTCTGGGTGGGACATTTCTACAAACTTCACCGGCCCAGTGAGGGAGCATAAGTCTGTTCTACCCCTGAGGAATCTCGGGGAAGTAAACTGCCCAAGGTCATATGACTGGTATTGGTGGAGTGCTCACCCAGAACCTTCACCACCAATCAGCTCTGTTTGTAACATTTAATACTAAACTGTAGTCTAATTTGCTTATCTCATGAATTAAAATTTACAGGGGACCTTCTCCTTGAGGTGTTCTACAAAATGGCTTCATTCCAGTTGCTCTTCAAATCCTTAAGTCAGAACACATTAGTCTTCATAAAATCAACTTGTGGGGATTAAACAGCAACAGCATTAAATAACAATAAAGAGATTTAAAAACAAAAAACTAGAAAATATCGGAGCACATGGTACAGCACAAGAGTAAAATTACGGCTTGGTGAAATTTCCCTGGGTTTATTTGCATGTATGTGGGTACTCGCTCAGAGTATAAATGTTTTTTACTGTGGGCCAGGGTAAAAAATGTAGTAGGCCATGGCTTTACATCAGGAAAGGTTTCTTATATATCGGAAATGGACTGCTGACAAAAATCTTCCCTCTAATCTCCTCTCACCCTCTCCTCAAGTACCTCCACTTAAGAACCTCATAGAGCCTGGGTAGCTTAGCCCAGGTAAAGCGTTAATCTGAGGATCCAGGGTTCAAGGACAGGCACTAAAAAAAAAAAAAAGTCCCCTAGAGTACAGCTCTGAGTTCCCCAAAGGGTCTCACTCTACAATAGGCATGGTAGAGGCAGTGAGCTTATGCCAGGAAGGGAGGCACTTCAGCCTCTCAGCCTCCTGCAGAAGGCTGGGCTTTCTCCACCAACACCTCCCTAGGCATTACCCTCTGCCTCAGGCTTCTAGGTAGGCAAAAGAGAATGAAGGATGACAGCCCCCCTAAAAGGAGCAATCGGGGGACAAGTCTTCAAAAATCCGCTACAGGAGGGCTCCCCTTCAACCTACCCAGAAAGTTGCTGTAGTGAGATGAAATGTTCAAGCAGGCAGTTTGTTCTAATTTCAGGAAGGTTCCCTGAACACTGGCCAAGTGTGAGGCAGGGCTGCAGACACAAAGAAAAACGATTCATCCCCCAGCAATCAGAGGGGAATACAGACATGACAAACTGGCAATTACCATGCACGGCCAGCTAGGTGTTCTAGGCACTGAGAGAGGCTCCCTGGAGGAGTAATATCTGAGTCTTAAAGGAGAGGAGGCATGGAACAGATGAATGAGGGAAAGGTTGTTCCAGGAAGAGATTTGCAAGTTCAGGAAACTGGAGGTTAGGGAATGCAGTTTGAAGGCAAGATGAGGCAACACTCTGTCCAGGGGCTTCCCCACAATATATTTTTTTTTTTTTGAGACAGAGTCTTGCTCTATTGCCCAGGCTAGAGTGCTGTGGCGCAATCTTAGCTCACTGCAACCTCTTCCTCCCAGGTTCGAGCGATTCTCCTACCTCAGTCTCCTGAGTAGCTAGGATTACGGGCGCCTGACACCACACTCAGCTAATTTTTATATTTTTAGTAGACAGGGTTTCGCCATGTTGACCAGGCTGGTCTTGAACTCCTGACCTTGGGTGATCCATCTGCCTCAGCCTCCCAAAGTGCTGGGATAACATGCGTGAACCACCTCGCCCGGCCCCCCACAGCATTTAGAATAAAATCCAAATGCCTTCTTTTCCCCCTCACCCATGCCTGTTTCATCTTCTCCACTTGTTCCCTCTCCTCCAGCAACACTGGCCTTCCAGAAGGTTCCTCAGCTCAGGATCTCACTTTGCTCTTCCCTCCATCTAGAAGACCTCCTTCTTCAGCTCAGCCCAGCTGCAATGTCACCCCCACTGCTAAATCAGGCACTATCACTTCCTGGGCCATAACCCTGGGCCTTTTTAATAGTCCTTATTACTATTAATAGTCCATCTTTAGTATGTCTGTCTTCCTGTTTGTTTACTTGTTTTTTGTTTGTCTCTCTCACATATGCACAGGCAAAATACAAGGTAGCACATGGCATGAGTTCAATACATATCTTTGAAGAAATTAGTTGATGGAGAGGTGACAGGCTAGCTCAGGAGGGTGATACTGGGAAGTTTGGATTTTACCCTGAAAGCACTGAGGAAATCCTAAGGATTTTTTTTTTTTTTTTTTTTTTGGTGGGGGATGGAGTCCAGCTGTGTCACCCAGGCTAGAGTGTAGTGGTGCAATCTCAGCTCACTGCAACCTCCGCCTCCCAGGTTCAATCAGTTCTCCTGCCTCAGCCTCCCGAGTAGCTGGGATTACAGGCACGCACCAGCACACCTGGTTAATTTTTGTATTTTTAGTAGAGACGAGGCTTCACCATGTTGGCCAGGCTGGTCTTGAACTCCTGACCTCATGATCCGCCAGCCTCGGCCTCCCAAAGTGCTGGGATTACAGGCATGAGCCACTGAGCCCGGCCTGGAAATCACTAAGGATTTTAAGGGGAGATTAATATGATTTACATTTCATTAAGTTCACTCCAGAAACAGACTCCCTTGCGGGTCCCAGTATGGAATTAGGAGGTTGTTCTAGAACACAAATGACAAAGAACTAAGGCACAGGCTGTGGAAACAGGACTTGTGAGTGCAAATCTGTGTCACATTAGGCATGAGGGACAAGGGAGACAGAAGCCCTGGGTTCCTGACCTGGCAGCCCAGCCACCAAGAAGGTTAGGGGCTTCCTAACCCTAGCTAGGCAGCTAGCCACCAAGCAGCTGAACAAATATTTGAACTTGTTGAGTCTGAGGGGCTTGCTGGTCTGCAGCTCACATTGGGAAAGGACTCAGGGCCTCAGAAGGGAGGTAAAAATGTGACAGGCTTGAAGCAGGGAATGAAGGCTGCTGAGCTAGCCCATGCCTGATGGTCCTTTTCCCCCTGACCTCGTTGGGTGAAAGTGAGGGCATGTTTGAGGAGTTTTAGCCTTGGCCACAGCGAAACAGCTCAAACCAACCCACTCCAACCTCTCATCAACCTGTGGTTGCCATTTACTGACCACCTACATAGCACACAGTGTCATCTCTCAAGGTGGTAACACTCATCCTTTACAAATGTCAATGACACCTCCCATGCAGATACTCATCAATGGCCATGATGTTTCAGTCAAGCAGGCTGAGTAAGCTCTAGGGATCTGATATACAACAGTGTACCTACAATAGCATATTATATGCTTAAAAACATATTAAGACAGATCTCATGTTAGGTGTTTTTACCACAATGACATTTTTAAAAACTGTCGGCCGGGCGCGGTGGCTCACGCCTGTAATCTCAGCACTTTGGGAGGCTGAGGCGGGTGGATCACGAGGTCAGGAGATCAATCGAGACCATCCTGGCTAACACGGTGAAACCCCGTGTCTACTAAAAATACAAAAAATTAGCTGGGCATGGTGGCGGGCGCCTGTAGTCCCAGCTACTCAGGAGGCTGAAGCAGGAGAATGGCGTGAACCCAGGAGGCGGAGCTTGCAGTGAGCAGAGATCGCGCCACTGCACCCCAGCCTGGGCGACAGAGCAAGACTCTGTCAAAAAAAAAAACAAAAAACTGTCAAGGTGTAAAGTACCAATTCAAAGGTACTTAGGGAACATCTAGGCATTGAGAACCTTTATGTCTGTGGAATACTATAAGGCAACAAAGTGTTCTTTATCTGGGGATATATATATACATATGGCCATGGATGATAATAGACTTCCTGATTGGTTTTCTTTTTCTTTTTTTTTTTTTTTTTTTGAGAGAGAGGGTCTCACTCTGTCTCTCAGGCTGGAGCTCAGTGAGTGGCTCAATCATAGCTCACTGCAGCCTCAAACTCCTGGGCTCAAGTGATCCTTCTGCCTCAGCCTCCCAAGTAGCGAGGACTACAGGCACACACCACCTCCACCACACCTAGCTAATTTTTTCATTTTTTTTGTTGGGGGATGGTGGTTAGAAGCAGGGTCTCGCCATGTTGTCCAGGCTGGTCTTGAACACCTGGGCTCAAGCAATCCTCCCACCTTGGCATCCCAAAGTGTTGGGATTACAGGCATTAGCCACTGAGCCTGGCAACTTCTTGATTTAAATCTTTATTCTCTATATTTAGAAGACATCAATGTGGCCTTTTGCCATTTTTCCCATATGGGTTATTACACACGTGCTTGAAGAATAAAAAACGGTTGTCATTTGAAGGGATATTAGGTATTGGTAAGCAACTTCTGCCTTTCTGTAAAATTTTAATATTATATTCCAAAGGGGGCTTTTTCCTATTAGTCTAAAATTTGGGCCCAATGGCCTGTGTAACACAAAGTATAGAAAAATACAAACACACGATTTTGCAGTTTGTAGCTTAACAAAATTAAAATTGTTGTTAAAACAAACTGAGGCCTCAGTGCTTACCCACAACAAACACTCAATAGATGTTTGTTGGGATGATTACATGAAAGTGACTGAGCAGAATTTGAGGCTAAATTAACTGAAGCTTTAAAAAGAAAATTCATGTCTGACTTTGGCCCAGATCAGCACTTGGAACTGGGTATCAAGAGGATCAGCTTTATGCCTAGGTGAAGTTTATTTACTGTGGTCAGGGACACCAAATAGACCTCACCTCTCCTCCACTTGGTGCTATCAATACCCAGATTTTCCAGAGATCTCAGCCTTCGAACTGGACTGCTGTAGACCCCAGGAAATTCAATCACCCAAGGAACAGCACTATGGGGAGGGGTCATCAAATTGAGCCATTATCAGTCTTTAACACCTGAAGGCTAATCACTTAATCCGGAATTATCCAGTAACCAGCAGAGCCCTGTCAAAAACCAACAGGCCTTAGTAAAAAAAGAAGGGAGAAAAAGATGGATTAGTGCCTCGAGTACAACAGGGCTGCCTGGGGACCCTGCCTGACTGATCTGAGGGTTAGGAATGCTTACAACAAAGAAGAAACCAGAAATCAGGAAAATGGGAATTGAAAGCCAATGTTCACCTCCTTACACAGCTCTTAAGGTTGGCCCTGCCATCCTAAGCTCAAGGATCTCTACAGGAAGAATGAGATATCATATGAAATGCACTTCAGAAATTCTATTGAGAAGTATTATAATTAAGGAGAGTTCTCTGAGAGGTAGCATCTTTGAATAGGCTCAAAACAGGAAAATAAACTATTTAATGCAAGAATTAAGATAACATAGTGGCCAGGCACGGTGGCTCACACCTGTAATCCCAGCACTTTGGGAGGCCAAGGTGGGCGGATCACGAGGTCAGGAGATCGAGATCATCCTGGCTAACACGGTGAAAACCCGTCTCTACTAAAAAAAATACAAAAAAATCAGCCAGGTGTGGCAGCGTGCGCCTGTAGTCCCAGCTGCTGGGGAGGCTGAGGCAGGAGAATGGCGTGAACCTGGGAGGCGGAGCTTGCAGTGAGCCGAGATCGCACCACTGCACTCCAGCCTGGGTGACAGAGCAAGACTCCGTCTCAAAAAAAAAAAAAAAAAAAAAAGAGATAACATAGTGGCGAAGTGATGGCAAATGGAATGGTTGAAAAAGTACTAGGTTAGTGTCAGACTAGGATTCAAGTCCCAACTCTCCATTTACTAGCTATGTGACCCCATACATGTCCCCTTGCCCATGAGCCTTCATTTCCTCCTCTATCAGCATACACGCATACACACGGACACACACACAGGCACACAAGGACACACGCACAGGACACACGCAGGCACACAAACACACTCCCCTTCTTTTTTCCCACCCCAAGCCTAGGCAACGAGAGGGTCTTCAGTGGAATGTGACTATAGTAAGAGGCTCACTCAACCTTAAGGGAAAATTAGAATTTCTTCGCTATTAGTATTCTGTGGAATCAACAAACGCTTAAGCGTCTATGTGCTTATGGTTTTAGGAAGAGGCCCCTGGTGTGTTTCTATTTGCAGCTTTCTCTGTGGCTCCTTTAAATTTCTGAAGCTTACGTTGATCAATGGAACTACTTATACATTCAAGACCCAGGAGTTCAATAAGAAATTCCAACCCAAGTGGGAATGAATCATATGACTAATACTACTACTAACAAAAGCTATGCAAAAATCACGAAGATTCACTGTCCATTTGATTAACTACTTAGTAAGGAAAATTAAATGCAAACAGAACACATATTTTTCAAAGGCATAAAGATTTTTGAAGGTGATTCTTTTATTTAGCGTGAAAACTAAATCTTTATGAAATCCTCTCAAGTCACACTGGCAAATAACTAAAAAACATGATAAATACCACATATGAATATTTCCTTAACATATGTATTCAGTAGCAGTCCTAATGATAAGGGGAGTGCTGGGAAGGGAAGGGTGTGGTCCCTTTAAACGGTATGGAAGGGAGAAGGGAAGTGCCAGGCAGAGAGAAGGGCATGGTCCCTGGCTAGGGCTGCACCCCCACAGGCCTAGGTGAGGTCAGGCATTTCCGGCCCAAATGTTGCAAGACCACCGTGGCCTGCCACATCCCCATCCTGTGCCTACAGAAACCCAAGACCCAAGCAAGGCAGACACAGAAGCAGCTGGACGTCGAGAGGAGCACATCAGTGGAGGAACACACAAGCGGCTGGACATCGAGAGGAGTGGATTGGTGGAAGAAGATTCAAGCAGTT
Source organism: Homo sapiens (assembly GCF_000001405.40). Classification (NCBI taxonomy): domain Eukaryota; kingdom Metazoa; phylum Chordata; class Mammalia; order Primates; family Hominidae; genus Homo; species Homo sapiens. The sequence goes on from NC_000006.12 coordinate 89,406,510, forward strand.
AGACGTCGAGAGGACGTTGGGAGCACACCAGTTTGGCCGGAGTGGTCAGAAAACAGCTGCCTGACTCCAGGGAAAAACCGTCTCCCTTCTGGCTCCCCTATCTGCTGAGAGCTACTTCTATTCAATAAAATCTTGCACTCATTCTCCAAGCCCAGGTGTGATCCGATTCTTCCGGTACACCAAGGCAAGAACCCAGGATACAGAAAGCACTCGGTCCTTGCAACAAGGTAGAGGGTCTAACTGAGCTGGTTAACACAAGCCCATAGATGGCAAAACTAAAAGAGCACCCTGTAACACATGCCCACTGGGGCTTCAGGAGCTGTAAACATCCACCCCTAGACACTGTCGTGGGATCAGAGCCCCACAGCTTGCCTGTCTGTGTGCTCCCCTAGAGGTTTGAGCAGCAGAGCACTTAAGAATCTAGCCAAACCCCCATCACACACCCTGCAAGGGGGACAAGCGAACTTTTCCCGTTTTACATTGGTAAAAATGTTCTGATTTACCAATGTGCCTGCAAAAAGGGAAAGGTATTCTTACAAACTTTTTAACAATCACTTTGAGAGTGCACTAAGGTTGGCTTTACGCAGTCCTCTATTTTATACACTGAGAAATGGAGCCGAAGTCTTTCTCAGAGGACCACAAGAGGAGAAGGTCGACCAGCAAGCACCCTGGACCCTGTAGCCCAGGAGTGAAGAAACTTTTTGTCTGCAGTGTCACAGCAGAACCAGGAAAGGCCATCACAAGAGAACTCTAAGGCTCTGGCACAGGAGGGAGAACAAAAAATATTTTTTTAAAAAATAAAAGGATACCAAAAGAATAAAGGAGGTAGAGAAGAAAGAAGGAAGAGGCCGGGCGCGGTGGCTCATGCCTGTAATCCCAGTACTTTGGGAGGCCAAGGCAGGTGGATCACTTGAGGTCAGGAGTTTAAGACCAGCCTGGTCAACATGGTGAAACCTCATCTCTACTAAAAATACAAAAATTAGCTGGGCATTGTGGTGGGCACCTGTAATCAATCCCACCTATTGGGGAGGCTGAGGCAGGAGAATCACCTGAACCCAGAAGGTGGAGGTTGCAGTGAGCCGAGATCATGCCACTGCACTCCAGCCTGGGCAACAGAGTGAGGCTCCATCTCAAAAGAAGGAAAGAAAGAAGAAAAATGAGCAGGAACGAAGTGTCTGTGCTAAAAGTGAAATTGATTGTCACCAGCATTTACTATGGGCTGGGGGAGGATTGAATAACACAGGGGGTGAACTTGGGGCAGACTCAGTTATCTTTGAAAGACAAAAGATGATCTCTCAAACCCAAAGTCATCGGCTCTTATCCAGAACTTGCTGTTTGTGCCTCCCGTTTCCATTAGACTACCCTCTATCTAGTATTAAAATGGAAGAGATCGCTAATAAAAGTAGAGAGTCAGTACTCTCTGATGCCCTGAATCACTGACACAGGTTTATAAAACATCTGATATAGAAAGATACTCTCTAAATACAGGCATTCGAACAAGTATTTACCTAAAGTTTAACTTTGGGCACATCATTTTAACCTATTATGTAGTTTCATCTGTTCCAACTCTTCTGTATTTCCAGGGCCAGAAGGAAATCTAAGAGATAAGCTGTGTCCAGGGCTGTAGTCAAGCCAGCTCTTTTTGGATAAGGCAGAATTACAAGAAAAGGGGCTTACATTTCCATATACTTGATCCTCTTCTAAATACTTCGCTCATTTCTAGCTCATGATAGGGCAGTAGAAAAGCCCCCTGGTATCTCTGAGCCATGATTTCAGTATCAGTATAACTGTTATCTCTACTTACTTCCAAGGAACAATGAAAAGGTGAATTCCCTAATATTTTTAAAATTATTTTAGGAAAAAGCCATGCACAGTCATGCATGCCTATAATCCTAGCTACTTGGGAGGCTGAAGCAGGAAGATTGCTTGAGCCCACAAGTCCGAGACCAGCCTAGGCAATATAGAGAGACCCAGTCCCTTCCCCACAAAAGGCTAACATTAATGAACTAATGATTAATACATATGAATTGCTGGATTCACCCCATCTACATCCTTCAGGAAGGAAGACCCTGGATCTTTCATGCCTCCAGAAACCACCTACACAGTCACTTCCTCAGACCCTAAGGGTGCGCACAGGCTGCTATGAAGGCAAAGACCGAACTTCACTGGACTGTGGGTGAGCAGCTTACGTTAGCCAAGTTTCTCCTAAAAAATGGGAGGGGTTTTGGGGGGAAAACAATTTTACTTTCTGATTAAATATGATCTTGTAATTGCTTTCCCTGTTATTACAGTTTTTAAAGCACAGTAATTTATCAAAAGATTTAAAGTCCATGAATCTAAAAATAATCATTATTTTTGGTGCAATTGTTTTTAACGGCCTAACCATTCCCTCCTCTCTGGTAGTTTTATCTGGAGTGTGGGGATTGAAGGTGAGACTCACCTTACCTGCAATTAACTACCATGAAAGGAAGGTTGAGAGGTGCCCAAATCTGCCCTAACAGAACTAATGTGCCTGAGAACACTTTTGCTATTCATGAATAAAATATGGAGTGGAAGCCAGAGAAGTGCAATTTAAGTCTCACCTTAGTTGCCCTATGTTTTCAAACTCAGTACAATGTGGTAAAATTTACAAGGCATACTCGGTTTAAAAATAAGACCAGAGGTTCCTTTATAAGTCCTACAGACTGAGGGAAATGAAAATTGCATTACATATCCACCTTTAGTCCACTTCTCTTGCACAGCTCCTGATAAATTGCTTTGCAACTTAACTGGCAATACTAGTTGGTCCCACATCCCACCCTCAGCCTCCCACCCACCAGGGTAGATTTCTGAACTTAGTGGAAAAAGTCCCACGTCTCCACTAAGTGCAGGCACTAAACCAAGCTATTAGGAAGGGGAAAGGGGAGTGGGGGTTCATTAGAGAAATGCTTTGCTAGTGGTTCAAAGTACATCTTTTCTCAGAATAACTCCTTTTTTTCCCTACATTCTATTTCTTAAGTTTGAGAGTAGGTAAATGTAAATTTTACCAAAAATAAAACAAGATTATAATGCAACACGTGAATCAGCCTTTTGAAGGGCACAGGAAGGGAAGTCACAACTCCCAACCTCCTCCTCCCAATCCCCACTCCCCAGACCATATCAGCTGGCCTGACAGCCATCAGGAGCAGTCCTCGCTGGAATTGCTGACTGAGGAGCCTATCTGACACTAGAGAGCAAATGTCCTGACAAGGGATTCTGCATCAAGGCCTAAACCCAAAAGTCAAAGCCAGGGAAATCTGGAAAGAACAGAGGCCAAAATATAACGGAGGAAGTCTGAGAAGCAGACCACCTATCCACTGCAGGCCCAGGTGGACAGAGACCAGGCTTAAGCAACGTTTGCCGAGCAAACATGTTGCTCTTCTCACAATATAAATATATTTAATCCTTTTATAGCAAGATCCCAAGCTGATCCCAAAAGCCCATTCAGAAGGATTTTATTATGCGAGTCACCAAAAATCAGTTACAGGCAAGTTTGCCTTTACGTTAACAGCTAAGGAGCCTCCAAGTCTGGGCTCTGGGGAAGCCCTTTGTTCCGGGAATCCCATCCCTCAAGCAGGGCTTTAATTTCACTTCAATTTCAAGTCCCCAAATCAAATTTTAAAAGTGCCCACTTAAAGAACTGCAGAATAAACGAGGGGTCCAGTACTTTTTCTGGACCCTCCAGGCCTCAGGACAGTATCAAATTACAGGGCTTTCCCTCCTGGATATGGCCCCTCCGCCCCCCCACTTTTTTTCTTTTTTAAAAAAGAGAATCCCACACACACCCTACTGTGTCCACCATTTCAAATACCTTGCAAATACATCCCTATTCTGCATCTCTCCGGAGTCTTCTAAGAATCTGGGAGGAGCTAACAAATGGAATTTGAATAATAATGAGGCGACTGAACAATTTAATTACGGAAGGTAGCTCTAGAGACTCCAATAAAACGGCTGAAAGCCTTTATCTACAAAAATGTGGCCTGGTGCTCAACGGTAAGACCAATTACCGGGAGTGCAGAAGACAGAAAGCACAAAGGTGCACACATCAGTTTAAGCAAATGAGGAATTAGCACAAATCATCCCAAGAGAGAAAACGCTATGAAAAAGGGTGACTTGAGAGGCTGCTTTCTCATCTACCAGGCGCAAGGCATAGTTAACTTTATTTCCTTTCTGATTCATTGAAAGTCGTGCCTGCCAGATGTAGAATAATGAAACTACCCTAGTGAGAAAAGCTTTGCATAGAGAATTTAAAATAAGTTCAGTGAATTCTCAATAAAAGTTCTTTAAAAATCAATAGTCACAAAGGTACTTGTATCTCTCACACAATTTCTTCAGTGTGAAACATTAAAGTTAGTTCCTTCTCTTGGATGCATACAGTTTCACTGAGAATAACATCATGTTTAACAGCCGCTTTCTATTGACCTTTCCAAGTGACCTTACAGTAAAGGAACTTTTGCTCGCTTCTGAGGGAAACTAAAAAAAGTTTAACCTCTCTGGAATACTAAAAGGCTCTCAACTTCCTTACACCTTAAGAAAATGCAGGAAGCCCCCACAAGCTGAACGATTGCTAAAACCCGCTTCTAGAACAGGAAAAAGAGTTTGCTTCACTATTGAAGCAAAGAATTCCCCGCCGCGCGCTCACTCCCGGGCAGGCACTGCCATGTCCAGGTGGTGATACCGAGAGCAGATAAGGTGTCCTGACAACGGTGTTTGCGTGGATCCCGGGAAATCTGCGGCCTCTCGGAGACTCCCACAACAGCTTGGCGAGCATCCCCCCGCCGCCCCGCGGGTCTCCCCAGCCACTACCTGGGTGGGCCCCTCCCGCGGCGACGCGGGGCGAGACTGACACCCGCAGCTGCCGACGACCCTGCCAGTCACGCCGCCGCCGGCTGCCTTTTTTTAGCCACGACATCTGACCCTGGCTTCAACAGCACCGTTCTGGGAGAGAGGTCCCAGGGCGCGCCCGCGGTCCCCTCCCCTCCCCAACCGCCAGACGCTGCGGAGAGCTTGGGGTGAGGGGCGCGGGAGGCACCGGCTCTGAAAGGGGCAGAAGCGCGCGCTCCTCCAGCCCAGACGCTTACTCCCTCCTTCCCCTTTTCCACCGATCCTGGTTGCCCCTCCGCCACCAGCACCGCGCTCCCTCATTTGGCAGCTCGAGGTCGGGCTTTTGGCGTCCCTCCCCACCCCAAACCCTCAACTGGACCCGCTCCCCTGGACCCCCTCCAAGTCGGTGGCTCGCGCACGGCCGGGCTGGGGGCGGGAAGGCGCCAAGGGGAGGAAAGGGGCGCGAGCCGAGGACGCGGGGGCCGGGCGCTCACCTCCCTCCTCTGTGCCGCTGTCCGGATCGGCGTCGGAGGAGTCGGGCCCGTCTCCGTAGTCCGCTAGCCCCACCAGCTCATCCTCCTCCTCCTCCTCCTCCGCGTCGTCCTCGTCCTGCGGCTGCGGCTTCCCCAGCACCTGGCTCATCGTGCCCACCGGCCGGCCGGCCCGGGGACGGCGGGGGTCCCGGGGTGGGGGCCAAGCCTCCTAGCCGGCCGCCCGCAGCCTATTTCTGAAGCGGAGGTTTGTCTAGAGCTCAGCGGGGCCCGGCGGAAGCGGGGGCCGCGCGTCCCCCGGCGGGCGGCGCCCAGGTCCGGGTCCCGCGGTTCCCAGCGCGCCCGAAGCCCCCTCCCCCGCCCCGCCCGCCGGCGGAGGAGTCAGCCGGAGCGCGGCAGTTCCTCCCGGAGGAGGGAGAGAGAGAGAGACTGCGTGACCCGAGTCACCTGACACACACTGTCACATACTCACATACACACCCCGCACGGGCGCGCGCGCGCTCGCCCGGCCGCGGGCACCACTCGGCGGGGCGCTGGGCCGAGGACACACATGCACACGCACACGCACACGCACGAGGAGACCGGGGAGGCGCGGGGCCCCTGCACCCTCCCAGACTCACACCGACACACGCCCCGTACACGGGGCCCCCGGGACGCCGGCCGTCACCCACCGCGGCTGCGCGCCAGGGGCCCCCACGCGCCTCTCCTTCACGTGGTCCCCGCACAGGCAGGGGAGGGGGCGCCGCACACCCTCAATGTCCCCCCCGCCGTCCCACTCCCACACGCCCGCAGAGCGTCTACCGTGGGCGGATGCCTCCTGCTTACAGTCCTGAGCTAGGGTCCCAAGCGGGTGGCCTCCCAACACTGTGGCGCCCAGATCCCCCACCCCAGAGCAGCGTGCCCAGGACACCCTGTGGACGCTCAAGAGCCCCAGGCGGAGAACTCAGATAAATGCACAGTGGAGGCGCAGTCTCCATAGCAATTGTCTTTTAGTGTGCCTTTATGGTTCAAAGTGCTTCCCACCAAGAATATTTAAAAAGCAGGCCTACCCAGACGTAAATGTTTCTGAAGAAATCACATGACTCGTGGCTGCTTAGACTAAATAATTCCTCTGCAGCCCTTTGGAAAAGGTCTCAGTGTATAACACACTCGGGGGCTATTCATGGCCACCTCCTCATGTCTCATTGTTGCATAGACTGTAATCCCACATGAATAAAATATTTCAAGGCTTTTGTGGGAGTAGGGGAGTGGCGGTGGTGGGGGGGCAATTCTCAAATAGGAATAGCAGCAACGTGGAGTGAGACTCTAAAACCTGCATTCCTCCTTCACAAGCTTTTCACCACGGAACACACTGTACCCACCCTTTCTGGGTACTGCAAAAAATTACGTGGATGAACTTCCTTCTGTGGAGCACAATAAGAAAAAACCGGCCGGTCAGCATGATGATCCAGCTCCTACAGGTGCCAGCAGCTCAGCCGGTGGTGCGGTGCAGAAGCGGAGGGAGGAAGCTAGGGCAGGAGACTCTCAGGGCCCAAGGGTGCTAACCTCCATAGGAAACATTTATTAACCACCTCCTATATGCCTGAGGCTGGGCTAAGTAGAGGGTCCAAGAATGCTCAGGGCAGTGTTCCTGCCCTGAAGGAGCTCACAGTCTACCAAATCATGACTCATGTCCTGGATTTTTTTTAGTATTTCTGAGTGCAGAAGGTGGATGCAGACACTTTCCAGAAGGTGGCTGCTTCTAATGGGAAAGGTCCTGAGATTTTCCAAGGGAGGCAGGCAGTATAATTTGGTATGACTGTATCAGTTAAGGTTCTTCCCAGGATGAAACAGACGGTATGTGCAAAGACTTTAACTGAAGCCTTCAAGTGAAGGAACAATTTACAGGGGTGTGGACAGAGTTTAGGGAATCAATGCAGGTATTAGCGATAGTGGGAAGATAACACCACCCCTAAATTTACAGGAGTGAGGAAGGGAGCTAGAGTCCTGGAGAGGGGCCACAAAACAGGAGCTGTAACTGATGAGGAAGCTGCTGCTGCCAGAACGGCCTCACATCAAGGAGAGAGCAAAGACCTCTCTTTCTCTCCATCCATCCTCCCTCCACTCTCCTGTGTCTCCCATTGGCCAAACCCATCTGGTAGCCAGAAGGCAAGGGAGCCTGGAACCTAGTCCAGGACAGAGATTGGATAGGGAGGGCAGGGAGTGGGTCCCTGGGTGGGGTGAGGTGCAAGGAGCATCACCAACACAAGCAGGCACTACATACTCCCATCAGAGGCAAGTTACTTATGCCCTTCTAAACCCGATTGCTTATCAATAGAACATCACTCCTTCTAAGGATTATTAGGAAGATTAAATGAGGCGGAAAAAAAATCTCAGGTACTTACAAAGCTCATTTCCTAGGAGTAATTTTCCTAGCCTATTTTCATCCCTTCCGTCAAAGGAAACCCCAGGGAGGAGGGCCTCCCAGAGTGTGGCTGAGGACTTTCAGCTATTCTATAGCTAGCCCACCATCCTCAAGTGGCCTTTGAACTGGTCTGATTCAAACTGCAAATAACAATTTAGGAGATCTAGAAGACTGTCCAAGGTCAACCCAGACTCAGACGTATAGGGCATTCCTGGGCAGGTTGCCAAGTGTGTAAGACCCATGGACTCAAGGGATCAGGAAAGGGCAGGTCATAATCCAACAGCCCCACTGTGCCTATGGACTAGAAAGGACAGAAATGTCTGATGATCCTCTAACTTCCCCAGGAAGAGAGATCTTAGAAGGAAACAATAGATTGGGGCACACTCCAAGATACTTGAGAATTGGACCATTCTTTTGTTTTTTTCTTTTAACATGGAGTCTCACTCTATCACCCAGGATGGAGTGTAGTGACATGATCTCAGCTCACTGCAACCCCTACCCCCCAGGTTCAAGCGATTCTCTTGCCTCAGCCCCTGAGTAGCTGGGACTACAGGCATGCACCACCACACCCAGCTAATTTTTGTATTTTTAGTAGAGACAGCGTTTCACCATGTTGGCCAGGCTGGTCTCGAACTCCTGACCTCAGGTGATCCACCCACTTCGGCCTCCCAAAGTGCTGGGATTACAGGCATGAGCCACCGCACCCAACCTGGACCATTCTTAAGAATAAGAATAAAATAAAATCCCACAAAAAAATCAGTAGAAGTCAAATCCTCAATTATATTCTACCCCAAGCTAAAGAGTCATATACAGATTTAAGATATTCTAATTTACTACCATTTCAGAAATGTATAGTTGAACAGAACAGGAAAAGCCTTGATTGCTTTTTTTCTTTTGCTGACATCATTTGAATACTGTCAGCTTTCAAAGAAGAGATATGTTGAAAATATCCTAGAAATAGAAGTTCTTGAATTTAAAAAATCATGTGTGTAGAATCTTTCTGAATTTAAATAAAAACTGAAAAACACTACAAGAACCCTGAAAGCCTTTAAGAAACTCAGCGTGGGATCTGCTCAGTGAATTGGCTGCTGCCTTGGCCGCTCTGCACTGGAGCTCAGCCTATGTCTGGGGATGTCTCCCCAGGAGAGTGCTCTGAAGAATGTGAAGATTGGTCTCTGGGCTACCCATGGTTTCTGCTGTGGTATGTAACCATGGCAAGTATGTAACCATGGCTTATACTTGACAGGTGCTTAATAAATGCTTATGGAAAAAAAGAGAGATGGGAGAAAGAAAAGAAGGAGAGAAGGAAGGGAGGGAGGAAGAGAAGAAGAAAAGAAGGGTGGGAAGAACGGAGGAAGATAGTATATGGCTCTTCACACAGATCTAGCCTATTTCTGAGAGAAACTTCAGGAAGAAATAGCAGCCAAGTTTTCTACTTGCTCCAAACCTTGGGAAATGCCACAGTGTGGGTAAATATGAAGTGTTAGCTACAAGAGAGCAACTAGGAATGAGCTGACATGCAAAAAGAGCATAAGTCTTAGGCCTTCATCTGTCCAAGACTGCCTGAGATCTGAAGAGACTACAATATCACGACGACTAAATGCTTATTTTATTTCAACTAACTTTTCCTTCTTAAAAAAAAAAAACTCTTAATTTTTAGACATTTTTAGCATCATGAAAGAAGAGCTTTGTCTATTACCCATTAAAATTTAGCCAACTAACATTTACTGAGATTTTCTACAAATAAGGAGGCACTGTTCCAAGATAATATGAACTTTAAAATATTCCCTCTAAGAAAGTGATATCATCCCCTCTACTTTATAGATAAGAAAACTCAATTTAAACAAGTCACCCAAGGTACTGCACAGAATGGATGGAGGAACTACTTTGGAACTCAGACAGCCTGACATGAAACCTTAATCCAAACTTATACACCCCATGGCCCAGGATGGCTTTGAATGCAGCCCAACACAAATCTATAAATTTTCTTAAAACATTATGAGACGTTTTTGCAATTTTTTTTTTTAGCTCATCAGCTATCATTAGTGTTAGTATATTTTATATATGGCTCAAGACAATTAATTCTTCTTCCAGTGTGGCCCAGGGAAGTCAAAAGATTGGACACCCCTGCCTTAGTCCCATTTAATGGCCTAAGGCTAAACTCTACATTAAAGCCATTGAACTGAAAACGGTAGAAGGGAAGTGATTAGCTGCTCCCAATCTCCTAAGTAAAGAAGCAAAGCTCATATAGACACTCAAAAAATGGATCTGTTGTCTCAGCCGGATTTAATTTGCAGGATTCACTAAGAGAAAAGGGAAAACAAAAAACAAAACAAACAAACAAACAAAAAACTGAAAAGCTTCCTAACCAACAAAAGAAAGAAAACTTCTTGTTATAATACAACTGTGGATTGTCATTCCTTTTACTAGGAAGACAAATGGCAAGTAATTTAGTACCCTTTCTGGTTTATATTATTTCTATACTGTATGCTAAGCCTAAGTATAAAATCCAAGTGTACTTTGGCTTGAAAATTTGAATTTTAAAGGGAAGAAGTTTGTTTCCTGATTTCAGTGAATTATTTTGCTGTTACCAATTAGATGTCTTGTGATGACAAGGAATATGAGAGCTATTTAAAAGAAACCTGTACAATGTAGGCAGAGTAATTGCAGTCCTGAATAGGGCAAGCAATTAAATACAGCCTGCATCCTGCATCTTAGGGTATTTTGAGGCATCTCATGGCATTGTGCCTGGTTCCTGGGATTCACATGTTGAAAGCTTTTCACGCTTTCTTTTAAAATATGTATTTAAAGCTATTCATCCTCTCTTGAAGCAAGCAAAGGAAAGAGCCTTCTACAGAATCCTGCTGGACTCATTCTAACCCAGGGAAGCCAAACAAATTTCTAAAGAGGGCAGCTCACAGCCTCCAGTTCACCTAAGACATTTGATGATCTAATGTCATTAAAATTCATTAAAAATTATTGAATAATTTTTGAGAGGCAGTCCCTCATGAAAGAGATATTATTAAAATGTTTTATGATTTTAAAAACATGCACATAGTAAAGTAGTCCAACAACACAAAAGAATATCCAATGAAAAGCTAGTTTCTCTCTCTCCTGACCTACAGCCCCCCAGGTCTCTCTAGAGGGAAACACTTGGCTTCAAATGTGCAGACATACTCATAACCATTACAGAGATTTATACTTTATAACTTCATCACCTTAACGGTTGACGAACATTTTTTAAAGAAAGAAAATGAAGAAGATGGAATTTTCAGATCTGTGCTTTGAAGGAAAAAAACAGAGGGAGGTGAAAGAGTAGCTGAGGGTGAGGGAAGGAGGCCGATTTTGATGGGGTAGCCAGAGAAGACCTCTCTAAAAAGGTGACATTTTAGCTGACCAGGAGAAGGAGAGAGCAAAATGAAAGCCAGGATGGAGAGTGTTTCCCAGGAACTACTGTTTTCAGCAACTGGAAAAACCAAGAAGGGGCAGGGTTTGGTGTTGGAGGAAAAAAAAGGCCAATGTAATGAAAGAGCAGGAGGATGGCAGGCACAAGGGACAGGTAGTTTTTTCAGCCAGGGTAGGGAGCTTGGATTGTATTCTAAGTGCCACTGGAAGCACTGAAGAAGTTTAAGAAGGGAGGTAGCTAGGCGCAGTGGCTTGTACCTGTAATGCCAGCACTTTGGGAGACCAAGGCAGGATAATCTTTTTGAGCCCAAGAGTTCCTGACCAGTCTGGGCAACACAGGACACCTTGTCTCCACCAAAAAACAGAAAAAATTAGCCAGGTGTGGTGGCATGCAACTGTAATCCTAGCTACTCAGGAGGCTGAGGTGGGAGTATTGCCCGAGCCAAAAGGTCGAGGCTGGAGTGAGCTGAGACTGTGCCACTGCACTCCAGCCTGGGTGACAGAGCAAGGCCAAAAAAAAAAAAAGAGAGAAAAAAGAAAAAAAAAAGGAAGGAAGGAAGGGAGGGAGGGAGGAAAGCAGGGAGGGAGGAAAGGAGGGAGGGAGGGAGGTGGGTGAAATGTGTTGTATACTTTTCTTAAAGCTCACTCTAGGCCAGGTATGGTGGCTCATGCCTATAGCCCCAACATTTTGGGAAGCAGAGGCAGGAGGATCACTTGAGGCCAGGAGGTCAAGACCAGCCTGGGCAGCAGAGCAAGACCCTACCTCTACAAAAAAAAAAAAAATTAAAAATTAGGTGGGCATGGTGGTGTGAGCCTGTAGTCCCAGCTACTCAGGAGGCTAAGGTGGGAAGATCACTTGAGCCCAGGAGTTTGAGGTTACAGTGAGCTACAGTAGTGCCACTGCATTCCAGTATGGGCAACAAGGCAAGACCCTGTTTCAAAAATTAAGAAATAAAATTAAAAAAATAAATAAATTCAAGCTCACTCTGTTAGATTGCTTCCAAAGGTGGCCACAACCATCCATCCCACCTCACATGCCCTTTTGCAAATGGGCCTTTGCCATTTCTCCCTCTGTTTCCACTCCTCCTGAATCTGGGCAGGCCCTGTGACTTGCTTTAACCAACAGAATGTGGTAGAAGTGACAGGGACATAGTGCAGCTTCTGAGATTGGGCTATAAGAGGTCTTGCTGCTTTCTTGGAGCCTTGAGCCATATGGAAAGAATACTGGGCCAGCCTGCTGGAGAGGCCCCATGGATAGTGAGGTCCTGGAGCATGCCAGAGCATGAGGCCCCAGCGTTCCAGCCATCCCTGCTGAGGGGCTAGACACGTGAGTGACACCACCTTGGGTTGTCCAGCCCAAACTTCAGTCATGTGAGAAGGTCCAGCCCACACTACGTGCAATACAGCCTTCCTATTCCAGTTGAACTTGCCCTGCTCAGCTAACCCACAGAATTGTGAGCAAATAAAATGACTGTTTTTTGTTTTTTGTTTTTTTGTTTTAATCATTAAGTGGCTGGGCACAGTGTCTCACGCCTGTAATCCCAGCACTTTGGGAGGCCGAGGTGGGCAGATCACCTCAGGTCAGGAGTTCGATACCAGCCTGGCCAAATGGTGAAACCCTGTCTCTACTGAAAGTACAAAAATTAGCCGGGTGTGGTGGCCGGCGCCTGCAGTCCCAGCTACTCAGGAGGCTGAGGCAGCAGAATCACTTGAACCCAAGAGGTGGAGGTTGCAGTGAGCCGAAATCGTGCCATTGCACTATAGCCTGGGTGTCAAGAGTGAAACTCCGTCTCAAAAAAAAAAAAAAATTAAGATTCGGGGTGGGCTGGACGGAGTGGCTCACACCTAGCCACTCCTAGCACTTTGGGAGGCCGAGGTGGTTGGATCACTTGTCAGGAGTAGCACTTTGGGAGGCCGAGGTGGTTGGATCACTTGTCAGGAGTTCAAGATCAGCCTGGCCAACATGGTAAAATCCCGTCTCTAGTAAAAATACAAAAAAATTAGCTGGGCATGGTGGAGCGCATCTGTAGTCCCAACTACTTGGGAGGCTGAGGCATGAGAATCATTTGAGCCTGGGAGGTGGAAGTTGCAGTGAGCCAAGATCACGCCATTGCACTCCAGCCTGAGCGACAGAGAGACTATGTCTCAAAAAAAAAAAAAAAAAAGAAAAAAACAAAAAAAAAGATTTCAGGTCATTTGTTCTGCAGCGGTAGATAACTGATGAACTGATGAACATATTCTGGCTGATATGGGAAAAATGGATTTTAGAGGACTTACAGGTGGAAGCAGAAATAACAGGTAGGCCACTGGAGTGGTAAGAGAGAAATGAGTGAGAACAGTGGAAATGGAGAGGAGTTGATAGATTTGAGATAAATTTTGGAGGTGGAACAGATAAGATGTATTGATAGATTTAATGTGGGTGGTAAGGGAAAGGACTCCTCCCAAGCATTTGATTTGAGCAACCAGATGTAAGCTAATGCTGTTTATCAAAATATGTAAGACCCAGATAGGAACAGGATTGGGAGGTGAGAAGTGAATCAGGGTCCTAGATTTCTAACATTCTAGTTACTGTGTATTGCTACAGAGCAATCTCTCTTAATCCTGCAATTTTGGCCATTTCTTAGATGTCTATCATGTTGTCTTTGAAATAAATAAATATTTATTTATTCTATAAATTGAATAAATAAATGAAGTTTTCTGACTACAAGCCATGAATGAACCAAAGATGACATTTGTGGTTATCCAAAAAAAAGTCTCAACCTAGTGAGATGGAATTGCTACACAGGAACTTTTCCTGTGTAAAAAAGTAAATTTTAATAAAAATTAACTTTTAGGCAGGGCGTGGTGGCTCACGCCTGTAATCCCAGCACTTTGGAAGGCCAAAGCGGGCGGATCACTTGAGGTCAGAAATTCAAGACCAGCCTGGCCAACATGGTGAAACCCCATCTCTAGTCTCTAATAAAAATACAAAAATTAGCCGGGCGTGGTGGCATGTGCCTGTAATCCCAGCTACTCAGGAGGTTGAGGCAGGGAATCATTGAACCCGGGAGGTGGAGGTAGCAGTATGCCGAGATTGTGCCATTGCACTCCAGCCTGGGTGACAGAGCAAGACTCCATCTCAAAAATAAATAAATAAAAATAAATAAAAATAAATTGGCCGGGCACGGTGGCTCACACCTGTAATCGCAGCACTTTGGAAGGCTGAGGCAGGTGGATTACGAGGTCAGGAGTTCAAGACCAGCCTGGCCAAGATGGTGAAACCCCGTCTCTACTAAAAATACAAAAAAAAATCAGCTGGGCACAGTGGCAGGTACCTGTAATCCCAGCTACTTGGGAGGCTGAGGCAAGAGAATCGCTTGAACCTGGGGGAAGGAAGTTGCAGTGAGCCGAGATCATGACACTGCATTCCAGCCTGGGTGACAGAGTGAGACTCTGTCTCAACAAAAATAAATAAATAAATAAAAATAAATTAACTTTTATCCAGGTTCAGTGGCAGGCTCCTGTAAGTCCCAGCTACTTGGGCGCCTGAGGCTGAAGGATCACTTAAGCTCAGGACTGCAAGGCCAGCTTGGGCAACATACCAAGAACCTGTCTCTAAAAAACAAATTTAACTTTTTATTCATATAGACTTTTAAGGACAAGCTTCTGATGTAAATAGTGCTATCACATGAGAGCAGAAAGCTCTCTCTTGACAACAGAGTCGGCAGTACAGAGGTATTAAATGCTCCACATGTCTGTAGATCAGTTTGGACTTGGCAACCCCTGCTTTGGATGGGAGAGTTACAACAACTTATATATTCAATGATATAAGTAAGCAGATACTCCAAGAGAAACAACCTCATTAAAAATTCACTAGAATGAAGTCTCAGAACTGTCACTTACACAGTATGTGTACATACTGTGTACTTACACAAAAATAGCAGGCACTATCAGTCAGCTACCTCCAAGCCATTCCCAAACCTTCTACAAGCCCACTTTCCAAATTAGAGCAGGGAAAATCAGATACTTAAACTCCAAGACCCTTTCACATCTGTTCAGTAAGCTGTGAGGAGGAATCCTGCTGGGGAACTTCTAGGAAAGAGTTTGCTTCCTGATAAAAGAGACTGACGAATCAGAAGAGTCCCCTGATACCACCATTTCCCAATTTGAACCCCATTTGTAAGAACATGGTACTTGGAGGTGGGGAGGCCATCTTGCAACCATGAAATAACCATGCAACCTGAGGTTGAAGATAAAAGTCCATCATGGGAATAGCAGCATAAAGAGAGGAAAGCTCTAGATGACCTTGCTGAACAGCTGCACTCTAACTGGGAAATGCCTACCTCAAACTTCTTTTTTTTCACCCAACAAGAAGCCATAACTTTATTAATAATACAAACAGCACAAATTTCAAACCAAGCTGCAGTTACTCTTTTGAAACACACACAAAAAGATCCTCATCTTCAGATTACATTAATTCCATGATAGCATTTACAATATCAGCACTGTTGTTCTTCAGGACTCCGACTGCCTTTGCTCACACATTTGCTTGTGACAAGACCAATCCTATATCCTTAAGTTTCACACCTGCTTCCTCAACCTCCTCCTCTTACCTCTCCTCTTATATAGTTAAGTCTGCATGTTTTCTTGAATGTTTGAGACAACTTCACCTTGAACTTTGAACTTCTCAGCAGCTCTTAGCTGTGCTTGTTGAGATAAATCTTTGATCTTAGTTCCCCGCTCCCCCCTCCCCAAGCCAAACTATGTAGGTGTTTGAAGCTAGGCTCTTGTAGACATCTGGTTTTGTGATGACAAAGAGGATATTCTTAGATTTCGGGATAGCGACTCTAGTAACCCTCATAGCCTTTCACAGACCCAGTTTGGACATAGCCATAGCCTTCTGTGCCTTCTTTTCTTTTCTTTCTTTCTGTCTTTTGAGACGGAGTTTCACTCTGTCGCCCAGGCTGGAGTGCAGTGGTGCAATCTCAGCTCACTGCAACCTCTGCCTCCTGAGTTCAAGTGATTCTCCTGCCTCAGCCTCCTGAGTATCTGGGATTACAGGAACGTGCCACCATACTTGGCTAACTTTTGTATTTTTAGTACAAATACTAGACTAGTACTTAGACTAGAGATGGGGTTTCACCATGTTGCCCAGGCTGGTCTCGAACTCCTGACCTCAAGTGATCTATCTGCCTCGGCCTCCCAAAGTGCTGGGATTACAGCTGTGAGCCACCGTGCCTGGCTATGTGCCTACCCTTCACTCTGACTGTGTTTTGCTTTCTTGACTGGTTCTTCATCAAATGCGGCTGCTGCTGCCACCTGGGCTTATTCTGTGGAATTTTGTTCCTTGAGTTCTGGTACTGATTCTTCACTGCAAGATTCAGTGCCAGACCTGTGCAGGGAATATAAAGATGGCAGCAGAAAGAGCCCACACTTCTTATTTCAGGAGAAAATTATAAGTCTATTCCTTAAGCTAGTGCTTCCCCACCTTCTATGGTAATGGCACACATAGAAAATGATACTATTTGGACCTAAGCGGTGGCTCACTCCTATAATTCCAGCTCTTTGGAAGACTGAGGTGGGAGGATTGCTTGAACAGGAGTTTAAGACCAACCTGGGCAATATAGCAAAACTCCCATCTCTACAAAGAAATTTAAAAATTGGCTGAGGCAGGAGGATTTCTTGAGCCCAAGAGTTCGAGGCCACAGTGAGCTATGATCGCACCACTGCATTCCAGCCTGAGCAACAGAACAAGACCCCATCTCTTACAAGAAAAGAAAAAAGAAAGATACTATTTGTATGGTACAATTCTGTGTAAATGGACAGGCTACTTACAGCCAGAGGTGACTGGCCTGAAGACTTTAGTCACCCTCAGGCCTTGCCTAGCTGCCCTAAAGGCTGAGGGGATCAAAAACTTGGCCATACCTGTAAGCCATTTATGGCACCCAAGTGGTGGTGGCGAACCAGTTGGGAAGTTCAGCTTAAGCCATGTGGATGGGGTGCTCTAAACTTTGCAGCAACTGACACAATATATATCCTTTATGAGTGGAGAGAAGAAAGGATGGATGAACTTGATCATATACTTGGTGATGAAATTCAGGAGTCATATCATATTCAAAGGATCCTGGTAAAGGTGTCTCTGGATATTACAGGAGACAATTGAGACTCCTCAAGAAAGGGACCATGGCTGGGTGCGGTGGCTCATCCCTATAATCCCAGCACTTTGTGAGGCCAAGGCAAGAGGATCACTTGAAGTCAGGAGTTCAAGACCAGCCTGAGCAACAAAACAAGACTCTATCTCTACCAAAAATAAAAAATAAAATTACCTAGACACGGTGGCATGTGCCTGTAATCCCAGCTACTTGGGAGG
Organism: Homo sapiens; assembly: GCF_000001405.40. Taxonomy (NCBI): domain Eukaryota; kingdom Metazoa; phylum Chordata; class Mammalia; order Primates; family Hominidae; genus Homo; species Homo sapiens. Next base: position 89,424,001 of record NC_000006.12, read on the forward strand.
CAGAGGCGGAAGAATCACTTGAGCCCAGGAGTTTGTGGCTGCAGTAAGCTACAACGGCACCACTGCGCTCTAGTGTAGGTGACAGAGAGTAAGACCCTGTCTCAAAAAACGCTGGAGGGGGGACCTTGCTTTTACTTCTCTCTGCACTTCTCCCTTTATTCTTCTCTCTCTGCATGAAAATTGGCTTTCTGTGCTTTTCCTACCAGAGGGCAGGAGACAGCTGCCCCACCCTCCTGGTCCCAGTGATAGTGGGCCCATCCTCTGGAATCAGGCTTCCTAGGTTTAAATCCTAACTCCATCCTTAGTATCTGTGTGACCTGTAGCAAGTTACTTAACCTCTCTGTGCCTCAATTTACTCATCTCTAAACTACTGATAATGTAACATACCTCAGTAGGGTTGTGGGAAGGAATTAAATCCATTAAACTATATAAAATAATTTAGGACCATGTATTACTCTGTTTTCGTGCTGCTGATAAAGACATACCTGAGACTGGGCAATTTTACAAAAGAAGGAGGTTTAATTGGGCTTACAGTTCCACGTGGCTGGAGAAGCCTCACAATCATGGTGGAAGGCAAGGAGGAGCAAGTCCTGTCTTACATGGATGGCAGCAGGCAAGGAGAGAATGAGGAAGACGCAAAAGCAGAAACCCTTGATAAAACCATCAGATCTTATGAGACTTATTCACTAACACAAGAACAGTATGGGGAAACCACCCCCATGATTCAATTATCTCCCACTGGGCCCCTCCCACAACACGTGGGAATTATGGGAGTACAATTCAAAATGAGATTTGGGTGGGGACACAGAGCCAAACCATATCAGACAGTAAGCACTATATAAGTGTTAGCTATTATTATCTTTAATTCCCAGGCAAGAAAATCTGATTGGCTGAGTTTGAGCCAGTGGTTCACTCCTGGCCTAATCCCCTAATTGTGCACTACATATCACTAGGTACTAGTCCTCTAGAGCATTTGTCTCAATTGTAATTTAAGATTTGATTGAGGACTGTATTCACAACTAGACTGTGGGACCATCTTCTTTTGTCCACCATTCTATTCTCAGTGCCTAGCACAGTAGCTATAATCTGGACGAAATATAATTGTACTGTATACCACTTACATTGTACTTTATGTGCAGCATATATATATATATACATAAATAGCTTGATGGTGGTCAAGTCCCGATAAATATGTGTTGAAGACTGAATTAATGGTCCCCTCCACTATGGCTGGAGATGCAGCTGTGTGGCTGCAGAGGTCTACCCTCAGGGATGGAGAAGTTATTTCCTAATAAAGGGGTATAAGCCAAACAGAAACCTCCAAATGTATCTGCCATTGCCAGGCACAGGGAATACAAAGTCAAATAGATGTTTGGCAGACATTGTTGGCAGCATAACCGGTTCCTCCCTCTCACCTCCTTCATCCTTAGTTTGGTAACTTTATTTATTTATTCATTTATTGAGATGGAGGCATGCTCTGTCACCCAGGCTGGAGTGCAATGGCTTGATCTCGGCTCACTGCAACCTCCGCCTCCCAGGTTCAAGTGATTCTCCTGCCTCAGCCTCCTGAATAGCTGGGATTACAGGCACCCACTACCATGCCCAGCTAATTTTTGTATTTTTGGTAGAGACGGAGTTTCACCAGGTTGGCCAGGCTGGCCTCTAACTCCTGACTTCAGGTGATCCACCTGCCTTGGGCTCCCAAAGTGTTGGGATTACAGGCGTAAGCCACTGCACACAGCCTAGTTTGGTAACTTTAAATGTTGGGTATCAACACACTCAGGGAAGGAACCCCAGACCAGAAGTTGAATCATGGTTAGTCTATGGTAATTATGGTAACCATTCCCCTATCTTTGTCATCCAGTGATAACCAATGACATGTGAAAGGATATATGTCTCAGGGGCATCTGATACGAAGTTGTTCCCCAGTTGAAATAAATACTGTGAGAAAGCCTGCAACCTTTCTTGACTGGATGTCATCAAAGACAAAAGCCAAAACTGAGGGTGGTACAGTAGAATGACAGAAAGAACCCAAGGCCACATATGTTTATCATATAAATTATTATTATTATTTTTTTTTGAGACAGGGTCTCACTCTGTCACCTTGGCTGGAGTGCAGTGACACAATCATGGCTCACTGCATTCTTGACCTCCTGGTCTCAAGCGATCCTCCTTAGCTCCTCCCACCTTAGCTTCCCAAAGTGCTGGGATTACAGGTGTGAACCACCCTGCCCAGCCTACATGTTTTTGTTGTTTAAGCCACTCTAGGCAAGCACACTCTTGTAGCCAAACACAATGTAACTGATAACTATAGTCCCCTTACCTTAGGAACTGAAAATGTGGAAGGAAGACAGATCAGAAAATCAGAAGCTTAAAGTTAGGAACAGAGAAGGATGCCCACTATCACCACTCCTATTCCACGATGTACTGTAGATCCTTGACTGCATAAGATTGGAAAATGAAACAAAAGAATTGTGACACTAGAATTGTGCCATTTATTTTATTTTATTCATAAGATAAAAAATTGATAAATTGGACTTTGTCAAGATTAAAAAAACTTTTTCACTGCAAAGACCCTGTTAAGAGGATGCAAAGACAAGCTAAGGACTAGGGTAAAATATTTGCTAACCACATATCTGACAGAAGCCTCATATCTAGAAAGTATAAGGAATTCTCAAAACTTAGGGGAAAAAATCCAATTAGAAAATAGCAAAAAACATTTCACCGACAAGGATATAGTAATGTCAAATAAGCACATGAAAAGATGTTCAACACCATTAGACATTAAGGCATGCAAATTATTATTATTATTATTAGAGAAGGGTCTCACTTTGTCACCCAGGCTAGAGTACAGTCATAGCTCACTGCAGCCCTGAATTCCTGGGCTCAAGCAATCCTCCTGTCTCAGCCTGCCAATTAGCTAGGACTACAGGCTTGTGCCACTATGCCCTGCTAATTAAAAAAAATTTTTTTGTAGAGACAGGGTCTCACTATGTTGCCCCGGTTGGTCTTGAGCCCCTAACCCCAAGCAATCATCCCTCCTCAGCCTCCCAAAGTGTTGGAATTACAGGCGTGAGCTACCACCCCCTGCCCAGAAATGCAAATTATTAAGACCACAGTGAGATACTACCACATAACTACCAAAATGACTGAAATTAAAAAATAGTGACAACACCAAATGCTGGCAAGGATACAGAAAACTCAGATATCTCATACATTGGTGGTGGGAAGTGTAAAATGGTATAGCCACCCTGGAAAACAGTTTGGCAGTTTCTTAAACACTAAACATGCGACTACAAAATGACCCAGCAATTGCCCTTCTGGTTACTTATCCCAGAGAAGTGAAAACTATGTTCATATGAAAACATGTATATGAATGTTCACAGCAGCTTTATTCATAATAACCCAAACCCAGATGCTGTTCAATGGGTGAATGGCTAAACAAACTGTAGTATATCCACACTGTGGAATACTACTTAGCAATGGAAAGAATCAACAGTTGACACACACAACAACTTGGATGAATCTCAAGGGCATTATGCTGAATGAAGAAAAAGGCAGCCTCAAAAGGCCACATACTGTATGATTTCATTTACATAATATTCTGGGTTTTTTTGAGATGGAATCTTGCTTTGTTGCCCAGGCTGGAGTGCAGTGGTGTGATCTCGGCTCACTGCAACCTCTGCCTCCTGGGTTCAAGCGATTCTTCTGCCTCAGCCTCTCGAGTAGCTGGGACTACAGGCATGCCACCATGCCCAGCTAATTTTTGTTATTTTTGGTAGAGATGGAGTTTTGCCGTTTTGGCCAGGCTGGTCTTGAACTCCTGACCTCAAGTGATCCGCCCCCGCCTTGGCCTCCCAAAGTGCTGGGATTACAGGCATGAGCCACCGCGCCTGGCCTACGTAACATTCTTAAAATGACAAAATTATAGAGATGGAGAACAGATTAGTGGTTGTCAGAGATTAGGGATGGTGTCGGGGAGGGGGTTGGGTGTAACTATAATTAAGTAGCATGAGGATGATTCTTTGTGGTGATGGCATAGTTCTGTATTTTGATAGAATGGTGGTTATATGAAACTACATATGTGATAAAATTGCACAGAGCTACACACACACACACACACACACACACACACACATTGTACCAATGACTTAATATCATAAAGATGCCAATTTTTTCCAAATAGCAGTAGTAGGAAACATTCTTGCTTCTATTACATGAAGGCTGCAGACTTTTTGTGGCCATATTGGACTCTGCATGATTCCATTTGTCTTTTCATTCTGGATCCCCACGGAAGGTGCAGCCACTCTTTGGGGCATGATATTCTCATGGCAAATGGCAGAAGCTCAAGGGAGGTAGGGGAAGCACTAAAGCATACAACATATTTTAAGCTTCTGTTCCAATGTGGTGTTTGCCAAGGCAAGTCAACACAAGCCCAAAACCAATGGAGCAGACTGGTTTACCCGACCTATAGAAAAGCATGGCAAAGATGGAAAGGGTACGAATAATTGTGAATGAACAATGCAATCCACCACATATATTTACTGAGATTTGAGATTTCAAATTAAAATCTCAAGTTTATCATAACAAATGAATTAGAAAATGTCTATGAAGGAGAAAAGAGCTAAGAATACTTGAGATCTGTATAAATAAAAAAGAGAAATAAGTCAGGGTAGGACTTGTATATTTGGAAATCAACACTTGAAATAAAACCACAGGCTAGGCACAGTGGCTCACACCTGTAATCCCAGCACTTTGGGAGGCCAAGGCGGGTGGATCACTTGAGGTCAGGAGTTCAAGACCAGCCTGGCCAACACGGTGAAACCCTGTCTCTACTAAAAAATAATTTTAAAAAAATTAGCTGGGCGTGGTGGCATGCAACTGTAATCCCAGCTACTCAGGAGGCTGAGGCAGGAGAATCACTTGAACCCAGGAGAAGGAGGTTGCAGTGAGCCAAGATCATGTTACTATGCTCTGGCCTGGGCAACAGAGCGAGGCTCTTTCAAAAAGAAAAAAAAAGAGAAAAGAAAGAGAGAAAGAGAAAGAAAAAAAAAAGAAAACCAAAGATTTCAGGCAGTATGATGCTAGCAGAGGGATAGACAAATGGAACAAAATAGAGGACCGAAAACAAACCTATATGTGTATAAAAATCCATTGTAAGAGAGTTCTGGCATTGCAAATGAAAGGAGAAATGAATTTCAGATAGAATGTGGACTTACACATGAAAGACAAAATTGTAACACTTGAAATAAAATATGGGAGAATATTTTTATATCCTTGGGGTCAGAAAGGACTTCTCAAAACACATGAAACAAGGCAAAAGACACCATCAATTAACAAAAGAGGAAACAGGACTAGCTATTAAACATTAAAGATGCTCAGCCATACTGGTAATTGGGGAAATACAAACTACAACTATTATGAGAGATCATTTAGATGAAAACAAGTGCTGGCAAAGATTGTGGGACATGGATGACTTTCTTTTTTTTTTTTCTGAGACGGAGTCCCGCTCTGTCACCCAGGCTGGAGTGCAGTGGCACGATCTCACTGCAAGCTCCACCTCCTGGGTTCACGCCATTCTCCTGCCTCAGCCTCCCGAGTAGCTGGGACTACAGGCGTCCGCCACCATGCCAGGCTAATTTTTTGTATTTTTAGTAGAGATGGGGTTTCACCGTGTTAGCCAGGATGGTCTCGATCTCCTGACTTCGTGATCCACCCGCCTCGACCTCCCAAAGTGCTGGGATTTACAGGCGTGAGCCACCATGCCCGGCCAGATGACTTTCATATACAGGTGTTAGAAATGAAAATTGGTATGACCACTTTAGAAAACAATTTTAGAAAACAACCAGTTTAGACAGTTTGACATTACCTAGTAAATTTGAACGTGCACTTACCTTAAGACCTGATGATTCCACTTCTAGGTATATATCCTAAAAAACATTCTTACACACATGTATCGGAGAAATATTTAAGAATATTCACAGCAACACTGTTTGCAATAGCAAAAACTGGAGCCAATCCAACATCCAAAAGTAGAATGGGTAATTAAATTGTGTTATGTTTTTACAACAAAATACCTATATAACAGAGAAATCAGATAGGTGAATCTCAGAAACATAATGCTGGGCAAAAGCTGCAAGTTGCATGGGAATAATGCAGAATGATTCTATTTTAAAAAAGCTCAAAAACACGCAAAAACAAACCATGTAGTGTTTAGGGACACATATATTTGTGATAACATAATTATTAACACAAAACTTAGGATGGTGGTTTCCTCTGAAAGAGAAGGATATGATTATAGAGCGGCAGATGGAAGGGTTCTTCCTTGAGTGGAAGCTTTAGCAAAGGCAGTTTCAGTGGAGTGGCAGGGATGGAAGCCAGAATGGTGTGTTGAAGGCTGCGTTGAAGCTAACAACATGAAAGACAGCTAATGCAGTCAGCTCATTAAAGACATGTTGTTGAAAATAGGAGCAGATTATATTATCACAAAGCAGTGAAAATGATCATTTGCAGAGCAAACTTCTTTCTCACAAGGCAGAAGGAGGGTGAGCTAGGGTGAATATAAGAGGCTGGCTGTGATTGAGCTGAACGTAGGGGCAAGAACAGAGCTGCAGCCTGGGAGCCCTTCTCATAAAGAGGGAGATTTAGGAGTCTTCTTCGTTGGTCGCCCAAAGACTGTCTGCCCACTTGGAGATAAGCAAGCAAGATCTCCAAGCAGCTCAGCCACTGCCTGCTTTGGCTCTCATGAGACCTCCTGCCAGGAATCCCCATTAATCAAAGTCTGGGAACAAAAGCAGACCAGTCAGTTCCCAGGAGCGCTCACATGTCTTGCAGGCTGGCTTGGGCTTTCTGTTTCTTTCGGGGTCATTGCTCTGACTACCCACAAATATAACTTAAAATCTCATCTCAATGTGACTTTCTGGTGATGTTTTAAAAGCCTATCAGGGAAACTGAGCATTTGCATCTTTGGAAGTTTATTCGAGGGACTAGCTAGGAAAACTCAATGTGGAAAAGTACAAGAGAGAAATGATCACATTGAAAGGTCATGTGGCTGGGCGCGGTGGCTCACACCTGTAATCCCAGCACTTTGGGAGGCTGAGGCAGGTGGATCACAAGGTCAGCAGTTCGAGATCAGCCTGACCAACATGGTGAAACTCCGTCTCTACTAAAAATACAAAAAAATTAGCTGGGCGTGGTGGCAGGCGCCTGTAATCCCAGCTACTTGGGAGGCTGAGGCAGGAGAATTGCTTGAAACCGGAAGGTGGAGGTTGCAGTGAGCCGAGATTGCACCACTGCACTCTAGCCTGGGCAATAAAAGCAAAACTCCATCTCAAAAAATAAAAAGAAAGGTCATGTGTACAAACTTTGACTTTGAGGGTTATCTAGGAACTCATTAGTAACCTGCCTGGAGAGAAACCTGGAGCTACAAGCCAGCAGAGAAAGGAAATGTGTTCTTCTATCAGCTCCAGGTGTAGAGCAACAGGAATGGGGCACAAATCTGAAGAAGGGCTGGGCGCGGTGGCTCACACCTGTAATCCCAACACTTTGGGAGGCTGAGGCCGGAGGATTACTTGAGCCCAGGAGTTCAAGACCAGCCTTGACCTCCTCTGTGTTAAACATAAAAAAATTAGCTGGGCATGGTGGTGCACACTTGTAATCCCAACTATTCAGGAGGCAGAGGCAGGAGGATTGCTTGAGCCCAGGAGTTCAAGACTGCAGTGGGCTACTGCACTTCAGCCTGGGTGACACAGCAAGGCCCCATCTTAAGGGGGAAAAAAAAGTCTGGAAAAGGCCAAAGGATACTCAGAAGAGAGATTTCACATCCTGTTAGGTAAAACTGCAGCTGTGACTATGGGGTTGGGAAAATTTCAGAAGCAGTAGGAGAAAATCAAGAACTTCCCCTTCCTAGTGTGGAAACAGGCTCTTGGGATCTCTCCTGCCTAATGATCCCTGAAGGAGAGAGGGAAACAAACATCTTAAGGAAAAGGAAGAAATCATCATGTTTCTTTTCTCCTGGAAACCAGGCCTGTTTCAGAGGGAATAAGAAAAGTCGGCTGGGTGCAGTGGCTCATGCCTGTAATCCCAGCACTTTGGGAGGCCGAGGCTGGAGGATCACGAGGTCAGGAGTTCGAGACCAGCCTGACCAATATGGTGAAACCCCATCTCTACTAAAAATACAAAAATTAGCCAGGGATGGTGGCGGGCACCTGTAATCCCAGCTACTCAGGAGGCTGAGGCAGGAGAATCACTTGAACCTGGGAGGCGGAGGTTGCAGTGAGCCTAGATGGTGCCATTGCACTCCAGCCTGGGTGACAGAGTGAGACTTCGTCTCAAAAAAAAATTTTAAGCAAGAAAGAAAAAAAAATCAGATTCGTGATAAGCTTGTCCCAAAACCTCAGGTAAGATTGATAGTCCATTTTAGGGTGCTGCTTGCCTCCTCTTCCATCTCTCCGCCTTTGGAGAGCAGATACCTGTCCATGCTTCTTCAAAGGGTGGAATGAGATCCCATCCATCTTACATGTATTCAACAGTAGCTTATTGAATGCTTCCTGTGTTCAGGGAGCTCTTCTAGGTATTGAAGAAGTGGCTGTGAATGAAAATAGACAAAACCAGACTGAGATAATGGTATGTAAAGTGTGATATGAATATGGGGGTCAGGCTCGCTCAATGCTTTTGCCATTTCCATATGGGATGATTCCAACAAGATACTTATAGTCAAGCTGTTAGAAATAAAGGCTTCCTTTCCCCTCTCCAGCTACCCCAATAAATCTGGGTCATTCATCATTGTTGTTCAGTTTGTACTGAGCAGCCCCAGTTAAGTGAGCTATGGTTATATTGAAATATCCACTTGGCCACGAATTGAGTGAAGGTGGGAGGTTCCTCCTGCTAATTCTCCTCCCCTCCCAATACACTTCCTGGCAACCCCCACGCGGAAAACCTCACCCTACTATAGGCCCCCTTCCTCCCACTCTTCAGAAGGCGGTGGCCCCACCCAGGAGAGGGCTGCAGATCGGGGCCAGCCCCAGGGCCTCCGCGGTGCCACCTCTCTCTCGCGAGGGTCCCTGCCGTGCCCCGGCTCGCCGCTGGGAGGCGCTGCGGCACCGGCGTAGGAGCCGCCGGCAGGGGTGGGGCGGGGCCGGCGGGACGGGGCAGAGGGCCCTGCGGCGGCGGACGCGGCGGGCTCGGCCACAGGTAACCCGCAGGAGCCGAGAGCGCTGCCTGGCGCGCGGGCGGCTGGAGGCACGGCGCTGGGCGGCGCCGAGGCCCTGGGGCCGCCGGAGCCAGCGGGAGCCAGTCCCCGTCTTCGCCCCTCGCCCCCCACCGTGTCGCCGGCCTTGGTCCCTGCGGCGCGGACGTCCGGCGCGGGAGAGAAAGGTACCAGGCGACCTCGCCGGCTCCCTGGGACCCCCGCTTACACCGGGGTGGGCGCCTCAGGTCGGGGAGGACGCTGTCGGGGGAAGGGGGCGCTGCTCCCTCGGCACCCCAGGATCGCCGACTGCCCGCGGAGGAGACCCGGACACCGCGCCTCGCCCCCTGGCCTGCGGCCTCCGAAAACGCCCGGCGCGAGGGGGTCCCCCCGGGGCGCCTCCCTCTTCGCCTGGCATCAGTTGCCTCCCTGGAATATGGAACTTCGGGCGAGGGAGGTGGAGAACTTTCTTCTGGGGCTCGTCCCTCGTTCTCCTGCTCGCTTGCAGTTTGAAGGAAGGGCGGTGGGGGCGGGGGTCCGAGTACCCCGCGGTCTGCGGCGCGTAGGAGGGTAGGTCCCTGGCCTGCGGCCGCCTCCGAATGACCCCGTCCCTCCCCGCCCTGGACGACAGCACTAGGGTGCAGTCGCAGGAGAGGGGCCGATACCCCTCAGGAGCCCCATCGGCGAAGCCTCAGCAAGTGGCATCTCCCGGGGTCCAGAGAGTCGGCGTGCTGTCTGGTTTGGGTCCAGACATCAGCTCACCCAAGCTTATCTTGGGCTTTTAAGTGTGTTGCTTCCGGTAGATCTCGGGGACTGGAGGGGAAGTGCAGCATTATTTGTGACCCAAGAGGGACTTGAATGTCTCAAAGCTGGTCAAGAATGTTTCCCCCGCGAGGTAGCATGAGATGGGTCACGTGGTAGTAAAGAGCCACTTCGGGCCCGTGAGATGGAGTTCTGACTCCACCACTTGTTAGGTGTGTGACTTTGGAAAACCCACTTCTTTAAACCTTAGTTTTTAGAACTCTAAACTGCAGGTATTGTACATAACCTCGTAGTATTGTGTTCATGCAGTGAAGTGATGGGAATGAAATGCTTGGCATTGTACTCTTGTGTGTTAGACACCTTTTGCGAACCTGTTGGATGTTGAATTCATTCATGCTTAGGTTCTGTTAGGCCAGTGTAAGTGGAAAGAACTTGGGCAATGAAGACAAACACACCTGGGTCCAAGGTGGTCCCATCCATGGTATACTGATTGGGGGTTTCTCATCCCCAAAACACCAATAGCAGCCTTGGCGGGGTTTTTGTTGTTGTTGTTTTGAGACAGAGTTTCGCTCTGTTGCCCAGGCTGTAAGCTTTGACCTCCTTAGCTCAACCGATCTTCCCACCTCAGCCTGGGACCACCACACCTGGCTAATTTTGAATTTTTTTATTTTACTAGAGACAGAGTCTCACTGTGTTGCCTAAGCTGGTCTCGAACTCCTCCTGTCTCAGCCTCCCAAAGTGTTGGGATTACAGGTGTGAGCCACTGTACTGGTCTGCAGCCTTGTTCTTGAGTGTAGTAGGTGTGTCTATACCGATACATGTTACACTTTGTCATCTTTAGTATTTGTTTAGCATATGGTAACAAAAAATTTTTTAAAAATTAGGGATACAAATTAAAATTGGGGAGTATTTTCTGCCCTCTAGGTCATACTGGACATGGGGGAAGGGTAGAAGAGGGATGAAGAGGAATTAAAGAGACCAGAAAACAACTAGTCGCAGTGTTGGGAGGTATAAACCAATGGTAATTTTTAAAAATGTGAATTTATTAACTCCTTGTTTTTTCATGGTGGCACCAAAAATTAATCTTAGTCTCCCACTTAAACTCATCAGCCTCCCCAAAGCCTTTCCAGATAAGCATATGCTCCATGTAAAAGCAGACTGCCTGCGATCCAACTCAGCTTAGAGACAAGGCACACTTCCAACTCCCAAGGCCTCCTTCTTGTATAGAGATGCTGGTGCTGCCACTGTGAAATACATCATACACTCAGACAGTATAAACCTTAGAGTGCAATGTAAAGAATAACAATAGATCACACCCAAGTACGAGTCACCCGGCTGAAGAACTAGAACATCGCCAGGCCCCTGGAGCCCCTGAGTACCCCTCTCCATTGCCTTCCACTCACTTCTCGCCTCCCACCCAAGGAACCACTATTCTGGATGTTGTGTTAACTTTTTCCCTTGCTTATATGAAAAACCCTGAGGAAAGGAAGTTTCCCAACAAGCATTTCCACAATAACCTGGAGCATTCTTTATTTTTCTTTTTTTCTCAAGGAGCATTGTTATTGAACTTAAAAGCAGGCTATTGAGGGTAAGATACAAACCACAAAAAAGCCGAAAGTCTCAAAGTCGGGGGATCTTTTAGTCTCTGTCTTCTTCCAAGTTTCTCCTGTCTCCCTGGCACGGATCCCGAAGGTGTGTTCTGTCTGTGTAGGGGAGACCCAGTCTCTTCCAACATAGATTGATGGCTGTGATTTTAAAAGCTTTGCTTGAGTCCCTAAGAAGTGGGAAAACAGTAATTTGGGTGCGTGCGTTTTAGAAGTTTTTTTAAAAATGCAAATTATCCAGAAGGCATTGTGTGGGATTTGAAGGATTAAGCTAAGAGTGACCTTTAAAAATGGTTTTAACAACCCAAATTCCTCTTCCTGGTTGATATGTTTGTGTTATTGTCTTTGTTTTATTTCTTCAAGGTCACATGGCTTTCCTTGGTGAATCTTACACTGTTTTGTTACTTCTTGGTTAAGGCAAAGATTCTGAAACTTGGTTTCATGGAGCCCTTAGTGTCTGAGTTAATTTTTTCACAATTCCCTTAGGCTTCAGTAGTTAGTAATTTTTTCACAATTCCCTTAGGTTTCAGTAGTTAGTAGTTAGGTTCAAACAACTGAGTATTTACTTAGAAGTTGTTTGAAAAAATAATATACATAAACTGAGAGAAAAAATATTTTACATCCTTTAAAGTCATAATTACTAACCGTATGTGTGTGCCTATACTACTTTTCAAACCTTGGGATCGTGTTGGACACTGCCACTCTCATTTCCTGTTTCACATTAATATTTCCGCAGCATTTGGCTTTTATCACAGCAGCCACAGAAAACCCAGCTTTGCAAAGATGTATTGTCTTGGATAGGAATGTAACATGATCTACTGTTGAAACTGCAAACTACCTCCAGTTAATAGGTTCAGCAGTGTCCAGACATGTTTGGTATACTAGTTTCCATTGAAATTTTCAGATTTTCTACATTGCCCATTTTAATTTGCTATAGTTGCAAAACACCCAGTCAGGGGGTCCAAAATAGTAAACTTTGAAAACATTATGCTAGGTGAAATAAGTTAGTCACAGAAGGGACAATATTGTATGATTCTGTTTATATTAGGTACCTAGAGTAGTCATACACATGGAGACAGAAAGTAGAATGGTAGTTACCAGGGGTAGGGGGAGGACAGAATAGGGAATTCATGTACTATTTTTGCAACTTCTATGTAAGACTAATATTATTTCAAAATAAAGTTTTTAAACGTTTTTTAAAAACAAATTCTGTTGATGGTGCCCCACTGCTGGACTGTACCAAGGCACTGAGGTTAGGGACAGCAGCAGAGAAAAGCTTAGGGGTGACATTATCTCTATTTCCCAGCTCTTCCTCATCCCGTCAAGGGGGAAGAGATGGAAGAAATAGCTATGTTCTCTCTCTTTTATAGGGAAGTGTCTGCATTATTTACTGGTGGGTTCCTTTATAAACCTGAGGATCAGCTATTAAATTTGTCACTAAAATAAGAATTTTTAACCTGGGGTTCAGTGGTGGGCTACAAATACTCTAAGATCTCCCAAAATTATGTATAAGTATTTAAGTGAATGCTCTTATGTATGTTTGAGGGGGAAGAAGTTCCATAGCTTTCATCAGATTCTCAAATGGTTTCCTAAGTCAAAAAAGGTTAGTAAGCGCTATAAGGAAATATTTACAGATTCCTACCTACCCCCACCCCATAAAAGGCCCCTTTATTTGGATGTCTTATCCCATTTCAGTTCTCTGACATATCTTTCCCCCACCAGTTACAAGAGGCTTTCTTTCTGCTCAGACCCCAGATAAGCCCGACCAGTTCTTTTTCCTCAGAGCCCCCAGCTATTCATCTGGATCCTGAAAACTCCAGGACCAATTCCTCAAGAGCCAAAGGAAGTCCCAGAATGAACATCTTGGACTTCTGAATAGGGCAGATGTGGAACTGAAGTCTCACAACTGCCACATCTCTCTGTGCCCTCCTTAGGTCTAGAAAAATATGAAGTAAATAATAATATATTAGGTACACAGCTATGGAAAAACTCATGAAGATGGTACTGAATGACTGAAGTCCAGTACATTCTGCTTTGGGGGAGGCAAATTTAATTTTAAGAGTGTCTTCTGGTTTACACTTTATGTTCCAAATGTATTCTAAATATAGCATACAATACGTCCTACCTTGTTTCATATCCAGTGATACAGATGAGCTATAGAATTTACACAGTGTTAGAAAAGATGTTAAATATCAGAATTTACTTAATAAGTAGGTCTCTACTCATTCAGACTGGTTTCATTTTATTTTATTTTATTTTTGAGGCAAGGTCTCGCTGTCACCCAGGCTAGAGTGCAGTGGTGCAATTTCAACTCACTGCAACCTCTGCCTCCTGGGCTCAAAGCCATCCTCTCACCTCAGCCTCCTAAGTAGCTGGGACTACAGGCACATAACACCACGCCCTACTATTTTTGTATTTTTGGTAGAGACAGGGTTTCACCTTGTTGCCCAGGCTCACACTGGTTTTAAACTCAGATGAATGGGGTAGGTAAGTGGCAAAAATGGTAACCTGCAAGCTCTTCTTATACATATGATTCCTCAATAGTTGCATTTATCTTAGAAATACTTCAATAAATCATGATTTGAGTCTTTCACCGATACAGGTATATTCTGTATGCTGTAAGGTAGGCTAACTGCTGTAACAAACATTTCCAAACCTCAGTGGTTTAATCTAGCTCACACAAGTCCTAATCAGTTATTCCTGTTGGGCAGCTCTCCTGGGTAGCTGTCCTTCAGGTGACTCAGGGATCAAGGTTCATTCCTTCTTGTGATGCCACCATCTTCATGTGGTCTCCAGAGTCACTGCAAGGGGGAAAGAGTATGGCAAAAGGAAACCGTGTTGACTGCCTTCACCAGCAAGGGAAACACATCACTTCTGCTTACATTCTATTGGCAGAACCAGTCACATGGCCTCAACTAGATTCAAGGAAGCTAGGAAATACAGTCCCTGGCTGGGCAACTGTTTCTTAGTAAAAATAATTTACTTTGGGAAAGGAATAGAACTCTTTGGTGGATGAGTAGCCATTTTTTGTACAATAAGGTGCTAGTGTTTTAACTGGTCAATTAAGTGTAACTGCCTTTATGTAATTTATTTCTAACTTTTTTTTTTAGACAAAATCTCGCTCTGTTGCCTAGGCTGGAGTGCAATGGTGCGATCTTGGCTCACCACAACCTCCACCACCCAGGTTCAAGTGATTCTCCTGCCTCAGCCTCCTGAGTAGCTAGGATTACAGGCAGCCACCACTGTGCCTGGCTAATTTTTGTATTTTTAGTAGAGTCAGTGTTTTGCCACATTGGCCAGTCTGATTTCGAACTCCTGACCTCAGGTGATCCGCCGGCCTCGGCCTCCTAAAGTGCTGGGATTACAGGTGTGAGCCACTGCACCTGGCCTATTTCTTACTTTCTAAACATATATGTGTATATGTATATATATGTATGTGTTTGTATATATGTATATACACTGTATAAATAAAATGTTATGTCTTCATAGTGGAGGGTGTGGAGAAGACTTCTATACAGGAAACAAATGTATCATAATTGCCATGTGAGCAGATAAAAATGCTATTAAGCCATCTAGGCTCAGACATTTATTAGGGAATGAAGCATATTTAATTTACTCAGAATCATCCAACCATGTAGAGAATTGTACATTTGAGAAAGACGGAGCAGAGAAAGATTAGCAAAGAACAAGAATATGCATGTCTTAATGGCTTCGTTAATGTTATCATAAGAGTTTAAAACTACTTTAGGCTGCTGGCAATAGGCTAGGTATGAAACTTATTCCCCCTTCAAAAAAAAAAGTTTTTGCCATGGAATGTGTTACATAATCACAAAGTATATGTGTCAATTTTACTTATTTGCTCTTAAGGGAAAGTAAAATTGTAAAATTTGTATCTGTTTTTCTTATTTGTTTGAAGTAAATTTGTGCCCAAGAGGGTGCACAGCATCAAATGGTAGACATTAAAGGATTACAAGATCATGTGAAAGATCCCAAGACCCAGTTAGAGTCATGGAGAAACTTCAGTAATGTGCACTAATTCTAGTAATGCTTCAGCGTCATTTATCTGTTACTAGTTGACATTGGGCTGTTCTACCTAAGGAAAAGGCCCAAATAATTAAAATTTACCATCTTTTAAATCCTAATTTTCTTTTTTTTCTTTTTCCGAGACAGGGTCTCATTCTGTCACCCAGGCTGGAGTGCAGTAGTGCCATCTTGGCTTACTGCAAACCCCGCCTCCTGGGTTCAAGCAATTCTTGTGCCTCAGCCTCCCGAGTAGCTGGGATTACAGGTGCACCACCATACTCGGTTAATTTTTGTATTTTTAGTAGAGACGGGGTTTTACCATGTTAGCCAGGCTGCTCTTGAACTCCTGACCTCAAGTGATCTGCCCACCTTGGCCTCCCAAAGTGCTGGGATTACAGGCCTAAGCCACCATGCCTGGCCTTAAATCCTAATTTTAAAATAAAGTTTCCTGTTTCATGGTGCTCATATTGGTGTAGTGAAGGAAAAAATAATTTTTCCTCTACTCTTGTGAGTTCTCAGCTGGGAGCCCTGTAACAAAACATAGGTTAACAAGAGAAAAACAAATGGAAGTTTATTAACATGCATATTTCATATATACATGGGAGAAAATTCAGGGAAAGAGTAATTCTCAAAAAGATTTCTTAGAACTCTGGCTTATATAGCATCTTCAACAAAGAACAGTACACTTTTAGAGAAGTGACAAGACAAAGGAAAAAGACCTTCAGTCTTTAGCGATGGCGAATTGTAGGAAGGCAAATACATGGGGAACTAATGGCAGATAAAGGCTAGTTAGTGCAGTTTGTTATGTAGATGCCTCTGGTGCCTTCTCTAGGCTGTTAAGGACCTAAAGCTGTCTTCTGTGACTAACCTTTATCCTTCCTGGTGGAGAGAGGAGAAGGGACACCTTTGTTAATTTATGTCCTGCTTTTAGCAAATAGGGGAAGGCAAGGAGCTTTTCTTGTATCCACTTCTCAGTTGCCTTCGGCTCAAAATAATCCTTATGCCAAAGTGGCATATTTTGGGGTAGCATATCCTGATACTTTTCATTGGAATTAAAGATGCACTAGCTGGGTGTGGCAGTGAGCACCTGTAGTCCCAGCTACTTGGGAGAGGCTAAGGTGGGAGGATCGATCGCTTGAGCCCAGGAGTTTGAGGTTGCAGTGCAATATGATCATGCCTATGAATAGCCACTGCACTCCAGCCTAGGCAACATAGCAAGATCCCATCTCGAAAAAAAAAAAAAAGTTGTACTAGACTAAAGGTTGGCAAATTATAGCCATGGCCCAAATCCAGCTTGATGCCTGTTTCATTCCTTTGCATGGTGTCTATAGCTGCTTTCAACTGCTATGGCAGAGTTGAGTAGTTTCCACAGAGATTACCTGGCCCACAAAACCTGATATATTTTACTATCTGTTTTTTTACAGAAAAACATGTTGATGATGCCTTCACTAGATACAAAATTAGTATAACTCAGTTTGATAATAACTCTGTTCCTAGTTAGAACCTACTTAATCTCTGTGGCCCACTGTTACTTCACTATAGTGGGGATAAATGACCTTGAACAAGTTACCGAATGTATCTTCTTTTTTTTTGAGACAGAGTCTCGCTCTGTCTCCCAGGCTGGAGTGCAGTGGTGTGATCTCAGTTGGCTGCAACCTCTGCCTCCCGGGTTCAGGTGATTCTCCTGCCTCAGCCTCCTGAGTAGCTGGGATTACAGGCACCCGCCACCATGCCTGGCTAACTTTTTTATATTTTTAGTACAGACAGGGTTTGGCCATGTTGGCCAGGCTCATCTGGAGCTCCTGACCTCAAGTGATCTGCCTGCCTCGGCCTCCCAAAGTGCTGGGATTACAGGCATGAGCCACTGCACCTGGCCGAATTTATCTTCCAGTTAGCTGTCTATCTTCCAGTTAGCTTCCTTAGACCAATACTTCTCAAACTTATGCATATGTCAACAAAAAAAGCCAAACTCCTGTAAAGCATTTAAAGAGGTTTATTCTGAGCCAACTGTGAGTGACCATAGCCTTGGTTTTCTTTTCTTTCCTTTTTTTTTTTTTTTTTTTTTTTTTTTGAGAGACAGAGTTTTGCTCTTATTGCCCAGGCTGGAGTGCAATGGCATGATCTTGGCTCACTGCAACCTCCGCCTCCTGGGTTTTAGCAGTTCTCCTGCCTCAGCCTACCAAGTAGCTGGGATTATAGGCATGCGCCACCACACCCAGCTAACTTTGTATTTTTAGTAGAGATGGGGTTTCACCATGTTGGTCAGGCTGGTCTTGAACTCCTGGCCTCAGGTGATCTGCCTGCCTTGGCTTCTCAAAGTGTTGGGATTACAGGCGTGAGCCACTGTGCCCAGCCAGCCATGGTTTTCAAGAGGTCCTCGGAACATGTGTCTAGGTGGTTGGGTTACAGCTTGGTTTTATTTTTATTTTTTTATTTTTTTGAGACAGGGTCTCACTCTGTCGCCCAGGCTGGAGCAGTGGCATGATCTCAGCTCATGCAGCCTCTGCCTCCCAGGTTCAAGCACTTCTCGTGCCTCAGTCTCCTAAGTAGCTGGGATTACACGCATGCGCTCCCACACCCAGTTAATTTTTGTATTTTTAGTAGAGACGGGGTTTCGCCATGTTCCCTAGGCTGGTCTCGAACTCCTGGGCTCAAGCAATCCACCTGCCTTGGCTCCCCAGAGTGCTGGGATTACAGGCCTGAGCCACTGCGCCTGGCCCATCAGCTTGGTTTTATACATTTGAGGGAGGCATAGACACCAATCAGGCTGGGTGAGGTGGCTCACGCCTATAGTCCCAGCACTTTGGGAGGCTAAGGTGGTCAGATTGCTTGAGCCTGGGAGTTCAAGACCAGCCTGTGCAACATAGTGAAAGCCCATCTATTAAAAAAAAAAAAAATTAGCCAGGCATGGTGGTGCATGTTTGTAGTCCCAGCTATTCAGGAGTCTGAGGTAAGAGGATCGCTTGAGCCTGGGAGGTCGAGACTCCAGTGAGCCAAGACTGGCACCACTGCACTCCAACAGAGTGTCAGACCCTGGGCAACAGAGCAAAACCCTGTCTCAAAAAAAAAAAAAAAAAAAAAGACAGCAATCATTATCTGTGAGGTGTGTATTGGTTTGGTTCAAAGATTTTCTCATTGGCAATTGGTTGCAAAAGTTATTATCTAAAGATCTGGAATCAGTAGACAGAAGTCTCTGGGTTACGATAAGGGGTTGTGGAGACCAAGGTTCTTATTATGTAGGTGAAGTCTCATAGGTGGCCACCATTAGAGACCACAGATGGCAGATGTTTTCTGTTTAAACCTTTAAAAGATGCTGGACTCTCAGTTGATCTCATTAGCACATGGAGGGACTAGAGGGGGTAAGATCTAGTTATGTTAATAGAGACTCTTTGCAGAAGCAATTTTCCCCCCACAAAAGATGGCTTTGTAGGGCCATTTCAAAATATGGCAAAGAAACATATTTTGGGATAAAATACTTTGATTTTCTTCTTTATCTGTCATGTGATACTAGAGTCAGATTGGAAATTGGTACCTTATTGCTACAAAGAATCTGTTTTGTCAGTTTGAAGATCTCTGTTTTAATCTTACTGCTGGTCAGTTGTGCCTGAACTCCAAAAGGGAAGGTATAATGAAGCACATCTGCTTCCCCCACCCCTGCCTATTTTTCAGGTTTCTTTGGAATTCTTTGACCCGGGTGGGGGTGAAGAGGATCCATTCAGTTGGTTGGGGGAGCTTAGAATTTTATTTTTGGCTTAAATGTAAGAATAATCTGGGGAATATATTAAAATTTGGGAATTCTCAGCCTTACTCCATAGATTCTAATTCACTAGGTCTGGGGAGGCACACATTTAACAATCACCCCAGATTCTGATGAGGTGACCTGTGGTCCACAAATTATTTTATTTTTTGAGACAGGGTCTCACTCTGTGACCCAGGCTGGAATGCAGAGGTGTGATCATGGTTCTGCAGCCTCAACCTCTCAGGTTCAAGCAATCCTCCCACTTCAGCCTCCCATCTCAGCCACCTGAGTAGCTGGGACTACAGGCGCATGCCACTACACCTGGCTAATTTTTGTATTTTTTGTAGAGATTTTGCCATGTTGCTGAGGCTGGCACCCTTTAAATAATTTGAGCCCTTATGGCAATTTGTCTTTTGGTTCCTAAAAATTGTTTCGTAGCTCTAGATAAAGTTCTTGTCTCAACCAGCATTGAAGCCTTGCCTACCTGATAGGAGAGCTTGGAACCAAGAGGGGAATGCCCAATGGCATTAATCATTAGCTTCTGAGCAGAGCAGTAAGCTTGTCGTATAAATCAAATCACTCACTGTGTGAGCTTATCTACAGAGACCTCTGCAGCTTCGCTTCCGAATAGAAATGATAGAAAAAGTTGGCACTGGGGCTTTAGTGAATGTGAATGGTTTATATCGGAGCTCAGTTTGCCTGTTGATGCTAAGAGAAAACAAATTAAAGTTAAAATGAGCACTGTGGCCCTGCATTAGCCATCTTTTTTAAAAATCAAGGTAAAAGTTAATAAAAGAAAGAGCTTTGATGAGAGGAAGGACCTAAGTCCAGGCACTTTAAGAACAAATACTTGTTTGTTTATAATTTTCTGAATCTCCAGAAGGTACTATCCTGAGTTACAGAATATCTATTGAACGGCTTGCTTACTGAAGCCTTTGTTTTCCTCCATTTGCTGTTCAAAAACTTAGGAGAGAGTGGCAGATCAGTAATGAATAACAGCAAAATCCCCTGGCACCTGTTGGATTTTTATACAAAACAGAAAAAGTTAAAACTTGAAGGAACAATGAAAGAACCTCACATCTCCAGTACTCAATATGATTGAAGTTAGGTTGCTACTGTTTAGAAGCACTGTTTTAAAACTGAGGTTTTGATGCCTTAAAACATTTTTCATCTTTGTTACCTTGCTGAAATAAAATCTAAAAGTTGCATTGGGTATAAGCCAGGATATATTGTACTTTGAAATATAAGTAAACATTTTATCATCCAATGACAGACTTATAACTAATTAGATATTTTCCTGTTGGGATATATCTAGGGAAATTGATTTCAAAAACTGTTTATTAATAGGGACTTTAGAAATTCTATTTAAGGGCTGGGCGCGGTGGCTCACGCCTGTAATCCCAGCACTTTGGGAGGTTGAGGTGGGCGGATCACCTGAGATCAGGAGTTTGAGACCAGCCTGGCCAACACAGTGAAAACCCATCTCTACTAAAAATAAAAAAATTAGGCAGGCATGGTGGCGCACACCTGTAGTCCCAGCTACTTGGGAGGCTGAGGCAGGAGAGTTGCTTGAACCTGGGAGGCGGAGGTTACAGTGAGCCAAGATCACACCATTGCACTCCAACATGAGTGACAAGAGCGAAACTCCATGTCAAAAAAAAAAATCTATGTAAGACTATCAAAGGATTCCTTTACATAATGAGCTCCCCTAGTCCCTAGATATTTGATATATAGGCATAGCTCATTTTATTGCACTTTGCAGATACGTGTTTTTCACGAATTGAAGGCTTGTGGTAATTCTGTGTTGAGCGTCTATCAATACCATTTTTCCAACAACATGTGCTCTCTCTGTGTCTCTATGTCACACTTTGGTAATTCTCACAATATTTCACACTTTTTCTTTATTATTATGAAAAATTGTTTCGGTGATCTGTGATCAGAGATCTTTCTTTTTTTTTTTTTTTTTTTTTTTTGAGATAGAGTCTTGCTCTGTTGCCCAGGCTGGAGTGCAGTGGCATGATCTTAGCTCACTGGAACCTCCACCTCCCAGGTTCAAGTGATCCTCCTGCCTCAGCCCCACTAGTAGCTGGGATTACAGGCACGTGCCACCATGCCCGGCTAATTTTTGTATTTTATTTATTTATTTATTTGACATGGAGTCTCCCTCTGTCGCCAGGCTGGAGTGCAGTCAAGCAATCTCTGCTCACCGCAACCTCCACCTCCTGGGTTCAAGTGGTTCCCCTCCCTCAGCCTCCTGAGTAGCTGGGACTACAGGTGCACACCACCATGCCTGGCTAATTTTTGTATTTTAGTAGAGACTGGGTTTCACCATGTTGGTCAGGATGGTCTCGATCTCCTGACCTTGTGATCTGCCCGCCTCGGCCTCCCAAAGTGCTGGGTTTACAGGCGTAAGCCACTGCGCCTGGCTCAATTTTTGTATTTTTAGTAGAGATGGGATTTTTCCATGTTGGCCAGGCTGGTCTCAAACTCCTGACCTCAGGTGATCCTCCTGCCTTGGCCTCCCAAAGTGCTAGGTACAGCCATGAGCCACTGCGCCCGGCTGATCAGAGATCTTTGATGTTATTATTGTAATCATTTTGGGACACCATGAATTGTGCCCAAATAAGAAGGAGAACTTAATTAATAAGTGTTGTATGTGTTCTGGCTGTTCCACTGACCAGCTGTTACCCATCTCTCTCCCTCTCTTTGGGCCTCCTATTCCCTAAGACACAGCAATATTAAAATTAGGTGAATTGGCTGGGCACAGTGGCTCATGCCTGTAATCCCAGCACTTTGGGAGGCCGAGGCAGGCGAATCACCTGAGGTCAGGAGTTTGAGACCAGCCTGACCAACATGGTGAAACTCTGTCTCTACTAAAAATACAAAATTAACTGGGCATGCTGGTGCATGTCTATAATCCAAGCTACTTGGGAGGCTGAGGCAGGAGAATCCCTTGAATCTGGGAGGTGGAGGTTGCAGTGAGTCAAGATCGTGCCATTGCACTCCAGCCTGGGCAACAAGGGCGAAACTTTGTCTCTAAATAAATAAATAAATAAATTAAATAAAATTAGGTGAATTAATAATCCCACAATGGCCTCTAAGCATTCAAGTGAAAGGAAGAGTCTCACAACTTTCACTTTAAGTCAAGAGTTAGAATTAATATTAGTGAGGCAGGCATGTCAAAAACCAAGATAGAATGAAAGCTAGGACTCTTGTGCCAAAGGGCTAGCCAAGTTGTGAATGCAAAGGAAAAATTCTTGAAAGAAATTAAAAGTGCTACTCTAGGGCTGGGTGCAGTGGCTCACTCTTGTAATCCCAGCACGTTAGGAGGCTGAGGCAGGAGGATGGCTTTAGACCAGGAGTTCAAGACCAGCCTGACCAACTGATATAGTTTGGCCGTGTCCCCACCCAAATCTCATCTTGAACTGTAGCTCCCATAATCCCCATGTGTCGTGGGAGGGACCTGGTGGAAGGTAATTTAATCATGGGGGCAGTTACCCTCGTGCTCTTCTTGTGATAGTGAGTTCTCACGAGATTGGATAGTTTTATAAGGGGCTTTTCCCCCTTTTGATTGGCACTTCTTGCTGCTGCCATGTGAAGAAGGAGGTGTTTGCTTCCTCTTCTGCCATGATTGTGAGTTTCCTGAGGGTTCCCCAGCCCTGCGGAACTGAGTCAATTAAACCTCTTTCCTTTATAAACTACCCAGTCTTGGGTATTTCTTTGTAGCAGCATGATAATTGACTAATACACCAACGTAGTGAAATCCTGTCTCTACAAAAAATTAAAAAATTAGCAGGGCATGGTGATATGCACCTGTAGTTCTAGCTATTCGGGAAGGCTGAGGTGGGAGGATCACTTAAGCCTGGGAGGTTGAGGCTGCAGTGAGCTATGATTGTGCCACTGTATTTCAGCTTAGGTGACAGAGTGAGACCCTGTCTCAAAAAAAAGGGAGGGGGGCCACTCCACTGTACACAGGAGTGACAAGAAAGTGAAACAGCCTTATTGTTATTGCTGATATGGAGAAAGTTTGAGTGGTCTAGATAGATTAAACCAGCCACAACATTCCCTAAAGCCAAGGCCTAACCCAGAACAAGGCTCTGACTCTATCAATTGTGTAAAGGCTGAGAGAGGTGGGAAGCTGCAGAAAAAAAGTCTGAAGCTAGCAGAGATTGGTTCATGAGGTTTAAGAAACCATCTCTGTAACATAAAAGTGCAAGGTAAAGCAGCCAGTGCTGATGTTGAAGCTACAGCAAGTTATCCATAAGCTCTAGCTAAGATTGTTGATTGATGAAGATGGCTACACTGACGAATAGATTTTCAATGTGGATGAAACAGCCTTCTACTGGAAGGAGAGTCCATTTAGGACTTTGTTTTTCTTTCTTTTTCTTTTGAGGTGGAGTTTTACTCTTGTTGCCCAGGCTGGAGAGCAATGGTGTGATGTCGGGTCACTGCAACCTCTGCCTCCTGGTTCAAGCGATTTTCCTGCCTCAGCCTCCCAAGCAGCTGGGATTACAGGCATGTGCCACCACGCCCAGCTAATTTTTTTTTTTCAGTAGAGATGGGGTTTCTCCATGTTGGTCAGGCTGGTCTTGAACTCCCAACCTCAAGTGATCCGCCTGCCTCGGCCTCCCAGAGTGCTGGGATTACAGGCGTGAGCCACTGCACCCAGCTCCATTTAGGACTTTCATAGCTAGAAAAGACAAGACAATGCTTGGCTTTAAATCCAAAGAATAGGCCGACTCTGGTTAGGAGCTAATGCAACTGATGACTTTAGTTGAAGCCAGTTCTCATTTACCATTTGGAAAATCCTAGGACATTTTAAGAATTATGATACGTTGGCCAGGTGAGGTGGCTCACACCTGTAATCCCAGCATTTTAGGAGACCAAGTCAGGAAGATTGCTTGAACCCAGGAGTTTGAGACCAGCCTGGGCAACATGGTGAAACCCCATCTCTACAAAAAATAAAAAATTAGCCAGGTGTTGTGGCATGTGCCTGTAGTTCCAGCTACTCAGGAGGCTGAGGTAGGAAGATCACCTGAGACTGGAAGGTTGAGGCTGCAGTGAGCCATGATTGTGCCACTGCACTACAGCCTGGGTGACAGCAAGACCTTGTCAAAAAAGAAAAAAAAAAAAAGAATTATACTACATCTACTCTGTCTGTGCCGTATAAATGGAACAGCAAAGCCCAGATGACAGTACATCTATTTACAGGTGGTTTACTGAATATGTTAAGCCCACTGTTAAGACCTACTGCTTAGAAAACAAGATTTCTTTCAAAATTACTGCTCATTGACAATGTACCTAGTCACCCAAGAGCTCTGATGGCATTGTACAAGGAGATTAATATTTTCATGCCTACTAAACACAACATCCATTCTTCAGCCCATGGATCAAAGAGTTAATTTCTATTTTCAAGTCTTATTTAAGAAATATGGCCGGGTGCGGTGGCTCACGCCTGTAATCCTAGCACTTTGGGAGGCCGAGATGGGCGGATCACGAGGTCAGGAGATCGAGACCATCTTGGCTAACACGGTGAAACCCCGTTTCTACTAAAAATACAAAAAATTAGCCGGGCGTGTTGGCGGGCGCCTGTAGTCCCAGCTACTTGGGAGGCTGAGGCAGGAGAATGGCATGAACCTGGGAGGCGGAGCTTGCAGTGAGCCGAGATCGCGCCACTGCACTCCAACCTGGGAGACACAGCGAGACTCCGTCTCAAAAAAAAAAAAAAAAAAAAAAGAAATACATTTTGTAAGGCTATAGTTGCCAAAGAAAGTGATTCCTCTGATGGATCTGGGCAAAGTAAACAGAAAATCTTTTGGAAAGGATTCACCTTTGTAGATGCCATTAAGAACATTCATGATTCATGAGAGGAGGTCAAAATGTCAACATTAACAGGGTTCTGAAGAGGCTGATTCCAACCCTCGGGTCACTTTGAGGGATTCAAGACTTGGTGGAGGAAGGAAATGCAGATGTGGTGGAAATAGTAAGAGAACTACAGTTAGAAGTGCAGCCTGAAGATGCAACTGAATTGCTGCAATCTCATGATAAAACTTGAAAGGCTGAGGAGTTGCTTTTTATGGATGAGCAAAGAAAGTGGTTTCTTGAGGTAGACTTGTGAAAGTTGCAGATACCAGATGAAATCACTTTTTGTCAGACCCAAACAAACTAGAGCCAGGAGAGCATGAAGGGGAAGGCTCATGTTTGCATGGCTGAGATAAAGACTGTCTCAAAGACTTTCCAAAATAACCCTGCAAATAATTATTTCTTTAGAATTGCAGCAATTCAGACAAGATGCTCTCAAAAGCATACCTGCCCAGTAACGGCATTTTCACCAATGAACCTATGCCATCTCTGAGTCCCTGAAACCAATGAGCTCTGTTTTCAAGCACCTTATGTGAACCTCTCATTCTGCCAATAAAAGCTTCCCTTTACCCTCCCCTCTTCAGTTGCATATGTGGCTTGCCATTGTGCATCTCAGTTTATAATTCTCTTTTCTAACTCCCGAAAAAATTTAACATATTTGGAGATATTTTTTGGTTGAAAGAATCTATCTCGGGTGAAGATGCTGTGAATATTGTTGAAATGATGACAGAGAATTTAGAATATTACATAAAATTAGTTGATAAAGCAACCACTGGGCTGGAGAGGATTGACTCTGATTTTGAAAGGAGTTCTGTGGATAAAATGCTGTCAAACAGCTGTTACATGCGACAGAGAAATCTCATTAAAGAAAGAATCAGGCTGGGCACGGTGGCTCATGCCTGTAATCTCAGCACTTTGGGAGGCTGAGGTGGGTGGATCACCTGAGGTCAGGAGATCCAGACCAGCCTGGCCAGCGTAGTGAAACCTCGTCTCTACTAAAAATACAAAAATTAGCCGGGTGTGGTGGCAGGCGCCTATAATCCCAGCTACTCGGGAGGCTGAGGCAGGAGAATCACTTGAACCCAGGAGGTGCAGGTTGTGGTGAGCCTCGCGACAGAGTGAGACTCCATCTCAAAAAAAAAAAAGAGGAAGAATCAGTTGATTCAGAAACTTCATTGTTGTCTTTATGAAATTGCAACAGCCACCCCAACATTCAACAACGATCACCCTGATCAGTCATCAGCCACCGGGCTTGAGACAAGGCCCTCCACTAGCAAAAACATTATGACCTACTGAAGGTTCAGATGATCATCAGCATTTTTAGCAACAAAGTATTTTTATCTTTATTTATATATTTTTCAGAGGGAGTCTCACTTTGTTGCCCAGGCTGGAGGCAGCAGTGTGATCATAGCTCAGTGCCACCTTGAATTCCTGGGCTAAAACAATCCTCCTGCTTCAGCCTCCCAAGTACCTAGGACTACAAGTCTGCACCACTGCAGACTTTTTTTTTTTTTGTAGAGATGGGGGTCTCACCAACTTGACTAGGCTAGTCTCGATCTCCTGGGCTCCTGCTTTGGCCTCCCAGAGTGCTGGGGGTTACAGGCGTGAGCCACTGCACCTGGCCAATAAAGTATTTTTAAATAAGGTATGTACATTGTTTCTTTTAGACATAATACTATGGTGTAGTAAATAGACTACGATATAGTGTAAACATAATTTTTATATGTACTAGGAAACCAAAAAAATTGTGTGACTCATTTTATTGTGGTACTTGCTTTATTATGGGGGTCTGTAACCAAACCACAGTATCTCCAAGGTATGCCTCTATAATTCAAATTACTAAAATTCAGCCGGGTGCCATGGCTAACGCCTGTAATCCTAGCACTTTGGGAGGCCAAGGTAGGTGGATTGCTTGAGCCCAGGAATTCAAGAGCAACCTGGGCAACATGGTGAAACCCCATCTCTACAAAAAATACAAAAAGTTAGTAGGGCATGGTGGCGTGTGCCTGTGGTCTCAGCTGCTCGGAAGGCTGAAATGGGAGGACTGCTTGAGCCTGGGAGGTGGAGGTTGCAGTGAGCTGAGATCACGCCACTGCACTGCAGCCTGGGTGACAGAGTGAGACCCTATCTCAAAAATAAAATGAAATAAAATTCAAAGTACATCCTCTTTTCAGGAGCTCATCCTTGTCAGGAAGGTAGAAATACCTTTGTGGACTGCATTCTCTAAAGTTTGCAAAATAAACAGCCATCTTCTATTATTAAAATGGTAGCTCTGTATCATTTCTTTCTCCCCTCCAAAATGTGTGACAGGTCTAATTTCTCTCTAGATACCATAATTTCCTTCCATTTTATTACTAAATCCTGGAGAAAAGCCCATTTTGAAGAAAACAGAGCTTACAGCTTTAAAAACTGATTGTTATTTTGATATACCAAAACCCAGTTTTGCCTTTATGCTCAGTGCATTTCTGTCATTGTACGTCCTAAACTAACTAATTTATATTCTTCCCTTGGTACTTAAAGAATCAAAAACCCTAACACTGTACTTGTAATTGACTGGTTGTGTTAAAAGTGACCATGTTTTTGTGCATCTAAAAATAGAACATAAAATATTGTATCTGATTTTGCTCCAGGACTTCTGTGGTTTCTTATTATAACCCCCTCTGCTACCCTTTGAAATTCCTTTAATGTCAGGGACATTTACTTTAAGAGTAAGATAATACATCTTAAGAGACTTTTAGGCTGGGCATAGTGGCTCACACCTCTAATCCCAGCACTTTGGGAAGCCAAGGCAGGAGGAATACATGAGGCCAGGAGTTCAAAACCAGCCTGGGAAACAGCAAGACCCCATCTCAGCACCACTAACAAAATTAGCCAGGTGTGGTATTCCCAGCTACTTGGGAAGCTGAGGCAGGAGGATTACCTGAGCCCAGGAGTTGAGTCTGCAGTGAGCTATGATTGCATCACTGCACTCCAACCTGGTCCACAGAGTGAGGCCCTGTCTGAAAACAAAACAGAAGACTTTTAGTATATGCTATGAATTTACTAGCTAAGTAAATCGGATGGAGTTAATATCCCAGTTACGTAAAGTTGTTCTTCTTACAGTGTTAATGAAAGATGGGTACAAGAGAAAACATTTTCCCCAAATTTAAGCAAGTAGAAGCTATGTAACTCCTGATGGATTTTGTATGAAAAAACAACATCAGAAGCTATTCGATATTTAAGTGAGGGGGGAAATGTTATAATACTAAATCTAGAAGGGAAACCAAAGTATTGATTGTAACCTACTCAGATGTCATAAATCTACAGCAGAGCTGCCTGAGCCCCACAGAGTAAATGACATTCATTAAGGCTGAATGTATTGTTGCACTAGGATCAGGGAGGCAAACTGTTTTACTATTGTCTGCAAAGCCTGAACCCTCCACTTGAGAAATAATTTAAATAAATAAATTTTTTTGAAGCCAGTGACTCTCTTTTGGCCTGACAATTTTTTTTTTCTTTCTGATTAGCAGTAAGTAATGTGCTAAATCCCCAGACCCCGCACCCAAACCTGGCTGAATTACCTCACTTGGAAATGGACAATAAAGATGCCCTTTACGAGAAGTCTGTTTCATGAAAGACTGGCAGGTTTTAAAGAGAGGAGTGTAAACCTGGCGGCCAGGAAGGCCTGGGTTCTGATTTCATGTCAGACAGCAGCCTTTGTGCCCTCTGCCAAGTAACTTTCTGTGGCTTTTCTTTTCTTTTTTCTTAGAAAGGTGACCGCTGGACTGATGGTTCAGACTGGTCCTCATGAACTAGTCTGCGGCTCCCATGGATTTGAGCCAGTAACATTATTTTAGCCTCACAAATTTTCATAAGGCAAACACCCTCATAAAACCATCACTCTGGTCAGAAATAGAACTTTGCCAGTCACCCCAGAAGCTCCTCCTTGTTTTCCATCCCAATTGTCATTCCCTTCTTCCAAAAGTAACTACAGGCGGTTCTTGCTTTACACAACATTATGGTACTGTAAAAATGATAGCTCATGCTGAAACACTGATAAGCTATCCTAATAATCAGTGGGAAAAATTGTGACTGACTGTTCTGGAACCTTTTAAAATTTTTGTCAAAACATTAAAAGCCCTTTTACTCTCTGTTATAATTGTATAGGGAAATGAAAACATAGTAAAGTGTTATACCCTGTAATTTAAAACATTAGCAACATTAGAATAAAAGGTTTTATTTCTTTGTAAAAACTTATCAAGAGTAGTTTGAATAGTGCTTGCCTTCTTTTTTCTCATCATATAACTTATGATATACAACAAGCATCTTTTCTTTGCCTTGATGAATTTTTATACTCCTTTTGAAGTTTGGATCAGCTTCCAAGATTTTATACTTTGTGCTTTCAATGTTGGGAAGTGCCTCCAACAATTCCTTTTTTTTTGAGATGGAGTCTCACTCTGTCGCCTAGTTAGGAGTGCTGTAGCGCAGTCTTGGCTCACTGCAACCTTTGCCTCCCAGGTTCAAGCTATTCTCCTGCCTCGGCCTGCCGAGTAGCTGAGACTACAGGTGCACGCCACCCAGCTAATTTTTGTATTTTTTATTTATTTATTTATTTATTTAATATTTTTATTTTATTTTATTTTATTTTATTTTTTAATTTTTTGAGATGGAGTCTCGCTCTGTCGCCCAGGCTTGAGTGCAGTGGCATGATCTCGGCTCACTGCAAGCTCAGCCTCATGGGTTCACGCCATTCTCCTGCCTTAGCCTCCGGAGTAGCTGGGACTACAGGCACCTGCCACCACGCCCGGCTAACTTTTCGTATTTTTAGTAGAGACGGAGTTTCACCATTTTGGCCAGGATGGTCTTGAACTCCTGACCTCAGGTGATCCACCCGCCTCACCCTCCCAAAGTGCTGGGATTACAGGCATGAGCCACCATGCCTGGCAAGAGTTCCTTTAATGCGAAGTTTTTGCTGGTGTCATTTCTTCATTTTTTTTCATCTCAACCACTTTTCTCATGTAAGTCAGTAATTTTTCTTTATGAAGGTCTTATGGGTGCACATCTAGAGTCTTCGCATGGTGGTGATGCTGACATTCCCATGGTCAGCTATTTCTTCTATATGTAACTCTGTTTACATTCTTTTCATATTTTACTTCCAGTGTTAATCACTTTTCATTTCTTTGCTACACTTTCATCTTTGTTGGCCAGTTTCTTCCTTCAATTTATTCATTTTGTAAAAGTTATGTGGGTTTATCCCTGGGAGATCAGGAAGCAACACAGATACTTGGTTTGCTCTCTGTGCAAGAACTGAATAACAGATGAGGAGTGACCAATCAGAGACTTGGAAAGGAGTGATGTAATTGGTCACTGATCGTGATGCACATCTGTTAATTACATAGTGAGCTGTGGCCAGAAGAGCTATTTGTGAAGTCTGTACTTCATGTTGTTTCTCAAAGTTAATTCAGTGTGGTAAGTAAAATTTGAGGTACGTCATTGGGGCACTGCTGTAGTTTAACTAAACTGGAATTGAAATTGTACATATTGGAATCATGTAAAGTGAAGACTACCTGCATGATTCTTTTATAGCAATCATTTCCCTGTATTTTTTTTATAGTTCTACGAACCAAATGTACATTTTTAGATAACGTAGTTTGGTGTTGTCCCTTTAGATGTTTTTGTTGTCTTCTGAGGTTTGTTTGTTTGAGAGGGAGTCTTACTCTGTCACCCAGGCTGATGAGCAGTGGTGCGATCTCAGCTCACTGGAACCTCTGCTTCCTGGGTTCAAGCGATTCTCTTGCCTCAGCCTCCCGAGTAGCTGGAATTACAGGTGTGTGCCATGATGCTCATCTAATTTTTTTTGTATTTTTAGTAGAGACAGGGTTTTGTCATGTTGGCCAGGCTGGTCTCGAACTCTCGATCTCAAGTGATCTGCCCACCTTGGTCTCCCAAAGTGCTGGGATTACAGGTGTGAGCCACCACACCCAGTGTGTGTGTGTTTTTTTTTTTTTTTAATCTATGTGTTTTCCGTCTGTATTAGGCCATTCTTGCATTGCTATACAGAAATAGATGAGACTGGGTATTTTATAAAGAAAAGAGGTTTAATTGGCTCACAGTTCAGCAGGCTGTACAGGAAGCATGGTGCTGGCATCTGCTTGGCTTCCAGGGAGGCCTCAAGGAGCTTTTACTCATGGTGGAAGGTGAAGGGGGAGCAGGCACTTCACATGGTGAGAATGGGAGCCAGAGTGGAGGAGGTGCCATATACTTTTAAAGAACCAGATCTTGTGAGAACTCACTCACTATTATGAGGACAACACTAAGCCATTTGATGTGGTTTCAGTCTGTGTCCCCACCATATCTCATGTGGAATTGTAATCCCCAATGTTGGAGGTGGGGCTGGGTGGGAGGTGATTGGATCATGGGGGCAGAGTTCTCATGAATGGTTTAGCACCGTCCTCTTGGTGCTGTTTTCATGATAGTGAATGAGTTATCACAAGATCTTGTTGTTTTAAAAGCATGTAACACCTGCCCCCTCTCTCTTCCTCCTGCTCTGGCCATGTAAGATGTGCCTGCTTCCCCTTCACCTTCTGCTATAATTGTAAGTTTCCTGAGGCCTCCCCAGAAGCTGATATTGCCATGCTTCCTGTACAGCCTGCAGAACCGTGAACCAATTAAACCTCTTTTCTTTATAAATTATGCAGTCTCAGGTATTTCTTTTCTCTCTCTCTCTTTTTTTTTTCTGAGATGGAATCTTGCTCTGTTGCCCAGGCTCTGCAGTGGTGCAATCTTGGCTCACTGCAACCTCCACCTCCCAGGTTCAAGCGATTCTCCTGCTTCAGCCTCCTGAGTAACTGGGATTACAGGCACATGCCATCATGCCTGACTAATTTTTTGTATTTTTAGTAGAGACAGGATTTTGTCATGTTGGCCAGGCTGGTCTGGAACTCCTGACCTCAAGTGATCCACCCGCTTTGGCCTCCCAAAGTTAAGTATTTCTTTATAGCAGTGCAAGAATGGACTAATACACCATTGATGAGGGATCTGCCCCACCCCTATGACCCAGTCACCTCCCAGCAGGCCCCACTTTTAACATTGTGGATTACATTTCAGCATGAGATTTGGGAGGTGACAAATATCGAACTCTGTCACTCTCTATCTTAGTTTGCCAGGGCTGCCATAACAAAGTACTATAGACTGGGTGACATAAACAATAGCAGTTTATTTTCTCACGGTTTTGGAGACTGGAAGTCCAAACCCAAGGTGCTGGTGGAATTGATTTCTCCCAAGGCCTCTTTGGCTTCAGATGGCCACCTTCTCTCTGTGTTCTCACTTGGTCTTGCCTCTGTGCGTGTGCATCCTTGGTGTCTCCAGTCAGACTGGGTTAGGGCCTACCCTAATGGCCTCATTTTAACTTAATTACCTCTTTCAGGGCTCTGTCTCCAAATAGTCACATTCTGAGGTATTGGGAGAGCTTTAATATATGAACTTGTTCTGCCCATAACACTGTCCATACCTTTCTTTTCTTTATTACTTGTCTATCAAAATAGCTAGGCTGTTTACCACTAGTCTCATAAAACATAAATTATGGCCACAGAAATTTTATATTAAAGTGTTAGGATCATCCATGAAGGACAGCATTGAAGATTAGCCTGGATTAAGTAGGGTAAAATTATGCTCCAGTTACTAAGGCTTTCTAACAAATTACCCTAAAACTTGGTAGCTTAAAACAGCAACAATGATTTATTGTATCTCAATACAATAAATCAGTCAGTCAGGAATTAATTAGAAAGTGACCTGGCTGAGAGGTTCAGACCTTAGTCCATAAAGGCAATTGCAGTCACATGCCAGGTGGGGCTGCAGTCATCTGAAAGGTTGACTGGGGTGGGATGGTTCCCTTCTAAGATGGTGCATTCACATGGTTGGGATGTTGGTGGTGGCTGCTGGAGGCTGTATCTCCTTTCCACTGGCTGCTTGAATTTCCTCAAGGCATGGCAGCTGGCTTCCACCAGAGCAAGTGATTCAAGATGCTAAGACAAGCTGCAGTGCTTTTCATGTAGCCTCAGAAGTCATGTATTGCCACTTTCACCATGTTCTATTGGTCACACATACCCAGCCTTGATCCACTGTGGAGGAAGCCTTCACAAGGGTGTTAATTATAGGACCTCAGGATTATTGGAAACTGTCTTGGAGACAGACTACCATAAATTGGAGTGGTAAAAAGTGTCTTATTTTTGGGAAACCTGTTTGCAAGTCTCCATCTTCAAATGCTCACTTACCTTACGTGCATGTCATCAAAATTAAACATTACTAAATGCTATCTTTCTACTTCTCACTTAATGAGGTAATATTTTTAAGAGTTTTCAGGATAAATTTTTATGCTTAATCTCTCTATCTGACTAACAAAAACCATTATACTAATCCAAATACATATATTTATCTATTAATAGATTTATCTTCAACTTTATCATTTATTTAAGATACTGGTCTTAAACCAAATGGCGGATCATGAACTCTAAAATATGGCAGTAGATTTTGGCTTATGTTACTGGGAAATATTGTGACTCTCAGGCTAAAGTAATAACTTTGCAGCTTGCTGAGTGAACCCTAATAAGTTGATTGAGTTATATTTTTTCTCAGTTTTTTGGTCTGCTGTAAATGAAAAGAGAATTTCTCATTGTTATAGACTGAATGTTTGTGTCTCCCCCGCGAATTCATATATTGAAACCCTAACCCTCAATGTGATGGTACTAGGAGGTGGGGCCTTTGGGATGTAATAAAGTTGTGAGTTTGGAGCCTTCACGAATGGGATTACGTCCTTATAAAAGAGACCTCAGAGAGCTTTCTAGGCCTCTTGCCACCATGTGAGGATACAATGAGCAGATGGTGTTCTATGAACCAGGAAATGGGCCCTCACCAGATTCCAAATCTTCTGGTTTCTTCATTTTAGACTTTCTAGCCTCCAGAACTGTGAGAGATAAATGTTTGTTGTTTAAGCCACTGAGTCTATGGTATTCTGTTATAGCAGCCAGAACTACTAAGACACGAATCATTTTTAATGGTGAAAATAATAAGTGGAAATTATGAGGAAAATTGGTAATGATTTTGGGCTATAACTGTGGAAAAGTAGAATATATGTGTGCATTAGGTTTCTTTAGAGGGACAGAACTAACAGGATATATGTAGGTATGAAAGGGAGTTTATTAAGGATAATTGATTCACAAGGTTAAAGTCCCACAGTAGCCTGTCTGCAAGTTGAGGAGCAAGGAAGCCAGTGGTGGATCAGTCCAAATCCCAAAACCTCAAAAGTAGGGAAGTTGACAGTGCAGCCTTCAGTCTGTGGCCAAATGCCCAAGAGCCCCTGGCAAATCACTGGTGTAAGTCCAAGAGTCCAAAAGCTGAAGAACCTGGAGTCTGATGTTTGAGGGCAGGAAGCATCCAGCACGGGAGAAAGATGAAGGCTGGAAGACTCAGCAAGTCTGCCCTTCCATCTTCTCCTGCCAGCTTTATTCTAGCTGAGCTGGCAGCTAATTAGATGGTGCCCACCCAGATTGAGGGTGGATCTGCCTCTTCCAGTCACTGACTCACATGTTAATCTCCTCTGGCAACACACTCACAGACACACCCAGGAACAATACTTTGCATCCTTCGATCCAATAAGGTTGACACTCAATATTAACCATCACAGTGTGAAATTCCACTGAGGAGCTGTGTCGTGGTCTTGGCTAGTTCTTGGCCTATGCTGTCTTGGGGTTCAGCACCATGGGCAGCTACTCCTGCCATGCCCTGCCACCCCCACATTTGACATGCAAAAGGGGTGACAGACAACCTTGGGCAGTGTGGAGGGGTGTGCACACCTGTGGTATAGGCGCTTCGTGTCCTGTTGGTTCAGAGTTCACCTTTTTTTTGTCTTCTTAAAATGAATATGTCTTTTTTTTTAAAATTGAGACGGAGTTTCACTCTTGTTGCCCAGGCTGGAGTGCAATGATGTGATCTCGGCTCACTGCAACCTCCGTCTCCTGGGTTCAAACGATTCTCCTGCCTCAGCCTCCCGAGTAGCTGGGATTACAGGCATGTGCCACCACACTCAGCTAATTTTGTATTTTTAGTAGAGACGGAGTTTCTCCATGTTGGTCAGGCTGGTCTCGAACTCCCGACCTCAGGTGATCTGCCCGCCTCGGCCTCCCAAAGTGTTGGGATTACAGGCATGAGCCACCATGCCTGGCTGAACATATCTTTAAATTCATCCCCTCAGTGTCCATAAAACCAGCATAACTTAGAGGAGCCTCAGGTTAATTTAAAGCTTCTGTGCCAGAGGACTGAACTCTTGAATGTCCATTCTTGGTTCAGTCCTCTAGCCTCTATTTCCAATGCCATCTAAGGATTTCACCAGCCTTGTAAGGGTTAGGGTTGTTTTAAGCTCACTGCAGCCTTTAACTCCTGGGCTCAAGTGATCCTCCTGCTTCAGATTCCTGAGTAGCTAGAACTATACAGGTGTGTGCCACCATGCTCAGCTAATTTTAAAAAATATTTTTAGAGATAGAGTCTTGCTGTGTTGCACAAGTTGGTCTTGGACTCCTGACCTGAAGCAATCCTCCTGCCTCAGCCTCCTGAGGAGCTGGAAATACAGGTACAAGCTGCTGTGCCCAGCTTAGGGTGGTTTTTATTTAAACATTATGACAGTTATAAGGAGACGTATCAGGCTCTATCTTCTTTCCATAAACATTTACTCTGCTTAATTATTATGGACAAAGAAAGCTGACAGTAGTATTTCTAATGTTTCTAGAACCATGCTGCTACTGTATAAAATTGATTAAATATTATCCTTGGAATATATCCTGGAGAGCATACATTCTAAGAAATAAAGTATTACTTTTTATTCAAATCATTCACTTTCCCTTTGTGGCAGTCTTTTAGAAATTGCCCTATTGGGGCTCTTCCTCATGTTTCCAAACTGAGTATCCAGACAGCCTTTTCCTATAGCACACTAGATATGAGAAAAATGAGACCTGAAAGATCATGATCACAGAGACAGGAAACTTACCTGGCATTGATGAATTTGGATAATAATGTAGTTATTATAATATCAATTAACAAATTTTTTCTTTTTTTACTTAAAGTTTTAAAATATAATTTTCCAATTCTCCTAGATCCTGACTTTTTTTCTTTTTAAGAGAGAGAATATAGACAATATTTATATGCCAAAGCAACTTAGATAAGTAACTATTAAAATTTCAAAATTTTGAAAGTAAGTTTCAAAAATACCTTATAGATTAGCAAGTTTTTTTTGTTTTTTGTTTTTTTTGAGACAAAGTCTCGCTTGTCGCCCAGGCTGGAGTGCAATGGCGCAATCTCAGCTCACTGCAACCTCTGCCTCCCAGGTTCAAGTGATTCTCCTGCCTCAGCCTCTGAGTAGCTGGGATTACAG
Source organism: Homo sapiens (assembly GCF_000001405.40). NCBI lineage: Eukaryota > Metazoa > Chordata > Mammalia > Primates > Hominidae > Homo > Homo sapiens. Next base: position 89,460,579 of record NC_000006.12, read on the forward strand.
ACGCCTGCCACCACACCTGGCTAATTTTTGTATTTTTAGTAGAGACGGGGTTTCACCATGTTGGCCAGGCTGGTCTCGAACTCCTGACCCCAGGCAATCCGGCTGTCTTGGCCTCCCAAAGTGCTGGGATTACAGGCGTGAGCACCCAGCCAATTTTCTTTTTTTTAATGAGGTTATTTTTCTCTCAAGTTTTTTTTATTAAATTTGCTACTTAGGATCATTTCAGAATGAGAGAGTGGAGAGGGAGAGAAAGAAATGAAATAATTATCTCAGAGTCACCATATCTACACTTACTGGAATGTACTAATACTACATCGGTGTTTTGGAATTCTTTTTTTTTGAGACCGAGTCTCCCTCTGTCATCGAGGCTGGAGTGCAGTAAGCTGTTCACAGCTCACTGCAACTTCTGCCTCCCGGGTTCAAGCGATTCTCCTGCCTCAGCCTCCTGAGTAACTGGGATTACAGGCATGTGCCATCATGCCCGGCTAATGTTTGTATTTATTTATTGTTTTTTTGGTAGAGACAGGGTTTTGCCATATTGGCCATGCTAGTCTCTAACTCCTGACCTCAAGTGAACCGTCAGTCTCTGCCTCCTGAAGTGTTGGGATTACAGGAGTGAGCCACCGCACCTGGCTTGGTGTTTTGGAATTCAAAGGAGAGTTTTGTTAATAGTTCCTTGAGATTTACATATACCTTGGAAGAAACTGAACTTTTTGAAATTGGGATAAGCAGTTTCAGGTATCATATATGCCTTTCACATAAAGGCACATATGATATAAGAGTACATTAGTTGATGGGAGAGAATAGAATTAGTGAGAGATGAGATTTCTTATGTGCTGCAGTATTATGCGCTGTTTGTAGGAAGTTATGTAGTTACCCAAGTGATACAACAGTGAGAAGTAAGAGATTCATGGCTTTATGTTAAGCCAACATATGTCCGTTGCAGAGCTGATGCTAATAATTTAGAATTCAGTTTTTTTTAGCAGTTCACATTCACTCATAACAACTCAGTATCATTTGCTAAATAAAGAGGCTTTGGTATCATTCATAAAAGAAAATTAGGAATATTATTAAAATATGGTAGTATAAGCTCTCTAGTGTATTAGATAAGCTCTCTAATGTATTGTAGTTTGTTTGAACTTCATACGGCTGCAGAAATGAATCAACATTCAACCCAGACTTTTGTGAATAGAGTATGAGAAATGATGTTATTGAATCTTTACATCCCTGGAAGCTTGTCTAATAAATTGAGTAGTTGTCACACTGAGTTTTGTACAATTCATATCATAAAAATATAACTATTATATTTATGTTCTACTGTACTCCACAAGCTCATTAGAGATAACCAGTGCTAGTTTTAAAAGTGAAATGGGCCGGGCACAGTGGCTCACGCTTGTAATCCTAGCACTTTGGGAGGCCAAGGTGGGCGGATCACCTGAGTTCAGGGGTTCGAGACCAACCTGGCCAATATGGTGAAACCCTGTCTCTACTAAAAATACAAAAATTAGCCAGACATAGTGGTGCATGCCTGTAATTCCAGCTACTCAGGGGGCTGAGGCAGGAGAATCGCTTGAACCCGGGAGGTGGAGGTTGCAGTGGGCCGAGATCACGCCACTGCACTCCAGCCTGGGCAACAGAGTGAGACTCCATCTCAAAATAATAATAATAATAATAATAATAATAATAATAATAAATACATAAATAAAAATGAAGGAAGTTTACAGTGTTTATCTTCTTTTGGGGTTAAACTGTTTTTACAGAGTCAAGGTTATTGAAATTTATTTGTAGCAGAGATGGGTGAATAATAAACAGTTTTTTCCAGACATGTAATACAAGCTGTCTGATGGCTTCTATCTGCGTGCCTTAGAAACAAAGACATCTCTGAGCTGCAGGAGAGGGGACTGGAGTGAAGCACCTCCAACTAGTAAATACTGAAGAATACAGTCCTAACACATATAGGACATATATAGGAATCACAGTGACTGATTACACTAACTAGATTGCTTCTGAAATACCAGTACCATTTTAAGTCCTGATCTGAGTGGGTTTCATATGCCTCTGTTCTGTCTTTCATATTTAATATATTGCATTTTGTTTTAGAGACAGAACAAAGTCTATTGCGTAAGACAATAAAAAGATTATCTTTGGGCAATTCCCATAACAGACTTTCTGTTTTAACAAATCTCTTAAGTTACTGGAGCTGTCTTATTTATTTTTAGAGATGTTTTTACATTGTAGAAAAGTACACGAGTACCCCTATGTATTGACCACCAAGATGAGTTTTTAGTTTTTTTTTTTTTTTTTTCTAAGAGACAAGGTATTAGTCTGTTACCCAGCCTGAAATGCAGTGGTGCTATCAGAGCTCGCTCAAACTCCTGGGCTCAAGTGATCCTCCTGCCTCAGCTTCCCAAGTAGGACTATAGTCATGTGCCACCATGCCCAGCTAATTTTTTAAAAAATTCTTTTTTGTGAAAACAAAAAATCCTACTATGTTGCCCTGACTTGTTTCAAAGTCCTGGCCTCAAGTGATCCTCCCACCTTGGCCTCCCAGAGTGTTGGGATTACAGCCATGAGCCATCATACCTGGCTATAATTTCTAATATATATGCTTTTTGAAGTAAAATATATAAGAGCAGTTTTATCACTTATTTTTTCATTTAGTATTTTTTCTGAGCATTTTGTTATTAATTTTTTTAAAACAATTTTTAATAACTGCAAAATATTTTATCGTATGGATATACCATAATTTTACTGGTTTCCTATTATTAGACATTAAGGAAGCCTCTGGAATGTCATTTAAAAAACACAGAAAGTATTGTACATGAATGTTTTGTACTCTATCCAATTAATTCCTAAAGATGAATTACCAAAAATTAAAGTACTGGGTGCAAGATATGAACATTTTTTAAGGTTCATACAATACTTTTCAAATAATTATATTTTAACACAGTATTTCATCAAGTTGGAGACCTTATAACTTTTTCAAAGGATATATGAAAACTGTCTGTCACCCAGGCTGGAGTGCTATGGTGCGATCTTGGCCCACTGCAACCTCCGCCTCCTGGGTTCAAGCAATTCTCCTGCCTCAGCCTCCCGAGTAGCTGGGATTACAGGTGCCCGCCACCATGCCCAGCTAATTTCTTTGTATTTTTAGTAGAGATGGGGCTTCACCATGTCTGGCAGGCTGTTCTTGAACTCCTGACCTCAGGTGATCTGCCCGCCTTGGCCTCCCAAAGTGCTGGGAATACAAGCATAAGCCACCACGCCCAGTCAAAAATCTTATTTTATAAAAAAAAGCAATTGACCCTCATTTTGGGGTCTGCTTCAATAAATCTTTCTCATTGAAGGAGCTCATCCTCACTAGTCTCCTTCCTTGTTAGATTCACTCTTGCAAAACAAAAATATGATAATGTATATCTGCGTACTGGACATATGAATCAATCTCTAATTTATCAGGTGTAAGGCCACAGCCCTTCAGTAATAGAGTCTTGCCTTTAATAAGATCTGGAATAACAAAACAAAATAATTCTTTATGAACTCTAGCTGGGGAGTACCGTTATTAGTCCTTGAAGTTAAAAAACTGTCCTTGTTTTGTAATAAGTTAATTGTAACACTAGTGGTGATATTTTATCTAGTAGTCTAAATTCCTGCCTCCACTGGCAGGAACTTCACTTCTTTTTAACTTGATCAAATGTCCAATTTTAGAATAACAGAGAAAAAAGAGAAAAGGAAAAAAAAAGAATTAACAGATGGTTAGAGCTTGTTTTATACTGATTCTTAATATTTTTCCCTCTAGGATACAGAAAACGTTTCTTTAGTCCCTTCCAACTTAATCATCCTTGCCTCCATACAGAAATCCCAAGGTGCCCTAGGTGGTTCACAGTGTTAACTGCAAGCGCTTATATCTGTCAGGCCTTTGTTTGGAGGCTAGAGCAGGAACATCACATGATACACAGGAAAAGATTCTGTGTTCTTGCCTATTCACATGTGACCCACCAGAGTTTGTCAAGAGTCTTCTGTATTTTAATAATGCATTTCCAAGAACTTACTTTGCTTTCATCTAAACTACCTTGTAACTTCCTTAGGGGAAAATTGTATGCATTTCTATTTGGAAGTAAAATGGAAAAGACATTATTTTATCCTAGAATGTGAGTTACATTTTTACGTCTGCATAGAATTCTGAGGGGTTATTGATGGGACCTACCTTGGCCTTTGAAGCAGGAAAAGAATTCTCAGGGAATTGGGTGGGCCAGGACAGAGGCAGGGGAGTGCTGCCACATGCGGCATAAGATTTCAATAATGCTATTTGTTTGTGTCTGTGTTGAAGGGAGGAAGAATGGTGGTAGAGAAGGGAATAGGTGACTTTTCAGATAATCTGAGTACAAACAAAGACACAACCTGAAAGGAGGGAACTATCAGCTTCCCAGTTTGCCCTGAAATTCCCCCTCCCTATTTGCTCCGAAAATTCTGGCCCACTTAGATCCTCTTTCTTTAAGAATTTGTAGTGCATGTAATTATAGATTTTCTGACACATTGCTTTAATTTTTTTTTTTTTTTTTGAGATGGAGTCGTGCTCTGTGGCCCAGGCTGGAGTGCAGTGGAGCAATCTCGGCTCACAGCAACCTCTGCCTCCTGGGTTCAAGTAATTCTCCTGCCTCAGCCTCCTGAGTAACTGGGATTACAGGTGCCTGCCACCAAGCCTGGCTAATTTTTTGTATTTTTAGTAGAGATGGGGTTTCACCATGCTGGCCAGGCTGATCTTGAACTCCTGACCTCAAGTGATCCGCCCACCTCAGCCTCCCAAAGTGCAGGGATTACAAGTATGAGCCACTGCACCAGGCCTAATTATTTTTTTTTTAATGTGAATATTTGCAAAGGGATTAAGAAATCAGGCTCTGGAGGCAGGTCAACTTTGGATGAATCTGGGCTCCATGACTGCATGACCTTGGGCAAGCTACTTAACCCTGGTGCCCCAGTTTCCTCTGTTTAAAATGGGAATAGGCTAGGTGTGGTGGCTGACACCCATAATCCCAGTGCTTTGGGAGGTCAAGGTGGGAGGATTGCTTGAAGCCAAGAATCCAAGACCAGCCTGGGCAACATGGTGAGACCCCATCTCTACAAAAAATTTTTTAAAATTAGCCAGGTGTGGTAGCACATACCTGTGGTCCCATTTGCTTGGGAGGCTGAGGTAGGAGGATCACTTGAGCCCGGGAGATCAATGCTGCAGTGAGATGTGATAGTACCAGTGTGCTCTAGCTTGGGTGACAGAGTGAGACCCTATCTCAAAAATAAATAAATTAATTTAAAAAAAAATTTTAATGAGGATATTAATAGTACTTGCCTCATTAGGTTATTATGGATAAAGTACTTTGCCAGCAAAATTAATACATATTCATTGTAGAAAAGCAGATAATATAGGAAATGAGCAGAAAAGAAGATAATCCTCTCCAGTCTTTCTACCCATAGGTAACCACTATTTCTTGTATATTTTTTTGTATACACAGTGGACATCATACTCTTCATGCTGTTTTATAACTTTGTCCCCTAATAATATATCATGAGGGTTTTCCCATTCTACTCAATTTTCAAAATCATTATATTTAAAACATAGAGCTACACTGAGTAGATATAGTTATGTATTTATTAAGCTGTTTCCATAGTGTTGAACCTTTAGGTGGTTCTAGTTTTTTATTTTTATATGTAATGCTTGAACAAACATTTTTTGTACATTAATTTCACACTTGAGGTTACTTTCCTTGAAGAGAAATGGAATTACTGAGTCAAAAGATATTTACTTATAGTTTTCAGACTTTTGACACATATTGCCAAATTTCCTCCTAGAAATTTTGCCAGCAATACATGAGAATTTGTTGTCTTGCCTTTTTGTCAGTATTGATTATTCTTGGTTTTTAAACTTTCAACTTGATAGATAAAAACATTTTATCTTATCATTTTATTCTTCTTTGATTATAAAGAAGGCTGAATATTTTGTACGTTTTTAGCCTTTGTATTTTTATTCTGTATGTATGTGAAATGCCTGTGAATTTTTTGTGCACATTTTTCTTTCAAAATCTTCACCTTCCTGTAAATTGTGAATTTGTAAGAGGTTTTTTTTGTTGTTTGTGTGTTTGTTTGGTTTGTTTTTTGAGACAAGGTCTCACTCTGTCACCTAGGCTAGAGTGCTGTCGTGTGATCATGACTCACTGCAGCCTCAACCTCCCAGGCTCAAGCAATCCTCTCACCTCAGCATCTCAAGAAGCTGGGATAACAGGCCCGTGCCACCAAACCCGGCTAATTTTTAATCTTTTTATAGAAATGGGGTCTTATCTTGTTTTCCAGGCTGGTCTTAAACTCCTGAGCTCAAGTTATTCTCCCATATTGGCCTCCCAAAGTGCTGGGATTTCAGGTGTGAGCCACTGTGCCTGGCTAGAGATTTTTATATAGAAAAGCTGTCAGTTGACTTCACAAGATTTTTTTCAAGCAAGCTGGGTGCAGTGGCATGTGCCGTAGTCTAGCTGTTCAGGAAGCTGAGGCAGGAGTAGTACTTGGGCTCAGGAGTTCAAGTCTAGCCTGGGCAACATAGCGAGACCCTGTCTCCTAATTAAAAAAAAAAAAGACTTAGTTTCAACAACTTTGTTAAATTAAGGTTGGTCAATTAAGCTTCATTCATGAGGTCTCTTAGAGAAAAACAACAAATCAGTGGATATTTATATTATAGTATATGGGGTATATTATTTATAGATATGCTGGGACATTTTTTTCTCTGAGTACACCAAGTACTTGTTGGTAAGTTGATTTAACTTTTGGAGTTTGCTTTGTTGGTGGAATACACTTCTTCATTCATCCTGATTGGGTGTTATGAATCCCATTTTGTGTGATGCTTATGATTATCTTGGTTGATTCCTTAACTATTTACTAGACACTATCTTAGTATTTTAACTCTTAACAGTCAGCCACAGGGTTTATGCACTGTACTTTTCAGTAGCTCCCCATGTAGATCAAAAGTCAAGATGGAAGGCCCACAGATTTTGTGGTTTTAGAGCAGTGTTCATAATGCTTAGTATCACAGTGCTTTCTATGACTGGAAAGGTGGGATTCTTAGAAAGACTGCAGCAGTTCCAAAAGATTTATGTTTCACTGGTTCTCTTTGGAGAGTTATCCCAAGAGCTCCCCCTCTGTGGGCAGATAGATGATTGTTGCTCAGCCTTCTACACATACAACTCCTGCAGCTTCTTATGTTGCGGGAGGCATTCATCTGTGCAGCATTGTAGGGTCTGAACATGAAGCATATATTTCGTGAAACCTGGAGCTGAAGTGAATTCTCTTAGAGTATATTTTGAAACTGTACTAGGACTTTAAACACTTTTGGAATTTAAAACAGCCATAAAAATTCTTGTTATACTGAAGGAGTTCCTGAGGCAGTGTGCCTCTCATTTTACCACCTAAAGTTGCCCATAGAGGTCCAAGGAGACACTGCTGATAGCAGAAAGTCTTCCAGAAAGAAATTAGGCGACCCACACCAAGCATGTATGGCTTTGAGTCTTACAGATGGCTTTTTAATAGTTTAGTCTCTTAACCTAAGGAAGTTTCTGAAGTTCCGGTCAGAGAGTCTAAAAATTCACATTTTACCTAATAAATGATAATGAGGCTATTTATCTTGTCTGTCTGGATTTTTTCACTTGACATTTAATGAAATATCCCATATTACCTATAATTTTTATTTGAAGGTAAAAATAGACTACAGAAGAATGTGTAAAATTTGTATCAATCAGCAGAGCACAAATCAAGTTTCTACCAGTATTGCTTATAAATATTTCGATCTTATTTAGGCATGGTTAAGCTGTTTTTGATGGTTGAACTTGAAGGTTTGTTGAGAATTACATTTTTTGTCTTAATTTTTCTATTTTTAAGTGTCTGAAGCGTGGGTGTTCAACCTTTTGGCTTCCCTGGGCCACATGGGAAGAAGAATTGTCTTGGGCCACACATAAAATATGCTAACACTAATGATAGTTGATGAGCTAAAAAAAAAAAAAAAAAAAAAAAAAAGTCCGTGCATAATTTTCATGGTATCTGTCACCACAGATAAGCAAAAAACTCCCCTCATTCAAAGGGTTGGACACCTGCGGATAGCCCTTTTCTAGCTAACCTTTTGTATTTCCCTGGCCCGTAATCTGTATTTAGAATTTTTAGTAGTATTTTGACAAATATAGATGCTTTCCTAAGGCATATCATTTTGTAAAAATTGTATTGCAAACCTTTTTCTCTTGATTTTCCCTTCCTTAGCTTCTCCCTTCCTTTCCTCCCGCCCCTTACCTCCTCACCTCTCATTTATGGGTCTGTTTATTTTTCACCTTAAGAATAATGATTGTTGCCTGGGACTTGTCTTATAAATTCAGTTCTTTCTAATGAGGCACTAAAGCTGTCTCCTGGCTTTTGGGTTTTCCTGAGAACTGTTAATTACCTTTGCACTTTCCTATACCCAGCTCAAAAGTAAATTGCAGAGGGAAGAGAGGAGGATGCACCTGTTTATAAAAATGTGGTAGTTGAGCAAAATGCTTAATGGAAAATATTAACAGCATAACCTCATATAATCAACTCAATCTTGTCTAGAGTATGTTTACTGCAGTTGTAGCTGTCAAATGTTTCATGTTATATATAGACCCCTACCGTGATGCCTTTCATATCACTCTTATTTGTTGCCACTGTTTTCATTCACAACCTTAGCTCAGATCTCTGCCACATTAGCTTTTTCATTGGGCTTTTCCTGCCTCCATGTCAAATCCTTTCAATTTGTAAGTCCAACAAGCAGCTGCTGGGTTTTAATATGTCCAGAGGACTGTTAGGAGTGGGTCACTGCACACCCCTCCCAAAATTCCTCCTGAGTACAAAGTTCTTACCTACTTCCAGCCTTTTTACCATAAGCCCCAGCTTAATTTTCTAACCTTGTCAGTTGTCACCCCTGGTGATCTGTATAGTCTGCTTTCTTTTCAGCAGGTGGTACTTTTCTTACCACCCATATCTGTGCAGAGAAATCTGACCCACCTGGAAAGCTGAGACGACACCTGTCCTCTGGCATTCCTTTCCAGACCCTTCCAGCTTGCAGTGCTCCTCTGCCTTCTGTAGTTCCCGTGTCACTCGTCTGGAATTATTTTTACATTTGTGGACCCTTATTACTCTTGCCTGAGGGTAGGAACCAACTCATCCATTTCTAGGTCCCCTCAGCATACTCAAACTGCATGGCCTACAGCCTGTGCTCAGTGTGACATTCTCTTCTGGTTCTTTTCCTCGTCAATATTCTCATCTCTCCTATTGTAAAACAACAGCTACCCCAAACTCTCTCTTTACCCCAGATTCTTCTCCTTCTACAGCCATCTCTCTCTCCTTTTCTCCATAAATGGTTGTTTTAATGAGTAGCTTTGTTGATTTTCCTGATAAACAAGCTCATTCAAGAAAAAAATGCAAATAATACAGGACTTGGTGAAGGTAAAAATCTTTTAAAATGCCATCACCCAGAGATAAATTACTTTTCACTAAACATCCTCTCTCACTGCACACACATACACACACTCAATATTCATGACACACAATTTTGTATCAATGAAATCACACCTAAATGCTGTTCTATGACCTGCTTAAAAAAATTTCAACATTATACTGGGTACATCTTTACAAGCTAGTTCTTGTTAATCCTCAGGAAAACGTTACTGAAAATGGCTGTAAAGTATTCCATTATTCCAGTGAGTCAAAAATGATTAATAGGCCAAGCACAGTGGCTCTTGCCTATAATCCCACCACTTTACTAGACCGAGGTGGGAGGATCGCTTGAGCCCAGAAATTCAAGATCAGCCTGGGCAACATAGCGAGACTCTTGTCTCTACAAAAAATTTAAAAAGTTAGCCAGGCATGGTGATGAGTGCCTATAGTCCCAGATACTCAGGAGGCTGAGGCAAGAGGATTGTTTGCACCCCAGAAGTCAAGGCTGCAGTGAGCTGAGATCGTGCCACTGCAGCCTAGGTGACAAAGTGAGACCCTGCCTCAATAATAATAATAATAATGATGATGATGTACTCCCCCTTTAAATGAGCATTTCTGTTTTTTCTGTTTTGTTTTGTTTTGTTTTGTTTTTCCTCTTATAACCAGCACTATAGTGAACATCTTTTATAGCTATCTTTAGACTCTCTTTCCTCCCTGTTATCTTTTTAGGATAAATTCTTAGAAGTGAAATCGCTGGGTCAAAGTATATTTATTCTAGGTGCTGTTAATGCCCAACTGCCCATCAAAAAGGTAATGTTGTACCTAAGTAAAGTTGTGAGTGGATTTTTCACTACCCTCACCAACATGGATGTTGTCCAGTCACCCTAATCTTTACTAGTTTTATGGCTTTATATATATGTTTACATTTATATATAATGCATTTCTTTGAAGACTGAGTTTGAAAATCATTGTGTAAGTTAACGCCTGTGTGTGTGTGCACGTGCACACACTTATGTGTTTTCCTTCAATTAGACTGAAGTCTTCTGGGGACCTGAGCCTAAATAATTTCAGGTGGATCACTTGAGATCAGGAGTTCGAGACCACCCTGGCCAACATGGCAAAACCCTTTCTGTACTAAAAATACAAAAAATTAGCTGGGTGTGGTGGCAGGCGCCTGTAATCCCAGCTACTCGGGAGGCTGAGGCAGGAGAATCGCTTGAACTTGGGAGGTGGAGGTTGCCTGGATTGCACCACTGCACTCCAGCCTGGGTGATGGAGTGAGACTCTGTCTCAAAAACAACAACAACAAAAAAAAAAAAAAAAAAAAAGAGGAGATCTAGGCAGGAAGTTAATTGCTGGAGTTACTAGCACCTGGAAGGTCATTGAAGCCACGAGACTGGATGGGACCCCTAGAGAGTAAGTATATATAGACAGGAGGCCCAAGGACTGAGCCTGTGGATTACCTAATGTTACAGCTGGGGAGAGGAGGAAAAGCCAGCAAAAGAATGTGGGAAAGAGTGGCCGGAAAGTTAGGAAGGAAATAGGTATGTGTTTATCTGTGTGTTAGTGTGTATGTGTGGGTGTGTGTGTGTTTTACTGAAAGCTGAGCAAAGTTAAGGAGAAAGGATTCACATTTCAAATCCTGGATCAAGTTAGTCCAGGAGTGAGAACTGACATTTGAGCTTAGCAATGTGGAAAACACCAAGACCTTGATAAGAGCAATTGTAGTGGGGTGGCCGAAGGAAAGCCTGACTGGAGTGGCTTCAAGATAGAGAAGGAGGGAGGCCGAGGCAGGAGAATTGCTTGAACCCAGGAGGCAGAGTTTGCAGTGAGATGAGGTCACGCCATTGCACTCTAGCCTGGGCAACAAGAGCGAAACTCCATCTCAAAAAAAAAAAAAAAAAAAAAAAAAGAGAGAGAGAGAAGGAGGAGAGAAAGTGAAGTCATAAGTGTAGACCACTCCTTCTGAGGGAGAATCCACCCCACCTTCCTCCTAGCTTCTGGTGGTTGCTGGCAATCTTTGGCGTTCCCTAGCTTGCAGATGCAGCACTCCAATCCCTGCTTTCATCTTCTTAGGGTGGTCTCCCTATGTACATGTCTCTGTGTCCTAATTTCCCCATTCTATAAGACACAAGTCACATTGGATTAGGACTCACAGTAATGACCTCATCTTAATTTGATCATCTTCAAAGACCCTATTTGCAAATAAGTTCACATTCTGAGATAATAGGAGTTAGAACTTCAGCTTATCCTTTTGGGGGGCACCCAATTCAATCCATAACAGCAACCCGTTAAGCTCCCACATTGTTTCAAATAGTTTATTTGACTTTCTTGGATCTTTGGGATATGTAATATATACATTGGAAATCATTTTGTTGGTTTTCTACTTTGTAAAGTCTGTAACTTGAATTTTGCTCCCTTGTCTAATTTTGTTTTACTTTAACCTCCTTGAAAGATCTGACTACACTTATGATTTCTATTTCTTGACTCCTGGGTCTTTGCCACCCACTGAAACCACTGTGTTCTGTACCATTAACCACTAGCCTGAGTTATGGAACGCTTATAGAAGTTCTTGTTGGCAGAGCTCTAATCTAAACTGAATAAGCACCTTACCTTACCTGTAGGGAATTAGGCTTAAAAATTGAAAGACCACTCAGTCTCACTGGCCCACGTTGGAGTATCTGCCTTGGCCCTGTGAACTGGAGCTCATCCCATTCAGAGACGGTTCTGCCGGTGCCCTGGTTACCTTGGCTCATACGTGGCTAGGAAGAGCCCCAGAGGAACGGTGGTCACTGCCTGCTCCCCAGCCTCCCATCCACCCCCATGGTCACTGTCCGCATGGTCACTGTCCTTGCTCTGTGTTTTCATGGTGGACTACTTATACTTTTTATTTAATAGAGTTTCTTTAAATCGGAGATTATTAGATTTTTTTTCCCTAATCTCGCATCCCAAATTTCAAATTCAGGCATGCTATATAAGTTTTTCCTCCCTTGCCTATACCTTTTAATCTTACATAGCCATTGCTGTAGGTCTAGAGAATTTATTTAACAGCATATTGTTTCATTAAAAAAAATTTGGCCAGGAGCAGTGGCTCACACCTGTAATCCCAGCACTTTGGGAGGCTGAGGTGGATAGATCACCTGAGGTCAGGAGTTTGAGATCAGCCTGGTCAACATGGTGAGACCCTGTCTCTACTAAAAATACAAAAATTAGCCAGGCATGGCGGCGTATGCCCATAATCCCAGCTACTCGGGAGGCTGAGGCAGGAGAATCGCTTTAACCTGGCGGTGGAGTGAGCCAAGATCGCACCATTGCACTCCAGCCTGGGCGATAGAGTGAGACTCTGTCTAAAAAAAAAAAAAAAGAAAGAAAGAAAAAGTAATTTTTACTCTAAAGGTGTTACTTCTTGTTTACTTTTCCTTTTAAATCTCATCTTTATTCTCATCCTTTAAAGATTATCTAAGTCTCACCAGAAAATTTCTGCATACCAAAAATATAGTGTTTACTAATCAAGTATAACAACATTATACTTTTGTAAAGTAATGTCTTATGTTACCAATTTGGATGATTTTTCTAAACATTGTTTTCAGGCACTGTTAGTCCAGTTAATGGTGAGAGTTTAGGCTTAAAAACTGTCAACTTGTAGCTAGGTGTGGTGGCTCACGCCTGTAATTCTAGCACTTTGGGTGGCCGAGGTGGGTGGATCACTTGAGGTCAGGAGTTCGAGACCAGCCTGGTCAACATGGTGAAACCTCATCTCTACTTAAAAAAAAAAAAATTAGCAGGATGTGGTGGCACATGCCTGTAATCCCAGCTACTTGGGAGGCTGGGGCAGGAGACTCGCTTGAACCCAGGAAGCAGAGGTGAGAAGTGAGCCAAGATCGTGCCACTGCACTCAAGCCTGGACAACAGAGTGAGACCCTGTCTCAAAACAAAACAAAACAAAAATTTTCAATTTGTAATGGCATAGATGAAAGAGAAACAGGTGGCAGTGTTTATGTGTCAAACTTCTCCAAATAGACGACTGTCTCACCTTTTGAAACCCTGTCTCAAAAAAACAAAACAAAACAAAACAAAACAAAACACCTGAAAACTTACTGGGTCTTGTTCAGTGACACCCTCCCAGGATAGCCTGTGCCTAGAGTGTGAACACACTGCCTATAGATTCTTCCAGAAAACCTCACAGTGAAGGGTGTTGATGGACAAGAGAGCTGTGTGTGATGCTACACAGCTCACCCAACTTCTTTTATCTTTTTTCCCACATCTCTGTAGCTGTCATTAGCTTGAGGTAGAGAAAAAATGTTCAGAATGTACAGTGATCCCTAAACAAATTATTAACAGAGGTCATAAAGGCATTTCAATCTGAGGATATCTAACATGAATAACTTTTAGACTCACTCTGTCACCCAGGCTGGAGTGCAGTGGCGGGATCTCGGCTCACTGCAAGCTCCACCTCCTGGGTTCATGCCATTCTCCTGCCTCAGCCTCCTGAGTAGCTGGGACTACAGGCGCCTGCCACCACGCCTGGCTAATTTTTTGTAGTTTTAGTAGAGACGGGGTTTCACTGTGTTAGCCAGGATGGTTTCGATCTCCTGACCTTGTGATCCACCTGCCTCAGCCTCCCAAAGTGCTGGGATTACAGGTGTGAGCCACCGCTCCCAGCCTTTCTCATCTTTTTAAATCTGAAAACTGCCCACTACAGTGTTGCACTGGATGTAGTCCAGTGTGCACATCCACCCACAGTGAAAGTGAAACCAACCATGAGTTGAATGAAGTATTATGGGAGTGTTTGTGGGAAGCCTGACAAACCTAAAGTTTGCCTCTCATTTTCTAGTGTAGTAGTGGATTCTTGGTACGGTTATAAGCTGTTCTAGACAGTGCGAAATCTAGTGTTGATTTCACTTTGATTTGAAATTATTTGTGTTTTTACTTTGGCTCCTTTACAGCCAGAGTAAAACTTAACTTATATTCTTGTATTCCAAGTTTAACTTATTTTCCAAGTTTAGCTTAACCTATATTCTTGACCTGATCAGAATTTTTGGACTTTGGGTCAACCATAAAGAGGCTCAATATATAATGAGAAATTTGTCTCACTTTAAGTTGTCAGAAAGCAGCACCCAAAACGCTCTATGTAAAACATGAATAGATGCATGAAAATACAACTTATTTAAGAAACAAACCCAAGGAGCCCAAACCTAAAATCTGGACCTTTCTTACTTAAGCAAAAATATCAGAGTCATGCACGTATGACTCTTATTCCATGACTGTCTTCAAATTGACTCATCACATCCCTGTTTTCAAATTAAATAGTTGCCATATTCTAAATTCTGTTTATGAAGTTAGGAGGTAAACAGAAAACAATCTAAAACCTGCTTATTTCAATTGATTCTGTTTGTTAGCATATCTGTACTGGCATGAATATGATTGGAACATGCAGAGTTGTAGCACACCCTTATTTCTGGTTGATTGCCAAAAATAAAGACATCAAAGAAAATAGAAAAACTGGGCAACAAATCATAACTGCATAGGTTTTTAAATTTAGTAGTTATTCTAGATCTCTCTCCATAGCTTTTCTGAATGAAACTGTCCCTCTCACAGCCCCCAGCCTCCCACTGTCCTAGATAGATGAGGTGATTGTTCTCACCACCTTTGGATTTGTACATGTGTGGCATTGTTTTCATAGGACAGATTCCCAGATGTGGAAATGCTCAAAGAGAGTGAACATTTAACAAATACTGCCAGATTGTCCTCCAGAAAGGTTGTACCCATGTGCACATCCACCCACAGTGAAAGTGAAACCAACCATGAGTTGAATGAAGTATTATGGGAGTGTTTGTGGGAAGCCTGACAAACCTCAAGTTTGCCTGCCATTTTCTAGTACAGTAGTGGATTCTTGGTATGGCTATAAGCTGTTTTAGACAGTGTGAAACAATTTACAGGTATCTTTAGCAAAGAACATTTTCATAGGTACTTTTACATGAAAAGTGTTATAATATTAAAGAATCTTTTAAAATAATGCATAATGCCACTCTTGATACATTTTCATCTTTTGTAGATTATCATCTACATGTGAATATATTTTACCAGTTATAATTAATATGTGTATGTTTTTGTGTTTTTGTTTTTTTGTTTTGTTTTGTTTTGTTTTTTTAAGACGGATTCTTGCTTTGTTGTCCAGACTAGAGTGAAGTGGCTTGATCCTGGCTCACTGCAACCTCCGCCTCCTGGGTTCAAGCAATTCTCCTGTCTCAGCCTCCCGAGTAGCTGGGATTATAGGCGTGCACCACCATGGCCAGCTAATTTTTGTATTTTTTTTAGTAGAGACAGGATTTCGCCATGTTGGCCAGGCTGGTCTCGAACTCTTGACCTCAGGTGATCCGCCCACTTTGACCTCCCAAAGTGCTGGCACCCAGCCAATATGTGTGTATTTTTATCTTTGACTTTTTCCACAAAACTGTCTTATAAGCTGTTTCCTGTTTCTCCATATCTTTCATCATGGCTATTTAAAAGCTGCATGTTGTATTTTGTTATTATACCATACTTTGTTAATTCAGTTCTTAATATTGAATATTTAATATAAAACTAGATACTTAAACTGCATGTTCTTAAGTGATAAGGTTGATTGGTTTGATGTGGTTATAAAAGTAATACAGTGCTTATAGAAAAATTTGGAAGACACAAAAAAATAGGATGACACATACAAATTGTCCTGTAACTCCTGTTAATAAATTCTGTGAGCATTAGGATGTATTTCCTTCCTGTCTTTTCTTAATATTTTATTTTCTTGTTTTATAGTCTGCAACCATGCTATTTGTGAACAACATTCATTTTTACATGTTTTAAACTCTTTTCAAATATCATTTTTCCTTTTTTAAAAAATATGAAAGGTTTTTGTTTTGTTTTGTTTTTTGAGACGGAGTCTCGTTCTGTCGCCCAGGCTGGAGTGCAGTGGCACAATCTTGGCCCCCTGCAAGCTCCGCCTCACGGGTTCACGCCATTCTCCTGCCTCAGCCTCCCAAGTAGCTGGGACTACAGGCACCCCCTACCACGCCCGGCTAATTTTTTGCATTTTTAGTAGAGACGGGGTTTCACCGTATTAGCCAGGATGGTCTCGATCTCCTGACCTCGTGATCCACCCACCTCGGCCTCCCAAAGTGCTGGGATTACAGGCGTGAGCCACCGTGCCCAGCCGGTGAAAGGTTTTTTTTCTTCTGGTGAAAGTAATTTGAAATTGTTACTGTAAATTGAGAAATAATCCCAGTCATCTATAATTCCATCACCTAGAGGCAAACATCATGAATAATTTGGTTTATTACCTTCACATATTTTTCTCTTAAAAAAAAATTTGAGATCATACACCATCATTGTTTCTTAATTAGGGGGTGGTCATGGACCTTTTTAAAAATCTGAAAAAATCCAAATTAAGAATTCTTTTTTGGCTGGGCACGGTGGCTCATACCTGTAATCCCAGCAGTTTGGGAGGCCGAGGCGGGCGGATCATGAGGTCAGGAGTTTGAGACCATCCTGGCTAACATGGCGAAACCTCATCTGTACTAAAAATACAAAAAATTAGCCAGGCGTGGTGGCGGGTGCCTGTAGTCCCAGCTACTCGGGAGGCTGAGGCAGGAGAATGGCATGAACCCGGGGGGTGGAGCTTGCAGTGAGCCGAGATTGTGCCACTGCACTCCACCCTGGGCGACAGAGCGAGACTCCGTCTCAAAAAAAAAAAAAAAAAAGAATTCTTTTTCAACCAAGTGGCCAGTTGAAAAAAATTTTTTTAATTAAAAAAAAGAAAAAATAGAAGTCTTACCATATACATACATTGATACCCACCCTTTCCCCCTATTAAACGTGATAAAGTAGGCATTTCTGTATAATTATGAACTCATAAATATGCACATTTTCTGATTATTGTGCATTGAATTATCTCTGTCCTCAAATTCATATGTTGAAGTCCTAATCCCCAGCACCTCAGATTGTGACCTTATTTAGAGATGGGATCTCTACAGAGCTAATCAAGCTAAAATGAGGTCAGTAGAGTGGACCTTGATCCAATATGATTGGTGTCTTTATAAAAGGAGGAAATTCGCTAGGCACGGTGGTTCATGCCTGTAGTCCCAACTACTCAGGAGGCTGAGGTGTGAGGATGGCTTGAACCCAGGGGTTCTGGGCAGTAGTGTGCTATGCCAATTGGGTGTCCAAACCAGCATCAATATGATAACCTCTCAGGAGTGGGGGACCACCAGGTTGCCTAAGGAGGGATGAAGTGACCCAGGTCAGAAATGGAGCAGGTCAAAACTCCCTTGCTGATCAGTAGTGGGATAGCACCTATGAATAGCCACTGCACTCTAGTCTGGGCAACATAGTGAGACCCTGTCTCTAAAAAAAAAATTTAATTGGCCGGGCACGGTGGCTCACGCCTGTAATCCCAGCACTTTGGGAGGCTGAGGCGGGCGGATCACCTGAGGTCAGGAGTTCAAGACCAGTCTGGCCAACATGATGAAACCCCATCTCTACTAAAAATACAAAAAATTAGCCAGGCGTGGTGGTGTGCACCTGTAATCCCAGCCGGGGTGAGGAGGCGGGGAGGGGGCGGGGTGGTGCTGAGACAGGAGAATTGCTTGAACCTGGGAGGCGGAGATTGGGATGAGCTGAGATTGCACCACTGCACTCCAGCCTGGGCGACAGAGTGAGACTCTGTCTCAAAAAAAAAAAAAAAGAGGAAAAATACTTAATTAAAAAAAAAATTTTTTTAAAAGAAATGAGACATACATAGAAGGAATATGAGGTGAAGAGACATAGAGAAGATGGCCATTTACAAGCTAAGAAGAGGGGCCTGAAAAGATGTTTCCCTCACAGCCCTCGGAAGTAGCCTACCCTGCTGACACCTTTATTTCAGATTTCTAGCATCCAGAACTGTGAGACAGTAAGTCTCTGTTGTTTAAGCCACCCAGTTTACATAATGCAGACATTTGGATGAATATTTACTTTGTGCTAGGCATTGCACTAGGTTTAGGAATACTAAGTCAAAGAAGTCAAGTTCTCTGTCTCGAAGGTACCTAGATTGGCATGTGCATAAAGAACCCTGGGGTTGTGCAATTTTGGGCGATAAACAGGGCATCATGGGAGGCTAGGTTAGGCAAGGGTCAGGGAAGATTTCCCGGGGATGTATCACTTGAGCTGAATTTTGAAGAACCACTGGGAGCTTACTTAACTATTTTTCTGTTATTGGACACTAGGATGTTTCCGGTTATTCATTTTTACAAATGAGAACTTCCCTGTGTTTTTGGATTATTTCTTTAGGATAGATTCTCAGCAACGTACCACTACTGAGACAAGAATATGAAACCAGAAACATCATTTGAAGGCAGCATAATATTCTACCAGATGGAGCTTTCCTGGCTCATTGAATCATCTTCTTTTATTGGATAGCAGTCCCCCTAATGTTCTGTTTCCAGTGTTTTGTTATTATAAATAGTGCTGTAGCATACATTTTTTGCATAAAGCCTTTTTCCATAATTAGAATTATTTCTTTTTTTATTTTTTATTTTTATTTATTTATTTATTTATTTATTTATTATTATTATACTTTAAGTTTTAGGGTACTTGTGCACAATGTGCAGGTTAGTTACATATGTATACATGTGCCATGCTGGTGTGCTGCACCCATTAACTCATCATTTAACATTAGGTATATCTCCTAATGCTATCCCTCCCGCCTCCCCTAGAATTGTTTCTTTAGTGATTGAATCATAGAAATAGAATTACAGTATGAAAAAGGTTTACTTACTTTTCAAAAATACTGACATTCTCAGTAATAATCAAGTGAAATTTATTAACAAATTAATTTGATTTATTATAGTCTTTATATTGTTTGGGGTGTGTTAAAACAGTTTAATACTTCCTGCTTTTAAAGACTGAAACTTTCCTAGAAAGTAAAGTTTGGTTTGTATCACGTGTGATGAAGAACCCCTTTTCTTTAAGTTCCTCCTCCACCTAAAAGAAACTTGCTTTATAAAGGGCACAATACTGTCACAAACTTGCCCACACAATTTCTGTGCTGGTTTCTCACCAGCTGGTGTGTATATTGCATCGGCCTCTGTTCATACTCTCCTAGATTGTTGTCTGTCTGAAAGGTAACTATCCCAGAAGATCAGCCTTCCAAGTGAGCTATTTCTGTTCTATTTTGTGTGTCTTTCAAAATGACTCCTGCATTCTCCACCAGACTCAAAATCCCATTTATGTTGGCAGCATATCTACTGTAATAGAGTAACAGAGAACTGCAGTTATGGTGACACATGGGAATAGGGGCGCATGAAGGAGCCAGGTCAGGAATGACAGGGTGCTCTGTCCCAGTGAGGGGAGGGTTTGCCAGCAAGGATTGTATTGTTCCCTTCATCTCAAAAGTGAGTATGAGTACATTTTAGTCACTTAACAAAGTAATAAACATCAAGGGCTACTTATATATTTTGTATATTTTTTATATATTTTATATATTTTTTGTATATTTTGTATATATAGTTTTGTATATTTTTAAAAAAGATATCCTCCTCACTAATTACTTTTTAAAAATTTTACTTTTAAAAATCAGAAAAAAAAAATGCAAAGTTGGCTAGAAATAGTGGCTCATGCCTTGGCACTTTGGGAGGCCAAGGCAGGAGGATCACTTGAGGCCAGGAGTTTGAGACCAGTCTGGGCAACATAGTGAGACCACATCTCTACATTTTTTTTTTGTTTTTTTTTGCTGGGCATGGTGGTGCATGCCTGTAGTTTCAGCTACTTGAGAGGCTGAGGTGGGACGATCACTTGAGCCCAGGAGGTTGAGGCTACAGTGAGCCATCATTGTGCCACAGCACTTCAGCCTGGGTGACAGAGTAAGACCCTGTCTCAAAAAAAAAAAAAATAGAAGAAGAAGAAGAAGCAAAGTTATATGTATTTTAAATATTATAGGAGCACACAATGTAGAAAGTGTAAGTATCCCATAATCCTACCCCACAAAGATAACCCACCATGGTCTGCAGTTTAGGACATATTTCTCTAAATTTTTTCCTTGCATTTAAAAAATACAGTGATGCTCAACTTCGTTAACAAAAAATGAAATACAAAGTAAACAAAAATGAGCATCCCCCACTTTAGCTCTTAAAGATAAAACAAAAACGTAAAAACAGTAGTTATATCCATGTTGGTGGCCACATAGCAAAATGGGTACTCTCATACAATGTTGGTAGGAATATAAATTGGTTCAAATTGAACATCTCAAACCTGAAAATCTGAAATGCTCCAAAATCCAGAAATTTTTGAGTGCCAACATGACGCTCAAAGGAAATGCTTATTGGAGAATTGTAGATTTTGGATTTTGGGATTTGATATGTTCAAAGTATAATACAAATATTCCCCAACCCCCCAAAATTCAAAATCGGAAACACTTCTGATTCTAAGCATTTCAAATTAAAGGATACTCAACCGTATAATCTATTTAGAGGGCAATTTGTCAGTAATGATCAAAATTTTATGTGTAACACATGTCATGTGCATTTCCTCTGTTGACTTTAGAAAAAGAGGAATGTTGATAGCTGTTTTATAATAATGTTATTAGCAATAGTGATCGTGGTAGTGGCAGGAATACTGCTGGTTGTGCTGCTTGCAGTAGTGGTACTGGTGGTACGGCTGGCAGTGCTGGTGGTACTGCTGCTGCTGCTGGTGGTGGTACTGCTGCTGGTGGTGGTACTATTGGCAGTGCTGATACTGTACCACTGATAGCACTGGTACTGGTGGTACTGGTGGTGCTGGTGATTTGAGCATTCACTGCCTTCTACTATGTGATGAAGCTTAACAAAGTCACATCCAAGTCTGCTTTGTACCCAGAACAGTGCCAGAGGGCAGTGTGGGTCAAAGCACCTCTTTTGATTCTCTCATAACATAGACAGAAAGATGAGCTTTCCAGGAGGAAAGATTTTTACCATTGCCCCTCATAAGGTGGAAATAGCTGGTGTCCATCCAAGCCCCTGCTCACACACTCAGAAGGCACTTCCTAGGAACTCCTTCCCCGCCTTTGCTTCTAAGTCCCAGACCAGCAGTGAGATTCTGCCCTTTGAAATATTTATAACATTCAATTCACTATAAAACACTTTGTAAATGTAAGTGCTGTAAGTGGCCCAAATTATATCAGCAGCTTTTTGAGAAATGGGAAAAGGAAAAGGAATTTAAGGGAATGGGATCCAGTGAGCCAACCTTGCTATTTTCAAACCAAAATAAATGGCCGTAGATCTGCATTTTATAATTTCAGAAATGACTAATGCTTGGACTATTTTTGAGCATTATAAGAGTGGCTTCATCCCAGTATAAATCATTCTTTCTACATTACACAGATTATGTTGCTTTTTAAATCAATTTTTTTATTTCATAGTCATTTTGTTTCCAGGTCTAAAAATCCTGAAATTCCTTTCTTAAGGGGGTCCCTTTGTATCAGCCACTAAGGAAGTCATTGAAACCTAACTGGCTTCTCCCAGCACCCACTACGTAGGCTACCCTCTCCCCAGTCCTGCAGGAAAGGCCCCTTGCCCACAAATGCACAGGGGCCGGAATTTTTCATTGTTGGAAATTCTCCCCACCTTGTGTAGATACTGTCTCCATCTAATCATCACTCCTTTGTTCTGCTGTTTGGAACCCCCAGAATAAATCTACTCTTTGTATCCTTCATGTATTGAGGATGGTCATACCCCTACTCCCACCCTCAAATGATTTCTTCCTCATTGGACAGGATTCCTGGAAGTTACCCTCCTGGTTACCTACTCCACTAGGTAGAATAGTACACAGACTGTCTATTCTCCCGAGTCCCCACCAACTTGTTCATAATAATGTATTTCTGATAATGAATCCTAAAATTGAGTTTGTTAACTTGTTTTTGGCACCCACATCACACCATTGTCTCATATTGATCTATAAACAAACCAAAACTCCAGACCAGTTGCTTTTTGAGCCTAAGTGCAAGATGTAACATGCTTCTCTGAAATGTTGTCTTTTTTCCTTTGGGCTCATTCTTTCCAGACCCAGACATCTTTTGGAATTCTGATTCTGTCCAGTGGGTCTTATCTAAAGCATTCCTCTCTCCCAGCACAGTGTCCTTGGATGACTTGAAAAGCCCGCCTGGTAGATTGCTGATGTATTTACTTAGGCCCAGGGCTCTGAAGAGGGTGACAAATCTCTCATAACGAGTTTGCCAAATGCATGCTGGCAGCCCACGGATTCAAGGCTCCTTAGAGAAGGCAGAAGAACAAAACCTAGGGCCTGGCTGTCAGAGGGTGCCACAGCTGCTGGGGTGGAGAATCTGCTGGGGTGGAGGATTGGAAGAGTTTTGGTTTGGCCATTGACATGTAAATGTCAGAGAGGCCTGAGGCTGTTCCCCAGTGGACCCTCCCGCCTTCCCACACAAAGCCCTGGCTCTGTGAGGGCCATGGCTTTGCCTTTGTGAGGCCTGGGCCATCCCAGCTGCAGAGGGAAGTCCCCGTAAGTATTCACTCTTGTAAAACTGTTCCATTTTGCACTGTGGTTGTCGACAGCAAGCTTCTCCCAGCTGCATGGAGTGGGAGTGTTCTCTTTGGAATGCGCTCTTTTCTGGATATAGACATAGGTCCTTTAAAGGTTTTTGAAATGAAAATGAATACTACTAGGTGATTATTAATTTGAATTATGTAAGGAGAGAAACAGAGAGATATATTTGTGCACGTGTATGTGCATTTACAAGAACAAGATTAGCTACAAGGTTCAAAGGACTTTTTGAATTTTACCTGATATTTCTGAAGGATAATTTTATTTTTGGCATTGTGTTTTCTGTAGTCCTCCTCTCTCTCTCTGTCTCTCTCTCTCTCTCTAACCTATTTTGAGACAGAGTCTCGTGCTGTTGCCCAGGCTGGAGTGCAGTGGTGCAATCTTGGCTCACTGCAACCTCTGTCAAGCGCTTCTCGTGCCTCAGTGTCCTGAGTATCTGGGATTACAGGTGTGCCCACCACCATGCCCTGCTAATTTTTGTATTTTTAGTAGAGATGAGGTTTTACCATGTTGGCCAGGCTGGTCTCAAACTCCTGACCTCAGGTGATCCGCCTGCCTCAGCCTCCCAAGGTGCTGGAGTTACAGATGTGAGCCACCGCGGCCGGCCAAGAATGAATATTTTGAAGTGTTTTTTCTTTTTTCCTCTGAAACTTCAGTGTCCTATATTCAATATGTGAATTGTGAAATACGTGATGCGCTTACCACAGGGTAGAGGATATATGTCTTTGTCATGCTGTGGGCTTATTTTTTTTATAAGTCCTTTACTAACTGGCCAGCGATTATTTAAAATATAAATTGAGATTTCATATTCAGAATGAGGAGTACTGGATTGAGTAAGAGGAAAATCTTGATCTTAAAAAATCTTGAAGTAAAAGGTTTTGTTTGGTAAAGTTTTCCCACATAGGACTCACTTCCTTAACTGCTTACAGAGATGGTGCTTTTAAAGAAAACATTTTCTTAATAAAATACAAATGTTTTCAGATCTCTCTGTCTTTGGTACAGATGCCTTTTGCAATATGAGTTCAGTACACAGTGTGCATCCTTAAGCCTTGAATATTCAGATACATTTTTGCTCTTTTAAAAGTAATTACAGTAATAGAATTATGTTTACATTCCAGAATACCCATAATGAGATTGGAAAAAAAAGTTCAAGCAGTCAGTCTTCTATCCAGAAGCCATAAATTCTGTTATTGAGTGTGAAATCTATTCTTAATTTTTAAATGTCTTTTGCTCTAATGAACTTAATTAGTGGAGTTTGGTACAGTGGAAAGAATACTAAACAAAGTGTTTTGAGACGTGGGCTCTATCTCTAGCTACCTAGGTGGCCTTAGGTGAATGTCTTCTGGACCTCAGTGATGGACTGTATCAATGGTTCTCAACTCAGGGGCCCTTGGAAATGTTGAGTGGGAACATGTCAGGTTGCCACACTGTATGGGGGCACTAATGGTTTGGGAACCCTGGATGTTAGGCATCTTGAAATGCCCCAGACTGTCTCACCCAGCCCAATGAAGAATTGGCCCACTCCAAATATCAATGACACCCCTACGAGTAACACTGGACTAGATGATTACTTAGGTTTTTCCTGCTTTGTTACTGTCAAGTTCATAAGTGGAGTATTGGCAAGCATCTAAAATAATGTGATGCCAATACGCTCAGTGTCTGTCTCTCACATTTAGCATTGAACGCTATGTTTTCTGGGGTGAAGTCATACCCAGTAATGCTGGGTCAGGACATGCGGCTGTGGCAACTCAGATTCAGAGCTTTGTTGCTGGGAGAAATCTCTACTGTAAGCACAGAAAATACTGATATGGCTCAAAAGCAGGTGCAGAGCTGGACCTGGGTTTTTTGGTTGGCTTTGGATTATCCTTATATTCTTTCCTCAAAGGGAAGCAGTGGGTTTGTGGCCACATGCTTGCCCCAAGGCCCTGGGCTTTTCTGCTGTAAACAAAGGGCAGCTGCCTCTTCACACTTCTCTGCTGCTTGGTGCTGTCCCATCTGTTGGGAAAGGGGGTCTCTGGAGCCTCCAGTGCTGCCCTGCAAACCCAAATCCGGCTGCCTGTTGTCAGGAACCATCTAGACAACTCTGACGAGGCAGAAGGGGATTTGGTCTGGAAAAAAGATTCCTGGGGTGTCTAAATTTTTTGGTAGGTTGGCATGATTAAATTACTCCTTATTTGATAGTGAAGTGCTGTTAAATGAAAGTCACACAGGAAAGCTTCTCTCTGGATTGTCTTTTTGTAGAAAGCAAAGGTGAGTTATTACTAATCCTCACCAGAAATTTGCTGTGATGTTTGTGCATATATACAACTCTTAATAACTACAGTGTTCTATTACCTGAAGCATGCGTTTTAATTAATGTGTTATTTTCCCTATAAAAATAATTTATTTAAAGAAAATTCAACTAAGAAAAATATCAGTAATAACTACATTTTGATACATATCTTGCCAGTCTTTAAAACATTTTTAAAAAATGGGGTCATAATGTATGATGTTTTACAACTTTCTTTGTTCACTTTGTAATATCTCATGTATTGTTTCTGAGACATATAGTCATGTGTCACATAACAACTTTGTAGCCAGTGACAGACCATCTATAGGAAGGTGGTCCCAAAAGATTATGATGGAGCTTGTGTAGAAACCTGATGTGTGGCACTTGAGATTGGCATTGCAGATCAAGTAGCAGAAATGATTGATATTCAGTAATGGTGCTGGGACATTTGATTATATACATATATGAAAAAATTATATAAATAAAAATATATATACCATCTAGGTTTATGTAAGTACACTCTATGATGTTCTCACATGACAAAATCACCTAACAGTACATTTCTCAGAATGTATCCATGTTTGTAACATGATTGTATTACACAATTTTACATGACTTCTGTCTTAGTTCAGGCTGCTATAACAAAATACCATAGACGGGTGGCTTAAGCAATCAGAAATTTATTTCTGACAGTTCTGAGAGCTGGGACATTTGAGATCAGGGTGTCAGCATGGATTAGTTCTTTTAAAAATTTTTTAAATATATTTTTAATTTTTAATTTTTTTGTAGAGATGGAGTCTCACCATCTTGCCTAGGCTGGTCTCAAACTCCCGGGCTCAAGCGATCTCTTTCCTTGCCCTCCCAAAGTGCTAGAGGTGCGAGCCACCCTGGTTCAGTTCTGTCAATGGCCCTCTTCCTGGTTTCCTTGCCATGTCCTCACATTTGTAGAGCAGAGAGAAAGGAAGCAAGCTCTCTTGTTATCTCTTCTCATAAGGGCACTAATCCCATTGTGAAGGCTTCACCCTCATAACCTAATTACCTCCCCAAAGTCCCATCTCCAAATCACATCACACTGGGGATTAGGGTTTAAACATATGAATTTGGGGTTGGGGGGTGGACACAAACATTCAGTCCATAGCAGCTACTGGTAATTCACTGAAAGGATGGTGCCGAAGAGTACAGGTCCTAGAGTTGGACCCTGTGGGTTCATACCTTAGCCCTGACACTTATTAACTGGGCAAATTATTGAATGGCTTTGTGCATTATTTACTCATCTGTATAATGGGGAGAATGTTAATACCAACCACATTGGTGTGTTCTGAGAATTAAATGAGATAATAGATGTTGGGTGCTCAGAATAGAGCCTTACATAAAATAAGCATTTAGTATCTATTAAATATCGTCTTATCAGCACCAGCATCACCATGATTATATGACCATACATCCCACTAACAAATCCCCTGGCATTAGATTCTTGCAATTAAATTCTTTCTGACATGCAGAGTATTACTTTAGGATCATTTTTAAAATGTGGAATTTCTGAGCCAAAGAACAAACAGCAGTTTAAAGCTTTGGATACATATTGCTAGATTTCTTTCCAGGAAGCTTGTCTCAGTATTCACTCCTACCAACTTTTCTCAGCATTAAAAAATTCAGCTTGTCTTCCTTCTAACATTCTGTGTGCTGTGGGACCTCCCCATTCCAATAATTTGGAATATAAATTCATTTCATATTGTTCTGGGGCAAGCATTATTATGAAAATGAATTAGCCACAAAACAAATCACATAAAGCATTTCGCCATCAAATGAAAAGAATAAGGTGGCTCACCTACGCTTGGTTTTTCACCTGTGCTTCACCTTCTCTCATTGATCAAGGAATGTTTATGTGTGAGAGGATGTGAATGTGTAGTCCTCAGACTCTCTTCCCTGCAACCTAGTTTAATGTCTAGACATACTGGAAGAAAAAAAATGATCTTTGGTAACATGATGGGAAAAGTGCATGAAATTAGCTACATAAATTGTGAAATAGCAAGTCAGTCTTTTTATTCTGTGATGTGTAAAAATCACTTATTTCATTGTATTTACTTTTACTTTTCCACAAAGAAATTGCTGCAAGTTGGTATGTACAGAGGTAAGATCCACAGTGTAACCTTTGTTACTTGATACTAAGTCCTGGCCCAGGATGCTTGTTCAGCTTGCCTGTGCTACCAAGTGCCTGGTGGTGACTCAATTCTCCCACCTGTCGTCTCTTTTTGGATGACTGAGAGCCCTCTCTACAGCATGTTGTGACCTAGCCAGCCTGGCCTTCACCTGTATCCAGTGCAGTATTGCCAGAGGAAGCCTGCTTTCATTTTGTTCTCAGCAGTCCACCCACCTGCATTTGATTATAAACACAAATTCAAACGTGAGCATTTAATACACATGACATAATGAAGCTGGGTGTAGTGGCACATGCCTGCAGTCCCAGCTACCTAGGAGGCTGAGGCAGGAGGATTGCTTGAGCCCCAGAGTTTGAGGCTGCAGTGGGCTGTGATTGTACCACTGCACTCCAGACTGAGGGACAGAGTGAGACCCTGTCTCTAATAAATAAAAACAAACCACATGACAGTGCAATTATGAGGGAGGCATCCAGCTGATCTCAAATATGTTCAGTTTGTTAGATTCTCATTAAGAACATAGAATGTAAAAATTCTCATTCAGGATTCTCAGATTTCTGAAAATACATTTTAGGCCCCCAGAGCTATGCTTAGTAAAGGCTGATTTGGTTTTTAGACACTGTCCAAGGTACTTTGGATAATTATTGGCATTCCAAAAAGAAATATAGGTTACATTTATATTGTTTCTTTTGATTGAATACTTGACTCATTTTGATCAAGAACAGTGGGTTTTAAACTTTTAACTGTGACCCACTATGAGAACTAGTGACCCAGTATGTACACATACATATATAAACATACACACAAATGAAACAAATGTTTCCCACCCAAAATATATCGATCTATTCTATTCTATTCTATTCTATTCTATTCTATTCTATTCTATTCTATTCTATTCTAGTTCATTCTTTAAAATGCTGCTTGTGACCTATTAACTTATTTTCATGACCCACAAATGGGCCATGACCTCCCGTTTGAAAATCCAATTCCAGAGGTGGTTTCTTAGGACTGTGGGTTGACTGATAACGTGTCTCATGCGTCGCACATTGCCTTCCTCTTGGTACCGGGTCCAAGGCAGGCTGTACATGTCCAGGGCATTGCTCCTGAAGGGGTCTCAGTGCCACAGGGCTGGGCAGGAAATCAAGGCAGAGCTCTTTGTGTTGGCTGCCTGGGGACTTGAAGAGCTTTGCTTTTGAGAACTTTGGTCCTTCCCTGAACCGGCTGCTGCAGCTGACAGCTCTGCCTGAGTGGGAAAGTTTAAACGAGGACAATAATTCAGTTTGAGTGCCCCTGAATCATGTCTTTGTCTCTGCTCTTGACAGAACAGAAGGAAGTTTTTCATTATTAAGGATGCCAGCTGCCCACAGATTGATATATCTGTAGCCAGGGCTGGCTCACTCTCAAGTAGGTACAGATCTGGCTCCCCAGTTGGTATATTTTGAAGAAGTCCAGAAAATATTTTCCTTAAATGTCTCCACTCAGTCTCCTATGCCTAAAATTTCATGATTAGAAGTTTGGTCTTTTGCATCTTCTAAGTTTTTGGTCTTCTAGAATTCCAGATCAACATAAAAACATCATTGGAAAAGAGACTACCTTAGGATTGTATCAGGTAATATATAATGGGGATTTGGACAGTGCTGAGAGCAAGGCATGCCCATTTCGTTGGAGCTGGGGATACAGGAGCGAGGACCTGTGGACTAGAGAATGGTGAGCAGGAGGAAATGGAGTGGAGGAGGCCGCAGGGCAGGCTTGGCCTGGTGAAGCCTGTGTCTAACGGTAATTGGAAAGCTCCATGAACTGTGGAGCCCTTTAAATTTATTAATGAGAATTTTATGAAGACCTTGTGACTTGGGGTGGACTTCAGCAAGGCTTAGTGATGAAGGAACCAACACTCAACAAGAGTGACCAGAACTCTTAGGCCACTTGCTACTCAGGGATTCTGTGTCCTGGGTTGTCCACTGTGTTTTGTTTAACAAATTTATTCCCATGCAGACAACATGACTAATTGTATGCTACCCAAGAGTCACCTTTTATTTTTTCCAATGGCATCTAAGCACCTTGCATTTACATGGGCATTTTTTCCTTAGTTTTCTGGTCATTCAGATTGGTCCAGATTAATCCAGTTCAATTGCATGCGCATTTGCTTTTCTAGTTGTTGGTCATCGTAGGATTTAGTGCTGGAAAAGACCTTAGCAATCACCTCAGTCAGTGATTTTTCGGCTGTGGTTTTCAACCCATTACTGGGTCTTCAAATCAGTTTTATGGGTGCAACTGACAGGGATTGTTGGGAGAATCCAGTAAATATTTATCTTCCCCACCAGGTGTTGTGTAGTACACAAATACGTGATACCTCATAATGAGTAGCAATGTACAAAACAGTGTGTTTTGTGTGAGTGATACAGATAGATTCTTTTATTCGACAAATATCAGATGTCATTGAAGCCCTTATTGTTTATTGGTACTGTGGTGAGGTGTGGGGGATACAAAGATGAGTGACATGGGCCCTGCCCTGGAGATGCTCAGATGATAGCGGGGAGACAGGTGCAAAAGGCTGTTGTGACACAGTGGTGACTGCAGTGGTGAGGATGCCTGGTTACATCCTCCTTACCTAATGAGCACCTGCTCCGGAGGCCCTGCTCTGGAAAAGCAGCAGGCTGGCTGATTCAGCTGGACCAAACACAGCTGTGAGAAGCTGCAGGGTGTGTCTTTGAGAGAAAACTCACCTCTGCGGTTTAGAAAACAAGAGCAGGGAAGGCTTCTGGGGAGAAGTGCCATCTCCGCTTGGCCTGTGTAGTGGGTCAAATGGTGGCCCCCCAAAAGATAAGTCCATGTCCTAAGCCCTGGAGCCTGTGAATATTCCCTTATTTTAAAAAAAGGTTTTGCAGATGTGATTAAGATGAGGCAGTCATCCTGGATCGTTTGGGTGAGCCCTAAATCTAACAACAAGTGTTCTTTTAAGAGGCAGAGGGAGACTTGACATAGAACAGGACAAGGCCATGTGACGAGTGAGACTGAAATAATGAGGCCACAAGTCAAGGAATGTTGTTGCAGTCATCAGAAGCTGGAAGGGTTCTCCCCAAGAGCTTCCAGAGGGAACACAGCTCCGCCGACAACTTCATTTTGGACTCCTGGCCTCCAAAACTGTGAGGGAACACATTTCTGTTGTACCAAGCCACCACATTTGTGGTAATCTGTTATGACAATCCTAGAAAATGAACATGGTCTGGATTTTCATAGGCCGAAATTACAGAAGGGATGGTGTTGGGATTCAGGACACGTGACCCCAAAATATTTCAAGTTGAAGAAACTTGAGAAAACTGCAGATATAGGAGGGTTGCTCTTACTTCCCCCACAACCCCTGCCCTTTTCCCCTGAAGCCGTCCATACAATCTAGGAAGAATTGTCTGAACTTTCCCTGAAGCAGGTCTTGAGATGCTTATGTAAGAAGTCCTCTCCTTTGTAGGGACATGGTTGAAGCTGGAAACCATCATTCTCAGCAAACTATTGCAAGAACAAAAAGCCAAACACCGCATGTTCTCACTCATAGGTGGGAATTGAACAATGAGAACACTTGGACACAGGAAGGGGAATATCACACACCAGGGCCTGTCATGGGGTGGGGGGAGGCGGGAGGGAAAGCATTAAGAGATATACCTAATGTAAATGATGAGTTAATGGGTGCAGCACACCAACATGGCACATGTATACATATGTAACAAACCTGCACGTTGTGCACATGTACCCTAGAACTTAAAGTATAATTTAAAAAAATAATAAAATTAAAAAAAAAAAGTCCTCTCCTTATACCTGGAGGAAAAGAATGTAATTCTCCCTGAAGATGAAGGGTCACAGAGAAGAATCTGCACAAACAGGTCGTGCTGTGTTTCCTCCAGTCTATTACCATTAGATCCTATCGCCTTTGTCCAATCATACTTCATCGCTCTCCACTTCTTCATCATACCCAGCATAAAAAAATACATGTTTCCCTATTGCTTTGGGTCTTTATTTCCTTATGAAGACTCCCACGTCACCTAAAACTTACATTGAATAAATGTGCATGCTTTTCTCTGGTTAATCTTTCTTTTGTTATGGGGCCTCAGCCATGAACCTAGCATGGGTAAGGAAAGATGCTTTTCCTCCCTATAAGGGCATTTCTGGAGAGAGCGCCGGGGCTGGGAGACAGAGCCCTGTTTGGGAAGAGAGAAGGGAGCAGCCTGGCCTGAGCGCGGATTTTGTGAAAGGCATGACAGGAGATACTGCTGGAAAGCATGTAGCTGACCTGGTGCCTTTGTGATGGTTTGAGTAATTCCTTGTTTGTAGAGGATCATTTGGTAGTTCATTGTGCTGCCTCTTAGGTAATGGCTCTTAACACCGGGTGACCCAGCAAAAAACACAGGGTGAGGTTTGTTTGTTACCCAGGTGGCTGTACTTGTGTGTGTTTGCAGGGAGAGTAATGCTCCCTGATATGTAAATGCTCCTTGATTTTGCCTGCTGAAGACAACCACGCACACCCCACTAGAGGGTTGCCTTAGCCACTTTCTGCATTTTGTTCTTGAACCTGCACTTCTCACTGCTTTTTCCTAAACAGATATATTTTTGTGGCATTTTATGTCCTTGAAATGATCAATTAATGTATACTCATTCCTGTGAGGTGTAGTAAACATCTTTAAGCCAGGTGAAGAGGTTCGTAACATGAAACCAGTCCATGCCTCTTTCAGAGATTCACAACAGGCCCTCCCCATTCTAGAAGAACTGGACCATTTGGTACCTTTTTTTTCTTTAGTGAGCTAGAATTTAAGAATGAGTACATTTTGGGACCTAATTAAATTTTATATCTACCAGTTGAGAAATAGCCGGTGAAAGTCTTGTGTCTTTTCAGCTGTCTTCCTAAGCTGCATGACACATTCTTATATTTTTGCCCTTCCCCATGCCCCAAAT
This sequence comes from Homo sapiens, assembly GCF_000001405.40. Lineage (NCBI taxonomy): Eukaryota > Metazoa > Chordata > Mammalia > Primates > Hominidae > Homo > Homo sapiens. The sequence goes on from NC_000006.12 coordinate 89,492,964, forward strand.
TCCACATATACTCATGGCTTATGGCTTTTCATTATTAGTTTTTATAATAGAAATAATTCAAGCTTGTTGTAAAAATGTCAAATGATAGGTGTGAATATATGGCTCCATAACCCTTCAGCTGGCTGCAGACGTAGACTCACACTTCAGTCCTCACATCAGCTTCCTTTTGTAACAAATTACCACAAACTTGGTGGGTGTAAAGCAACAGAAATATATTCTCCCAGAGTTCTGGAGGCCAGAAGTCCAAAAATCAATGTGTTGCAGGGCCCTGCTCCCTCCAGAGTTTCTAGGGGATATTCTGTTCCTTGCCTCTTGCAGTTTCTGGGGATTGTATGTATTTCTTGGCTTGAGAAATATGGCTCCAATCTCTGCCTTCATCTTTACTTCCTTTTGTCTTCTGTGTGTCTCTGTGTGTCAACTCTCACTCTCTCTCTCCCTCTCCTTTTTTAATTTTTTTATTCTTTGAGACAGGGTCTTGCTCTGTCACCTAGTCTGGAATACGGTGGCATGATCTCAGCTCACTGCAGCCTTGACCTCCTGGGCTCAAGCAATCCTCCCACTTCAGCTTCCTGAGTAGCTGGGACTACAGGCATGCACTATCATGCCCAGCTAATTTTTAAATTTTTTTTTGTAAAGACAGGGCCTCACTGTGTTGCCCAGGCTGGTCTCGAACTCCTGGGCCCAAGCAGTCTTTCCACCTCTGCCTCCCAAAAAAGTGCTGGAATTACAGGTGTGAGCCGCCACGCCCAGCCTGTCTGTCTCTTATAAGGATACATGTGACTGCATTTAGGGCCCACTGTGATAATCCAGGATAAGCCCTTCCTCACAGAATCCTTAATTTAACCACATTTCGGGGGGTTATATAAGGTGATATCCACTCTTTTGTCATATAAGGTAATACTGACAGGTTTCAGGCATTAGGAAGTTGACATAACTTTTTGGGGGCCACTGTTCAACCCACTACAATTGTTAAAGAAAAAGTTATTCTGACACTTGTTAAAATGGTAAAGGAGACTTTATTCAGGATTATCCTGCTAGGTGTCAAGATAGTTGCACTAGGGTAGAGAGATTGGGTTCAACTCTGAATACAACACAAGTGAGTAGGAGGACCAGGTGTGGTAGCAGGAGGATCACTTGAGACCAGGAGTTTGAGACCAGCCTGAGCAGCATAGCAAGATCCCCTCTCTACCAAGAAAAAAAAAATGAGCGGCGTTGGTAGCCAAGGAAAAGGCCATGGGGGTCTGTAGATGGAAGATTACTAAGAGGAGACATCAAGGGTTGGGTGATTCATGCTAAACTAACAGGATTCCTGCTGAAGGCAGATAACTCTTGATCAGATGTCACCTGGGGGATGAAGAATTTGATTAGATAGTAATGGGATCAAGTATCAGGGGTGGGAGGATTCTTTCTAAACTGACTTAGCAGGATTCTTGCTAACACTGGGCTGTGCAGGCCTGGCAAGGATGGGGACTAATACTGAAGCCAAGTCAAGAAGAGGGCCCAGAAGAGTCCAACTCAAGTTTGGTCAAGGAGAAGTCTCTGTCACAATCCTTTAAGCAGTGTTTTGCATACTCACAAAGACCATTAATAGGAACCTGGTTTTCACTGTGAAGTTATCAGCAATCAAGCTTGTCCTGGTGGGGAAACCTCAACATTGCATGCAGCTGCTGCCTAATTACAGAAGTGGCTTGAACTCCTGCAGCCAATCTTTTTTGCCTATCCACACCATCCTTGCAGTGTGCCTTCATGAGGACAGCAGTTTAGAGGGCACCCTGCTTTCCAGCCCCCTGGAAAGTGGCGCCTACTTCTGCCTGAAGATTATTGTTTGGATTCAACCTATAGGAAAAATAAAACACCCACAAGGACTGATGTTAGGAAACTCATTACCACATCAGAGAGAATTTTAGATCAGTCACTATGTGGGAAGAATAAATTGATTACTGGTTTGGGGCCTGGTCTTGGAACCTTTGGTGACAGATAAGAAGCCAAGGCCGGGCACGGTGGCTCACGCCTGTAATCCCAGCACTTTGGGAGGCCGAGGTGGGCGGATCACAAGGTCAGGAGATCGAGACCATCCTGGCTAACACAGTGAAACCCCACCTCTACTAAAAATACAAAAAATTAGCCGGGCGTGGTGGCAGGCGCCTGTAGTCCCAGTTACTCGGGAGGCTGAGGCAGGAGAAGGCATGAACCCGGGAGGCGGAGCTTGCAGCGAGCCAAGATTGTGCCACTGCACGCCAGCCTGGGCAACAGAGCGAGACTCCATCTCAAAACAAAACAAAACAAAACAAAACAAAACAGAAGAACCAACTGGCTTTTCTAAGGCCATGATTTGGCATGAACCCCATGACTCGGGGAGCACTGGTCCAACTTCAGGACTGGACCTCTGGGAGGAGGGTAGAGGGGATCTCTTCCACAGCAGGGAAGGAATCTGTCTGCCCTCAGACCCCAAGTTGACCTAATCTCTAGATAGGACCAGGGCTGAGCCCAGTACAGCTCTTTTGATGGGCTCACCTCTTTGCACGTAGATGTCGGCTTGTGTTGTGTCTGGGACTCTGACAGGTACTATATAAATGGAATCAACTCTACAACTCTGCAGGTGGCTCCTGCTGATGTTTCAGGTGTAGGGAAGCCCTACTTTCTTAGTATTTTCAGTACTCTTCCGTTGGCTCATTTTTCTACTACGGGATGAGAAAGTAGTGCTTTTTACTTATCAAACAAACTCTCTCATAGGGCTTTGTAAGAATTCAATACTGTAATTTAATTATGTTACATTCAGCTCATTATAATTTATTGCATTCAGTAAATTGCATTTATCAAACACCAGCCCTTTGCTGCATGCTGTCTAGGACACTTTTTGTTTATTTCATTTTACCTTTACAACCACCTGCAAGTTATAGGTATTATCTCTGTTTTTTTTAGGTGAGGAAACTGAGGCTCAGAAAGTTTCTGACTTGCGCACATTCTCTTGTGTAGTAATTGTGGCATCAGGATTTGGAGTCCATGCTGTTGACCCCAGTGTACATGTTCATATGCAATTCCATGGGCCCCCAAGAAAGAGAAAGAATCCTGGAGCTAACTGGTGGCCACCTTCAGTCTTTAGGACATCTTACTAAGCCTGTCTCCCATCTACAAAATGAAGACTCCGGAGTTGTGCTTCTCCAGGTCTCAGGAACACTGACAATGGGGATTAGCAAGCTTTTTTCCACACTGCCCCCCCCCCCACCATAATTAAAGTACTTAGGAATTTCCTTTGGGAAGACAATGTTTGAATGAATAACAGAACAGAATTCTGCCTGTGAAGGGGTGTGAGGTCTTCTAGGGTACGCCGTAAGTGAGGTTCTGTTGGAATGATTAAATGGCAGAGGGCAGAGTAAATTACCAGCTGGGATCCTGTTGATAACAAGCTTGCAGGAAACTCACTGAAGTCAACGTGTAAACACAGAGATGTGGGCAGAGATATGCCGGTAGTACCGTCGGGACCAGGCCCAGGAAGTCTGTCTTTTCTCCCTTTGCCCTTTCAGGGATGTGCCCTGGGGAAAGATAAAATTAATTAATTAATTTATTTATTTATTTTGAGATGGAGTCTCTCTCTCTTCTCCAGGCTGGAGTGCAGTGGTGCGATCTCGGGTCACTGCAACCTCCTCCTCCCGGGTTTAAGCAATTCTCCTGCCTCAGCCTCCCGAATAGCTGGGATTACAGGCACCTGCCACCACACCCAGCTAATTTTTTGTATTTTTAGTAGAGATGGGGTTTTGCCATGTTGGCCAGGCTGGTCTCAAACTCCTGATCTCAGGTGATCCGGGAGAAAGATAAAACTTAAATCCTACTGTCTGTTTTCAAGTGACAACAAACTTTTATTATGTTTCAGAATTTGGAAAACTTAGGTCTGCAAATAAGAAGTTTGTCATAACATCTAAGCATAAACACTCACCTTTATTGTTTAATAGAGCATCTGAGAATATTGATGAAAAATTATTCCACTTCTTACTTTGCAGCAGCCAAAGCTTCTACCCCAAACAGAATGTCCCCTGCTCTGGGTGAGTTTATAGCTTCTTCTTTTCTGTTTTGTATAAATTCCAACTTGTCAGGGATGCTTTCTCTCTGAACTTTCAAATTAATTGTTTCCCTCCTTATCAGGTAGGTTTGATCTGAGGTGATTATGAACAGATTAGATTCTCCCAAAAGTTTAAAAAACAAACAAAAAATTACTTTGCAACAAAAACCAGGTTTCCATTCATGGTTTTCTGAATCTACAAAAATTACTTTGGTACAGGCTGATCATTTAGGATATTTAAAATTGAATTTGAAGCTTTAAACTACTATTTCTTTATTCATCCATTCATTCACTCAGCATACCTGTCTCCTGCTTTGTGACTGTTATCCTCCTTGTCCTGGTAAGTTCCTACCTCCTGGTGAGTTCTGCTGCGTAAAGTAGGGGCTGACTGCTTCAGCTGGACCAAAAACAGACCTCTGTTTCCTTTTTTCTTTTTCTATTTATAATTTTCTGCTTTGTAGGAAGACTACAAGAAATGGTATATATGACTAGATGCTGCTTTTCCACAATAATAGGGGATCTTTGAAATCCTAGGAAACTGTCTTGTTTTCTAAATTGTGTCTTTTAAACACTTTACCTGCAAGTCTTGTCTTCCTAAGTGTAGTATTAGCAAATAACAGTGGATATGTTTTTTTCTCTCTCTCTCTCTGTGTATCTGTGTATCTTCAGAGCTTTCGAATTTTAAAATAGTTTTATTAAGGTATAATTTATATATCATAAAATTTATCCATTATAACTATGCAGTTTGGTGATTTTTAAAGTAATTTCACACAGTGTGCAACCATCATCAGAATCCAGTTTGAGAACGTTTTCATTACTCCAAAAAGTTTCCTAATGCCATTTAGTGATCAGTCCCCACTACCACCCCTAGCTCCAGGCAACCATTGGTCCCCTTTCTGCCTCCATAAATTTGCCTTTTCTAGACATTACATATAAATAGAATCAGATAGTATATGGTTTTTTGTTTCTGGCTACTTTCATTGCGCATAATGTTTTTGAGGTTCATCCACGAAGTATATGTTAATATCAGTTCCAGAGGGATTTAAAACAAATAAAAACAAAACTTTGAATTGTGGCAAATTTCACAATTAGACTAGTGTAAGTCACCCACAAGTACCTCACTCCCAGATTCAGTAATTATGAAGCCATGGTCAGTCTTACTCCCTCTTCCACCCACTTTTCCTACTTCTTTGGGTTATTTTGAAGCTAGTGTTATTACTTTATAAATATTTTAATATATGCATTTGTACTTATCTCATTCTTTTCTATAGCTAAGGAGCAAAATACTTTGAGAACATGTGGCTACCTAGGTAAGGGGGAAGGTAAGAGAACTAAACATTAAATTAAAATATAAAATTCTTGCTATGTTTAAGGCACTACCTATGACAATCTGGGATATAATGATGTATAAATCTTATATATCTGCTAGGTCTGTAATATATAATTATAGTACTTAATTCAAACATCAGTCTGTGCAGATAATAGATTTCCCTTTATATATATATATTTTTTTTTACCTTGTTTACATTTTGCTTTTATTCTAAATGCCAAGTTTTGTTTTGTTTTAAGGGTAGAGAGAGATGTGTTATAGAGAATGATGTGAAGTGTTCTCTTGAAACCTGCTATGCAGAGAAGTGAACACGGATAATTTCAAATTTGCTAATCTGAAATTGTGACCAAGGTGAGAATACAATCCGGTCATTGTTTCTGTTGATTTGGGAGCCCAGTTTGCTATGGATTAGATGGATTCTTTGAATTAGAATAAGCAAGGAGAAATAAGCTCCTGAATAGCTTTGTGGACCATTCATTAATGTTTTCATAATTATTGAGTATGAGATATGTGCCAGCTTCTTTGCAGAATGTGAGCACAATTGGATGAAGATTCCTGAGGTAGATGCTTGAGGTTGGCTTTCTCAGGGCCCATTCCCAACCACTCTCTCACTTGCCTTCCTCTACTGTTGAGACTGGAAATCTCAATGTTCAATTTTCCTAACCACCTTCCAGCCAGGAGTGGTTATGTGATATAGTTTGGCCAAGCACAAGTCTGTAGGGAAAGGTCTCCCTTCCTGAATAAAAAGACATATCTAAGGTAGAAAAAGACTTTGCCTTCTTCCTGTCTGGACCTGGATGTAACACCCGGATGTAGAGCAGCCTTTTTGAAAACATGAGGTGACATAAGGATAAAAGCCATCACATTAAGGCTGGCAAAATTTAGAAATAAAAGGAGCCTAAGTTTCTGAGGGTAATGGTAAACTGTCACCAACTGTAGACTGCCTTCTCCAGGACTTATTCATATGGGCGAAAAAGAAGCCTCTATTTTGTGAGGCCTGGTGAGCCTGCTTTTTTGTTACTTGCAGCTGATTACATGCTTCATTGATACTTATGTGTTTGTCACCTTTTTGCCACCTCAGAGCACTGTCACGCCTGATGCCATTCTGGTCTAGTCATCTAGTCATGGACTTGAGGAATTTTAGGGATAGGAAGTCCTAGACATTATCTAGTTTAACGTTTCTCAACCAGTGGGTTGGGGTCGCAGTGCTGGGGGGAGGGTGCTACTGTTATTTAGCACCTGCAGGCCAGGGGTGCCAATAGCTTGTATTGTGTGAGACAGTGCCGTACCACAAATGTTCCTGTTCACAATACCAGTTCATAATGCATGGTAAGAAACGTTAGTCTGCTTCCGTGATTTAGTCCTACACAGAGCAAGCCACCCAGGGCTCTTGAGACACTGCTGTACTGACTTGGACAACCTAAACACCCTCACGGTCCCCTTTCCCTGCTGCTCCTCAGTTTAGCCTGTCTTCCCTTTCAACTCTGTTATGATGCCCACTTTGATTCCTCAAGACTTCAGCATCAAAACAGCATTCCAAACAGAAGACAAATGCACTGCAAACCAAAGAGTAATGGAGACAAAAAGCATGAAATGCCCACTGAAATCCCTAAAGCCTCTATAAAATCGTACTCTGAAAAGCCTCCGAGGCATCTGGGCTTATAATTTGTTCACTGTCTCTCCAGATTCCATCACACCCCAGTTTTATGAGGCCTGGGCTTGGGGTGATGTGAATGGTCACCTTTCCCACCTCTGGTGGCTCTTTTATCTTGCTCCAGTTGATGACCTTGATGCTTCTAGAGGAAGGAAGCAGAGGCTTCTGTCACTGAGACAGCTTCTGGTCACTTGAGCAACACAGGGGCTAAGTTCTAGAGCTCCCAGCCCTGCCTCCCAGGAGAGAGCCACAGATCACTCACTCTCCTTTTTTTCTTCCCCTTTACTTGGAGGTGGAATTCCAAGCAGAGAAGCCAGAGGCTGCCTGTGCTGTGATATTGAAGATAGAAATACTACCCTGAAGTTCCTGGCATGAAAAATATCACAGTACAGGCAGCCTCTGGAAATGGAATGAATATACCATGGTTAGAAAAATGCATCAGGCTGCAAAATTTTCACCAGGCAGTCCTACTATTAATAATGTCATATGATATATTTTTTAATAAAGCAATACATTAAAAAACGAATAGTAACTGGAATTGAAAAAGTCCTGGCTGTATCACCAGATGTGTCTTCTTCAGTAAGCCATTGAATTTCTGAGAGTTCTCAGAAATCGTGTAATGGGGGAAGAGCCTAACGCCCTCCTCCCAGGTCCCTAATCTCCCAGGAGATTAAAGGGGCTGTGGGATGGGAAAGCACTTTGGAAATTGTAAATAGCTACAACAAAGTTAATTGCTATTCTCATTAGAGCTATGAGGCTTTTAGTGGCTTTAGGCATTAATAATAGATGAGCTAGCATCCAGGACTGTGGGCCGTAGTTTTAAGTTTCTGTTGATTCTTGTTGTATTTTGATTTATTAGGTCCAACTTAATCTATTTCAGGCCAAGGCAATGGGTTGTGAGCTGAGTAAATAATAAAGATAATGTGATGCACTTAACACAGTCAGAAGAGGACTGTCCCCAATTAGTCTTTTTTTTTTTTTTTTTTTTCTAGCACAGAAAAAAGCACAGCTCTTACTGTATCTGAAAGACACTTTGGTAGGAATGCTCATCAAGACGGGGCTTGCACCTGAGGCCATTTCTTAGGAGTAGCTTTTGCCTGCATCATAATTTCAGAACATGTGATACTTGGGATGCTTTTCGTCATTGAGGTTTACTTGTCTTTATATGGAACATAATTTGTACCTGCAAAATCAAGACTTAACGATTAATTGTTTTCCCTTATGGAAGCCTAAGGCTTGTTTCTACGTATTTCCAGGGTTTTGTTCTTTAAGGAACACATGCTTATGAAAAAACACAAATACTTTCAGCAAAAAGTCTTCTGTGTCTCCCTTCCTCAAGTTGAGCTTGGAGTCAGTGGAGCTCTGATCTGCATTTGCATTTGAGAGGGATGCCTTCTTGGCAAATACAGCATGCCAGATATGTCAGTATTGGGTTGCTTGGAACTCCTTAAGCTTACTTAAACATTCTTTAGAAACACATTCCTTTGAAGAGCTCAGCAGAGCTCCCAGCCACGAGAATGCTAGGCTTATTCACAGCGTGGCTTTTACTCTCTGTAACTAATCCACAGCACATCTCTCTGGAAGGAAGCAAAATTTAGCAAGTTGCCTGTTGATTGTGTACCATACAGTATTTTTGCATTAAAGAAAACTACTTATTTCAGATACCTGGGGAGGGGCTTTATGGATAACATCCATGTGGAGATGCTTGAAAATACTGTTTGTTACACCAAAGTGAATGGGTGTTTTGTGCTTGTGTGATGCAGTAACTATGATTCTTATTTCATTTATTTCTCATTTAGAAGGTGTCGTGGTGCTAAGTCTCTGATACAAGGAGTTATCTTAAAAAAAAAAAGGCAGTGACTTGAACTGAGTGGTAGGAATAATAATATGTCCCATCTCATCACCTCCCCACAGGATTTATGTGTTCTTTTAATGGGTCTGGTTTGTGGATCGTTTCACCTTCATTGGTTTCCAGCTGAAAGTGCTGGTGGGCAGCTGCTGCAGATGATTAACACTTTCACCTAGCCTCCCATATTCTTATTGTTAACATTAAATTACACTTGCCTTAAATCTCTTTTTATTCAGTTTCTTCATTGGTTGTTAGATGTTTGTAACTTTTTTCCCCCAAGGTCCACCATGTTTCTTCATAGCAACCATGGTAATTATTAGGATAGTAGGCATATCTGGGGTTTACACTGCCTGTTTATTTGAAAAATATTTTTTCAGTTTCAGGTATATAGTTATTTCAAATAATGTAACATTGCCATACTTAACGTAACTATAATAAAAATAACTTAACCATAATTATCTCATGCAGAATAATCATTTGAACATTCCAAAGGTGATATAAAGAGAAATAGACTGGGCATGGTGTCTCATGCTTGTAATCCTAGCACTTTGGGAGGCTGAAGCAGGTGGATCGCTTGAGCCCAGGAGTTCGAGACCAGCCTGGGCAAGGTGGCGAAACCATGGCGAACCTTTATTTAAAAAACATGGCAAAGCGTTATTATTTAAAAAAAAAAGGATAAAGGGAAATAGGTCCAAATCCCTATCTACTAAAAGCTTACAGCCTAGTCTTATTTATTTTTTAGAAGAGTCTGGGCCAATGAATACTTTTTAAAAAGTTGGCTTTTAAAGCATATGCAGATTTGATCCTTGCTTTCCTTACCTGACGGGACCCTTTTTGAGCTTTTGGCTATTGTCAAGAAAATATAGCAATTAAATCCCATTATGATAATAGCTATGGAAATGTAGTACTTACAGTGGCAGGTACTATTCTAAGTGTTATTTATGTTAATTGATTTAAATTTAAAAATACAGAGATCTTCACTTAGGGTATGACAAGATAAATTTTATTCCACCAAGGGGACTGGGGTGTGGAGGTGGGGGTTGGCTGGTTCTAACAGGATTTCCCCCATCCTTTGCTGCAGCTGCTTCTATTTCTATATAACTCTGGGCTGTAACCCCTCCACCACACCCTCTGCACCCTCCCTATAGTGCTGCCCCTTCCAATGTCTCTTTCATCCTGCAGGCAGCAGGGTTCTTGGCTTGGACTCACACAGTTCTTTCAGCCAGAACCAGAGGTAATCTGCAGAAGCTATAATATCTCACTGAGGTTAGTAATTGGAAAAAACTACTGAACTCTCAGGCTGTGATGAGCTTTTTGCATTAGGCTAGTGGGTGGGTCTGATGCTTTTTGGCTGCTGGGGTGATCAAGGAAGGATTGAAAGAGAAAGACGAGAGTCCTCAGAAATGGGGTCCCACTGCTTCTAAGGTTGTGCACATTAGGAAGTCGTGATTAGGCCAGTGCCTAATGTTACCTCTCTTGGGCAGAGAGGACAGAAAGCCATTAGAGGACAGAAGGCCATTGGTTCGGGTGTTTATTTTATGCCTGCTGCATCTCATAAAGCCCCTGGGCTGTAGAAGGAGAGTTTAGGTTGCTCTGGACAGAGTATGGGCTTCTGAGTCAGAGGGAACTTGAGTTTGGCCCCTTGTACTGCTTACTATGTGTGTAGACGTGGGCAAGTTACCTAATCCCCTACATTCTTCATCTTGTCATCAAATTCAATAAATATTAAGTGCCTGCTATATGTGGCTGATATAGGCTTGAACAAAACAAGTTCTATTCTCAAGGAGCCAGAGAGGGTGACAAATGGTAAACAAAATAAATTAATACATTATATAGATGGCAATAAGTGCTAAGACTGCAGTTTTAAATAGGGTAGTCAGAGAAGGCATCACTGATTAGGTAACATTTGTACAAACACTTGTAGGCCCTAAGGGAGAAGCCTGTTTCACTAGCTGGTGATAAGAGCATTCCTTGTAGAGGGACCATAGTGCAAGGCCTTGAGGCAGGGGTGTGCCTGGTGTGTTGGTAGAGGAGCAAGGAGGCTGGTGTGGCCAGAGCAGAATGAGCCAAGGGAGCAGGAGGTGATGTAATCAGAGAGGTAAGTGGGGAGCAGACGCTGGAGGACTTTGGAGACCATTGTCCAGACCTGGGCGCTTATTCTGGGTAAAATGAGAAGCCACAGTGGTAGTGAGGGAGAGGGTGTTTGAGTAGAAAAGTGACAAGGTCTGACCTGAGGTTTAAAGGATCACCTTGGCAGTTGTATTGAGATAGTGTGGGGGGCGGGGGGTGGGGGGGAAGGAAGAACGGAAACAGAAAGACCAGGCACGGGGCTGTTCAGCATCCACGTGAGAGGTGATGGAGGCCTGCATCAAGATGGGAGTGGTAAACGAGGGAGAATGATCGTATCCATTTAATAATAACCAGCTGATGGGATGCTGTGAGGTTAAATGGGATGCGTAGGGAACGTGGGTTTGTAGGTTCTCCATAGAGGGTAGCTGCTGCTCTTATTATTGAGACTCTTGTTGTAGGACAGTCTCTCTCTCGCTCTCGCTCGCGCTCTCGCTCTTTTAGACAGGGTCTCGCTCGGTTGCCCAGGCTGGAGTGCAGTGGCACGATCATAGCTTATTGCACCCTTGAACTCCTGGGCTCAAGAGATCCTCTGCCTCAACTTCTTGAGTAGCTGGGATAAAGACATGTGCTACCCGCCTGGTTAAATTAAAAAAAAAAAAATTATAGCGATGTGGCCTTGCTATATTGACCAGGCTGGTCTCAAACTCCTGGACTCAAGCAATCCTCCTTTCTTGGCCTCCCAAAGTACTAGGATTATAAGTGTGAGCTACTCTGCCTGGCTGAAGGACGGTCTTGAAGTAAAGGAAACAAATTGGGAATTTGCCCATCCAGTCTGCAGCAGTAGTGTGGGGAATAGAACTTAGACGTGCTGGCTTTAAAGCAAATAGAGGGCTTCTTGCCTTTCCCTTTAATGAAAAATCTAAATCACTGTGCACCCACAGCCTGGAAATGCTCAATTAAATCGCATGCACGTCACAGAACTCCTGACATCACAGCTTCTTTTTTTGGCCCCACCTTATACCGTGTGAGCTTTAACTGTAAGTAGCGAGCTTGGTTTCCATGAGTCACATGTGTCCACAGGTAAGTTGTGTGGCTGATTGGCCCATTATGTCAATTTCAGATTAGCTTTTATGGTTTTAGTTTCCCTGTGTGTCCTCCCCTTGCCCTTTCTTCTCTGCAGGCAGAGTTGGTCTAATCCTGACCATCCTGGGGCTATGCTGGTTCTCCATTTCCTTACCCGGCATCTGTATTTCTGCCTTCTCCAGGGGCTGTCCTCCCGTATGCACCATCTGTGCAATTTCAGCACTTGCTACCCATCCTGAAGTGCTTAGAGATTGAGTAGTTGGAAAATAAACAGTGGAGGGATCATTGTATTTTCATTTTTTAGTGTTCTTAAAAGATACAGGATTTCTGTTGTGAATAAGTAAGGGATCAGCATAGGAAACAGCAACTCCTCTAGGCATTTTAAGCAGAAGGAGACAGAATTGAGTGCTCACAGAATCACTGGCAGGGCTGGGCCCTCAGAGCAACTCCCAGAAGAGTGAAGATCTGGTCCTCTGGCAGGGCTGCCAATTACAGGACATTAACTGGACCTGTAGGTTCAAGAATCCACTCTTTACTGGGTTCCAAAGTTCAGGAAGCCTGAACGGAGAAGGGTCTGCCACTACAGTGCCTCCTGGCACTCAAGAGAGTGGCCCTAGAGTGTGGTTACAGAAAACCCACCCATTTTGTGCAGCCATTATGGAAAGCCATATGGAGGTTCCTCAGAAAATTCAAAATAGAACTGCATTGTGATCCAGCAATCCCACCTCTGGGTATATATCCAAAGGAAATGAAATCACTGTCATAAAGAGACATCAGCACCCCACGTTTGTTGCAGCATTACTTAAAATAGCCAAGATGTGGAAATAACCTGTGTCCACTGAATAAAGGAAATGAACCCCAGTAGTATATTCATCCTTAATAAAGGAGAGCCTGCCATTTGCGAAAACATGCGTGAACCTGCAAGATGTTATACTAAATGAAATAAGCCAAACACATGACACTACTGTGTGATTCCACTTATATGTGGAATCTTAAAAAGTCAAACTCATAGAAATAGAGTAGGAAGGTAGTTGCGGGGGCTGGGGGAGGGCGGTGGAAGCAATGGGAACATGTTAGTCAAAGGGTATAAACTTTCAGTTATAAGATGAATAAGTTCTGGAGATCCAATGTGCAGCATGGTGACTATAGTTAGTGTATTATGCTTGAAAATTGCAAGGAGAGTAGATCTTAAGTATTCTCACCACATACAAAAGTAACTGAGGTGATGGATGTGTTAATTAACCCGATTGTGGTACTCATTTAGGAATGTATGCATATATCAAAACATGTTTACCTTAAATTTATACAATTTTATTTATTTTTATTTTTTGAGATGGAGTTTCTGTCACCCAGGCTGGGGTGCAGTGGCGCAATCTCAGCTCACTGCAACCTCCACCTCCCGGGTTCAAGCTATTCTTCTGCTTCAGCCTCTCGAGTAGCTGGGATTACAGGCGTGTGTTACCGTGCCAGGCTAATTTTTGTATTTTTAGTAGAGACGGGGTTTCACCATGTTGGCCGGGCTGCTCTTGAACTCCTGACGTCAAGCGATCCGCCCTCCTTGGCCTCCCAAAGTGCTGAGATTACAGGCGTAAGCCACCACCCCCAGCCTAAATTTATACAATTTAAATTTGTCAGTTATACCTCAACGAAGCTGGACAAAACAAAACAAAAACCCACTTCCCATTCCACAGTTTGCTTGCCAGCCAAAAGCTGCCCAGAGAAGGCCTCTGCTTCACTTCCTCCCTAATTTTGCACAGGTGACTTTAGTTGGTTCGCATCCCGATCTCTAGCTGCAAGGTGTGGAGCCTGAAAAATGTAGTGTTTAACCTTCTGTCCTCTCCAACTAGGAGGCAGTTGAGGTGAGATTAAACAAGCCAATCCCTAGTCTGCCTCACCTCATGCTTGTCTGTGGTGAATACTGCAGGGGCCTCTTCTTCCATGTGTTGGCATTGGCCAGTGTTGAGGATTCCATATGCAATATAAATAAGACTCTATGCTAAACACTGAATCCAACTGTCAATATTTTCCAAGCTTATCTCTAGTACAATACTGTGTGCTTTGTAACAGGGTAACTTTTATTATCAATTAACATTGTGATGACCACCTCTGATATCTGTAAAATAAACAAAGTAGGCTCCAATCACTGACAGGCAGATTTTGGTTTGTTTATATTTGAAGAAAATAATGGGTCTGTATTTCTGTTAAACACATAATTTTTTTTATGGTTCATATCATTACATAAAAAGACTGGGCTAGTTGCATTATTTATGTAAAAATATATTCTCAGTATTTGATATGAACAGCAATTTTAGCATACTCTTCACTATAAAAATATGCAGGAGTGGATGTTAAGTATAGGTAAATAGCAAGGAAAGCACAAACCAGCATCAGCACTGGTCTTACCAGTCTGATTTCTCTGGAGTGCAGAATTACCCATTTGTTGCAGCTCTATGTTGAGCAATGTTCTGTAAAAGTTAATCAAGTGTCTTTAATCATTAGCTGATAAAGCAGCAGGGAATTAAGCTAGCCTAATTAGTTTGGGAACTAAATCAGACAGAACAAACAGAGCACGGGGTAGGACAAATGGATGTTTGGTGGCCTCATTGGAAGAAATAGGTTACCTTTGATATTATGGTAATTCCTTGTCATTCATGGGATTCCTGAGAAGTGCCCTTGCTGATAAAAACTGAAATTGGCAGATCAGTGTCTATTTCAAAATTGGGAGTTGGGATAAAATAAAGTAGCACATACACATCTAATCCTACTTTATATATACACATGTATACTATAAAATATATATAGTAAATGCTCCAAAGATAGCTGCTTCCAAAACAGACTATATTCCTTGGTAATTCTTTCAAATCATTTTATTTTATTGTTCAGGAAACTTTCCTGTAGCTGTGTCCTAGAATGATCCAGCTGCCAGTTTTATATTATGCAGCCTACACTTTTCCCCCCAAGTTTGATTATGAAAATGTTCATACATACAGCAAAGCTGACTTTTACAGTGAACACCTGTATACCTACCACCTGCATAAATTCTATATTTTATTAAGCTTGCTTTATCACCTAGATACCACCTGTATTCATTATTTATTGCTGTATAACAAATTACCCCAAACTTAGTACTTTATTTAAAACAATAAACATTTAGTATTCCGTACTGTTTTTGTGCGCCAGGAATCCAGGAGTGGCTGGGTGGTTCTGGCTCAAGGTCCCTTGTGAGGTTGCAGTCTAAGACATTGGCTAGGGCTGCAGTCTTCTGTGCTTTGATTGAGCCTGGACAATCTGCCTCCAGGAGGTCTCACCCACATGGCTGTTGGCTTGAACCTTAAAGGATAGCTCTGGTCAGGTACAAATGGGTGTTGACAGTAAGTGACCTAGAAGTGATGAGAGTTGGGGAAATCAGGGAATTCCCAGGAGGTGGAACTTGCCATAGCATCCCAGCCAGGGCACAGGTGCAGAAAGAGAAAGTCATATGAAGTGTAAAGCAGAATGAGAGCATGGCTCAGAGATACGTGTGGGGGGCAAAAAGGATTTCCAGCAGAAAAGATAGATTACATTGGGGGAGGTGGCTTTAATGGCTCCTAAAGGGAGGGTGCCTCAGCTACTGAGATTGAAATTGTCGGACACGGTCATCAACATTAGAAAAACAGCAGCACTGAGATTTATTTTCCTGGTTACCTATATTTTATTCACATATTTAAGTGTTAAACTGAGGTTGAAATGTTGTGAATGGTCCCCACTTCTTAAAGCTTTGCTCTACTGGGAGATTTTTAAGAAAATCTCACGGCACATCTTCCTAATTTTTAAATTTGTATTCCTGTTCCTGACCCCAGAATAGGCCCAACTAGACAACAGATCTGTGGGAATGTTTGGCTCTCCATGAACCACAAAGACTCCTCCAACACAGAGGTGCAGTACCCACCTGGGCCAAGGAGGGAAGATGCAGGTGAGGAGGGTGCTTCCAAAAGGTGTGTGGAGCTGTTTGTTGAGGGCCATGAAGCTCTTGCACAGGGATGGGAGGAGGCAACTAACCAGGGCTCTGGGTGGAGGCCAGCTGCCCTCCCTCTGGGCGACTGTGCACCCTCCCACTCTCCCTGGGAGGCGGGCGCTTCCTTTGAAGTGCACCAGTGACCTGCCTCTCTCCTGGCTGCTTCCTGATGTCTTGCTGGCAGCAAGTGGGCTAGGGTCGGCTTGCCCAGAGGGGCGCATCCAGGTGGGGTTCACCTTTCTGAACCAGGTAGGGAATGTCTTGGTGCTCCCTTGATTTGAAGGGGAGGACCATCCTTTATTGGCAAAGAACAGAGAGCAAACAATGAAAAGACCACACTGGGCCAAGTCAGTGACCCATGAATAAGGAATTCCAAGCTTTTAGTGCGGGAGAGCCTTGGAAATCATCTCATACAGCCCCTTCACTTAAAGATAAGAAAGAAACATGAAGCCAAGGGACTGGACAACTAGTTTAAGGGTGGGCTAAGTAAGACGTGGAAGTCCTGGTTTTCTGTTACTGAGGGCTGCAGTTTATTTTATGCCTACTTTGTATGTATTGGATTCTGTAGAATGACAGTTCACACAGTGCCAATTCATTATATTACAAAGATAAAACATTGCCTTTATTTTTTTCTCAAAATAATAAAGGTTATATGGTACTTGCGGCATTAGCACTTGCCAGGTACTGTTCTCCCTTCCTGACAGATAGAAATCGTCATTTAATCTTCTAACAGACCTATGAGGTGAATACCATTACTTTCCCCACTTTATGGGTGAGGAAACTGAGGCCCAAAGAGGTCAAGTTAACTTCTCCCAAGTAATGTGGTGATGTCTAGATAGTGAGTGACAGCATTGGGATTTAAGCCAAGTATGCTGACTTCACAATCCATGTTCTTAACCACACTATACCTTAATCGCCAGTGCAAACATTAGCGCTGTTTACTGGCTTTTCAAAGCTTTCTGTTTTCCAGGCATGTGATGGGCTTGCGTTTCCTGGCCTCCTTGTGTTTTTGGAGCCATGTGACTACTTCTAGCCATGTTGAGAGAAGCATGCTATATCACTTTTGGGCTAAGTCACTCTGTCACCAGTGTGTGACCCTCCAGATCTCTCTTGCCCTCTGCTGTGGAGACTGGCAAAGCTCCAGATGGTGGTTGCTCTGTCAGTCTGGGCAAGTTGGAGAGGAAACAGCCTCAGCCAGCCCTAAGTGGGTGTAGCATAAATGCAAAATCAACTTATGTTATTTAGCCACTGAGATTTGAGGCTTGTTTGTTACTACAGCATAATTTAGCCTATCTTGAGTCACATAATAATCTCTGATGTGCCTAACGTTTTAAGGGGCACATTAGCAAATAGGTTGGCCACTTAAAAGTCTTTCCAAATAGTTTTTTTTTTTTTTAGCCTCATTGGGAAGCATTCATGTTATTCTTTATATACAGAAAGCACCTGGTACTGTGGCAATAGCATAGAGCAGAGCTTGAGATGGAAAGTTCTGTTTTTTGGTCCTTATTATTTTTGCTAATTCAACAGCTTTATTGATATCTAGTTCACATACCATAAAATTTACTTAAAGTGTATAATTCTGTGGGTTTTGGTATATTCATAGAGTTGTGCAACAATCATCTCAATTAATTTTAGAAGACTTTCATCACCTCCAGAAGAAACCTGTACTTATTAGCAGTGACTCCTATTTCCCCCCAATCTCCCCGGCCCTAGTCTACAAGTGATACAATTTCTGTCTCTGTATTTGCCTTTTCTGGACATTTTATATAAATACAATCATATAAAATGTAAGTTCTGTGAAGGATCTTGGCTTTGCTCTATGCTGTAACTCTGTACCCCTCACAGTACCTGTACATAGTAGGTGCTCAGTGTATATCTGTTGGGTAAGTGAGTGGTTACTGAAGGTCGGAGTGGAGAGCCGGATGGTGATGGCTGGTGTTGCTTAGCATTGCCCTGGACAGGGAATAAAGGGAGCGGTAGAATCACCTGCTGACAACATCTCCTCTTCATCCAGAGACTTCTGTGTCAGGGCTTATTATAAGGATGTGATCATAGGCCCAGTGAAAGCAGCTACCCTTGACATGGGGTAAGTCATCTATAAAACACCGCATTGCAAGGCTGAGGTCATGAAGGGGTACGAGTGGGCCCACCACAGCCCGATTCCTCTTCCTCCGTAGACTCTTCCCAAATACACACTTTTCTCAGGACCTCACTGGATTCCTTCTCCTCTCAGGTTCCTGGCTTCCCTTCCCTGGCTACCTGGCCAGGGCTATGGCTTGTAGCCATTTCTCAGAGGCACACACTGAGGCATTGGGAGATTCCTGCTCCTGCTCTGAGTAGTGCTGCAGCCATTCCTGGCTTGCTGGTCTGGATTTTCTACCCCTACCTGCAGACCCAAGTCTGGGTACCCTGTTTGCCTTAAGTACTCATCTTGCATTATTTAAGACTACAAGGAGGCAAGAGTAGTTAGTGGTTAAAGGCATAGTCTGTGGGGTCAGGCACTCTGAAGCTTGAGGGCCAGATCTGCCATTTATTAGCTGTGAATCTCCAGGTGAGTTACTAAACCTTTTTGAGCCTTTGTTTCTAATCTGTAGAATGGGCATATGAATAGTAATATGAATAAATTTGTAAGAGTTACATAGAATAATGCATAGAAAGTGCTTAGTGCAATGCCTGGCCCAGGAAAATGTTTGCTATGGCTTTTGATACAATCTAATTTGGTCCTGATATTGTTGATGTCACTATTCCCTAGGGAACAAAAGAACTACATTTTTTTGTTTGTTTTAGGATTACCTTATGATTTGCAAAATGATTTTGTGGCAAATAACTGAATTCCCTGTGCTTGTCATCTTCTGAAAGGGAAGTCAAAGGAAGTGAATAGAGAAATGTGGCCACAGCAGAGACCAAAGAACCTGACTGTTTTTTTAATTTTTAAAAACATTAAAAAAATTTTTTTTTTGTAGAGACAAGGTCTCACTCTGTTGCCCAGGCTGGTCTCGAACTCCTGGGCTTAGGTGATCCTCCCACCCCGGCCTCTCAAAGTGCTGGGATTACAGGCCTAAGCCTGACAGTTTGGTCTTAGGTATGCTCCTGATTGTGGGGTTACCTTGACTGTTCTTTGAGTCCTGGAGAAGTCAACATGAAAGCAGTTACAAGGTCATATGATAAGCCTGTATGGGCCATGTAGATAGACTTCCATGCATAGATGGTATAGAAAAGTAAAAATTATCTTCTGCTTTGATCGTTGTTACTCCCAACATAAACTTACAGCAACAGTCTTAAACGCCAGTCAATGCTATATTTGTAAAACATCCAGTAGAGAGGTTGGGTCTCCTGATGAACAAAGGAAAGTTTGCAGTGTTAAGTGTCATACAGATTTGTCATTGCACTCTATTCTCTCCACTCCCACATGAACTACCATGGGGCAAATCTAAGCCACCTCTTGGTTTTGGTCTCAGAACAATGAGTGTCTGTTTCTAAGTTAGGGGGCGGAGTGCAGTCATGGGTTTTGGGGATCCCATACTGTCACTGGCAGCCAGCTGTGCAGCCTGGAGTGTGGGGCTGTGGCCAGGGTGGGCACAAGGAGCAGCATCTGTGTTTGTCTGTTGGGGTAAACCTGGACTTTGGCTGGAGGAGATATTTTCAGTGCTTTACCAGTATTAGTGAAGCATGGAATTGGATTCCCTGGAAGTGTCAGAAATGCCAATAAGCTTAGCAAATGGCTGTGCAGCATGTTGCACATAAATATCAATTTTAATCAGATACTGATTGGGATAGATTTCATAGCTAATCTAGAAGAAGTAATAATCTTTGTTGTCTGTCTTAGAAGAGTGAATGGTTTCCACTCAGAAAATTCAGATCTGGAAGCTCATAGTTCATAGCTGTTTTTTTCTTTTCTATTTCTTTTTCCTTTTTTTCTTTCTTTTTCTCTCTTTTTTTTAAGAGATAATGTCTTGCTCTGTTGCCCAGGCTGGAGTGCAGCGGTGGGATCATTGCTCACTGCAGCCTTGAATTCCTGGGCTCAAGGGATCCTCCTGCCTCCGCTTCCTGAGTAGCTGGGACTATAGGCATGTGCAACCATGCCTGGCTAAATTTGAAAAAGTATTTTTAGAGACAGAGACTCACTATGTTGCCCAGGCTGGTCTCAAACTCCTCAGTTTCCTGAGTAGCTGGGATTACAGGCATGAACCACTGTGCATGGCTGTCATGGCTGTTTTTTCTTTTAACTTTCAATTAAAATATATACCAAATGAAAAGTGCACAAACCGTAAAAATACAGATTGATGAATTTTCACAAAGGGAATGCCATCACGTAACTACCACCCAAATCAGGAAATTGAATACTGCCAAATTTCCAGTATCCCCCCTCCCAATCCTTAACCTGCTTTCCCCTCCAAATCACTCTCTTGACTTATAATGCAATCGATGACTTTTGCCTGTTCTGAATTCTATATAAGGAGAATCATATGGCATATCCTTTTTGTATCTGACCTCTTTTGCTTAGCAGGATATTTGCAAGATTTATCCACATGGTTATAAATAGTAATAGTTTATTGATTTACATTCTTATGTAGTATGAACATATATCACAGTTTATCCCTTCTGCTATTTATGTACATTTTGGTTGTTTTACAGTTTTAAAAAATTATCTGTATTTTAAATTTCATTTTCAACTTTGCTGTTAAATTACCAAACAATAAACTACTTAAGAACATAACCTAAATATTTTGGTTAACTACATTCTGGAACAGAAAGGCATTAATGTTAGTCTTAGGTGGCAGTGAGCTTCACAGAGACACACAAAGAGAGAGCAAAGTGAAGAACAAGGCAATCTCTCCCTATTTATGGCATGGCAAAGCAATTCAGAATGCGTTCACTATTTCTATAGATAAATTTTTTAATGTATAATGTGGGAAAATTTAATGTTCCAATTTATGAAAACAAGAATTATCAGACTGTCACATTCCAATGACTTAAGTAGCTAAACCTTACATCAAGCTTGTCTCACCCGTGGCCAGTGGGCTGCCATATGGCCCAGGATGGCTTTTCATGTGGCCCAACACAAAGTCGTAAGCTTTCTTAAAACATTATGAAGGGCCGGGTGCGGTAGATCATGCCTGTAATCCCTGCACTTTGGGAAGCCGAGGTGGGCAGATCACATGAAGTCGGGAGTTAAAAACTACCCTGGCCAACATGGTGAAACCCATCTGTACTAAAAATACAAAAAATTAGCCGGGCATTGTGGCATGTACCCGTAATCCGAGCTACTTGGGAGGCTGAGGCAGGAGAATCGCTTGAACCTGGGGGGCGGAGGTTGCAGTGAGCTGAGATTGTGCCACTGCACTCCAGTTTGGGTTACAGAGCAAGACTCCATCTCAAAAAAAAAAATTTTTTTGGAGTTTTTGTTTTGTTTTGTTTTGTTTTAAGCTCATCAGCTATTGTTAGTGTTAGTGTATTTTATATGTGGCCCAAGACAATTCTACTTTTTCCAATGTGGCCCAGTGAAGCCAAAAGATTGGACACCCCTGCCGTAAATGGAA
Organism: Homo sapiens; assembly: GCF_000001405.40. Lineage (NCBI taxonomy): Eukaryota > Metazoa > Chordata > Mammalia > Primates > Hominidae > Homo > Homo sapiens. Next base: position 89,514,541 of record NC_000006.12, read on the forward strand.
TTAAAATGTTGGGCATAAGATATCCTCAAAAGACTGTCATAATATATTTTGTGGAAATAGTTCACTTCATTTCTATGATTAGATGGATTACCAATAATTTATAGTTTATTATGAGTAATGCTGCAGTGAACATTCCCCATATGTCCTTTGGTGTACATGTTTGTATTTCTGTTGATTATATACCTAGAATTGGAATTGTTTGGGCATGGGATATATAGATGTTTGGCACTACCAAACAGTTTTCTAAAGCAGTTATACCAGTTTACATCCTCAGGCACAGGTGTTAAAAGAGTTAGCATTGCTCCAGATCTGTGTCAACCATGGTGTTTCCAGTCTTTTAAAATTTTAGTCCTTCTTGTCTGGGCGTAGTAGTTTTACTTCCTATTTCCTTGATGACTTTTGAAGTTGAGCACCTTTCCATATGCTTATTGGCTGTCTGGATAACCTGTTTGGTGAAATTACCTTTTCAAACTCTGGAGCATTTTCCTATTAGATTATCTTTTTCTTATTGATTTTGAAGACATTCTTTATGTCTTCTGGACATCAGACCTTAATTGGATACATGAACTATAAATCTCCTGTCACTGTGGTTTTTCTTTCATTTGAATTGATTCTGAGCTGGGCATCAGTCTTTATGAAGCTAGTGTCTTTCCAGTATGTCCTTATTTCTAGGATGATTAGCCCTTTTCAGGGTGTCCAACTGAAGTCTGGAGTGTTTATTTACTCAGTTTTTCTACCTTTGTGTTCCCTAAACTTCACAGCTGCTTGCAAATCAGCAAATGCCACAAAGGAAAACATGTCCTCAAACATTTGGCTTACCTCTTTGCACCACCCTTTCCTTCATGATCTTGAATACTTAGGTTCTTGCAAGGACTTGGGTCTTTGGTCTTCACACAGATTTTTTTGTTTGTTCAATGTTTTGTTGAGCTTTTCTGGTTGTTACTGGTGGTAGGATTGGTATGGTCGGCAGGTAAAATGTCTGCCCTGCCAAAGACATACTCATTTCCTAACCTTCAGAACCTGTGCATATTACCTTAAATGATAAATGAGTGATATTACCTTATGTGGCCCCCCAAAATGTTATTAAGGATCTTGAGAGAAGGTGCCTCTCCTGGATTATATGGACAGGATCTTGAGAGAAGGTGCTTCTCCTGGATTATCTGGGTAGGATCTTGGGAGAAGGTGCTTCTCCTGGATTATCTGGATAGGATCTTGAGAGAAGGTGCCTCTCCTGGATTACTAGGGTAGGATCTGGAGAGAAGGTGCCTCTCCTGGATTATCTGGGTGGACCCTAAGTGCAATCACATATATCCTTATAAGAAAGACAGAGGGAAATTAGACAGAGACGCACGAAGAGAAGGTGAAGTGAAAACCAAGGCAGAGATTAGAGTGTTGTGGCCTGAACCAAGGACCATCTGCAGCCACAAGAAGCTAAAAGGGACAAGGAACAATTTTCCCCTAGAGCCTCTGAAGGGAGTACAGCACTGCCAACAACTGGACTTCAGACTTTTGGCCTCCAAAACTGTGAGTGTGATGGTTAATTTTGTGTGTCAGTTTGACTGGGCCATGGGATACCCAGATACCTGGTTAAACATTATTCCTGGGTGTGTCTGTGAGGGTGTTTCTGGAAGAGATGAGCCTGTGACTGGATAGACTGAGTAGAGCAGATGGCCCTCCCCAGTGTGGATGGGGATCATTCAACCCCTCAGGGCCAGTCCTGATGGAACAAAAAGGCAGAAGAAGGTTGACTTCTCCCTGCCTGAGTCCATGAGCTGAGACATCAATCTTCTGCCCTTCAACTAAGACTTACAACCATCAGGGATCCTGGTTCTCAGGCTTTTAGACTGAGACTCAAATTTACACCACTGGTTTTCCTGGGTTTCCAGCTTACAGGGGTCAGATTGTGTGACTTAGCTTCCAAAATTGTGGGAGCCAATTCCATTCTAGATTTTTTTTAAGACACAGCCTCTGTTGCCCAGGCTGGAGTGCAGTGGTGTGATCTCAGCTCACTGCAACCTCCACCTCCTGGGTTCAAGCGATTCTCCTGCTTCAACCTCCTGCAAGTATCTGGGTTTACAGGCACGTGCCACCACTCCCAGCTAATATTTGTATTTTTAGTAGAGACGGGGTTTTGCCGTGTTGGCCAGGCTGGTCTCAAACTCCTGGCCTCAAGTGATCAACCCATCTTGGCCTCCCAAAATGCTGGGATTACAGGTGTGAGCCACTGTGCCTGGCCTCATTCTAGATTTTCAATATCCATATCTATCTGTATATCTCCTATTTGTTCTGTTTCTCTGGAGGACCCCAATAACAGTGAGAATAAATTTGTTTTTGGTTTGTTTTTTGGAGACAGAGCTTTACTGTGTTGCCCAGACTGGAGTGCAGTGGCACAATCATAGCTTACTGCAGCTTTGATATCCCTGGCTCAAGTGATCTTCCCCACTTAGCCTCCTGAGTAGCTGAGACTATAGGTGCATACCACCAAAACGAGATGATTTTTCTGATTTTTAGTATAGATGGGGTCTCACTATGTTGCCCATGCTGGTCTCGAATTCCTGGGCTCAAGTTACCCTCCTGCCTTGACCTCTCAAAGTGCTTGTGTTACAGGCGTAAGCCACCACGCCTGGCCAGATTGCTGTTTTAAGCCACCATGTTTGTGTAATTTGTTACAGCAGCCACAGGAAACCTATACAGTTGGTCTGACATAAATTAATTTATCTGTAACATTTAAAAATTAATAGTAGTTTAATAATTTTATTGCATTGTTTCTAGATTTTAATTGCTATTTCAGAATAAATTGGTGGAATGCAGTTCTTTCTTTATAGAGGGATAGTGTGTAATTTTTAATACATTGTGAAAAGGCACATAATAGAATAAACTTTGGCCTCTTTTATTGGAATAATAGACTCAAGAAACTCATTTGATGTTTTTCTGGTAGGTTGAAAGTTGTGCCCATTATTAGTTTTCCTTGTTGTAGTATAATGTCGAAAGAAGTTGTTGAGATACTTGTTAAAAACATAAGAGTGGGGAAAAAATGTAATGGAACCATTATATATGAAAAAATTTGGACCTATAGTCCACATAGATTGTTTAATCAACATGATCATTATTATAATTTATAGGAAAAACTTGATAGTTATGTTTATTCTGACCACCTGTAACCCGTCAGTGGGGATACTTTTTAAAAGAGAAAACTGTCTTGTCCTTATGACAGTTAATTGCTAAACAGAGTAGATGCACAGAAACCCAGCTCTTGTTTTCCTAAGGGGGGGACTATGATATGTAATGGGATGGGAGTAGCCACTGTCACATCAGCAGGTCATGGGATCTTACCAGTCATAGCCCCTGTGGCAGTTGCTTGACTTTTTTGGATATACACTTCTCTGCAAGCCCTTGAGAGCAAAGTCAATGTCTTTATGTATTCATGGATTCATTCAATAGTTATTACTCCCTTACCTTGTAGCAGGTGCTATGCCAGGTACTGAAGATACTCTAAACAGCAAAAACTGACATGGTTCCTGTTTTCATGGTGTCTAGTGGGAAACAGACAACCAAATAATCATAAAAATAAGTATCTTATGGCCGGGCGTGGTGGCTCACGCCTGTGATCCTAGCACTTTGGGAGGCCGAGGCGGGTGGATCACCTGAGGTCCAGAGTTCGTGACCAGCCTGACCAACATGGAGAAACCCCGCCTCTACTAAAAATACAAAATTAGCTGGGCGTGGTGGCGCATGCCTGTAATCCCAGCTGCTGCGGAGGCTGAGGCAGGAGAATGGCTTGAGCCTGGGAGTTAGAGGTGGCGGTGAGCCGAGATCGCGCCATTGCACTCCACCCTGGGCAACAAGAGTAAGACTCCGTCTCAAAAAAAAAAAAAAATAAGTATCTTATGACAAACACAGGTAAGTGATCTGAATGAAAGGAATGAACACGAGTCCATGGGAACATGGAACAACAGAGCTTGACCTAAGCTGGGGGATTAGGAAAGCTTCCCTGAGGAAGAAATGATGAACTGATGAGTAGGCTTTGACTGGCAGGAGCAGTGGGGAGGGATTAAGTATTTCAGGCAGACAGATCAGCTCACACAGAGTCATATGATGCAAAAAAAAAAGCATAACACTGATGAGGAATTGAACAAAGGCCAAATGGGACCAATGCTCAGAAAGTTAAGAGATGTGTTGAGAGAGGTGGCTCCATGCAGAATCTTTTCAGTCAAGCCAGGGGCACTGATCTTTATCCTAGAGCTATGGAGATCTATATTGGTTTGCTAGGGCTGCCATTACAAAATGCCACAGACTGGATGGCTTAAATGACAAACAGAAATGTGTTGTCTCACACTCCCAGAGGCTAAAATTCCAAGATCAGTGTGTCTGCTGGTTTGGTTTCTTCTGAGGCCTTTCCCCTCAGCTTGCAGATGGCCACCTTCTTCCTGTGTTCTCATGTGGCTTTATCTCTGTGCACTTACATCTCTGATGTCTCTTCTAAGGATACCAGTCCTGCTGGATTAGAGCCTCACCTTTATGACCTCATTTAACCTTAGTTACCTCTTTAAAGACCCTCTCTCCAAGGATAGTCACATTCTAGGTACTGGGGGTTTGGGCTTCAGCGTATGAATTTTGGAGGGAGACACAATTCAGTCTATTAACAGAAGCTATTAAAGATTTTTAAGCAAGGGAGATACTGGCTGTAATTTACAGATTGAGAATATCATCCTGGTCATACTGCAGAGAAAAGATCAGAAGAAGCCAAAGTTGATTCAGGATGGTTAGTTGGGAATCTACTGCAGAAGCCCAGCTAAGACACAATACCAGTTGGATTTTGGCCTGGTAGTATAGATGGATGGGAGAGAGATTTAGGAAGCAAAACCAACACAATGCAGTGGTGGATTGAAGCATTCTATAGAAAGAATGGGAGAAAGGAGATTTCAAGATCGATTCCAAGTTTTTTGACTTGCACAGTTGCAATAACGAACACTGGAGAAGACTAGGTTGGAGACAGATGAGTTTGGTCTTAGATCTGAGTCTTAGAGTTGAGGTGCTGCTTTGAAGACATCCATGTGGAAATAAGTAGGCAGTTGGCTATTTGAATCAGGAGTTTGGAGGAGAGATTTGAAATATGGATATGAATTTGAAAGGCTTGGGCCTACAGATAGTAATAGCAGCTAGTATACCTCTTGGCATATTTTAAATTCTTGATAAATGTCTTTTGAATTAAAACTGTGGTCTACACTGTTTCTTTACATGAACCAGAGCAGAGTTTAAAGATAGTTCATAATCATCTCTTTAGAAATGCTATCTGTTAAAGAAAATAGTAGAATGCATCTCCAACTAAACAAATTATTCTTCGGATCATAGCATAGTGTGTAGGTAATTTTCTACTAAGAATTTTGGAAAGAGGTTGGCAAATGAACTCAAGTTATGAGACTCGATGGAAATTTGGTACCTCTTTTCATTTCCTTTTCTTTTTTGAGATAGGATCTCGCTCTGTTGCTCAGGCTTGAGTGCAGTGGCACAATCACGGCTCACTTGCAGCCTCACCCTCCAGGCTCGATCCTCCTACTTCAGCCTCCCACATACTTGGGACTACAGGCATGCACCACCATGCCTGGCTAATGTTTTAATTTTTTTAAAGAGATGGGATCTCACCATGTTGCCCAGACTGATCTTGAACTCCTGGGCTCAAGTCATCCTCCCACCTTGGCCTCCCAAAGTGTTGGTATTACAGGCGTGAAGCACTGCACTCAGCAGCCTCTTTTTCATTTTGGCAAAAGCCCTGCAACCTACAGCTGTCTAGTCAGTTACATAGCCTCCTATATCATCAGGCAGTTACCTCCATGGATGTCTGAATAGGAGTGTGCTGCAAATGGGTCAGCATCACAACAAACAGCAGAGACTCAAAATATATGTTAGCAATTACCACAGCTAAACCACAGAGGATGAGAAAGATAGGGGCCTATGGTCTTATCAAAATGGTCTTCTTTCAGTAGTTCACATCACTGTTTCCTGGATTATTAATGGCTTTGGCTGAGCCAGGTGGGATGTGGTGTTCAGATGGCCAGATGAGCTAAGAAGTATCCCTCGGACTTTGGATCCTAGGCTGCAGAGTGGAAGAAGTACACAAACCCAGCCCTTCTTGTTTCATGTGAGCAATGGTGCGTGTTTTAAAAAGACAGCCAATAATATTAGCTTTAATTATGATAGTAGTTGCTGTTTGTTTTGTCCTAGCACAGAACAGTAGGAATGTAGGTACAGGAAAAAATGGCACAATAAACATTTGTCTTGGGCTGGGCATGGTGGCTCACACTTGTAATCCCAGCATATGCTCCTATAGTCCTAGCTATCTGGGAGGCTGAGGTGGGAGGATCATTTGAGCTTGGGAGGCCAAGGCTGCAGTGATCCATGACTGTGCTACTGCATTCCAGCCTGGGTGACAGAGCAAGACCATGTCTAAAAAAGAAAAATAGTCTGTCCTCCCACATTCTCTTATTTTAAAATGGAATTTTAAAAGAATTGCAGGAAATAACATGTTGAGAAATAGAGATTTTATTTAATGTTGCCCTGTTAGTCACAGCTTCATTTTTAAATAAGTATTAAAACTCAATACTGATTTGAGTATCTACCATGTGTCAACCTGAGGCTTCTGTGGTCCTTGCCCTCACAGTGCTCACAGTCCAGCCCAGGAGATGCCCCTTAACCAGTGATTACAAGTCTGATCAGAGTAATGAAAAGAATCCTACAAGGTGCTGAGTGGATTTACCTGGATTAGCAGGTCAGGGAAGGCCTCTCTGGGGAGGTGTCATCTAGACTCAGGGTTCAGAGATGAGTGAGAATTAAAGAGATGGAGGAGCCAGCAAGCTGACATGTCAGGACTCAGGAATGTGGCAAGCCCCCCAATGTGAGGCTGGAGTGAAGGGGCCAGCTGGCCCCCAACCATGTTAAGAATTGTGAATTTTATCCTAAGGGCAACCAATATGCTGGAAAGTTTTTAAGAATGGGAGCAACATAATCAGATTTATGTTTTTAAAAGAGAACTGTGGCCTCAATGAGAAGAAGCCACAGAAGATGCAACAAGTCCAGTTGTGGTACTTACTAATCCAGGGGAGAGGTGAGAGGTGACGTTTTAGATTAGGGCAGAGAATAGGGGTCTGGACTAGACTGGTAGCAGTAGGCTGGAGAGAATTGTATGAATCAGATCTATTTTCCTTTGTAAAAATTTTTTTCCTTATTATATAAATAATATTTTTTATTATAGAAGACCTTGAGAAAATATGAGTTCAAATATAAGTCTCCAATTCCATCTCCCAGGGAATAGCATTATTTATTTATGACATAATCCTATTAGTCTCTCTTCTGTGCATTTATATTTATTTTAAAAACAAAACTTGAATATTGACAATTGTAATTGTATATACATTATTTTATAACCTATACTTTGAATAACACCCTTTTAAGCTTCCAATATAAATTATTTGGCCTATGTTGACAGTTGAAATGCCTTGGCATCAACTTGTGGATCTCCCAAGGAAGAACTCCTTGCCAGTGTATATACATAAACCTGAGGCCTGTTTTCAGTGTGCGCATTATGGTCCCATCATGGATGAGACTTATCAGGGGGGAATTCTCTAGCTAATTCTGAATCTAGTTAACTTCTGGCCTGCAAGAATGTCTACATGATATGTTGGCATCCAAGCCATGGGAGAAGGGTCCCTGGCAGATGCTTTATTGAAATTCTAGTCCACAACCCCTGCTGTAGGGCAGGCAACTGTTAGGGGCTTTTTGAGGCTGTTGCTGGGGCTTGTGAGATGCTTAAGGAGCTCGACTGCATCTCTGAATGGTCAGAGTAAAAGAGTGTCATAGAAAGAACTGCCAAATACCTTTCTGTAGAATGAGCTGAAATAGAAGTGCTTCCTCAAAACCTGCTAAAGGGGAGATTAAGAAATGAAATTTGATTGGGGGTGTCATCTTGAAACAGTGTGATGACCCTTCTTGACAGGCCAAAAAAGAAACAACTACTCTTCTAAATTGGGAATTATGTGCCAGCCCTGTTTCGTTTGTCTAGTTCACTTTGACAGTGATTTAGTTAAGCTTTGCTAAATCCATGGGAGAGGTTTTAGCTTCCTGGGTCAGCAGTTTACACCTGTGGCTTGGGAAGTTTTTCTAGGGCAGCCCCAGAAAATTTAGGGAGTAACATCTCTTGATTTTAGAGAAATTTCCCATAGAATTTGTTTCTTTTCTTCCAGAGTAGATGAGGAGGAAGAGTCTCATAGCCTTGTGCCCTACCCATTTAGATTTGCACTCTTCCTGGTCTCAGGCATCTGACACCAACAGCCAGAGCATAAAGAGAGAAGGGATTAAATCTAGTGTCCCGAAGCCCTACCTCAATCCTCCTGAGACCCAGCCTCCAGCATGTCAGGTGCGGGGACTGGGGATTGCTCCAGGTCACAGGCATTCCTAGGTGTTGATGCAGAGATGATATTCTGTGCCCTGGGTCAGCCTAGGTGAGATGGAGACAGCAGATTCCCTCCTGAGAGCTGGAGCAGCCTCTTCAGTTTGTTTTATTCTCACTTAACAAGTCTGCAAAGGTGTTAATGTGTGCCAAAGTGTATTGGGTTGTAGGCCTCAGAAAAGGGTGTTTAAGGAGCTGTGGCACTATCAACTCTCAGGTTTGCGTTAGACAAGATTAGCATCTTCCCTTTTTTGTTCTGAAGGCTGTTTGCTTCTCTG